>NC_000012.12:21459650-22084650 GCF_000001405.40 Homo sapiens | reverse complement strand
GAGGCCACCTGAGGCCTGTTGGTAATCAGGAAGAAAGTCTCCAATGCACACGGAGTACCTATTAAAAAGACTATAGGATGGTTCCTGAGCCTGGATTCCATCCTGCTGTGCTTTCAGAGGGCTGCTCTCTCTCCTTCCTTTCCAGAAAAGGGGGCCTTCACAATTTCATTCCTCTAATAGATTCTCACAATTCAGTGTGCATAAAAGTCATCTGATGGAATTTTACTAACATGCCAATTCCCAGACGTTATCCCAGAAATTTTGATTTAGTAGCACTGGGAAGGTGCTGGAATATATATTTTAGCAATTACTATATGATTTTGATGAAAGTGGTTGAGGGACCATCTTTGAGGAAACACTGCCTAAGCCTTCGCCAAGGTATAATCTGCTACCCTTGGGAATGTTCCCTGTCTTAAATTTTGGATCTAGCACCTAGTGTCTGGCCCTGGGTATAATCATTAACCTTTCTGTGCCTCAATTTCCACACCTGTAAAATAAATGAAATAAAAGTGCTTTATAGAGGTTGTGAGGATTAAAAGAAATTAAGATAGAGGTCATGGTAATGGCCTGAGGTAACCAGGTGATAGATCTGGGTAGCTTAGGGAATACGTGTGTGTGTGTGTGTGTGTGTGTGTGTGTGTGTGTGTTTTGAGACAGTCTTGCTCTGTTACCCAGGCTGGAGTGCAGTGGCACGATCTCGGCTCACTGCAACCTCTGCCTCCGGATTCAAGCGATTCTTGTGCCTCAGACTCCCAAGCAGCTGAGATTAGAGGCGTGCGCCACCATGCCTGGCTAATTGTTTTTGTATTTTTAGTAGAGATGGGGTTTCGTCATGTTGGCCAGGCTGGTCTCACAGCCCTGGCCTTAAGTGATCCACCTGCCTCGGCCTCCCAAAGCGCTGGGATTACAGGCTTGAGCCACCGCACCAGGCTGGGAATACATCTTTCTTTTCGGTTGGCGCTGGTCCTCTAGTAAGGCAGTAGCTTAATCATTTACGTGTCCTCTTTCTATCTCAGCCTTCCCACCACACTTCCCCACTCAAGGCTCACTCCAGACATTGTTAGAAGAAATTTTCCTTCTATCCATGTGATGTGTTGTAAAGAAAGACTAAAAAGTATCCAAATTGTACTTTATAAACAATTTCCTATAGTGGAGATTGATACTCAATGTATGAAGGTCAAATGATGAAGATGTACCATTAAGCCTCATCAGACTCTATTAGTTAATTTCAGTCAGCAAGTGACAACTGCACATTTTAAAACCTAGATCTGTGATGACACCCAGTGGCCAAAATGTCAACCACTGAAATTTTAAAAATACATCAAGTATTTTCATCAGCATACAAATAATATTGCATCAACTTTAAATTTTGAGAGCTATTCAATAACAAAGCATGAAAAGGTTCTACACTGGGAATGTCACCAATGAAATGTGGACAAACCAACTTTCTTTAGTACTGTATTTAGTAGAACTTTCCCAACCAGTTCAGGCAGATAAAAGCACCAGGTTATCAAAGGTGACACATTCCTAAAAAAAAAAAAAAAAAAAAAAAAAAAAAGCTTTTAAACTTGGAAAAAGTAATTTGCATCAGTATATAGCAAAGAACCAATGACCAAATGCAGGAGAGTACAACAGAGATTATTAAGACTTCACACATGGTCCTTTAAATAATTAGAAAATCATTAACATGCTTAGCTTGGCAATTCAGATAACAGTAATTACTTTAGCCAGTACCCATCCCAAAAGGTACAGGATATTTTGGACATTCTTTCACTTGCTCATTCAAAAATATTTCCTGGTGTCCTGGGTTGAGAAGCAGGCTTGGGGAGGGAGATTAATGTCCATGATGTTTGTGAAGGCAGGCTCCTGGGATCGCACTTGTAGATGGAAAACGAAGGAGGAGGATTGTGGAGAGAGAGAGGAGATGGTTCCTATACAGCCTCGGTTGACTCACAGAGAGCGCTGAAGCTAGCCTGGCCTCTCAGCTGTTGTCCATTCTTGGGGTAATGAAGCAGGGCTTTTATCCTCTGCCTCCATCCAGTCACTGGATGTGGGCTACTCCCAGAAAGGGAGTAACCTTAGGTGAGGCAGCGCTGAAGAGGCCTGACAGCTGAGGCTTGTCTACTGACAACACTCCCAGCAGCTGAGGGGGATAAGACCTCCAGGCTCAAGGGTGAGCTCTACGGCCCAACACAGCGTCCACCACACTGACGCAATATGATGCCGACAAAATAAACAGGCTTTTCGATCTTCTGTAACTTGAAGGTAAGTATTAAGCCAATGAACACTTCGATATATACTTAAGGCTGTGAAGGAAGAGAGGGCTTTAAGAGAAGAAAGGGCAGGGGTTGGGGGAAGGAGAGGAGGGCTAACGCCTGGCTGTCTGCTGGTTTCATAATCAGGGCGGAGTGGCAGGAAGGATACAAAAGAGAACTATAACACTTGGACTGGGAATTGTTTACCTTATTCTGTGGGCAGCATGGAGTCACTGAGACTTTTACAAAGGGAACAGAAAGCATAAAGTAGACAAGTAAAGTGGTAGTGGAATAGATTGGATTCGAAGGAAATTAAGCATTTCAAAGTCAACACAGGAATCAAGCATTTTCTTTTGAAGGTCATCTCCAATTTGGTCCTGTGTTTCTGGTCTCATTTCTTACCATTACCTTGTAGATCCTTTCAGGCCTATACAGATAACGACCTCTTCCATTATCTGAACACAAACGTTAACTCCATTTTTTTTGATATTGTCCTTTGACACCAATGAAATTTTCTAGTTTAAGATCCAGCTCAAATTTCACCTCCACTTGAAAAGATTTTTCTGCTTCAAGCCCTTTAAGGGTCTCTCTCTACCCTTATTTTCAGGATAAAGCAAAAATGTCTTAATGTAACTCACAAAAACCAGTACAATCTGGCCTCTGTTTATTCACCTCGCCAGACTCATATCATCCCATTCCCCTATATTTGTTTGCCGAGGTGGTGAGCTTGTGCCTTATTTGGCTTTTTATTAGGTTGGGGCAAAAGTAATTGTGGTTTTTGCCATTAACCACAATCACATTTGCACCAACCTAACAATTTCAGGAAATGTAATAATCTTTGACATGCTAAATGCTATTCATTGTTAAATTGAGAAAAGGTAAACAATCTTCACAAATAAAATTACTTACTTTTGATAGCTCTTCCCCTTCAATGAATCATGGTTTAATACAGAGTATTGGCTGGGTGCAGTGGCTCATGCCTCTGCTCCCAGCTCTTCAGGAGGCCAAGGCGGATGGATGGCTCCAGCACAGGAGTTCAAGACCAGCCTGGTAATGTAGTGAGACCTCATCTCTACAAATAAATACATACATAATAATAAAGAATATTTCTTTTCTAAGTTCACTGATGTACTAAGAAATTTAAGACTTCTGCACTATAATTTGTAGCCAATCATCCCCAGAGCCTTAAATGCTCATGTTAATCATAAATATGATATATGTTTCTTCTATGTGAAATATTTCTTCTAAGTAAAACATTAGTACATTTGCATCTGTAGAATTAGAAGGGACAATTAAAAGGGACAATAGAGATCATCTATTATAAGCGCCTCAGATTATAGTCAAATAAACTGGCTTGTGGGTGTTAAATGTCTTGAAAAGCATACCTTAGCTAGTTCGTGACAATGTTGAAGCTAGAAACTAAGTTCATTTATTGCCAATAATAATAAACATTTAGAGGCCCTACACGAGCCAGGTACTCCTCTAGACATGCTATATATATTATCTCATTGAATCTTCACAATCCTGTGAGGTGATACTGTTATTATCTTCAATTAGAGCAAAGAAGCTTAGCCACGGAAAGGTTGGCTAAACTTGTCCAAATTCCAAAATGCAAAATAATTAGAATAAAAACCCTCAAAAAGATCTTTCTCTTTTCACCTTCTCAAATTTCCAAACCCAGATGTATCAACATATATAATGCATTAAAAATTAAACTCCTTCCATTAGAAAGTAGACTCCATCTTCTGACCCCTTGATCTGAGCTGGATGGTCAGTAACTTGACTCACTTTGACCAGTAAAATTGAGGCTGAAGTAACATTGTGTGACTTCTGGGGAAGTTATCAAAAAGTGTTGCAGCATCCAATCTCACCTTCCAGCTGCTCAGAGACTGTCACGTTAAGACACTTAAACTAGTTTCCTTAAAGTTGAAAGACTGCAAGAAGAGAACAGCCCAGACACCAGTAGATATATGTGAGGGAAATTGACTTGGACTGTTCATCGATTCCCACCATCAACTGACTGCAACCACAGAGTGAGACCATGAAAACAACTCTACTTACCTTAGCCCAAATTGTTGATCCACAGAATTATGAAAAAGTAGTTATTTTTTCAAGTAAACGTGCTTTGAAGCTATTTGTTATATAGTAATTGATAATTGACAGAGCATATGATACTGTCGTTTGATCGATTTACCATGGAATTTCTCTTCCTATCATTTTGTTTTTAACTTTTCTGAGTCTTTAAATTTAAAGTAGGTTTGTGGTAGCCAGCACACAGGTAAGTCTAGTTTTTTTTTTTAATTTAATTCAACCTGACAGTCTCTGGTGTGTTTAGAACATTCATATTTAAAGGGATTATTGATATAGTTGCATTAAAATTTACCATCTTTGTAATTGTTTTCTGTTCATTGCATTTGTTCTTTATTTCTTTCTCCTGCTGTTTTTCTGACTTCTCTGGGGTTAATTAAGCATTTTGTATGATTTGATTTTATATCTTTACTTGGTATATCATATATCTTTTATAAAAAATTTAGTAATATCCCTAGGGTTTACAATATATATTTTAAAATAAGTCCACCTTCAAATAACATTATATAACTTTATAAGACTACTCCCGATTCATTCCTCCCATTCCTTGTGACATTGGTGTCAATTATTTCACTTGTCCATATGCTATAGTCACCCTATACATTGTTACTATTATTACTTTAAATAGCTATCTTTTAGATCAATTAAAAATATTATTTTAATTTCACTTGTTCCTTTTCTAATGCTTTTCTTTGTATAATTTTTGACCTATATCATTTTTTTTTCTCTCTGAAGAATATCTTTAACATTTTTGCAGGGCAGGTCTGCTGGCAATGAAATCCCTCAGTTTTCTCCACAAAAGGCTTTATTTTTCACCGTTGAAGGAAAATTTTGCTGAATATAGAAATATAGGTTGACAGGGTTTGTTTCAGCATTTCAAAGATTTCACCTCACTCTTCTTGCTCACGTGTTTCTGAAGCCAAATCTGATATAATCTGTATCCTTAGTTCTGGTTTGTTTTTTTTTTTTTCTCCTTCTGGCTTCCTTCAAGATTTTCTTTGTCTTTGATTTGCTGCAGTTTGAATATGAAATGCCTGGTTGTAGGATTTTATTTTTAATTGTTTGTTTTGGACTTCTCTGAGCTTCCTGGATTTGTAGTTTGATGATACCGTTATTATCTTCAATTAGAGCCAGGAAGCTTAGCCACAGAAAGGTTGGCTTTGGTGTTTGTCATTAGTTTTGGGAGTTCTTAGCCATGTATTATTTCAAATATTTCTTCTGTCCTGTTCTATTTCTTATGCTTCTGGTATTCAGTTATACCTTTTGATATTGGCCCACAGTTCTTGCATATTGTATTCTTTTTTAAAATTTATTTTCCTTCTGTTTTTCAGTTTGGGAACTTTTAAAATTGAGCAATATTCTGGCCGGGCGCAGTGGCTCACGCCTGTAACCCAGCACTTTGGGAGGCCGAGGCGGGTGGATCACGAGGTCAGGAGTTCGAGACCAGCTGACCAACATGGTGAAACCCCGTCTCTACTAAAAATACAAAAATTAGCCAGGCATGGTGGTGCGTGCCTGTAATCCCAGTTACTTGGGAGGCTGAGGCAGGAGAATCACTTGAACCTGGGAGGTGGAGGTTGCAGTGAGCCAAGATCACGCCACTGCACTCCAGCCTGGGCAACAGAGTGAGACCCCGTTTCAGAAAAAAAAAAAAAAAATTTGACCAATATTCAAGTTTACCTATTCTTTCCTTAGCTATCTCAAGTCTACTGATAAACCACCAAAAGGCATTCCTCATTTCTGCTACTGTTTCTTTGATTTCTAGCATTTCCTTTTGATTCTTTCTCATAGTTTCTGTCTGTATTGACATTATCTATCTGATTTTGCATGTTGTGTACTTTTTTCCATCCCTTTTTTTATTAATCATAGTGTAACTGTGTACCCTCATTTTTCTAAGAGATAGTTTTTTACTATCTTTCTTCTTCTCGCTCTCCTTCTTTTCCCCACTTCCTACTTAGGTCTTTAGAAATGCAGTTATAGCCTTTACCTCCTCTTCACCAGACACTCCCTAGAGGGCAAGTTTATTTAACTAGGTTGTTAGAAGCTCCAGAGTGAAACTCTCCTACCAGGAGGCTGCCTAAAGAAACAACAGTCCATCTACTACCTAAAGTATTTCCACTGTGAAACTCTCTCCCACCTGGAGAATTTTCTGCTGCTTTTACAACCTAGTCTTGTCCACAAAGGGACCAGCAGTTACCAGCTTGACCACCCGGTAGATAAGGCACCGAGGCTAGTATGCAGACCCCCCACCTGCTCACTGACTCCTCTGCATGTCATTCATGCCAGCATGCTGGGCCCCCTTTAAAAGCACCCCACTTTCTGCTCCAAAAGTGAGGTGGTACCCATAAAGACAAGATCCTGCTCCTCTTCCCCTAAGCAAGCTTTGGAATAAAATGTCACTTTCTTTATACCTTGCTCCTGTTAATTGGAGTGACTGGACTTGTGTTTTGGTTACAAAATGTGGAGTGGGGAGTGACTGGACTTGTGTTTTGGTTACAATTTTTGTGGCTCATATGGGGAAGTACTTCATGCCCTGGGTGAGCTAACTTTGTCAGCCCAGTTTCACTACCAGGTGAGGTGTGGGGTCACCTGTGAGTGCCAGCTGCTCATGGCTAGCAGACCCCATAATGGGAACATTAGGAAACTTCCCAGAAGCTGCCAAAAATGAATTTGTTTTGGGGGAAGCTCCCTTTTGCCTCATGGCATGACAACTGCTGCCTTTGGTGCTTCACTGGTACAAGCAAAATGGCCTCTTAAGACGCTGACAAACTTTGAAACTGAGTGAGTAGTTGGAGTGTACCCAAACTGGGTGGCCTTGCCCTATTTAAGACTTGGCTCTTTTGGGGTGTCGCTGGGGCCGTGCTATATATATATTATTTTTTTTTTTGAGATGGAGTCTTGCTCAGCTGCCCAGGCTGGAGTGCAGTGGCCCAGTCTCGGCTCACTGCAACCACCATCTCCCAGGTTCAAGCGATTCTCCCGTCTCAGCCTCCCAAGTAGCTGGGATTACAGGCACCCGCCATCATGCCCCACTAATTTTTGTATTTTAGAAGAGATAGGGTTTCTCCATGTTGATCAGGCTGGTCTTGAACTCCTGACCTCAGGTGATCCGCCCACCTTGGCCTCCCAAAGTGCTGGGATTACAGGCATGAGCCACCGCGCCTGGCCCAAGGCCCTACTGTATTTAAGACCTGGCTGCTAGTGATAGCATTTGAGCATTTTATGCATTTGTATTTATTTGAATATGAAGTTCCATAGGAACTTGGCTCAGACTCAGCTTCCTGTGGAGCCATTTGGAACTGGGGCGGGGGATTCAGGACCTCACCCAGACCCTTGACTGGGGACTCATTTGGAAGCACACCATTTGCATGTGTGAATGAATGACTTTTTGTATGGGCCCTATTGCCTTTCTTTGCTCTCTACCTCCCATTTCACCCTCCTGACTATCTCGGAGAGCTGCCCACCTAGGGTGCTGAGACTCTCCCTGATAAATGAGAAGGGCGGGCCTGGTGCCCCCACACTGTGTAATGGTTGGAAGGTTCCCAAGGTTCCATCTGGTCACTTTACCTTTTTTTTTCTTCTCCTCCTTTCTTTCTCACACCCCACTTGTGAAACCTGGCTCCCATGCCCAGTACGAACTTCACCGGGGCATAGGCCTGGCTCCTGTGCAGGCTGTCTTTCCCTCTCTCTTCTTTTCTCCCTACTTTAAATATGCTGTTACTAAGCTGCTGGTGCTGAGATAGGACTCATGTGGTCTAACTAGAATGTAAACGTTGGAAACTGTTTTGAAACTGAGGGAAGAAAAGATGAGTTTGGGTTTTTTTCTTCTTTTTTATAAGGAAGGGGTTTCTTTTGGAGCCAGGAGCTGTGCAACCACCTGGGGTTAGGGGAGCGGGGATGCCAGAACTCCTTTAGCCGCCCCAGCTGGTGTCTAGTAGGTCACGTGCCCCTCCAGTCCACTGTCCCTTGACCGAGTCCAGCACTAGGACTCTCCTAGGTGTTGAAGTCCTTGTGGCCTCAACTGTCTTTCACGTTTATTTAGAGCCTCAGAACACTTTAGCTCGTGGTGGCAAGGCTTGTAGGAACTCAGGGTCTGACAGTTGGGATCAGTGATTTCCCTCTGGCTAGGGCTGGTTTAAATGCTCCCTCCATAGACAGGCATCAGCTGAATTTGCTCTGATTTTTTTCTTTCTGCTATAACAGGGCAGCACTGAGTTCAATGCCTTACAATTGGAATGCTCTCCCTCCCCCAGGACTCAGAGACACTCTTTGCCCCACACTGCTGCTGCCACAGTGGGTCGGGGCAGGGGGCAAGGGGTGGCATCGGTGATTCAAGAGTGTTTTTTCTACCTGTTCAGTTCCTCTTTCAGTGATACAAAGTTAAAACCAGGTACTGTGAGTGCTCACCTGATGCTAGAGGCTTTAAGGTCATAAAATACTTTTATGAGTTATAATAATAATTTGACTTGCCTGTTTTACAGCTATTGGATTCTAGGTAAGGTCTAGGGACATACTGAGTTAGGTAGGTTCCCTACCTAGGCTGGAAGAGTCAGACAGTTGTCTGCAGCTCTGTCCCTTGTCCTGGGCTTTACAATCCAATATATGGTTAAAATTACTTACTTACCAGATTTTTCACAAAAAATAAAAGTTGCTGAGAGTTAACATTGTAACATGTTAATTGAGACTACTGGAGAAACAGTTTCATACGCAAGATATACAAGGAAAGTAGAATGTGGTTTTGGTAAAAGGTTATAAGAAGGCATATAAGTATGATATGGTTTTTGCTAAAGGGAATGTAATTTTGTCTAATTCCGAGGTTTTTAAGGATTGGCCTAAGCTAAAAGAACGATAGAACAAAACTGAAAATTTAAACAAATTGTGAAAGATTTGTGAGAGATTAATCTTGGAAAAGAAGTTCTACAAGTGTGAGAAAGCTGGCTAAAATTTGAAAGGGATTATTTAGTTTTTCCATAAATCAAACATTAAAATAAAAGCACACTGATGCAGGACCAGAATCTGGGCCCATGTGTCTGAATAATAAGGCTTTCTTAGAAAGTTGATCTGCTCTTTAACACAACATTGTAAAGGATTATAAAAAATTTATGAAAATTTTACCTTATGGTCAAATTAATTAAGATTGGATAGATTTGTTTATAAGGTTTTATTGAAAATTGGGTTTAACATTAATAGTACACTAATGCAAAGGTGAAATTTGGCTTTCTCTTTTGAATAAATTTTTGTGTAATATTAAAAAGTAATAAAAAATGTTTTGTTTGCCTTTTGAATAAATGACAGAAAAAAGAAAGGAAAGAAGAGACAGATTCAGTTGGCCTCATACTGTCTTTATTGGGTTTTATTTGAAAAGCTGTCTATCCTCTATCAATAAGTAAAGATTTTTCCCTTTTACTTATAGTGACATGAGATTTTATTTTGTAATACCAAGTGTTTAAACCTTTGATATTTGATAAACTTTCAAAAGTCAAATTCTAAATTAAGTTCTTTTTTTTTTTTTTAACCTGTTTAACCTTTTCAGATATCAGGTCCCTTAAAGTCTAAAAGAGACATATTTGGCTTATTTGGTATATAAAAACCATACAGGAAACATTGTCAAATATAAAATGGTGTTTACAGTTCTTTGAGTTATAGTCATATAAACATGTTTTGAGCATGTGTTCCAAAATTGTATAAGATTCCTGTAATTCTGATATGTCTTAACATATGTTATCAGTAATAATTATGATTGTTATGCTAAATTACTATGTGCCACATAGCCAGGTTTCCTTGTTGATTGTGTCTTTGTGGCTATTCTGAGAGTTTTGTCATCCATAATTGTTATTTTACTCTGATTCTTTTCAAAGGTGGTTTTATAACCAGCTATAGGACACTGACAGGTGCTCTTGAAGGCAGGTTTCTAATAACTGGAGATTTTGACATTAGAATAAAGAAAAAAAAACTTCCAAAACTCCCATAAAAAGCTAATGCATTTATGCATATCAAACAGAACAGGAATAAATTACATAGACTGAACTAATGGAAGACTGAAATAATCTTTATGACACTTTGTTTGAAACACTGCTAATTCTTTGATTTTTCAGAGTCCAAAAATCCTTTTTCCTTTTGAGCTATTTACAGCTTTTAATAGTTGAGTAAAGTACAGTCCTCTGAGCAAAATTCGGAGAATTTTTCTTTGTTTTTACCTGATTTCTCCAGAATTTGAAAACTATTTGTAAGTATACTTAATTTATGGCAGTATAGTTATCTGCATATGTTCAAGAAGAATCTGTTTTCTTCTGTGAAAGGACACCATTGGAGACACCAGTTATTTTACCAAGGCTTTGACTGAAAGGGCATACTTCCAGGTATAAATAGACTGCTTTAAGGAATCAAAGTTGACTTATACAGCCAATTAAAGCCTCTTGGAAAAAAACTGGCCTCATACCTTGTCCATGCAGTCCCTGCACAGGATTTCCTGACCTGTAGTAAGTAAGAATGTCACTTTGTGACACGCCCAAGAGCCCCAAATTATCTTGAGACCTCAAGAAGAGGAATTCACCCAATTCATACAAGTATTTGCAAGTACAGATGAGTCTGTGGCTGTGCTCAAGGTTTTAAAAGGTCAATTTAAGATTTCTTATAAGTAAAAATTTCAGCAAAGCCAGTTTTAAAAGGAGCCAATATGACAAATAATTATTCTTGCTGCACTTTCTGCAAATAATCAGGCCAAGTATAATAAGACTAAAACTTATTTTGCAAATAAATTTGTCCTATTATGATTTGTCTTTAGTATAACAGGAACTGGAGAGAGAAAAAATTATATTTCAGAAAAAACTATAGTACACCTGTTGTTTGATTCTAGTTTTGTCCTTTGTTTTAGAGTTTTTATTATTTTCTGCAATTTGGACTAAATCCTGAATTCTTTCTGGGTTACAGGTCCCTAAACGAATGCTTTCAAATTCCTTTTCCATTTTTTTTTTAAGACAAACTCTCACTTTGTTACCCAGGCTGGAGTAACAAAGTGATCTTTGGCGTGATCTTGGCTCACTGCAAACTCTACCTCCCAGGTTCAAGCAATTCTCCTACCTCAACCTCCTGAGTAGCTGGGACAACAGGTGAGCACCAACGTACCTAGCTAACTTTTGTATTTTTAGTAGAGACAGAGTTTCACCATGTTGGCCAGGCTGGTCTTGAACTCCTGACCTCAAGTGATCCACCTGCCTCAGCCTCCCAAATTGCTGGGATTACAGGTGTAAGACTGTGCCTGGCCTTCCATTTTTCTGATTTGGACTTGGTGAAATCACTACTACCTTATTCCTCGTAATACAGGAGAGAAAAATATGTCAGCCTGCTACCGCCCTCCTCTGTAACTAAAGATGCTTTGAGTCTATCATCTAGATAAATTGTGCCCAACATTAACCTTTGTTTTTCTTCTGTTTCTATAGAAATGCCTCTTATTAAAAATATATTTGCCTTCATCACATACAGAGGACTAACCCATCTGCAATGCCACCTCCTAGATGAGACACAGCTAGCTAACTAAACTGATTCATTCTCAGAAACTAGACAGGATTTATGATGACTTTCGTGAATATTCACAGCTCTTCCTATAATCCGTTGAACACATATTTAACCAACCTGTTAACATATCTGGTTATAATTGGCAGTGGGGAATCTGCATGACAATTAAGACTAAATGCTACCTAAAGATCCAAGATAATACAGGAAATGTCTTGATAGCCTGCAAGACACAAACCAACAAATCAAAGCTATTTCTAACCCCACATATTGCTAGATCAATGGTTAGCATTCAGTTTCAGGTCAGGATTGTCCTGGTGGTGGAAGCTACTTATCAGTTTAGCCCCGGCTGCAAGAATAGGCATACTTCTCTGCTTTGGATTTTACTACTGTTGCACCCTGTGTAGGGAAATGCAAGACAGGATTTTTCATATACTTTCCAGACCTCACACTATAATGTTCCAACCAATATCATCTGTAAATCCGGGTACTCATGAATATTTCCAGTTCCAAATAGATCAGTTCCATTCTGATACACAATGACTATGCCCCTTTCAGCAGGAAGCAGCCAGAATGAATATGGCACCTAAATCCCATAGAAATGAAATGGAACTTGGCAGTGGGGAATCGTAACCCAATACTCCCATTTTTCTTTTCTTTTTTCTTTTCTTTTTTTTTTTTTTTTTTTTTTTTGAGATGGAGCCTAGCTCTGTCGCCCAGGCTGGAGTGCAATGGCACGATCTCGGCTCACTGCAACTTCTGCCTCCCGGGTTCAAGTGATTGTCCTGCCTCAGCCTCCCAAGTAGCTGGGATTACAAGCGCCCACCACCACGCCCAGCTAATTTCTATATTTTTAGTAGAGATGGGGTTTCACTGTGTTGGTCAGGCTGGTCTGGAACTCCTGACCTCATGATCCGCCCACCTTGGCCTCCCAAAGTGCTGGGATTACGAGCGTGAGCCACCACGCCCAGCTATACTCCCATTTTTCTAAGAGATAGTTTATTTTCTCACTCTCTTCTCTTTCTTCCATTTCCCCATTTCTCTAGTTAGCTCTTTAGAAATGGAAGTATAGTCTTTACAACCACTTCATCAGATACTCCCTACAGGGCACGTTCATTTAACTATGTGCTCAGAAGCTCGAGAGCAGAACTCTCCACCAGGAGGCTGCCTCGAAAAACAGTCCATCTACAATCCAAAGTGTGCCTGCTGCAAAACTCTCTCTCACCTGGAGAATTTTCAAAAGCTTTTACTACCTAGATCTTCCCATGAAGGGGCCAGCAGTCACCTGCTAAACTGCCCAGGGGTCAATAAGCCGCTGAAACTAATACACACCTGCTCCTTCTCCTCTGGATGCCATTCATGCTAGCATGCCAGGCCCCCTTTAAAAGCACTTGCTTTCTGCTCCAAAAGCAAAGCAGTACTCTTAAAGGCAAGAGCCTATACTTCTTCCCCTAAGCAAGTTTTGGAGTAAAAAGTCACTTTCTTTATACCAGAACTTGCTTTTTTAATTGGACTCTGCACGTGGCAAGTGGCCGAACCTGTGTTTTGGTTACCATGGCATTTTAAATTGCCTGCCTGATAGTACCAGAATCTGTGTCATATCTGAGTCTGAACCTGATGACTGTTTTGTCTCTTCAGACCCTGCTTTTTCTTGTTTTTGATATATCTTACAATTTCTGTTGTTATTGTTGTTGAAAACCAGATATATTGCCTATGGTAATAGGTACCAAGAGAAGTCTTTAGTGTGAAAAATTATATTAATCTTGCTTGGAGTTAAAATGCGATTTAATCTTTCTTATAGCTATAGATACCAGAGATTGCAAATTCTTTCAGTGTCCTTGTTTTTGGCTTTAAGACTTCCTTTTGTATTTTTTTCCTTAGAGAAAATCTGTGTCTTGTAGCTTTTTTGGCTGAAATCCACTTTTATTACATTGGAGACTTATTGGTGTAGTGTATGGTGTGGAACAGAGGGAGCACTCTAAAATCATCTGTGTCTTGGTCTTTTAGTGGGCTTGTGTCTTGGGAGATGACCTTCGCAAGTGTTTCAATTTCTCCTCCAGGGGTATAGTTTTTTTTTCCCATTGCTCCCCATTTTCCCTGGCTGTGGCATTCTCAATCAACTTCCTTGCCGCCTTCTCCCCTGCTGACTATGGATTTTTTTGTCCCTTAGGTGAGACGGGAAAGTGGGCTGGAGTTGAGCAGAGTTCAGAGTTCTCCTAGCTAGGTGAGTTTTCAGTATTGCCCTCTGGGGAGAAGTCCTTTCTACTGGAGACAAGTTCTTTGTGAGGGAGAAGGGGCTGGCAGGATTTAACAATGACTATTCTTTACCTCCTCCTACCAGGGCCATTGGAAGATTATTCTTGAATCCTCAGAACCTCCCTGTGAGAACCCACTGGTATTTCTGGAAATACCAATATTTCCAGTATTTCCACGCCTGCCCCCTGCATGACAGCAACCACGAGGAGTTTCTCACTCTCACATTAGACCATACTCAGGGTCTAGCAATTCATGAAAATTACTAGTTAAGTGTTCCTATCAGCTTAGGGCATCCAGGAGCTTCTGCTGGATGTGTGGCAAAAGTAAGCAAGTATCAGATGCTCTTGTATCTCACTGGATGTGCATATCTCTCCAGATGGGTGGCTGTTTGCCCTGAGTCCTTGGTTCTCTGGTAGGTCCAAAAGCCATTGATTTTTGGACCTACCAAAATCCAGTTTTTCTGGATGTAAGGATGGGACAAAATCCAGTTTGTCCAGTTTTTCTGGATGTAAGGATGGGAATGGCAACTTCTAAGTTCCTTACATATTGGAGCTGAACATGTGATATTTTCTTGAGTAAGATTTCCTACTGCTAGGAACACAGGAAGTAGTTGTAACAGTGAGAACTGAATTATCTCCTTGTACTTGGCTTGGAGTCATTGAAACGAAACAAGGACTCCAATATGGTTTATACTCATACAGAGAAATTGATTTTGGAGGTATTTTAGCAGAAGTTTTTTGAGGAATGAATTGTTCATGCTGATAAAGGTAGGACTTGAGAATAAGCTATGACTGGGGTGAAGAGGCCCACAATAACTTGTAGGAACGACGGCTGGAAATATTAGGTTGTGACCAGGCTACAGTGTTTCGTTTGAAGTATGTTTTATTCTGTGGTCATCAGCATGGAGTCACTAAAAGATTTCAAAAAGGTTAACAACTAGCAAAAATCTGAACAAGTAATCTGGTGACAGTACTGAATAAATTGAAAGGACACTGGGTTAGTAGTATCAAACTCAAGCTTTGGTATCTGAATAGAGATAAAAAGGAGAAACTGAAAAGCTGTAAGATTTTAATAATGATAAAATCAGCAACTTGAGGGATGAAGTCCAGGAGCCTGGCCTATAATATGAAGAATTTGAGATGTGACTAGAACTCACAACAGAGTATTGGGGTTGAAGATTATATTTGAGTTTCGTCTGCATGGAGATTGTCGCTGAAACCTTGAATAGAGATGTGATACCTGGGAAAGAACAAGAAGTGGGGTTAGAACCTTTGTGGATGTGTAAATGCAAAGGAGTGGGAAAAAATAAACTTAATAGCAGGAAAACCGGAAGGATGAGAGTAAAACTAGGACAAGATGTAAAGAAAATTAATAAGCCATTAATTTATTTTAATAGCTTTAAAATAAATAAACCATTAATTTTTGTTTAATGGTTTAATTTAAAATAAACCATTAATTTAAAGTTTTTAAAATAAATTGGTGGTTTTTTTTTTTTCTCCAACTTATGTCTGTTCTACAGGGGCATACTCTGGAGTACGCAAATCCAACAGTCCTGACAGAGGAAAGCAGCTTCCTGTATAGTTGACCTGGAAGGTCAACTTCTTGTCAGAGTTTTACATGAATTATTTTTATGGTGGAAATAGATGTAAATGTTCCACCAAAAATGATTTTTATCAGGTAAATATCCACATTTATGAGATAATGCTCCACTGTTAGAATCTAATCAGGTAGAAGAGTGATTTATGTCAGCTGTAAAGTTGTGACAATAACCATATATAATACAGGCATACCATGTTTTATTGAGCTTTGCTTTATTGTACTTCACAGATACTGTTTATTAGAAATTGAAGGTTTGTGGCAACTTTGCATCAAGCAAGTCTATTGGCACAATTTGTCCAACAGCATTTACTGACTTCATGTCTTTGTGTCACAATTTAGTAATTCTCACAATAGTTCAAACTTTTTCATTATTATTATATCTGTTATGATGGTCTGTGAATCTGTGATCTTTCATGTTACTGTTGTAATTGTTTTGGGGGTTGTGAACTATGCTCATAGAGACAGAAAACTTAATCCATAAATATTGTGTGTGTTCTGACTGCTCCACCAACCAGCTGCTCCCTCATCTTTCTTCCTCTTCTTGGGCCTCCCTATTCCCCGAGACACAACAATATTGAAATTAGGTCAATTAATAAGCTTACAATGGCCCCTAAGTACTCAAGTGAAAGGAAGAGTCACACATCACTCACTGTAAATCAAAAGCTAGCAATAATTAAGCTTAGTGAGGAAAGCATGTCAAAAGCCAAAATAGGCCAAAAGCTGGGCCTCTTGTGCCAAATGGTCAGCAAAGTTTTAAATACAAAGAAAAAGTTATAGAAGGAAACTCAAAGTGCTACTTAAGTGAACACACAAATAATAAGAAAGTCAAACAGCCTTCTTTCTGAGATGAAGACAGTTCAAGTGGTCTGGAAAGAAGATCAAACAGGCCACAAGACTACCTTAAGCCAAAGCCTAATCCAGAGCAAGGCCCTAACTCACTTCAATTCTATGAAGGCTGAGAGAGATGGAGAAGCTGCAGGAGAAAAGCAGGTAGCTAGCAGATGTTGGTTCATGAGGTTTAAGGAATGAAGCATCTCCATTACATAAAAATGCAAGGTGAAAAGCAGCAAGTGCTGTTGTACAAGCTGCAGCATGTTATCCAGAAGATCTAGCTAAGATGATTGACGAAGGTGGCTACACTCAACAACAGATTTTCAGTGTTGACCAAACAGCCTTCTGTTGGAAGATGCCATCTAGGATTTTCATAGCTAGAAAAAAGTCAATGTCTGGCTTCAAATCTTCAAAGGACAGGCTGATCCTTTTGTTAGAACGTTAAAGCAGCCATGATTTTACATTGAAGCTGATCCTCAATACCATTCTAAAAACCCTAGGACCCTTAAGAATAATGCTAAATCTACCACGCCTGTGCAGTATAAATGAAACAGAAAAGCCTGGGTGATAGCACAACTGTTTATAACATGGTTTACTGGATATTTTAAGCCAACTGTTGAAACCTACTGCTCAGAAAAAGAGATTCCTTCAAAATGTTACTGCTTATGAACAATGCACCTGGTCACCCACGTGTTCTGATGGAGATGTACTAGCAGATTCATGTTGTTTTTCATGCCTGCTAATACAACATCCATTCTGAAGCCATGGATCAATGCATAATTTCAACTTTCAAGTCTTGTTATTTAAAAAATACAGTTCTAGGGGTATTGCTGCCATCAATAGTGATTGCTCTGTTGGAAATAGGTAAATCGAAAACTTTCTGGAAAGTATTCACTATTCTAGATGCCATTAAGAACATTCATGATTCTAGGAGGCCAAGGCGGGTGGATCACGAGGTCAGGAGATCGAGACCATCCTGGCTAACATGGTGAAACCCCGTCTCTACTGAAAATACCAAAAATGAGCCGGGTATGGTGGTGGGCGCCTGTAGTCCCAGCTACTTGGGAGGCTGAGGCAGGAGAATGGCGTGAACCCAGGAGGTGGAGCTTGCAGTGAGCCAAGATTGCATCACTGCACTCCAGCCTGGGCGACAGAGCGAGACTCCATCTCAAAACAAACAAACAAACAAAAAAACAGAATTCATGATTCATAGAAGGAGGTCAAAATATCAACATTAATGAGAGTTTGGAAGTTGATTCCAACCCTCATGGATGACTTTGAGGGGCTCAAGATTTCAGTGGAGGAAGTAACTGTAGATATGGTATAAATAGTAAGAGAATGAAGTTAGATGTGGAGCCTGAAGATGTAACTGAATCACTGCAATCTCATGATAAACTTGAATGGATGAGGAGTTGCTTCTTACAGATAAGCAAAAAATGTGGTTTCATGAGATAGAATCTACTCTTGGTAAAGATGCTATGAACACGAAGTGACAACCAATAATTTAGAAAATTACATAAATGTAGCTGATAAAGCAGTGGCTTGAGAGAACTGACTTCAATTTTGAAAGATGTTCAATTGTGAGTAAAATGCTATCAAACAGCATCACACACTAGAGAGAAATCTTTCATGAGTCAATTGATGTGGTAAACTTCATTGTTGTCTTATTTTAAGGAACTGTCACAGCCACCTCAACCTTCAGCAACCACCACTGTTCAAGGCAACATCCTTCAGCAGCAGAAAGATTGACTCGCTGTAGGCTCAGGTAATTGTTAGCATTTTTAAGCAATATTTTAAAATTAAGGTATATACACTGTTTATCTGGGCATAATGCTACTGCACACTTAATAGACTACAGTTTACTTTAAACATAACATTTTATGTACCTGGCATCCAAAAAATTCCTATGACTCGCTTTATTGCAACGGTCTGGAACCAAACCCGTAATATCTCTAAGATATTCCTGTATGCAAAATTACCATTATCTCTCAGGGGTAACTGCAAATAATTTGCTTCCTCCAAATAAATACATAATCTTCATAATATATAAATTTATTTGGATATTTGTATTTGTGTATACTGCTGATCCTTGAACAACATGGGTTTGAATTGTGTGGTCCACTTTTATGTGAATTTTTTTAACCATGTGCAGATCAAAAATACATGTGAATCATGCAGTATATGGAGGGCCCACTTTTTGTATATGTGGGTTCAACAGTGTTGACTGTGGTACTTGAGTATGCACAGATTTTGGTATATGTGGGTGGTCCTGGAACCAACCCCCACATAGACCATATGCTGTTACGTATACATATGTGAAGTACAATCAGATGCTCTACCCCGGCATCGAGTGGCTTGTTTCTCACTAAGATTGGTTAATGTTTAAAGGAAAGAAAGAAAATGCATGGTAAATTTCTTCTAGAGCAACAAGGCAGTTTTCATCAAGTTTGAGAAATGTAGTTTTATTAATAGAAGGGCATGTCTTACCATACACACTGTCCCCAGATAAATAAAATCCCAACATCTTTGAAAGCACACAAACACACAGTTTTACAGGGTACAATACAAAGTGAACTTTGATGATGTTCTTACTTGCATTTACTAAAAATCTGAGAAAGACTGTAATCAGTCTCTAAATAATTATCTTGCGTAAAGAGAAAAGTAGAGCACAATATATATATATCACAAACCAAATCACACTCTCTGTAACATTACAACATGGAATTTACTTAATCAAAAATAAAAGCAAACTGGCTGAAGAAGGCTGTATCATTTTTTTCTCAATATTACGCTAATTTCTATTTTTGGCATGAATTATTAACCTTTTCCATTAGTAGGCAAATGTGCTCTGCAAATTCTCGGATGGCACCACGGCCACCATTACATTTGCAAATGTATCCAACAGCCTTCTGGGCAGTAGAACAGGCATCAGCAGGAGCGCCACTTAGGCCCACTCTCTTCAAGCACTCTTCATCAGACACTTCATTTCCTATCAAGTAAAATAAATACTGAGCAAACATTTAAAGAGACAAAGAATATTCTAGCTAAATAATGCAGACAGCAACCAACAGGTAACTCTGGCAACTTCAGTAAGACCTAGGGGCACTGCATATAAGAATACTAAAGATTAGATGGAACAAAAATATTTTACAGTATAATTGAGGTCCAGGGTTTTCCCTAAGCAATCAAAAATAAACTCTTATGAGCTAGAGAAGAAGAATGGAGCATAATTGCTACCTGCCATGCATATTACAAATGTTAGAAATTTTATATATGAATTCTAAGTAAGTTATTTAAATTTTTCATTAAGCAAAATTTCAAACATATGCGAGAACCCCAATTTTATATTGAAAAATTATCAGAATTTAAAATCACTTAGTAATATTGTTTTCTATGCACTGCCCCCTAGTTTATTTGGGGAAAGGGAGAAGAAGGAATTCCCAGACATAATATTTTATCCAAAAACTCTTCAATATTTATCTCTGATAAATATAATTTTTTATCTGACAGAATATCATTAAACCCACAAAATCAGTAATAGTTCCTTAATATCCTCTAATAACCTAGTATATGTTGAGATACCCCCAGCTGTCTCAAAATTGTCCTTTTATAGCTGACTTATTTGAATCAGGAATGAAATAAGGTTAACATATGGTCTTTTGTTTATATATATATAATCTCTTAAATCTCTTTTAATCTGTAATGGTTCTGATTGGTATGCCATTTATTAATAGTTGCTGAAAAATTACCATTTTTAAAGAATAAAAATAGATACTAAATCATACTGACATAACGATATCCTTTTCCTCCCTCTCTGTTAACCCCTTTTTTGGAATAGGATGCATTTCAGAAGCTCCCAGTATCTTTAATTCACCATTCTGAGTAAAACTATTACTATACTTTAGACCACATACAATAGTACAATCTTGGTTGAAGAGAGTTTCTTTTACATTTGTTCTATGCTTATCTACTGAAATTTTCTCATTTATTATTAAATGTGTTGAAATTTGAATCGTTTTCACTAAAATAAAAAAAGTTAGTATTTGCATAATCCAGCCTTTAAGCTCTATTTACTAAATTTTACTTATAAAAGTATTGATTTTTTTAAGAAATATATTTTTATACACTTATGTCACCCATATAAAACATTGGTGAGTGAGTTATTATTTTTTTTTTTTGTAGACATGGGGCCTCACTATGTTTCACAGGCTGGTCTAAAACTCCTGAGCTCCAGGGATCTGCCTGCCTCCGCTTCCCAAAGTGGTGGGATTGTAGGCATGAGCCATCATGCCTGGCCTGCTGTGAGTTTTAAATAAAAATGTAAATGCTCTTCTCCATTTTCTTACCTCTCCTTTTAAAGTGTGTGTGTGTGTGTTTTTTTTTTAATGTCATATAAGTAATACGTATTCGTGGTAGAAATATTTTTTTAAAAAATAGAAGCAAAAAAGTCACAATCATCCTAATTATCACTATTTGTAGATAATCACTACATTTTGACACATATAATTCTAGAGTTTTACCTATATAAATGATACACTTATTACTATCTGTAGGCACTATGTTAAGCATTTTATATTATCTTTGTTTTTCTTTCTAATGGCTTTATAAAATTTGGTTTGTGTTTATATTCTAAGTAGAAAACTAAGGTATACAGAAGCTTGCTTAACATCCCAAAGAAAGATAATAAGTATAGTTGGAATTTGTTATACATTCCACTAAAATTTTCTTCTAATAAAAATTGGATCTGTCTTTAACAAACATTCTGCAGCATTTATGTCCATTAAATCTTCATGTGTGGTTTAAGGGTTATTCCTGAAGTCTCTAGATCACATGCTCCCAAAGTTTTTCCTGTGCTTCTTATTTTGAGGCTCATATTACCCTTGTAAATACTGCTTTCATACATGATTTATAGTTATTATGCATCTTAATAACTTATCAATTTTAAAATGTTGACATCATCAGACTGTAAGCTCTGCAAGCAGAAAGCCTACAGTTCCCACAACCAGTTCCATGCTGCGTATCATCATAGGTACCTGGTAAGTAAGTGTATTGCTTAATATCCAAGTGAAAAACATTGTTATATTTGATCATGCAAATAAATACAGGTCACAGCACTGTTTGTAATGGTTGCATAGTAATCCTTTTTAGGGATATTCTATTTTTCACAGGACATTTAAGTGGGTTCTTTTAACTTCACTATTGGCCCATTTGTCTCATTTCTTTCCTGGAATTGGAATTTGGAGGAAAAAGTATGTACATTCAATTAGCAGCAAAAACTATTCAGAGTGTAATTCATATGTACTAGAAATTCTGCTAAGTGCTTTACTCATATTATTTTATTAATCCCTTCCAGAGCCCTACGGTAATAGGTACTCTCGATATCTCCAGTTTACAGATGAGGAAACAACATTCATCTTATCACAACTGGCTAATCAGTGGTACAGTCTGACTTCACAGCTTGTGCTAATAATCATTCTACATTTGATACCTATTATCAAACTAACCTCCAGAAAGACTGTCCCAGTTTAACAGTTTGATCAGCAGTGTTTGTTAAAAGAGTTCCTATTTCCCTACAATCATACCCATTTGGAGGATGTGCTTTGTCATTTCTTTAAAAATAAGTAAATAATTAATTCCTGGTCCATTTTACTATGGGTGAATAAAAAGATACCAACCAAGATATGCCACTTCTTTCCAGCACAGGCCCATTTCTTTTCTCCATTCATCTACAACTGCTAGCTTGTCTGATACACTGACTTCCATTTTGCAATCCAGTTTTAAAGAAGACAGCGTCTGCTTTGAACAGGCCCTTTCTGAGATTAGCCTCACCTTAAAAAAAAAAAAAAAAAGGATTGGAGGAAGAAGGGAAAAATTAAAAAGTGAAGAAAACAGAAATCTTTCATAATAATTGACCTTGTAGACAGTCCAAATCACAAACGAGTCATCTTTTGACTTTCTGAAGGTCCAAGTAAGAAAACTGACTGTCGAATTAAAATCATGATGCTTTAAAACAAAGCTCATTTTATTTCTCATAGCCCAATAAAGGTGAGACACAGTATTTTATTTTCTACAATAGAAAGGATTCTATCTACAGGTAAAAATTACAACATATATTGTCTGATACTACTCTAAGATTCTCCTATAATTCAATTTATCCAGAGGAAAGTCTATAACCTCTCTCTTGTGCTGCTTAGCAATACATATTTAGGATTTCTGGTAAATTATAATTATCTTAGCTAGCTTTCATTTAAAAAAATACACTTAAACGTTAAGTTATTTTGAATCAAAAATGTCATTCATAAGAATAAGCTAGATTTTAAAAATCCACAGGATATCGTCCTTTTCTAAAATGGTACACCTATTATCTAGGGAATCTTTCTTGCTGCAAGATCCTTTGGGAAACATTAGATAGCTCCCATTTAAAAGTAGTTATGTTTATATTTACTGAATAAACAAGAAATATTATTTGCTGATTAACAAATTCCTAATTCTACTCATCTAAAACTAAATAGTATAATAATTTTCTAGGCGTATGAAGGCCAAATTTCAGATATTTTAAGAGTTAATACTAAAAATTTAAATCTCTTAATTCCTTGCATGTTCTTTGACCCTGAATCAAAATATTATAAAATACTGCTATATTCAGGGAGCACATACCTCAATACCACTTTTCTTTAATAAACTTATCCCAATAGCATCTTTTACATCATAAGATATTATTTCTTTTTGGTCTCCTGATACATAAATGTGGCCATTGGTGAGACATCCATCAATATTGCAAACCAAAAGTTTTATTTCCTTAAGCTTCTCTTTGCCAAAATAGCCATATCTAAAAGAAACCAAAATAGACCTTTGAGTACAAGTGCAGTACTAATCACTCCCTCTCATCTGGCTAAACCAATACATGAAATGTCACCCTCCATTCAATTATTCAAACATTACTCTCCAAATTTACTTCACATATATATTTTAACATATAGTACAGTAAGTAAAAGTAGTGTGGTCTAGCCAGATAATGTTTCTCACTTTATTGAAGCCATGTAAACACATATTTTACATGTCTTCCTCACATGAACAAAGTAATTACAAAGATCCTAAGATGTCTGAAGTATCAGAAATCAGTATCTAGAAATATAATTATTAAGATTTAGTACAAAGGTTATAAAGGTTTATTTGTTTTTACCTTAATACTCTTTGCTCTGCAATAGGCCAATCAATATCCACATCTATATCCACACTATGTTCAGCTCGCATTTCGTAGTATGCCATTTTTCCACCCTAAAGGTAGTATAAATGTCATGAATACTGTTTTTAATATTCATTCACATATATCAAAACTTTATTATAATACAGAACAATGAATTCATTTCTACAGTACTGAGAAAAATGAATAACCCAGTAAAAATCAGTCACATAAAAATGATTTTTAAATTTATTTTTACTTTTTTATTTTTTCGAGTCAGGGTTTCACTCTGCCTCCCAGGCTGGAGTGCAATGGTGCAATCATAGCTCATTATAACCTTGAAATCTTAGGCTCAAGCAATCCTCCCACCTCAGCCTCCTAAGGATCTGGTACTACAGGTATACAGCACCATGTCCGGCTAAATTTTTAAAAAGTTTTTTGTAGATATAAGATCTTGCTATGTTGCCAAGGCTGGTCTTGGAAACCTGGCCTCAAGCTATCCTCTTGAGGCCTCAAGCTGGCCTCTCAAAGTGCTGGGATGACATGCTTCAGCCACCACGCCCAGCTTTTTTTTTTTTTTTTTTTTTTTTTTTAAGGAGAAAGCTCACACAAAAGAAATAACCTTAACATTTTTCAAATTCTATCTAAACAGTTCAAGTTCCCTATTTAAGAAAATTTCTATTTTAATATTGAAAAAAGCAGAAATATTACATCCTCCAGGTTTCTGACCACAAGGGATTTTGTGGAAATCCCTTAATCATATCCTCCTTTTTTTCAAGAAGTCTCTCCTGTCATCATCCAAAAGCAGTATTAAGGTTTTTGGAACTTCTGTTCTAATTTGCAACTAACAGGCAACACAGGGGAGGAAAAATAACTGTAGCATCTGTTGTACAGAGTTTTCTTAGATCTCTGAGCTACTGATGAAAATGACTAATAGTCATCCAAGTCACATGCAGGCAAAGGCAAGGGCAGTCTCTTGATTCTAGGCAAGGGTCAGCAAGAGAAAGGGTCTTTCTTCTGATAGTAATTATTTGAATGACAAGATCAATTACTGGACAATTTCAATTTCATTTTTTTTTTCAGAATTGTCAGTCTCTTCATAAACCTTGTTTTAATGAGAAACATTTTTCTCCACACTTTAGGAATGGGTTAATCATGGTCCTCCTTAGAAAAAAGCTTAAAAATGGTAGTATCTATGTGTGTCAAATCCAATTTTTCTGAACACTTAAATTTAACTAAACAGCTAGTCTATAGTTTGCCTACACATTGACCAGAAGATTTGTAAAAATGTTTTTCTCTCTTTTGCTCAGAATAATAGTCCCATTAGAATTTTTATTACACAATGGAGAGGTTTCTCTCTCTCTCTTTAAAACCGCTATTTCTTGAGTAACATAAGAACCTGAATCCAAATCCTGACAGTACCATTTATTAGCTGTTTTTGCCTTGAGTCAATTACTTCATATTTCAGTGAGGCAGTTTTCCTCCTCTGTAAAACTGGGTAGAAATGTCCACTTCATTCATTCGCTATGCAGATTACATAAGATAACATATGCAAAGTGTTTCACCTACTCCGAAGTACACAGTAAATAATAAATAATAATGATAACTAAAATTAACAAGTTAAGAAATATATGATGCAACCATGTTGCAGGCTCTAAAATGAGAGAGACATTAAATCTGTTATTTGAAAATGAGAGTCAGGACAGATAAAATGATACATATTCAAGCTTACATAGTAAGAGGCAGTTGACTTAAAGTATAATAAAAAAAAAAAAAAATATATATATATATATATATAAAAAGATTCCGGGTTTCCTGACACCCAGGTTGTAACTCTTTTCACCTCTATGAAATTATTTGTCTTTTTAAAGCAATAGAAGTTATTCAACCCTACAGCCACAATATAACTATAACACAAACATGGATTACGTAGTTTTGAGTGGAATAATATGAGTACCAGGACATGTGTAGACACCCAGTACTTGATTCATTTTTTTATCGTTGTAGCAGAATTCCTTGCATATTTACTGAATGGATTCCAAAGATCACTTTGGGGTAAACCTGCAGGATAAATGCCTCAGATAGCAAATGTTGTTGGCTATTACCTTTCCTCTATAGGTTGATACTTTTCTTTATCATAAAGAAATTGTACCATACTTCTTCCCTAGAACTCAAAGTATGCCTACAAAAGCGCTTAAAAGGGTTATGCAAAATGAAGGTACAAACCTGCAAGTAACCCATCTCTATCAAATGTCTTTTAGCAAAATAAAATGAGCCATTTTCATATAATTCTCCATCCCAGTCTTGTCGACGAGGCCGTTTAGCTGGATTTAAATTCAGAGGTTCGGTCACTTCACGAACTAAAAGCAAAAAGTTAGAGTAAGTCCACGTTGCCCTGAATATAGAAAGTGTTAATTTAGTAACTAAAAAAGTTAATAAAAATGAACTCAGAATGCAGAGCATTTCTTTATCTAGATAAAGAACTTTTCTTTTTTTTTTTTTGAGACAGAGTCTCGCTCTGTCACCCAGGCTGGAGTGCAATGGTGCGATCTTGGCTCACTGCAACCTCCGCCTCCTGGGTTCAAGCGATTCTCCTGCCTCAGCCTCCCAAGTAGCTGGGACTACAGGCATGCACCACCACACCTGGCTAATTTTTGTATTTTTAGTGGAGATGGGGTTTCACCATGTTGTCCGGGCTGGTCTCGAACTCCTGACCTCGTGATCCGCCCACCTCGGCCTCCCAAAGTGCTGGAATTACAGGCATGAGGCACTGCACCCGGCCTGATAAAGAACTTTTTTTAGGCTGAATGTGGTGATTCACGCCTGTAATCCCAGCACTGTGGAGGCCAAGGCGGGCGGATCACTTGAGGTCAGGAGTTCGAGAGCAGCCCAGCCAACATAGTGAAACGCCATCTCCACTAAAAACACAAATTTAGCCGGGCATGGTGGTGGGTACCTGTAATCCCAGCTACTTGGGAGGCTGAGGCAGGAGAATCGCTTGAACCCGGGGGGGGGAGATTGCAGTGAGCCGAGATTGCGCCACTGTACTCCATCCAGCCTGGGCAACAGAGTGAGACTCTGTCTCAAAAAAAAAAAAAAGAACTTTTTTAAAGGAATAAAATCTGTAATAATTCTGATGATTTATCTTTGCTTTCCAATAGCTACTAGAAAACTAAAGTATTTTATAATGAAATGTGGAACAATTAAGGTATTCATACAAATATTATGCTTTGGGAGGACATCAAGACAACCTTAAAGTAGCTTTAAAAGAACTGAATTTGTCATAAAATACCTATATTAATATTTGGGCCCTTTAATCTAGTTCTCATTGTTTGCATATACAGAAATAAGTTTTATTTATCTAATGTGGTTGAGAACTTGTTTTTATACAATTATTGCTGAAAAGTAAAGATTTCTCCATTAAATTATTGAAGATTTTATATTGATGAAAATGTTTATGTAACATATTATACATTCTTACCATTAGTTAAAAATATACTAAACATAATAATAAATTATGTTTATGAGTATACCTGATAATAAAGGCTCAGTAATGTCAACATTAATGAATAGAACATAATGTAATCAATGAAGACTTTGGTACTGTCATGTAGAGATTCCTTTGCCTTTCCACTGAGTTTTCCTCAAATCTGTGTGTGTGTGTGTGTGTGTGTGTGTGTGTGTGTATGTGTGTGTGTGTAATAGCTGGTTACTCTCCAGAATCTTTCTTCACTTTTTGCTGCCATTTCTGTGTTTATACAGGCTTCTAGGAATAACCTCTACTTACTTGTTTAACGAAATCATCCCCTGTTCAATTCCACCCCAGTGTTTGAAATAACCCAGGAAAAAACCTTAGCAAATACAAATTAAATAGCTAGAGATAACATAGCTTTATGGGCACTGGCTACAGAGTAGTGACCAGAACTCTCTCTATTCTCAAAAAGTATACAATCTAGGGGTAGAGACAGGTAATAAACCAACTAGATAATTCAAGTGGTACTTTGAAGAAAAGAGAGGGACAAATCTTTCCTAGTATCGGTGGCTGCTTTCTCCCTGGTCATATCTGCTGAGTATGAGGAGAAGGTACAAGAAAGATCAAGCTTTGCATAATCAGAGGGACTCTGCTGAGGTAGGCAAAAACTAGAAGGGCTTTCAATGACCTTGTGGACTTGAGTTACAGATTGTCATCTGTAGGAACCACAAACATATAGCTCGTTTTTCCCCACCTAATGCTTCCCCCTTACAAGACTTTGGCTGAGTGTACTGGGTGGGAAGCTGGGAATGGGCTGGAAAGCAGGGAGACATCATAATAGTATTGTGGTCATCAGATCCCTTAGTCTTGTTAGCAAGAGTAGGGTATGGGTGTGAGTGTCAGTAACACATACAAGATGTATCTCCTAATAAGACACCTATACTAAGAGGTGAGATGAAATTAAAGTTTCAACCCAGCCCAACTCCTAATTGAATCAAAGTGATCAGCCCCTTATCCTATCTTCCTGATAGAAGAAAAGGTGTACCCTCTCTGGAGGAAAATATGTACTCAAGTGTCTATGCCAGATATACAATTAAACATGAGCCAAATGAAGAGGCAGAAATAGGTGACTCACAATCAAGAAAGAAGCAGATTACAGAACTGTAAGTGACTAGATGTTGAAATTTGCAATCAAGGACTTTCAAATAGCTATCAAAAATATGTTAAATTAGAGGAAATGACCTTTTTTTAAAATGGATAAAAAAATGGAAAATTTCAACAGAAAATGGAATCCCTACGAAACAACTAAAATGTACATTACTGAATGGAAAAACACAGTGTTTATAATAATTCTCTGGATAAGATTTATAGCACACTGGACATGGCAGGCAAAATGCCTAGTAAACCCTAGGGAACCCTTCTTATATATGGAGTTAGGAATTTGGGGAAGAACTTCAAAATGTCATTCTTGAAATCCTTCAGAACACTTTGGTGGATGCTTTCTATCTCTATATGACTTGTATGGAGTTCATCAAACATGTCTAGAACAAACATAAAAGTATTTGATCTAGAAAAACAGCATATCTGCCTCAAAAGGCAAACAGAAATAAGAGGATTAGAATGTCCCTTTGTAAAGAGTAAAGCAAAGAATTAATTTGGTCTAGCTGTGTTGGCTCGATAACAGATTTACAGCTGATTGTAAATGTCATTACCTACTAAAGTAATGAGTCAAATACTCTCTTTTACAGCTCCCCTTTTACTCTCCTCATGCCTAAAGGATATTTATATACAAAAAAATTGATTCTCAATAAAATCAGCTAAAATAAAGACTGAAAAGAGATTACCTCCTTTCTGAATTTCACTCCATCGAAACTGATGGCGTCTCACAACAGAGAAAACAGAATCATATCCTTCTTCTCGAATCATTTCTGCAACTTTTTGAAGATCAGTAGGATGTAAACATGGAGAAGTAGCTTGAATATTTCCTACAATGTCAACCTCTTAAAAAGACAAGAGAAATGAAAAGGATATTTAAAAAAAAAGTTCCTTGCAAGCAAGTAATATTAAGGTTTGGAATTCAAATGTTAAAACAAGTCTTATAAGATAATAAAGGAAGTAGAAAAGTACATAAAGGTTTGAATAAACTATTAATCAAATTCATACCATTATGATAATTAAGAAATTCTATGATGGCATCTAGTGAGGTAGAGCTGTCTTTTGAAACTTCAGAACTTCTTCGATGAACTTGTGCACCAAATTGTTTGGCCACATTCTCAATTTCATCATGGTCTGTCGAAACCCATACACTGTTCAGATATCAAAAGAAATTAACAGCCAAATCAAAAGAAATCATTAACAATAAAATGGAGCTCTGTAACCATAAAATACAGCTTATATAATGTGAGAATATTTTTTGCACAATGATAATAATGTTACAGATCCAAAGGAGTATAAAATGTAAGAAATTATAAAGTATTTTGTATATAAATATATTAATGAATAAAAATGCAGTCCTAGATATGCTTTATATAAAGAAAGGAACAACAGACACTGGGGCCTACTTGAGGGTAGAGGGTGGGAGGAGGGTGAGGATCAAAAAACTACCTATCAGGTACTATGCTTACTACCTGAATGACGAAATAATCTGTACACCGAACCCCTGCAACATGCAACTTACCTCTGTAACAAGCCTGATGTACCCCTGAACCTAAAATAAACGTTTTTAAAAAGGCACTAGAAGTCAAATCTAAAGAAAATTAAAGATCTTGCTTATTCTCCATCCAAATCCAAAATATTGTATAAAATATTTTAATATGCTTGCTAAAAAAAAAAAAATGGACTTGGCTTAGCCAAACCCTAAAGGTGAAACAGTTTCAAGCTTAGAAGATAATAAATGCCCAAGTCTGGGCTCAAAAAAAATCAGATGAAACAACTCTTTCTTTTTTAAACAACAAACAATGGGTATATAGATGTAGAATCAGCTGGGTTATAGCCATTGATAACAACAAACATGAAGAACATGACTTCATTAGCTCAAAAGAATTTAACTTAATACTCTATTAACCGCAGGTTACACAGTTGCCTATTTAGCCTTTACAAAATGATGAGTAGGCAAAATGCTGTTTTGGAGAGGGGTACCAGTTTCTATTGAAGTTTTGTTTCCTGGACAGTCACAAATTCCCACTGCTAAATGCAGAAGATGTAAATACTACTCTAGCCACAATGTTTGGTCAGGCCTGGAGTCTCACACCTGTAATCCCAACACTTTGGGAAGCCGAGGCGGGTGGATCACCTGAGGTCACGAGATGGAGACCAGCCTGGCCAACACGGTGAAACCCGGACTCTACTAAACATACAAAAATTAGCTGGGCATGGTGATGCACACCTGTAATCCCAGCTACTAGGGAGGCTGAGACAGGAGGATCGCTTGAACCTGGGAGGCAGAGGTTGCAGTGAGCCGAGATCGCGCCACTGCACTCCAGCCTGAGAGACACAGCGAGACCCTGTCTCAAAAAAAAAGACAAAAAACAACAACAAAACCCTGCCATGTTTTTTTGTTTTGTTTTGTTTTGTTTTGAGACGGAGTCTCGCTGTGTCTCCCAGGTTGGAGTGCAGTGGCGCGATCTCGGCTCACTGCAAGCTCCGCCTCCCAGGTTCATGCCATTCTCCTGCCTCAGCCTCCCAAGTAGCTGGGACTACAGGCGCCCGCCAACACGCCCGGCTAATTTTTTGTATTTTTAGTAGAAACGGGGTTTCACCGTGTTAGCCAAGATGGTCTCGATCTCCTGACCTCGTGATCCGCCCGTCTCGGCCTCCCAAAGTGCTAGGATTACAGGCGTGAGCCACCGTGCCCGGCCCCCACCATGTTTTAATAGTGATTTATGCAAAGATATCTTAATGACTTATAGTCTTTGGTGTATGTGTGTGTATATATATATATATATTTGGTGTGTATATATATATATACACACACAAACATATATACACATTATTTTATATACATACAAAATTATATATAACGTGTATATATAATGTGTATATATAATGTGTATATGTGTGTGTGTATATGTATACATATACACACACACATATATATTTTTCCTTTTATCCCACTCTTTCGATATCTACTGAGGGAAAGATGAACTGCATGTTTTGTTTGTTTTTTTGACAGAGTCTTGCTCTGTCACCCAGGCTGGAGTACAGTGGCCCATTATCTGCTCACTGCAACCTCCACCTCCCAGGTTCAAGCGATTCTCATGCCTTAGGCTCCTGAGTAGCTGGGATTAGATTACAGGCATGTGTCACCACGCCCGACCAATTTTTAGTAAAGATGGGGTTTTGCCATGTTGGCCAGGATGGTCTCAAACTCCTGACCTCAAGTGACCCTCCCACCTCAGCCTCCCAAAATGCTAGGATTACAGGTGTAAGCCACCACGCTCGGCTGAACTGCATGTTTGTCTATGCTCAATTATCATGAGTGGAAAGAAAGTGAAAAACTAAAGAAAATCTTCTAACATCCCTGGATTTCATTTATTTATTTCGTTTATTCCCTTTAATATTTATAGAGGGATTTAAATCAAGGGATAAAGTCAGTAAGAAAAAATAATCAAAGAAAGCCTAGCAAACAAGATGAGCCACTGGCTAGGGGTCAAGAATCCCGTGATATCTACTTATGTCACTCTATGCAGGGCGAACGCAGGAGCCCCCATTTTCCTCCATCTTGAAATCTGAAATAGTGGGAAAAAAATGTTCTCTTGGGAAATGTCATAGTCAAAGGTATATAACAAAGTAAAGTAGCAATGAAAACCTAGTGCATTTTTAAAATAGAGATGACGAGAGGATAAGATGAAATTAGAATACAATAAAAAATAAACAGGGAAGGCAAAAGACATGGTAATTTGGCATCTAATTTACATTAATTGAAATAAATTGCTGAAGCCATTTACTTCATTATCCTGATTTTTACTGCAATGAAAATTCAATACCAGAGGGTTCAGTGGTCTTTAAGTAATGTTTAAAAAGCAAGAAAAAAAACAGAATTTTGGAGGAGGTTTGCTTTTCTTCCTTCCTTCCTTCTTTCGTTCATTCATCCTTAATTTATGAACCATTTACTAAGTGCTTATTCTGTCCCAGGCACGATTCTGGACACTAGGGATGTAATAACATATAGAGCATAGTTTATTTTCTTGAGAAAGTCTTGGCCTACTGATGGAGACTGAGGCCAATATAGCGGTGTAATTCTCTTTAAACCATTAGGAAAAGAGAAGCGAGGGATCAATTAAGTAACTACGCTCTTTTCAGTGCTTTACTTTTTACAAAGTACTTTCACAGTGCCTGCTACATATCAGGTGCTCAATATAGATCTGTTGAATGAATGAAACAGTAAGGGATTAAAAGGATGGTTTCTGAAGGAAGAGGTTCAATTCTGGCTCCACCACATGCTAGCTATATGACCATGGGAAAAATCCATATCTCCCTATGCCTCAATTTTCAGTAAAATGGAGGTAAGTAATAATAGTGGGTACCTCATATGGTTTAGAGGATTAAATATAAACCATTTACTACAGAATAAACATTTAATGTTAGCTATTCAAAATACCAAAATAGGAATGGTAATAAAGTAACATCTACTCTGTCTCATTTAATCCTCACACTCAATCTTCAGAAGGTAGACTGAAGTTCTGCTTCCAGACCTTCAAAGGTCCAAATGTCTAATTTGTATGTTATGTTAAGCAATTACACTGTGAAAAAAATATGAAAACAGTATCCCATATGTACACTTAAAATACTATGATCATAACCTATGAAAGAGACTGAGTAGATAATTTTCCTTTGGTTTAGGGACATAAGATGGGGCTATGCAAAAGAGAAAATGAGCAAGTGAACAAACAGGCCAGTCAAGCAGAGTGAATGTCAAAGTCTAATGCCAATGGCTTTAGCCTCAAATGAAGTCACACCACATCTAACAGGACCAACAGGAATATCAACCATGGTGCCTGTGATAACTATTTTAAATCAGAAGCTGCCATTTTAGGGATAATAACAGCATAGGCCTTTCATTAATCAAAAGTCTATACCCTAAGCATAAAACTAAAACATGTTTACTTTTCCCAAGTATGTTAGGCAACACTTACAAATCAATTTGTTCTGAGGTTTACTTACACAGCACTGAACCACTGTTGAAAATTAAGCTCTTACAAAATCAACTCTGGCAATAACTTTGTACTAAAGGAAAAAAAATTATCTCAGCATTTTTCTTAACTACTAACTAGCCTAGTTAGTATGCAAAGTTAGCAACCTTGAAAAGTACTGTTAGCTTTGATTCTGAGCAGGCCAGAGAAATCTGCCTCAATTAAGTCAAATCGTGGTTTTGAACAAAATAATCTCAAAGGTATCTTCGAGCCCTGAAAAACACAAATCAGACAGCTGCAATTTTCTTCAGCTCTCTCCTAAGGTAAACATTTTTTGAAGAAACAAAAGAGAGGGTAGGAGGCAGGAAGGGTGCTCCAAAGTCCTCTTACAGCTTCATAGTAAGTCAATTGAATATAAGTCAACACATTTTAATGATCTAGTATATAAAGCATACCATGATGAATAAGAGGGTACTTGCTCATAAGAAGCTTAGCTTTTCACCTAGTATGGCAGGAGTCTCCCCAGGCCAAATTCTGCCCACTCCTCAGCCTGTTTCTGTAACATTTTATTGGAATACAGCCACACTCTTTCATTTATGTATTGTCATGGCCACCTTCACAACATACACAACAGTAGAGCTGAGTGATTGCAACAAAGACGATCTGGCTTACAAAACCTAAAATATTTACTATCTGGCCCTTTACAGAAAAAGTCTGCTGGCCACTGAAACTGAAAAAGAGAATAAAGACATCTTTCCACTAACTCTTCAAAGTCAAAGAATGTTAGCACCAGAAATAATTTTAAAGATCATTACAACTTTCCCGTTTTACAAGCAATGGGAGAGTTTCCCATTTTACAAGCATGGAAGATAGTAAAAACCTTCTAAACAAGAGGAAAATGTCAATAACAGATTACATACTATGTGCCAGGCACTATTCTAAGGGCTGCACGTACATTATCTCACTTAATTCCCTCCACAAGCCTGTGAGGCACACACTTCAGTACATTTTGTAGATGAAGAGACTGAGGCACAGAGAGGTTAAGCGATTTACCCAAGTTTGCACAGTTAACACATGGTGATGCTGGAATTCAAATCCACAGTTTGATTTCAGAGTCTGTGATCTTATCTCCCTGCATAGGGCATGCACTAAATGAAGGTACAAACGACGTAGCTATGTATGGGAAAACAAAGGCACAATTACTTTTCACTGAGGGGATCAGTAAAGGCTTCATGGAGGAAGAAGTGCTGGTCCCTTCTATTACCTTTTGACCTAATCTCTCCAGATGCCTGGAAAGGATGACAAATAGCACATAGCCACAAAACTTGAACAGAGTAAATTCACATTGTTACATGATACTGTTAAGTTAGAAATACATTCATTTTGCTAGTTTAGAAAAAAAATTTTTTTTTTTTTTTTGAGACAGAGTCTTGCTCTGTTGCCCAGGCTAGAGTGCAGTGGTCCAGTCTCGGCTCACTGCAACCTCCACCTCCCGGGTTCAGGTGATTCCCCTGCCTCAGCCTCCTGAGTAGCTGGGATTACAGGCATGCACCACCACAACTGGCTAATTTTTGTATTTTTGGTAGAGATGGGGTTTCGCCATGTTGGCCAGGCTGGTCTTCAACTCCTGGCCTCCGCCTGCCTTCGGCCTCCTAAAGTGCTGGGATTACAAGTGTGAGCCCAGCCAATTTTATTTCTTCTAATCGCCACCATTGATATAGTGACAGATACCACAGGTGGCTTGAAGAAGTATAAAACATTATCCCTGTGGTCAATGAGTTTACACTCTAGTCTAGAAGTATTAAATAAAACTACTTGGTACAGAAAAGGTTGATACTAGAGTCTTTTTTTAAAAGAAGTTTTGTACAAATGCTAAAATGTGGAAATGGGAAAATCATTGGTCAATATATATACATATTTTCCAATCATTTCATAGCAAAATCCCCAATGCCTGCTGTAATGGTTGGTTGTTGGGTTCTGACCAACAGAATCTATTCCCCCTCACTTTTGGTAATTGTACTCCAATTTTCCTCTTGATGAACCTGTCATGTTTTTCAGCGGGGGCTCCATCGCTGGTTTCAAGAGTGGAAGATGAAGCTATACTGTAGCAATACAAGCACTATGTTCCTCTTGCCATAGTGACTGGTTGAAGAATGAGCAGGGTACCCAATGAGGCACAATGAAACTTCGAGCTTCGAGGAGAGCACTCCTTCTGACTTACATTTAAACCTGTAAGAATATGAGGACTGCTATCAAAGACACACAAAATCGGTGACTAAAGTGTTAAGGACAGATTGTATTCTGTTACTACTGCAACAGGGAAAAGAGTCCAATGTGAATTGCATTCACAGCCCCAGAAAACGAAAGGCTGGAGACTTTAAAGGCTGAGTTGTGCTAAGGGAAAGGCACTGAGGGGTGCTAACAGGGCTTAGTCCGTGTGACTAGGCCATATGGATTTGTTAACTAGCGCTTATCTGGAAGAGAAACAATCTTCTATCCTTATGAGACAAGGCAACTGAGCAAGTTGAAGCAAGGTGTCCACTGAACTTTGCCCTTTATCTTCCCAGAGGGACTAGGAAGGAGAGTAAGAGTTATTTCCTAGAATGTTCGCATTTCACTGAGACAGGGTTCTGGGGCTCCCAGGTCCTTGAGGAAACAGTTTTGTGTGGTAGATTTACATCTCAAAAGGCAGGGAAAGTTTTTATAATTGCAAGCTTTCTAAACTAATTGCTCTAAAAGAGGGTTCAGGGGCCTCTCACCAGGTTTTTCCTGGAACAATCAGGAAATTCTGGCAGCTTTGAGCCTCTTCAGGAAGCCATTTTAAGGGAACCTGAGATCATCCTAGGGACATGGCCTTAAGCTGCTAGAAGCCATGCTAGGGCTTGGTCAAGTCTCTTGGAGCAGAGGTTTGGAGCAAGTCATTAGGTACCCTGAGAGTTCTGCAGTTCTCAGTACAACCACCTTGAAACCATAAAGGGTCTATCCAGAGCTAAGAAATTGAGGATTCTGGCAACAAAGTGCACCATCCTCTTATCCTGCTTTACTTTTTCTTAAAAATATTTATCATAACGTGATACAACACACATTAATGTTCTTGTATACTGCATGTCTTTCCTTATTATAACGTAAGCTCTATGAGACTAAGGGCTGTCTCTACTGCTACTACACGTGGTTCGGTACATACAACAGTGCCTGTTACATAGTAGGTAGGCAGTAAGTATGCTGAATGAATGAATCATTTTTTTGTCCTTGAATCTGACTGTACCTTAATAAGCCTTTCCCTCTTTTGTTATGCCAGTTTGAACAGGGTTTCCTGATATATACAACCTAAGAGTTGTAAATGGTATTAACAGTTTTGTTCTCCATTTACTGTGAATATGATTTTGATCTCTAGTTCATTTCACAAAAATGATATTTCACTATATTACTGCAGTCTGGATGCACCTACTTCTCTCAGTCCTTTTTAGTTTGTACCCTTTCTAAGAATGTAAAAATATCCCAAAGTTTGTGAGCTTCACAAGGACAAAAACTGTGTCCCAATCATCTTGGTATTCCCTTGGACATGTATAGCAGAAATTAGGGCTCAGTAAATAGCTACTGAATTGAACAAAATCCCCAGGTCCTTCCCTATCTCTCCTTCGCACACTTCCTATTGCACTAGTGTTATCTTCTGAGTGGTGGCTCCTATTTGCCTTGGTCCATCCAGGACTTCTTTTGGGTTGAAACATTAAGAAAATTAGTATATTTATACTTTTTTGGCATCTCCCGTTTTTGAACAAGACTGGTTAAATGAAAATCATTTACCCATATATTAATATGGGTAAGCAAATATAGGTTCAAAAAGAAAAAGAGATGACTTCAAAAACAGTCATCTCTTTAAAAATCGAAACATCAAAAGGTTAACATAAATTAATTTCCACAATAACAACACATTCAAATGTAGTTAGGTTGAAGCTATATGTGTAAATTCATTCTTGGCACAGAATTCGATCTCCCTTCTTTTATGAATAACATCAGCTTGTAACTCCTGACCAATTTGGCAATGTATCTAAATTACGCATAATTAAAACTGTCCATAGGGCAGGCGAGGTTCCAAAGGTATGATTAAATGATTTGTAAGTATTAATATATCATAAAACAGTCAGTTGTACACCTTCCCACTGAGTCTCACGTATTTATAAATGTAGGGAGTTTTCTAGATTGTGCTGACTCACAGGAAGATAGCTGGAGTATTTTTCAAAGGTTAGGAAAAGATCTCCAAGCTGAGCTTGAAATTCAGCTCTGACACCCCGACACTCAACTCCATTCATGAACCTGATGCCTCCCTAATCGAGCAGCACCAAGCAGTTATCAGAGGCTGAGCAACAGGGGAGCTTCGATGGCCCCCATCCAAAGAAGTTCACATATTATCACAGATGTTGCACCGGGGTGGCCTCCTTTACTTTTCCCCGTAAGGTCAACCCGGGAGGAGGGGACGGTTGGGGAGGTGTAATCTCCCCTTTTACGGATGATTCTCAAGGGCGGAGACAGGAACTGTCCCAGGTTATGACCATTGGCAGCTACGGAACAAGGAAGGAGCTGGAGCCCTTCCTCCTGGGCTCTCAGCCCGGCCCCAGGCACCCCGGATCTTGCACATCCCTGGCATGAGAGATGGCCCCCTTCCAAGAGCGGTGGCCCCGGAGGCCCCAGCCCCTCCAGCAGCCCGACTCCCTCTCCCGACCCCCGCCCAGGCCGCGCCGCCCACTCTCGCACATGCGCACCTCTGGAAGGCCCCTGAATCCAGGGCCGCACGCAGGACCCAGCCAATGAGCGGGACCCCCGCCAGGTGCTTAATGTTCTTCAGGGGGATGCCTTTGCTGCCTCCCCGGGCCAGAATTAGGGCTGCCAGGTGCGGGGGCTTCTCCACACCTCGGCCCTGGCCGCCGCGAGAGTTGCGCTGCAGCTTCGGCGGCCGGCCCCGGGACGGTCGCCCCCGCGGGTTGGAGACGGAGGTGGCGGCCCCCTTCTCCACCGAGTCCATCTTCCTCCCACGCCTTCTCCCCAGCTTCTCCACATCCGGGAGCTAGTCCCTCACCACCTCAGCTCGGCGCCGCCCGATCCCCGCCTGGCAGCTGGCGCGCGCGGCCGTCCCTCGCCCCGCCCCCTCCCCCGCCCCTCGCGGTGCTCGCTGGGAATTGTAGTCCGCGGCCGCCTCGTCTGGGGCCAGTAGGCCAAGTAGGCTCTGATGAGGTGACCCCAAAACTAAGTCAAGCAGTGGGAGTCCAGAGATATTTGGAGGAAGTGCGGCTTTTGGGGTGCTTGCAAGTGTCTGTAAATTTCTAAAATTAAAAAAGAAAAAAAGTATTTATAATTGCTGAAGAACTTCCCCACTTTAGAATTGTGGTGGGTTTCCCGTTGCATACCTTGATGCACCCTGACACGAATCCATTTTATATTTTAAAATGTACATTTTAAACATACACCTTTTTTTAATGCCCCTGGGTCATTTTTTCCAAGAAATTACTGACCAGCTCATTCAAATATCCTACAGGCGCCTTAAACTCAACGTTTTAAAAACTCCATTTTTCATATGCTCTCCGCACTTTGATCGACATCAGCATTCCCTAGCAGCAGAAATTTGGAAGTCAGCTTTACTGGTCACCTCTAGTGTGGCCGACACTTGGTTTTTTGGTTTTGTTTTGTTGTCTGCTAAAAATCTTTTCCTTTTAGGAATTGATCCCTCTCTCATCCGGTGAGGGTTTCCCTCACATTCTCTGCACTGTGTGTGACCCAAGCTGGTCCATCTACGCACCCCATTTTCCTTAACACACCTGTGGTCTAGGGACAGGCATATGACCAAGCAGAGCCCACTGGAGTCCTTTCCAGAGAGTCTTGGAAAGAAAGGATCTTTCTCGTGCTGACTGGGTGCTAAGGACCTTGTTAACCTGAAGCCTCAGGGCAAGGGTAGGGTAGGGCGGCAGGGGGGCTTTGCTGTTCTGAAATGGGCTGGAAGACTGATGTTCTCCCTGAGGAAGCAGAACAATGACATGTAGGGATTAAAGAGAAAGAATTCTGGAGGCATCATTTAAACTCTTTTTTTTTTTTGAGACAGATTCTCACTGTGTCCCCCAGAAGGCTGGAGTGCAGTGGCACAATCTCGGCTCGCTGCAACCCTCTGCCACCCATTCTCAAGCGTCCTGAGTAGCTGGGATTACAGAGGGGCACCACCACACCCAGATAATTTTTGTATTTTTAGTTGAGTTGGGGGTTTCACCAGGTTGGCCAGGCTGGTCTTGAACTCCTGACCTCAAGTGATCTGCCCGCCTCAGCCTCTCAAAGTGCTGGGATTATAGGCATGAGCCGCCACGCCTGAGCATTTAAACCCTGATCCAGCCAAGAGGCTCAAAGACATACACCCACACACACCTCTCTTAGGAAAAAAAAAAAAAGAGACTTTAAAGCAGGCATCTCTGACCTAGCATGCATTTTGTCTTTCAGCATGTTTGCAAGCCTATATTTGGAAGTAGAGTCTTTTACATTTCTGAGATGGAGGCTGATACAAACAGAAAGAATGGATTGTAGTGTGTCGGCTTGCCTTCTCCCAGAGGGCAAAAGGATTTTGTACTTCTCAGGTCTTGGCCATTTTTGAGGGGAGAGAAGAAGTCTTTGATGTTTTGGGTCCTATGAGAGGTACTGGATACTTTACATCTCTTAGTCTGTGAATTAACTGAGGGCCCAGCCCTTCCTGGGACTGGTGCTGGAAGAAGGTGCTTCGTGCAGACACAGATAAGGGAGGCTGTGAGCAGACATCAATGCCATGCTTGGGAAAGGGGCAGGCTCTATGAGCCATTCCAGCACTGAAGGGCAAGGGGACAACTTGCCCCCATACACTGGCTCTTTGAGTAGGGCCTTTGCAGTTGCTGTGCCTCAGAGACACCAGCACTGAGCTTTTGGTAGTCATGTGAGGACCCCTACTACACCCCAATAACAATCTTGATTCCTATTAATGATTTAGTTGCCCTTCTCCACAGTAATTCCCTACAGGCCCATAAATCCTAGTGGACCACAGACACCTGAGTAGTTTTGACTCCTGGGGCATATTGGTGTCCTCTAAGCTGGGAACAGAGCAAGTGGCACCACTGTTACTTATCAAATGAGATTATAGCGATTTACATAAATACCAAGAGACTTTGAACTCTTCCAGGAGAGGGACTGTTCCTTCTTTGTAATCTTCTCATCCAGAACAATGCATGGGTCACAGTACTGCTCAGTAAACATTGGTGAACTGCCTCTCATATTACTTTTTCAGTCTCTGCCCACGCATGCTTTTTAAAATATAGTTGCAAACTTATGATAATAAAGCATTTTATATCCTTTGTATGGTTACAGCACAATTTTGATTAGACCTGACACTTAGCTACTCCCAATCTTGAGAGACGGAGACAAAGGAAGAGAGAGAGGTGGTGGTAGTAGAAGGGGAAGGTGATGCATCTAGTTCAGCATATGGCACACAGAAATTTGATGAATTTTAAAAAATGAAATTAGAGTTTACTCTTTTACAATATTTTTACTTAGTCCAAAGAGAGAATGATTGTTCCAGGAAGAGGAAGAGGATGGGTTATCCTGTCTTTTTCTTTGGATTAGTTTTGAGGAACAAAATAAACTACTCTCAAAGCAAATATTCGGTCATCTTTCCTTTAAAGATCAGTATGAAGTGTTGCTGCTGAAGAATAATTCATTCGTATTTATTGTGAAAGAATATATCCTTATATTATCTCTTGTTTTATGATTTTGTATGTAAACAAACTTTGTATACAGAGGAGTCCTTTGACTCACTCATTTGTTCACATTCACTGCATTCCAAAAGCCAGGCTCTGTGCTACACGTTAAAAATACCAAACCAAGAGGTGAAAGGCAGCGAACTTAGCATTATGACAGGGAGACAGGCACACCCCAGTAGAGTGTGATTTGTGCTGTGAAAAAGTGTACATGAGGTAGGCAAGCACAGAGGGAGGTATTTAGGCTAGAGTAAAACTTTTCTTTGCTGAGATGACTCTTGAAAGATTGTTAAAGTACAAAAAAGACCTCAGCTGAGGGAATGGCATTGTGCAAGGTGCAGAGGAATGAGACTACATGATGATTTAGGAAACTTGAAGTGAGTCACTATGACTGAAGCAGAATATACTGGTTGGTTAGTGGCGAAAGATGAAAATAGAGAGGAACGCGTGGGCCAGATTACAGCACATAAAGACCTTATGTGTTCAGCTTTGTTAAGGAAGTTACAGATAGAAGGGATATAACTTGATTCACGCCATTCTTTCAACAAATCGTTATTGCATGACAACTGTGTCAGGCACTTTTCTGGGCACTGAAAATACACTGAGGTGATGAAAAGTGCTCAAATTTTCCGGATATATCTTAAAAGTATAGCTAATAGGATTTTCTGACAGACTAGGTGAAATGCATGAGAGAAACAGGAAAATTGGTGTGATTCCAGGATCTTTGGCCTGACCATTAGTAGGAGGGAGTTGCTATTAACCGAGATGGAAAGGATAAGAAGGACTAAGGTTTGGAGACAAAATTATGAATTCTGTTTTATAAATGCCATGTGTGAAATATCTATTAGCTATCCAAAGGGAAATAAACAGTGGGCTATTGAATATGTTACCCTAGAGTTTATAGGAGGGGTCTAGGATATGAATATAGCTTGGGAGTCATCAGCATTTGGGTACTATTCTCAGCCATAGGACTAGATGAGAAAGAGAGGTGATGGCAGACAGAAAAGAGAAGAAACTAGATGAGATCAGCTAAGATTGAAAAGTTAACAGAAGAGAAAACAAGTCCGAAGACTGCGCCCTGGGGGTCTCCAACACTTAGAGGTTAACGAAATGAGAAGACATGGCAAAAGAGACTGAGACAGAATGCAAAACAGAAGCCAATAGGGTACCCTGAAATCTATGCGAATAAAAGTAATGGAAGGAGGGAAAAGTGATCAATTATATCAAATGCTGTGATTGTCACTGTGAAAGTTATCAATACCAAAATGAAGTTGCTTATGTCTAACCCTAAGATAATAGAGCCAGAAGGCCATGAGGGAGGGGCACTCATGCACTATGCTTCCACCAAAAAAATACCACAGGAAATTTTTTCAAAGTGCAGCTTGCTACATGAGTCATACAATGAGAGCTAGCAGCCACACAAGGACACAAAGCTAGCCACACAAGGACAGCTAGCTGCTTGCATAAGAACACTTGCCTGTCTCCACTAATAAACAGATGTCAATTTCTGCCATAAGACTCTGTAACCAATGTTTTCTGTTTCGAAACAACTTGTATGTACTTCTTTCTCTCTCTCTCTCTCTCTTTTTTTTTTTTTTTTTTTTTTTTTTTTTTTTTTTTTGAGACAGGGTCTTGCTCTGTCACCCAGGCTGGAGTGCAGTGGCACGATCTCGGCTCACTGCAACCTCCGCCTCCTGGGTTCAAGCAGTTCTCCTGCCTCAGCCTCTCGAGTAGCTGGGATTACAGATGCCCACCACTGCACCTGGCTAATTTTTGTATTTTTAGTAGAGACAGTGTTTCACCATGTTGGCCAGGCTGGTCTCGAACTCTTGACCTCGTGATCTGCCCACCTTGGCCTCCCAAAGTGCTGGGATTACAGGCCAGAGTCACCGTGCCTGGCCTTCTTTCTCTCTTTTGTCTTTAGAACCTTACCCTTACCACAATATTGGATGTGCCTATGAACCACCATAAGTTGCATATCCTGACTCGTAATTCTCTCCTAATACCAAGTAAGCTCTTTCTTTTGGCACCCATTTAATCCCTCAACTACTATCCCTTTTCTCTTTTTTCTTTACACCAAAAAAACTCTTTAGTTGTCTATAATCATGATTCCACATTCTCTCCTCACATTCCCTCCTCTCATTCCCTCCTTAATCCACTCTAATCAGGTTTTTTGGCCACCACAAAACCAGTGGACTTACTTTTCTTAAGAGCAACAGTGCGTCCACATTCCTAAACACAACAGCACATGACAATATATTCTCCCTCTTACATGGTGTCAACCTAAAAAGGAACAATCTATTGTCATGTGTTGTTGTATTTAGGAACGAGGACTCATTGTTGATCTTAAGAAAAGTAAGTCCACTGGTTTTGTGGTGGCCAAAAACCTGATTAGAATGGATTAAGGAGGGAATAAGAGGAGGGAATGAGAAGAGAGAATGTGGAGATCACGAGTATAGACAACTGAAGAGTTTTGGTTAAAAGAGGAAAGGGATAGTAGTTGAAGGATTAAATAGGTGTCAAAAGAGTTGTTTTTTTTTAAGAGGTGGGAAATGATACTATCTTTGTGTGTTGATAAAAGTAATCCAATAGAGAGGGGGAAAATTAATGATAACAGAGAAGAGAAGGAAGAACTGCTGAAGCAATTTCCTTGATTAGACCATAGGGGATGTAATCTAATTCTAGGTGGAAGGACTGGCTTTGGCTAGTAATAGAAAAGTTGAACTTTCTGGGCATGAAGCTATAGAACCGAGCCCTCAAACTGATTTAAGACCACCAAAACCAGAAAAAGTTCTGCCTAGCAGCCCTGGAAAAAGAATGCTTCCAGAACAATACCCTGCGATACGATGAATGAAAAATGCTCACTGCTTTGATAATATTAATGGAGAAAGGTCATTTTCTAGAGATACCTAAACATATTCAGTTTACCTTTATGGAGAACTTATATGGCATTCAGACTGCTCAGTGTTTACATGCATTATCTCATTTTATCCCTCAACAACTCTTAACCACTTAACTTCATCCCCAATTACAGATAAAAAAACCGAGCCTCATTTCGAGATGTTTAACTCCTATTCAAATCCCCACAGCTGGCAAGTGGTCAAGGGAAGATTTTTTTTTTTTTTTTTTTGAGACAGAGTTTCTCTCTTGTTGCCCAGGCTGAAGTGCAATGGCGTGGTCTCTGCTCAACGCAACCTCCGCCTCCTGGGTTCAAGCGATTCTCCTGCCTCAGCCTCCAGGTAGCTAGGATTACAGGCACTTGCCATCATACTCGGTTAATTTTTGTATTTTTAGTAGAGACGGGGTTTCATTTGAATGTAGTCTTAAGCCCTAGAAGCAGCATTCTAAGCCCTTATGCTATGAAAACCAGCTTGAATGATTTAGTAAAGTTGAATTTGATGGGGAGAGAAAAAAATAGAGGCATCTAGCATCTACCCAGACTCAGAATAGATATAATCTACTGAGAGATATCTTTATAGCATGTTCTCTTCTTTTAGATAGATGGGGCCCTTGGGCAAGATAGTAGATGAGATTTCAGGAGTGAGGCCAAGAAGAGAGTTGGTACTGTTAATATCAAATATCCTCCCAGGTTACTTCCTAGAAGGGTGCTGATGGAGAATTCCACTGTTCACCACACACTCACTAGAGAGGCATTAAGGCTGGAGTAGGGTAGGAAGGAATTGTTCCAATTGGAACCACCAAGGATGTAAAGACAAAAGTGTAACCCCTCATCAAAGGATGAAGAGGGTGGGTCATCTTACCAGATCTATGTCCCCAGATGTCTTGAGCAGAAGACAGCTACTAGCCCCAAGTCACACAGAAACATATCAACAGGGGCCAGCCCCATTGCTGAAGGAGCCCATGTTGGGGAAAAGGAGGCTCTAGACAAAGGTGAGTTATCTATAGGAAATGTCACAAAGTTGCCCCGTGTCCCTGCCTACTTGTGCTGCTGCTTGTCAACGTGGGAATGGGACTAGATAGCATTGCTCCTTTCAGATAAGTAGGAATCTGTGACCCTGGGAAGAAGCCAGAAATACCAGATTGTCCTAGTTAACACATTGTCCATTTCTCCAGCTGCCACGATGTGACGTGTGCATGCATTGTGCTCAATGGCCTATGTGTTCAGATCTTTCCTTAACCACTTATGAGTGAACTGTCCTTGGGAAAATTACTTATCCTCTATGAGTCTAAATTTTCTCATCTGTCTCATAGATATGATAATAATAATGATCACATCATAAGGTTGTTTCGAAGACTAAGTGACAATGCATAAAAAGGATTTAGCACAGTGAATAGCATATAATAAGAGTCCAACAAATGGAGTTATTAAAATATTTGTATGTCAACAAAGTGTAGTTTACAAGCAGATGCAAAATAACATATTTCATAAGAAAATAACTGAAGTGCTTGATTTTCTTAAAGCATAATACCAAGAGAGGCTCCATATAAAAGAGGTGGAGGGCATGGCCAGGATGAGCTAGAATTAGGGCATTTTAAGATGTTTGCTGTGTTCCTGCTGTGCTTTGCTGTAAACACCTTCTGTGCCTTCCTGTTTCAACTAGAATCAGCTATCCAGATAGCCTCTGTCTGGATTAGGGTCAGGGTTAAGGAAGTGCAGTCCTCAGGGCTATGTCCAGCATGTGGGAGAGCATGTTAAAGGGGCATAGAAAGCACAGGATACCAGATGTGAGTAGGATTGTGAATACTGCAAAAGCAAGAAGTCAGAACTGCTGATGAGCAGAAGAGCAAGCCTCCCAAGTGCTCTGAGAAACATGGAGAGATAATGGCTACCCAATTATATGTAATGCAGGAGTTGGAGGAAATTTTCTTTAAATCTTTTAGTAAAATTGTACTTCAGTTGTAACCACACCAGGCTCAAGGACTCTGAGGACTTATACACAACTGATACTTAGGTTACAATTATTACTAGTTTGATTCCAAACTTAATAATGTTGGCGAATGATTGGCAAACATGGTGATGGGTCTTGAATTACTCAATTATCTTTGTTTTCATGAAGGCTGAAGGACAGTGCAGTAGGCTGAATATTGGCTCTCCAAAAATCTCCAAATTTGAATCCCTAGAACCTGTGAGTGTGTTACCTTACATGGTAAAAGGGGCTTCGCAGAGGCATTTAAGTTAGGGATCTTGAGATAACAAGATGACCCTGGGTTTTATCCAGGTGAGGACAATGTACTTAGTGTAATCACAAAGGCCCTTAAAGAGGGAGACAGTAGGGTCAGAATCAGAGACCTTGTAAAAATGGAAAGCAGGGGTCAGGGAGGAGAGAAGATACTGGCTTTGAAGACAGAGAAAGGGGCCATTAGCCAAAGGATGCAGGCAGCCTCTAAAAGCTTGAAAAGGGAAGGATATAATTTCCCCCTGGAGCCTCCAGAAGGAACTCAGGACTGTGGATGCCTTGATTTGAGCCCTGGGGGCTGGCTTCAGCCTATTGCACATCGCTATGGTATGCCAGAGCAATAACCTGAGCACTTATAGTCTGTGGGTACTATTTTCGTTTGTTTGTTTTACAGGGTTAGATTAATGCACAAGTTCCTGTTTTTCACTCTCTTTTACTTACAAGTGTTTGGTCACTTGCACGTTGAACAGGACCTTCTTATCTATGAAGTCATATCAATTCTATGTTACCTAGTGGGCTTGAAATGTAGGAGGGAAAAACACTGAAATTAATCTTGTTTCAAAGATTTAATTTCTTTCTCCTTTTGAGAAGGATAGAAGGATAGAATACAAATGAATTTAACTGTTTTTCACTTTAAATGTTGTTAACAACAATATATTCATCCATCTCTTCATCAAACAAACATTTATTGAAGGCCTATTCTGAGCAAAACACATTCACTAAGTATTGTGCTAGGTTATATACATTTTTTTTGAAAACCCACAGCTCTAACTGTAAAGAACCTTAAGATTTCATGGAAGAAAACAGATGTGTAAATTATTAAATATGACATATGGGAAATAAAATATATAATATAAGCTGTCTTCAATCTTCATGCATTCAACTGTCAGACATTCTTTATTTTTATACTTGATACATTGCCACTTCCTTTCACTAACATTTATAATATTATGACACTAGGAAAATGTGTTTGAGCTTCCAAACAACTGACAAAAAATAAAATCTTGAAACACAGCCATTATAAATTCAGCATTCATATCCCTAGACCTAAGAGAAATGACAAGTATCCATAAAATTGATCTGAAATCATTAGAAAGTCCAGGAAATGGGAAAAATAGAGAATTTTACTTTGTTCTCTAAATGACCAATCAAAAATGAAATGGAAACAAGTAAAAATATTGTAGTAGAATAATATTTTGAAATACTAATAATGTTTGAAAAATACTAATGTATTCTCCCTATTACCTGGTTGTCCTTCTCACTGTTTGGGCAGCAGGTTTTGTTTTGTTTCCTAAGTTAAGGTGATGAGATTTGAGATAACAGTCTTGTTTATTACATTCTGTTACTGTGATCTCGGTTCACTGCAAGCTCCGCCTCCCCGGTTTGCGCCATTCTCCTGCCTCAAGCTCCTGAGCAGCTGGGACTACAGGCGCCTGCCTCCACGCCCGGCTAATTTTTTGTATTTTTAGTAGAGACGGGGTTTTACCGTGTTAGCCAGGATGGTCTCGATCTCCTGACCTCCTGATCTGCCCGCCTCGGCCTCGCAAAGTGCTGGGATTACAGGCGTGAGCCACCGCGCCCGGCCTTCCCTTTCATTCTTACTCCCCACTAACTTTCTCTTCCTGTTCACAGACACTTACCCTATTATGGTTCATATATGTCTTTGGTTACGCATGTATATGTGTACATATACATGGACACATGTACATGTGTACGGATGTAGCTTTGGTTCGTGTATTTTAAAAGTACTATGTACTAAAAGAAAACTCCTCTTTTCACTTAAGTGTGTCCAGAATATATACCAGGCTACTGGTATAAGGAGGGGAGCAAAAATACCAGGTAACCTTGAAGACTCCGAAAGCAGAAGAGACCAATGCCCTGTTCCTAAGCAGAGACTGGGGAAATGGTAAGACTTCAGAGCTAGGGTTGATTGCTTCCCTGAAGAGATTCATACCCACTTTTATTTCAGGAAATTTTGTTAGTATACAGTTGACCTTTGAACAACGTTGGGGTTAGGAGTGCTAACCCCTTGTGCAGTCAAAAATCTGTGTATAAATTTTTGCTCCCCCAAAACTTAACTACTTAACAGCCTACTGTTGACTGGAAGACTCACTGATAACGTAAACCACCTATTAACATTTATTTTGTATGTTCCACATGTTTACAGTGTATTCTTACAATAAAGTAAGCTAGAGAAAAGACAATGTTGTTAAGAAAATCGTAACAGAAAAATATATTTACCTTTTATTAAGTGAAAGTGGATCATTGTAAAGGTCTTTATCCTCATTGTCTTCACACTGAGTAGACTGAGGAGGAGGAGAAAGAAGAACAGTTGATCTTCTGTTTCAGGGGTGGCAGAGGTGGAAGAAAGTCTGCATGGAAGTGGACTTCGTAGTTCAAACATGTGTTGTTCAAGGGTCATCTGTCACTTCAAATGCATCTTCTGTCCTATTATTGAAGTTTTATTTAACATGGGAAATTTGGTGACGTGTATTATCTGTCTTTGCCTTTTGTCAATTTCTATTACTTTTTCTCTAATCATGTGTAACTCTTCATTTTCATTGAATTTTGTGAGCTCACTTGATTTTTATCTTTGATGTCACTTGCTGTACTTTCACCAGTACCTGTTTCCCCCTGTGTCTCTTCCACCTCATATTTGTTCTGTAATGATTCTATGTATTCCCCTCATTTCTGATTTCTCCCAGCTTTTATTTCATCTCATTCTATTTTCTCACTAAATCTTTGCTGAGTTGGTGGATCTTTGCTGCTGCTGCTGCTGCTTTTTTTTTTTTTTTTTTTTCCACAGAGGCAATTGCTACATTAAGATTTTCTCATTTATATCAAACATCCGCCAAGAATTATTTAATCCTTTGCAAAATTATTCTGCTGAGTGTCCCTAATGTGTCAGTTGATTTTCCTGTTTCTTCCTATCCCCCCACCCCATTCTTATATTCCCCCTCCTTCTAGAATCTTTATGTGGGTTCTGAACAGACTTCCTTCTTATTATTTATCACTGAAACAAGTACATTCCTCCAGATAGCTACAGGAATTTGTGGGCGTGAGGGAGGACCAAGGTCTTGTGTCAGAATAGCTGGATAGGCAAGCTAAGTTTTGTTTGTTTCTTTAACAAGGCAAAGTCTCTCCTCTACTGCCACAGAGAAGGCCTGCTTCAACCAAAACGGCCCCTGTGTGTGGTTCCTCATGTGGCCTAGCCTGCACCATTTGAAAACAAACTGACTTCTTATATTTAGTGCATGCTTTTTCTTCCTACCATTGTGGACCAGGGACATAGATTTTTGCACTTTAGGGTGTCACCGTGTTTCATGAAATGTCCTTTCATTCTGGCTCCTTCTGAGGTGAACAGCAGCAGCATGTTTTTTCTCTGCTCCCTTGTAAGAATTTGCTGTTTGAAATTCGTTTCACCTATATTATGGTGAAGTTTTAACTGACTTCTCATCTTGCCAAAAATAGCTTTAGTCTTTTATTCTTCTTTTTCCTCATTGCTTTTGGATGAGTTCCAGGAAAAGTCAGAAATGCCAACTCTACACTACTATTTTGAAACAAATGTCTCTTTCTTGAATTTGTACATTTCTTGCACTTGCTTTTCTTCTCCCTCTTCTTTCACTTTATACTCTTCTTTGTAGTTTCATCTGTGCTCACAGTTTCATCTAAATGAAATAACTATTGAATCACCATCTTTTTCTTGCTTTTCTCCTATTGGTTAGTCTCTTTTTTGGCCTACTGTCAGTTTCACATGGATATTCCCAAGAGACTTCCATTATTGTCATTCTCTATATCAATGGCATCACAGGTTCTCCCAGCTAACATGGCTGAAACGACTGGAATCCTATTTGGTGCCATTTTTCTGTTCATTCTGTTTTCAAAATATCTCTTGCCTCATTGTCTCCTTTTTATTTCTGTTAATAAGACCCTAGTCTGGACCCCATATCTGGATACCATACCTAATATTCTTGGTTGTCTTATCTAGTTAGCCTGCTTATTGTACCATGTCAACTTCCTTAAATATATCTGATCCGGCTGGGCGTGGTGGCTCACGCCTGTAATCCCAGCACTCTGGGAGGCTGAGACGGGTGGATCACAAGGTTAGGAGTTTAAGACCAGCCTGGCCAACATAGTGAAACCCCATGTCCACCAAAAATACAAAAACTTAGCTGGGCATGGTGGCAGGTGCCTGTAATCCTGGCTACTTGGGAGACTGAGGCAGGAGAATCGCTTGAACCTGGGAGGCAGAGGTTGCAGTAAGCCAAGATCATGCCATTGCACTCTAGCCTGGATGACAGAAAAAATATATGTATATATATATTATATATAATATAAATATATTTATATGATATACAATATGAATATATTATATATTAGATATAATATGAATATATTTATATTATATACAATATGAATATATTATATATTATATACATATATTATCTACAATATGAATATATTATATATTATCTACAATATGAATATATTATACATTATCTACAATATGAATATATTATACATTATCTACAATATGAATATATTATACATTATCTACAATATGAATATATATAAATATATAATATGTTATATACAATATAAATATATAATATATTATATGTTATATACAATATAAATATATAATATATAATATATTATATACAATATAAATATATAATATATAATATATTATATACAATATAAATATATAATATATAATATATTATATACAATATAAATATATAATATATATTATATACAATATAAATATATAATATATATTATATACAATATAAATATATAATATATATTATATACAATATAAATATATAATATATAATATGTTATATACAATATAAATATATAATATATTATATGTTATATACAATATAAATATATAATATATTATATGTTATATACAATATAAATATATAATATATATTATATACATAAAATATATAATATATATATCTGATCATGTTACTGCTTTCCTGCAAAGTCTTTGTTGTTCACCAACACAAACAGAATAATCTCTTTAACCTTCCATAAACTGACATCCAAATTCTCTACTAACATAGAATTATTGGTTGTTTTCTACCCTTCATTCATTGATTGCCATAGCTTTTTTATTTTTCATTCTTTTCCTGATAGGACTATTTATTCATCCCCATTTGCTGATGTTATGATTAGCTGCCAAGGATCTTCTTTTTAAAAACAATTATTTTTATTTTTTTGATAAATTATGATTGCATATAAATATGGGCTATGCAAGGATATTATGACATGTGTGTACAATATAGAATGATTGAATCAAGCTAATTCAAGGTTCTGCTTAAAGAGGACCTTTCAAAATATCCATTTGCTAGTCACTCATTTCCTCACACTCTCCTTCCTTTCCTTCCTTCTTTCTTTCCTTCCTTCCTTCCTGCCTTCCTTCCTTCCTTTCCTCCCTTCCTCCTTCTGTTTTTTTCTTTTCTTTCTTTCTTTCTCTTTCTTTCTTTCTTTCTTTCTCTTTCCTTCCTTCCTTCCTTCCTTCCTTCTCTCTCTTTCTCTCTCCCTCTCTTCCCTTCCCTTTCCTTCCCTTCTCTTTCCTTCCTTCCTTTCTCTCTCTCTCTCTCTTTCTTTTCTTTCCTTTTTCTTTCTTTTTTTTTTTTTTGTGACAGGTTCTTACTCTGTTGCCAAGGCTGAAGTGCAATGGTGTGATCTTGGCTGGCTGCAACATTTGCATCCCGGGCTCAAGCGATTCTGTCACGTCAGCCTCTGGAGTCACTGGGACCACAGGCGTGCACCACCACACCTGGCTAATTTTTGGCATTTTTAGTAGAGATGGGGGTCTCACCATGTTGCTCAGGCTGGTCTCGAACTTCTGAGCTCGAGTGATCTGCCTGCCTCGGCCTCTCAAAGGCCTAGGATTACAGGTGTGAGCCACCGCATCTGGAATTCTTCTTTTTCCTTTTCTCAACTTATGTGTTATACCCATCTATGCATGCCATGTATGTGTCTGCCTTCCTCATTACTTTTGGATTTCCTGAAGCACAGGAGCCATGCCTTTTTCAGCTTATATTAACCACATTACATAACACAGGTTCTTGCAGAGTGTATACGATTCTTTGATTTGAATTTAAGTAAGTTGTGCTAATATATATTTGTAGTGTACCCTACTGATTGTATTTGACTTTGAATATATATATATATATATAAAAATATATAAATATTTTGGATATATATCCAAAATATATATCCAAAATATTCAAGTATTTTATATATATAGTGTGAATATATATCTCAAATCATGTAAAATTGTTTCATATATATATAACTGACCAATTTTATATATACATATAAAACCAAATAATTTTATTTTATTGCTATTTTATAGTAGCTCTAATAATATGAAACAAATATAAAGTACTTTTTTTAGAGCTGCTATAATAAAATGCAATACATCAAGAAAATGGAAATTTATTTTTGATAGTTCTGGAGGCTGGAAGTTTGAGATCAAGGAGTCCGTGGATTTGGTGTCTGGTGAGGACCATCTGGCTCAGAGAAGAAGTCTTCTCGCCGCACCCTCATATGGTGGAAGGGACTAGCTATAAGTGCACCAATCCCATTCATGAAGACAGAAGCCTCACAACCTAGTCATCTCTCAAAGGCTCGACCTTCTAATACCATCACCTTGGTGATTAGAATTTCAATATATAGATTTAAAAAATATATTTGAAGAAATGTATTCTGAACCAAATATGGCCACCCAATGGCTTGTGACATAGCCCTCAGGAGATCCTGAGAACATGTGCCCACGGCGGTCAGGCTACAGCTTGGTTTTATGCATTTTAGGGAAACATAAGACATCAATCAATACATGTAAGATGTACATTGGTTTGATCTGAAAAGGCAGGACAACTCGAAGTGGGAGTTTCCAGGTGGATTCACAGGGCAATTGGTAGAGAGAGTTTATCTAAAGACCTGGAATCAATAGTGTTGAGTGTCTATGTTAAGATAAGGGCTTGTAGAGACCAAGAGTTTTTTTATGCAAATTAAGACTCCAGGTAGCAGGCTTCAGAGAGAATAGATTGTGTTTCTTATCAGACTTAAAAGGGAGCCAAACTGTTAGTTAATTTTCTCCTGAATCAGGGAAAAAGACCTCAAAAAAAAGGGGATTCTCTTCAGATTGTAGATTTTCTCCACAAGAGACAGCTTGGCAGGAATTCAATATATGGATTTTGAGGGGACATAAACATTTAATTAAGCCATAGCAATATTTAATTTATAGTAATTGTAGTCTTTGAAAGCAACAAATCTATATTTATTGTTTTATTTTTTGAGACAGGGTCTCACTCTGTCACCCAGGCTGGAGTGCACTAGCATGATCTCAGCTCACTGCAGCCTCGGCCTCAGGTTGGGGTGATCCTCCCACCTCAGTCTCCTGAGTGGCTGGGACTACAGGCATGCACCACCACACCCTACTAATTTTTTTTGTATTTTTGAAACAGAAGAGCTTTTTATTCCCCTCTCAGGGCATGTGACAGGGGTGTGGCTCACCTGCTTGGTTGCCCCAAAGCTCAAACCCGTAGTGGGTAGGGAGAGCATGCAGACAGGCAGGTGCAGAGGCCAGGGCAAGTGCTTTTGGGCTCTGGCCCCATGGCAGTGTCTAGGGGTGGGTGTCTGCAATTCCAGAAGCCCAAGTGGGCATGGGCATGGCTCTTTCAGATTTCCTGCCTGCAGACAGCCTGTATGTTAATCAGCTCAATGGACCTTCTGCCTTATCACAAGGGCAGAGGGCCAGTGTGACAGCCTTCGGTATCCTGAGCTCTTGCCCAGTGTCCCAAAAGAATTGGACCATACATGGGCTTAAAGGATGAGTGCAAGGCTTTATTGAGTAGTGGAGGTGGCTCTCAATGAGAAGTATGGGAAGCCAGAAGCAGGGGTGGAGTGGGATGGTGGTCTTTCCTTGGAGTCGGGCTGCCCAGTGGCCAGACTCTTCTATGAACACCCCCAGCCAAACTCCCCTCAGCATCCAGACATCCCTCCTCTTCTCTCTTTCTTGTCATGTCATTCTGCCATGTCTGGTCTGCTGGCCTGCTGGTCTCGATGTTCAGCCACTTGCATGTGTGCCCACTAAGGTCTTGGGTTTATATGGGCATAGGATGGGGGGCATGGTAGGCCAGAATGGTCTTGGAAAATGCAACATTTGGGCATGAAAACAGGAGTGCCTGTTCTCACTTAAGTCTGTTGGCACAGGCCCAAGTGTGGACTGCTTGCCAGAGACCTCACCCTCTCTACCCAGCACTTCCCTGACCCCCTTCTGTATCATTTTTTTTTTGTAGAGATGGGGTTTCACCATGATATCCAGGTGTCTTGAACTCCTGGAGTCAAGAGATCTGCCTGCCTTGGCCTCCAAGTGTTGGAATTACAGGTATGAGCCACCATGCCTGGCTTTAATCTGTATTTATTTAAAGATTTTTGTAATTTTGATTTTACTAATAAAATATTTTTAAGTATTCCATTGAATTTCAATTTATAATGCATAATAACATAACCAAGTAACTTAGCTTCATAATTCATTTTAAAATGCTTCTTTTCTTCTCTCTGGCCTTGGAATGTTCTTTGAAGCCTTTTATTTCCCTCCCCTCCCACTGGGTACTTTTTGCACTGGGCTAGTTTATCTAATTATGTACTTGTTTAGAAATGACAGGGGCTAATCTTGAAATAAACCCAGCATGGAGATCCGGCTGTGGAATCCTCCCCATCTAGAGATTACCTCAGGCTGGTTCATTAACAACACAGCCATTGTCAAGATGATACAAGTGTGTACCAGACTGACAATAACTCAAGATAGCCATTGGAACAAGACATGCAGACTCCGTCCCTTATGCTACTCTTGCATGTTTATCATACCAAGTTTTCCTTCTTAATTCCCTTACCCAGACCCAAATTTGATGAATATGTTAATTTGCTTTATTGCAGTAATCATTTCACAGTGTATACATATATCAAAGCATCATTTTGTACACTTTGAATATATATCATTTTCATTTGTCAATTACACCTTAATAAAACTGGTTAAAAAAGAGAACTTAAAACTCAGTCAAATGTCATATTTTAGCTTCATCACCTCAATATCAATTCAATACTTTGTCCTGGTTCTTAACTTACCCAGCTTTGATAATTTGGCCAAGTCTCTTTCTCTTTTTAAAAAAAATTTTGATAGCTTTAGGGGTACAGTGGCTTTTGGTTACATGGATGAATTATACAGTGGTAAAGTCCGTGATTTTACTGCACTAGTTACCTGAGTAGTCTACATTGTACCCATATATGTTTTTTTAATTCCTCACCCACTCCTCTTCTCCCCCTTTCTGAGTCTCCAATGTCCATTATACCACTCTGTATGCCTCTGCATTCCCACTTATAGTGAAAATATAATGTGATTCTTTTTATGGCTGACTAGTATTCCATGGTGTCTACACACCACATTTTATTTATTCACTCACTGGTTGATGGGCACTTAGCTTGGTTCAACATCTTTGCTATTGTGGATTGTGCTGTGATGAATATGTGCATATAGGTGTCTTCTTGATGTAATGACTTCTTTTCTTTTTCCTTTGATACTGCTGGATAAAATGGTAGATCTACTTTTAGTTCTTCAAGAAACCTCCATACTGCTTTTCGTTGCGGAGTTTGTACTAATCTACATTCCTACCAGCAGAGCATAAGTGTTCCATTTTTTTTTTTTTTTTTTTTTTACCACATCCATGCCAACATCTATTATTTTTTGACTTTTTATTAATAGCCATTCTGGCTGGAGTAAGGTGGCATCTCGTTGGGCTTTTAATTTGCATTTCCCTGATAATTAGTGATGTTGATTTTTTTATATGTTTTTCGGCCATTTGTATGTCTTATTTTGAGAAATATTTATTCATATGATTTGCCCACTTTTTGATGGGATTTTTTCCTTGCTAATTTGTTCGAGTTCCTTGTAGATTCTAAATATTAGTCCTTTGCCAGATGTATAGTTTGCAAATATTTTCTCCCTTTCTGTGGGTTGTCTGTATACTTTGATGATTATTTCTTTTCCTGTGCAGAAGCATTTTCATTTAATCAGATCGCATTTATTTATTTTTATTTTTGTTGTACTTGCTTTTGGGGTCTTAGTAATAAATTATTGCTCTAGGCCAATGTCCAGAAGAGTTTTTTTGATTTTCTTCTAGAATTTTTATGGTGTCAGATCTTAGATTTAAATCTTTTATCAATCTTGAGTTAACTTTTGTATATGGTGATAGATAGGGATCTAGTTTAATTCTTCCACAGATGGCTATCCAGTTTTCCCAAAACCATTTATTGAATAGGGTGTCGTTTCCCCAATTTATGTTTCTGCATGCTTTGTCAAAGATCTGTTGGTTATAAGTATTTGGCTCTATTTCTGCATTCTCTTTTTTCTGTTCCATTGGTCTGTGTATCTACATTTATACCAGTATCATGTTGATTTGGTTACTATAGCCTTATAGTATAATTTGTAGTTGGGTAATGTGACGCCTCCAAGTTTGTTCTTTTTGCTTAGGATTGCTTTGGCTATCTGGGCTCTTTTTTGGGGTTCCATATAAATTTTTGGATTGTTTTTTCTAATTTCAAGAAAAATGATTTTGGTAGTTTGCTAGGAATTGCATTGAATCCATAGGTTGCTTTGGGCAGCATGGTCATTTTTGCAATATCGATCCTTCTAATCCATGAGCATGGTATGTATTTCCATTTGTTTGTGTCATCTGTGATTTCTTTTGGCAGTGTTTTGTAGTTCTGCTTGTAAAGATCTTTTACCTCCTTGGCTTAGTATATTCCTAGGTATTCTGTTTTATTTTATTTTTCCAGCTATTGTAAAAGGAGCTAAGTTTTTTATTTGATTCTCAGCTTGGTCATTATTGATGTATTGCAGTGCTGCTAATTTGCATACATTGATTTTGTAATCTGGTACTTTATTGAATCCCTTTATCAAATCTAGGAGTCTTTTGGAAGAGTTTTTAGGATTCTATAGGTATATGATCATATCATCAGCAAACATATAATTTGACTTCATCTTTTCCAACTTAGATTCCATTTATTTCTTTCTCTTGCCCGATTCCCTGGCTAAGACTTCCAGTAATATGTTGAAAATAAGTGGTAAAAGTGGGCATCCTTGTCTTGTTCCAGTTTTTAGGGGGAATGCTTTCAACCTTTCCCCACTCAGTATGATGTTGGTTGTGAGTCTGTCATACATGGCTTTTATTATTTTGAGTTATTTTCCTCCTATTCCTAGTTTGTTGAGGTTTTTTTTTTATCAGAAAATGAAACTAGATTTTATTGAATACTTTTTCTGCATCTATTGAGATGATTATATGGTTTCTGTTTTTACTTCTGTTTATGTGATGAATCATATTTATTGAGCTGAATATGTTGAACCCTCCCTGCATTCCTGGGATGAAACCCACTTGATCATGTTGTATTATCTTGTTGATGTGCTGTTGGATTCAGTTTGCTAGTATTTTATTGAAGATTTTTTCATCCATGTTCATCGGGGATATTAGTGTGTTCTGTAGCTTTCTTTTTTTTGTTATGTCCTTTCCTGGCTTTGGTATCAGAGTAAAACTTCATAGAATGAAGGGATTCTCTTTTTCTCAGTCTTTTGGAATAGTTTCAGTAAGATCAGTACCAATTTTTCTTAAACGTCTGGTAGAGTTTGGCTGTGAATCTGTATGGCCCTAGACTTTTTTAGTTGTTGTGACAATTTTTAAATTACTGATTCAATCTCATTGCTTGTTACTGGTCTGTTCAAGGTTTTTATTTCTTCCTGATTCAAGCTAGGAGGGTTGTATGTTTCCAGGAATTTATCCATTTCCTCTAGATTTTTCAGTTTGTATGCATAGAGGTATTCATAGTAGGCTCGAATGATATTTTGTATGTCTGTAGTGTTGGTCATAATGTCTACATTTTCATTTCTAATTGAACTTATTTGAAACTTCTCTCTTCTTTTCTTGGTTAATCTAGCTAATGGTCTGTCAGTTTGTTTATCTTTTCAAGGAATAAACTCCTTGCTTCATTAATCTTTTGTATTATTTCTTGGTTACAATTTCATTGAGTTCTGCTCTGATATTTTTTATTTCTTTCCTTCTACTAGCTTTGGGTTTCGGTTTGTTCTCGTTTTTCTAGTTCCTTGAGGTATGCTGTTAGGTTGTCAGTTTGTGATTTGTCAGACTTTTTGATGTGGGCATTTAGCACTATAAACTTTTCCTTCAGCATTTGCATAAAAGTTTCCTCATGTGTTTGCTGATATATAAAATAACTGCTTGCTCTAAAATTATAATCCTCTGCAAGTTGATGAGGCATAGAAAAACCTTGGATTACTTGAGAATGTTTATTCTGCCTGGCCTATTTAATTTTGGCTTACTTAGACCCATAATAATAAAATATAATCTTTAATTAAACATGCAAATACTTAATAATGCTAATAATTTTAAGTATTCATTATATAACAGAATGGTTTGCATTTATTTTTAATATTTTTCAATGTGAATATATTTTAGTATCATATCAGTGTTTTTAAACGCTTTAATGAGGTATATTTGATATACAAAAATGCACATATTTAATGTATACGATTTGATGAATGTGAATGTATGCATAAAACTGTGATATCATCACCAAAACCAAGGTACTGAATATATCCATCACCTCCAAAAGTGTGTGTGTGTGTGTGTGTGTGTGTGTGTGTGTGTGTTTTGGTAAGAACACTTAACATAAGATCTATCCTCAACACATTTTAAAGTGCACAATACTGTATTGTTAACTATGGCACTATGTTGTACACAAGATCTCTAGGACTTATTTATCTAGCATGACTAAAACTTTATACCTATTACAACTTTGTACCTTTATACCTATTGAAAATAATTTCCCATTTTCCCTTTCCCCACCCCCTGGCAATCACCACTTATTCTTTGCTTTTATGAGTTTGATTATTTCAGGTACCCTATATAAGTGAAATCATGAGCATTTGTCTTTTTGTGACTGGCTTATTTCATGTAGTGTAATAACCTCTAGGTTTTTCTGTGATGTCACAAATGGTAGGATTCCCTCCTTTTTTAAAAAGGCTGATTAACATTCCATTGCAGTGTATACTACATTTTCTCTGTCCAGTGAACTCTTCATGAACATTTGTTTTGTTTCCATGTCTTTACTATTATAAATATTGCTACCATAAGAAATAGAAAAATACTTATTATGAGGAATTGGCCTATATTACTATGGAGTCTGAAAAGTCCATCTGATATCTGTAAGCTGGAGACCCTGAAAAACCTGTGATTTTGTCTCTGTCCAAACACAAAGGCCTGAGAATGGAGCCAATAGTTTAAGTCCCAGGAGCACTGATGTCTGAAAAGAGGATGTCCCAGCTGAAGCAGAGGGAAAATTAACCCTGCTTCTGCTTTTTTGTTCTGTTTGTAGGCCCTAAAAAATTAGATGATGCCCACCCACATTAGTGAGGGTGATCTTTATTCAGTCTATTGATTCAAATTCTAATCTTTTCTAGAAATGCTTTCACAGACAAGCCCAGGAATAATGTTTTACAAGCTATCTGAGCATTCCTTAGCCCAGTTAACGCATAAAATTAACCATCACATAGCCAGGCATGGTGGCTCATGCCTGTAATCTCAGGACATTGGGAGGCAGAGGTGGGCAGATTACTTGAAGTCAGGAGTTCAAGACCTGCCTGGCTATATTAGTGCACTTTTATGCTGCTGATCAGGACATACCTGAGACTGGGTAATTTATAAAGAAAAAGAGGTTTAATGGACTCACAATTCCACGTGGCTGAGGATGCCTCACAATCATGGTGGGAGGCAAAAGTCACGTCTAACATGCTGGCAGGCAAGAGACAGAATGAGATCCTAGTGAAAGAGGTTTCCCCTTATAAAATCATCAGATCTCATGAGACTTATTCACTACCACTAGAACAGTATGGGGAAACTGCCCCCATGATTCAATTATCTCCCACCAGGTCCCTCCCACAACATGTGGGAATTCTGGAAGCTACAATTAAAGATGAGATTTAGGTGGGGACAGAGCCAGACCACATCATTCCATCCTTGGCCCCTCACAAATCTCATATCCTCACATTTAAAAACCAATCATGCCTTCCCAACAGTCCCCCAATGTCTTAACTCATTTCAGTATTAACTCAAAGTTCACAGCCCAAAGTCTCATCTTAGACAAGGCAAGTCCTTTCCACCTATAAGCCTGTAAAATCAAAAGCAAGTTAGTTACTTCCTAGGTACAATGGAGGTACAGGCATAAATACAGCTGTTCCAAATGGGAGAAACTGGCCAAAACAAAGGAACAACAGGCCCCATGTAAGTCTGAAATCCAGCAAGGCAGTCAAATCTTAAAGCTCCAAAATGATCTCCTTTGACTCCATGTCTCACATCCAGGTCACATTGCTGCAAGATGTGGGTTCCCGTGGTCTTGGGCAGCACCTCCCATGGCTTTGCAGAATGCAACCTCCCTCCTGGCTGCTTTCATGGGCTGGCATTGAGTGTCTGCTGCTTTTCCAGGCACACAGTGCAAGCTGTTGGCAGATCTACCATACTAGGATCTGGAGGACAGTGGCCCTCTTTTCACAGCTCTATTAGGCAGTGCCCCAGTGGGGACTCTGTGTGGGGGTGCCCACTCCACATTTCTCTTCTGCCCTCCCCTATCAGAGGTTCTCCATGAGGGCCCCACCCCTGCAGCAAACTTCTGCCTGGACATCCAGGCATTTCCATACATCCTCTGAAATCTTGGCAGAGGTTCCCAAATCCCAATTCTTGACTTCTGTGCACCTACAGGCTTAATACCACATGGAAGCTGCCAAGGTTTGGGGCTTGCACCCTCTGAAGCCATGGCCCAAGCTGTACCTTGATCCCTTTTAGCCATGGCTAGAGTGGCTAGGATGCAGGGCACTAAGTCTCTATGCTGCACACAGCAAGGGGGCCAATAAAACCATTTTTTTCCTTCTTGGCCTCCAGGCCTGCAATGGGAGGGGCAGCTGCAAAGATCTGTGACATGCCCTGGAGACATTTTCCCCACTTTCTTGGCGATTAACACTTGGCTCCTCATTACTTATACAGATTTCTGTAGCTGCAACATTAAATGCAGAATCTGCTTAGTGGGCCCATATCAATAAACTTGATCTGGTCCAACTTTATGTTGTATTCAGGCCCTCAATGGATTGGAGGATAACCCCCACATTGCTAAGGGTGATCTTTACTCAGTCTGCTGATTCAGATTATCCCAGAAGTATCCTCACAGACACACAGATAATATTTTACCAGCTGTTTGAGCACCACTTAGCCCCATTATATTGACAAATAAAATTAACAATCATGCTACTATTTTGCCTTAATTTACTACCTACATGCTAAACTACTCTTATCAGTTATTTGTAATAATCTTTTAATGAAGATTAAAAATCCTAACAAAAACTATTGCTTGAGTAGATGTTTGTCTCCACTATAGAGGTGAATCAAAGGAGTACCTGTAGGAAGCATTTGTTCTGGTGTCATATTTTATATGTCTGGTACCTTAGTCGCCATGATTCTTATTCTAAATCTATTTTGAACCTTTTGGGTTCTAGCACTAAGCATCTTAATGGTTCTTCTAATAGCCTGGACTGTTTCTCTGGCTACCTACATTGTAACCTGCTACTTTCTTTTGGGTCTGTGTTAAATTAATTCATAGGCATTTTATTTTCAGAAAATTTGGAAAGAAGCCTTCCCCGGAGATGACTACAAAACGTCATTATTGCATTATGCTCAATTCCTGAATGACATGACAGATTTTGTAACATTGTTCACTTTGCTAAGTAAACAAAATTGCGTAAATGTTACTTTTACCTTTGTTGTCTCCTTTTGATTTGATCTTTCAATCACAAATACTCTTTTGTAGACCTCACACAGTGTTGGGGGGTTATATCCTATGAGGTTTCAAATGAACAAAGAATTTTTATCATAACTTTTACTTTCATATAAAAGGTTACGAATTGAAGATGAAAAATAGCTCAGTAACCTGGAAAATGATTTTATTTATTTAAAAGAGATCAGTTTGGAAGTGCTGAAGAAGTAACCTTTCAAATTTAAAGAGATCCCTTAGGAAATGCAATAGAATAGCATATAGACTGAAACATTTCACTAAATAAATACAAATATATAATTTTATAAATATATGTGACCATACATGTATATATGTGTGTGAGTGTACACAGTTTTGAAATGAGGACGTTTACATTCCAAGCTGTGTGATGACAATAGGTGGTAAACAAGTCAGTTTGATTTGAGTAACTTGCTTATAGGCAGATGAATTATAACTTTTTAAGGTTCAATCAAATCAACATTTATTAAGCTCATGTTATGTAGAAGACACTAGCGTGAATAAGAGACAGTTTCTCTACTAAAGGAATTATTGAAGGGCATTATACAAACAGATTTAACAGAAGATAAGCGGAGAAACCTAAGTACCAAAAGACGAATAATAGAGTTTGGCTGTTTAAAGGGAGAAACAAATTACATCGAGTTCAGAGAAATTACATCAAGTTTGGAGGATCAGAAAAGACTTCAAGGATTATATGGGCTTTTGAAATAAGCCCTACAAAGATATGGGAATTTTAACAGATATTGATGGGATGGGACAGGAAAATTTATGCTATCAGATACTACAGGTGGTTTTATTTCTCTCTCATCACTACCCTTTTCTCTCTCTGGCCCTCTTCCTTCAAGGCCTCTTTTTCTTTGCCTACTAAGTGAATTTGAGGACACAGTGAATTTGAGAGTTCATCTTTCTTTTTAACACAATGGAGTATTACTATGGGCCGAAGAATAACTGGTTAAAATAAAATGAAAACCTGCTGAGACCTTCTGCATATATACTTTCTGTCTTTGTTTCCTCCTTGCCATTTCTATTCCTATGATTCACACTTCGTTTCATGGCACCAAGGTTTGCTCACCACTGCACACCCAGAGCTTGCATGTGTCACCACTGCACACCCAGAGCCTGCATGTGTCACCATTGCACACCCAGAGCCTGCATGTAGCAGGAATTCAATAAATATTTGCTGAATGACTAAACAAATGCAAGTATAGAGGCGAGGAAGGAACAGAGGAAAGCCTAAAGGTTTTTTGTTTGTTTGTTTTGAGACAAGAGTCTCGCTCTGTCGCCCAGGCTGGAGTGCTGCAGCATGATTTTGGCTCACTGTAACCTCCATCTCCTGGGTTCAGGTGATTTTCCTTCCTCAGCTTCTGGAGTAGCCAGGATTACAGACAGGCACCACCATACCTGGCTAATTTTTCTATTAGTAGAGACGGGGTTTCACCATGTTGGCCAGACTGGTCTTGAACTCCTGACCTCAAGCGATCTGTCTGCCTCAGCCTCCCAAAGTGCTAGGACTACAGGCATGAGCCACCGCGTTCAGCTGCATAAAGATATTTTACTAACTTCACATCTTTAATGTTTACCAGTTATTCTGTAAACTTATTGTAGAATAATTAGAATGTTGACAGGTAAAATGACACTTAACTTGGTTGTAGATGCAGAGCACTTAAAACCCAAAGAAAAATAAAAGAGCCAAACAATGACCTTGTATTATGAAAACACAAAGGTTTATATCCTAGTAGTTTAAAAATTAAAGTCATCTTATCAAACAAAATATCTTTGTGTAATTTTAAAGGGAATTTTAAAAAGGGAGCATAAGGTGAGAAAATGTTGAATATAAAATTTTGTTAAAGCTTGTGAATATCTGAAATTAGGTGATAATATTTGAATCCAGGTCAGGTTGTTGTCTATCAAAGATGTGACAAGTCTGTGCAACATACAGACATTAGTTAATAGAAATTTAGTCCTTACTCTTCTCAATGTGCCAAAGTCCACAGGCCCCCACAGAACTCCCCCTATTCAACAATTTCCTATTAAAAATGGCTGTTGGTGTTCCATACCCTAACTTCATAGAACATATTTATTCCTTATTGCAATTTTTTTCTGCTAGTTTACATATTTTCTATTTACATTGCTAAAACCCCATACAGCTTTTAATTTCTTTCACTGTATTTAATTGAATTGCTTGTCCTATTTAATCGTGCTTTATAATTATGTAGTTGAATCTACTAAGCAAGGTATATTTAAGGAAGCCTTGTTTCAATTTTTTTTTTCTCTGCTCGAGTCTCCTTATCCTTCTATGGGATACCACTTAACACACATATAACTATATATACTTATGTATTTATATAACTATATATAGATAATTGACCCTTGCACAATGTGGGGGTTAGGAATGCAGATCCCCCATGCAGTGAGAAATCCAAGCATAATTTTTGTCTCCTTCAAAACTTAATTACTAATAGCCTACTGTTGACCAGAAGCCTTAAACCATCAAGAACACAGATGGTTGATTAACACATATTTTGTATATTCTATATATTGTATATTGTATTCTTACAAAAAAGTAAGCAAGAGAAAAGGAAATGTGAAAGAAAATCATAAGGAAGAGAAAATACATTTACTGTTTATTAAGTGAAAGTGGATCAGCAGAAAGGTCTTAATCCTCATTGTCTTTATGTTGAGTAGACTGAGGAGGAACAGGAAGAGAAAGGGCTGGTTTTGCTATCTCAGAAATGGCAGGGGAAGAGAAAATCCATGCATTAAGTGGATTCCTGCGGTTCAAACACATGCTGCTCAAAGGTCACTGTATATTATAATATTTTCCCCTTTTTCTTAAATAAATGATAGATTATGGCCAATGTTTTCTACCTTACATTTTTAAGTATAATGATAGACCCTACAGGTAACTCTATAGCATTATAGTAGATATAAATATTTAAAAAAATGATTAGGGAAAATGCCTAAAGTAACATCACAAATAAAATTGCAATCACTGGTAGACTTTTGGAATATATGTCAATGGTCAACAAATGTTACCACACACTACGAAACCGCTGTTTACTAAAAACTATCGTAATTGGTAATCAAAAAGTAATGTTTTAAGCATTTACATCCTAACGTAATGATTCGTTGTGTGTGTGTGTGTGTGTGTGTGTGTGTGTGTGTGTATGCTTTAGTGGGCTTTCATATATTTTATAAAATTGGTAGGAGTTGCAGGTTGATAAGTAATATGTTATACTTTTTCCTCATTGAAATAATGTGATATGTTCTCTAAGTTAGTGTTGTCGCACAGAATGTCTGATTTCCAAAAAGAGATTACTGATAATAAGAGGATTATGTATTTTATTTCTTTATCTTAATTCACCTGTATGGATGATTGATGTTATAATTTTACTACCAGACAGTAGGTGGCACTATAAGTATGCATTCATTAGAGACCAAATTAATTTATAATAAACTCCGACACGTAATTTGTATTTAATACTTGAAGTTGTTGCGCTTAATGTTGTTCGGAAAATGGACCATTGTCTAATGCCTAGAAATATATTTCTGATATATTTAGAATGTATATCCAAAATTTATTTGAAATACTTTCAGTTATAGCTATTAAGGGTGTGTGCGTGTCTGTCTGTGAGACAGTAGAAAAATATTATGTTACTGATACTCCAATACCAAATTATTGTTTAATTTAGTATAGTGAATAATTTTAATGAGTCAATCATTTCAGTATTACATTATCCAAAATAAAGACTGAGTATATTCCTTAGGCACTGACAAATGAGCTACCTTTCCCTCAATTTTTAAATACTGATTTTTTAAAAGGAAATCAGGCCAGGCATGGTGGCACATGCCCATAAGCTATGCAGTTTGGGAGGCCAAGGCAGGAGGATAGCTTGAGGTCAGAAGTCCGAGACCAGCCTGGGAAACATAATGGGATCCAATCTCTACAAAAAAATAAAAATAAATAAATTAGTCAGGTGTGGTGACATGTGTCTGTAGTCCCTAGGAGCCTAGGAGCTCAATCGCTAGTCATGATGATGTCACTTACTCCAGCCTAGGTGATAGAGTGAGACGGTCTCAAAAAAAGAAAGAAAGAAAGAAAAACAAAGTAGATTTAATGTCAAAATTAGAATTTTGTTGGTCTTCTTAATATTTATTATGATTTTTTTTTTACTTTGAATTTTTAATGGTGCTTTAAAAAAACGTTACCACTGACCTCCATGTTGCTAAATCCAGTTTTCAATTCTCAGGCCTCATGATGTTTGACATATCAACAGTATTTCACACACAGCAGATTACTCTTTTTTTTTTTTTTTTTTTTTTTTTGTGACAGTCTCTATTTTCCAGACTGGAATGCAGTGGCACGATCTTGGCTCACTGCAACCTCCGCCTCCCAGGCCCAAGTGATCCTTCCACCTCTTCCTCTCCAGTAGCTGGGACTACAGGTGCCCGCCACCACACTTGGCTAATTTTTTGTATTTTTAGTAAAGACAGGGTTTCACCATGTTGGCCAAGCTGGTCTTGAACTGCTGACCTCAAGTGATCCACCTGCCTCGGCCCCCCAAAGTGCTGGGATTACAGGTGTGAGCCATTGCTCCCGGCCCTACTCTTTTCTCCTGAAAACATCTTTTTTTTCCTCCCTTAGCTTTTAGGACACCACACCCTTCTAGTATTCATTCTACATCACTGACTGGTCCTTCTCTGTTTTCTTTGCTTTTTTGACTTCCCCTGAATCTTCTAATGTTGAATGCCCCAGAGATCGGTTCTTGATCAACTTTTTTCTTATCCATACTCATTGCCTCACTGATATCATCCAGATTTATGGTTTTAAATATAAGTAAAATTTTCATATTTTAAGTGGAGTTCAAAAGCTTCAGTTGTGTGAAAGGAGCTATTACAGTATTTTAAGGAGAATCTGATTGCAAATCAAGTCACATTTAAGTTCCACAAAATCATGAGATGTGTTATGGTAGCCTCTGTGTACCATCATTCTTATGGCGAAGATTCCCAAATGTATATCTCTAGCCTAGACCTCCTCTCTGAATTCCAGACATAAATTCAACTGCCTACTTGGCAATTCTACTTGGATACCTAATTAACATCTCAAATTAAATGTGCCCAGATTTTTTTCCCCACCACCAAACCTCCTCCACCTCAGTCTTATTCAGCTCAGGTAATGTTAACTACATATATTTTCCATTGCTCAGGCCAAAACCATTGAAAGCATTCTTGACTCTTATTTTCAACCTGCCAGGAAGTCCTGTTGACTGTACCTTCCACATATACCCAGAATCTGACCACTTCTCACTATCTCCACTGTTCCTACCATCCAATCAATTATCACATTTCACTTGAGTCATTGCACTAGCCCTCCAACTAGCCTCTCAACCTCCATCCTGACTGCCTTACAATCCACTTTCAACACAGCAGCCAGAGTTGCTCTCAAAATGGAAGTCAGTTTATTTCATCCTTGCTCAAAATTCTGTAGTGACTCCACTTTTCATGCAGAATAAAAATCAAAGTCCTTGGAATATACTCTAAGGTCTAACATGACCTAGTCCTCATTACCTCTTTAAGCTCATCTCTTACTGCTCTTCCCCTCTCTCACTCCATTTCATCCACTTAAACTATACTGGCCTCTCTTATTGTTCCACAAACACGGCAGGTGCACTCCTATCTCAGGGCCTTTGTACGAAGTGTCTCCTTTACCTGAAAGGCTTTCCTCTTATTCTTATTTATTTATTTTATTTTTGATAGAGTCTCACTCACTCTGTTGCCCAGGCTGGAGTGCAGTGGTACAATCTTAGGCACTGCAACCTCTGCCTCCCAGGTTCAAGTGATCCTCCTGCCTCAGCCTCCCGAGTAGCTGGGATTACAGGCCACCACGCCTGGCTAATTTTTGTATTTTTAGTAGAAACGGCGTTTTACCATGTTGGCCAGGCTGATCTCGACCTCCTGACCTCAGGTGATCTGCCCGCCTTGGCATCCCAAAGGGCTGGGATTACAGGCGTGAGCCACTGTGCATGGCCATCCTCTTACTCTTTCTGTGGCTTGCTCTCTCCCCTCCTTGTTCTCTTCTCCTCTCACATTGAGGGGTATAGTGAAGTTACTACTTACAGTTTCAAACTTTGTCACTGGCCCCAGCATCCCATCTCTCTTACCCTACTCTCTATTTTCTCCAAATAATATATCATCTTTGGTATAATGTATATATCATTTTTATATAGTATATAAAAATATAAATATATTTTAGAAATAATATAGATACATTTATAACTAATATAGGAATTATATAATGGCTTATTATATTTATTATTTTCTGCACTAAAATATAAGCTTCATATGAACAGAGATTGTCTTTTTGAATCACTCCTCTGTTAGTGATTAGGACAATGCCTAATTGTAGGTAATCAATAAATATTGTAGGTAATCAATAAATACTTATTAAATGATGAATAAATGAATGAATGCTGGGAAGATAGTGCACCATACATTTTCAGTATTCAGGGTCTCTAAAGATTGCTTAGATTGTTAATTTAGAAATGATCACTTGGATTTTTAAGGATGATTCACTGATATAATAGTTGTTTTTTCCTTTAAAGCTGATTGAACCAGTGGTGGACTTAACTAGAATGAAATTTCAAAATATTATACAGCTGGCCTAGTTAAAAATATAATTCACACAGTTTAAGGTATAATAAGAAAGTGTCTAAGGTTTGAGAAATATTTAATATATTGAATATCTAGATTGCCCAGTAAGAAAGGAAATTGACATTAATCAGGCTATTAACATACAAGTCTTTCACATACATATTATCATTTACTCCTTGCAACTCTGGGATGTAGGTATTGCCCTAATTCTCCTGACTTGGAGGTTTTGGCTTGGGAACATATAATTACTTGGCCACCGTCACATACTACTTGGGAGCACAGTTGGGATTCAAATCCAGTTTTGTTTCCTAAGCTCATGGTCATTAATGACATGATTCTGCCTCACTATTCTTTAAGAGGAAATATATTTAAATCTTTAACAGAATGTATTTGTTGTGCCAAGGCCAAGTACAGGTAATAAAAAATCAGATAGACAAACCGGTGATTTATGAACATTTATAGCCCAGAGAGACCTCAATCAACTTCTAGACCCACCTCCAATTTCAACCTTGGTCCAGGATCAATTTTATTTTATTTTATTTTGATTTAGATAAGAGATAGATTAAAAAGAAACACTGATGTTAGGTCCCTTCATACTCTATATCTGGATAACTGAAGATAGTGTTTTTCAAGTCTTACTGTACATTCAACTCTTTAGTTCCATCATTAAGGACAAAGCAAAGTAATCTATGTAATAAAATCAACCTGACCGGGACATAGTCAATTTGATTATTCTGACCACTCTGGCAGCCAAGCTAGATTTTGGGTTGATTCCCATAAAAAATTAACCTATCTATCTCCTCTCCTAAACTTGGATGGGAAAAAAAAAATAGAACAAAGTTCTTCTGTCTGAAGTAGATTCTGCTTCCGGTCCCAGCCTCCGGATGATAATGACTCAAAGGGCAAAACATAAGTAAAGTGCATGCAAGGGTCATCTGTTGTTTTGAAATGAAATGAAGTCGCCTAACTCACACATCTGCTCCCCACCCCTGCTTTCTGGAGACGGCTAATGATCAAACGGAGCCCAGATTCTCCCCATACCCGTTTTGTGGAAATACCACCAGGGAAAGTGTTCCCTTGGCACTTAAGCTATAACTCAGAGTCTCAGAAAGTTCTTTTCTCTCTCATGCCCCAGTGTTAGTCGAGTGACTTTTGAGGCTTGAGGATGTTCTGCATGACTTTTATTTTGAGATCACATGTCTTGACACAGCTGGTGAGTGTTAATGACCAGGCCACAGCGCTCAGGTCTGCACGTCCACTCTCCCCATTTCCCAACAAGGGAAACATCCTGGGTTGTGGTTCTCACAACACAAAGGAGACACTAAAGCCTTAGAATAATCCTCAGTGGGAGAGGAGCTATTTTTCAATTTGGCTCAGGACCAAGTGCCAAAAAAACGTAAAACCATTGATTACATATTACTCCTTTTGGCCAAAAAGCAGAAATTATACAAACATGCAGGAACAATTTACTATATTTCTTTCCCACATTCTTTATTTTCCCCAGATATATTGTTTAAATTTGAACAGTTCTGCAAAAGATCCCATGGGAATAACACTTCCCACATGAACAGCTTCCTTGCTTATGAGAGTCAATTCGGTTCTCTGGTGGCCTGAAGGGCCAATTTAAGGTTATGTAAAGTAGCTGAGTAGCTGAGATAATATAACACCAGACGTCCTCATATGCCATTCTGTGGGGGAAGGGAAGAGGGAGAATCGTAAACCCCCAATATCTATGAGTTAATAAAAGACCATTCTCTGTAGCTTTGGGCTTAGTGTTACCTTCATACTATTCTTGCTCATGCCAACACAAAGCCCTGGTGATACAACAGAAAAGACAAGGAGGAGGACTGAGATATGATGTGGTGCAGCTCAGATCAACAACCACATATCATGATTGATATGCTAGGAATTAAACTGAAGGTTCAAAGGCAAGTTACATTCAATCTTTGCCATGAGCGTCCAGCAGAAAGAAAGGGCTATAATTTAAACCTGGTACCTCACAAACCAAAAGCAAGAATCTCAACTACAGCAAGGGGATATTATCTATCACTTTACAATTTCTTTCAACACAGTGATACTACTCTTGTTGGCCACTACCAATCACAGGGATAAAATGAATTAGCAGTTTCAGCCCCATATTAATGAAGCATCCAAAGCAATTGAAATAGAGCAGCAGTTTACCTAACAGCAGAAGTCATTTATTTTGTTATGTAGTTCTGTTATACTCCTGTGAAATTCAAATTATGTTCCCTGCCAAACAGAAAAAAATTTGGTGTATGGATAAAGTTGGAAGGGTTTGGGCAGGTTTTCTGTTTCTTTGTTAAGTGTTGTCTTAGTTATTATATTATCAAAGTCCAGTAGGGCTCCCCAGCCATCGTATTTCTAAGACTGAGGAAGAACTGATTCTTATGCTACGAGGAATTACTTTACTTCGCATAAAACCTTGATTAGCTATCTTTTGAGCAGACTTCAACCTATAGCAAAGCCTACTGAAGAATTTATTGAATGTTACTATATGCCAGGTTCTATATTAAGTGCTTTCTATATCCCATCTCTTTTACTCTTTGTAACAATTCTGAGAAAGTTAATATTATTTCTGTTATTCTGGAGGAAGAAATTGCTAGAGGTTACCTAACTTGCTGAAGATTACTCATCAATTAACCTGTGATGGAGTGGTGGAGCCAGAATTCAGAGCCAAAGTGTTGTAAATAATGGCCAAATACAATGAAATAGTATTGTGCTCAAATTTTAAAAATTCATCAAAAATATAATTTGTTAACAATAAAGATTTTTTACTTACATGTAATTGCTGAGAATATATTTGTATTTTCCAGAGTAGCCTTGAATTTTGCAAAGCTATTTTTTTTTTTGAGACAGGGTCTCTCTCTGTTGCCCAGGCTGGAGTACAGTGGTGTGATCTCAGCTCACTGCAACTTTGGCCCCGCCAGGTTCAAGTGATTCTCCTGCCTCAGCCTCCTGAGTAGCTGAGATTAGAGGCAGGAACTCCTGACTTCAAGCTATCCACCCACCTTGGCCTCCCAAAGTGCTGGGATTACAGGCATGAGCCACTGTGCCTGGACAAATTTTGCAAACTTTAATTCCACTTGAAAGAACAAGATTTTGACAACGTCAGGTGAAATATTTTTCTCAAACAAATGATTTGGGGGAAAAAGCTGGATAGTTAAGAACAATCTGTGTTTTTTTTTATCTTTCTTTTTCTGGAAATTAACCAGCACATTCTCATTGACATGATTTCTGCCAAGATATTTAAAAGTACCATAAATATAGAACAGGTATGCTCAGTGGAACAGACAGGGAAAAGACAGATGTTTAAGTAGTGCTGTTTGAATGGAAAATAGAAACTAGGCATGCATGTAGAGTTAGGTTGTATGATTCAATTAGCCTCAAAACATAAAACATGCTTTTTCTCTTGTTATGGCTTAATAACCTTCTTTATTCTTGTTCTAGTTCATAATTTGCTTTTGCATTGTAAAGAAAATATTTTTGTAGAAATGCAGGTAAGAATTATTTATGCAGTAATAAAATTCTACAGAACAAAATTTATAACACACACATACACATATATACACACACATATGCATATATATATATACATACATACACATATATATCATTTGAAAAGCATATAATATCAAACAAATCAGCTTTGTACCTGACCTGAATTATCACCATTTTTTTCTTTCTTTTTTTTTTTTTGTTTTTGTTTTTGGGATGTTTTTGTTGTTGTTGTTTTTGAGACAGGGTCTTGCTCTGTCACCCAGGCTGGAGTGCGGTGATGTGATCATGGCTCACTGCAACCTCCACCTTGTAGGCTCAAATGATCCTCCCACCTCAGCCTCCTGAGTAGCTGGGACTACAGGCATGCCACCATGCTTGGCTAATTTTTGTATTTTTTGTAGAGATGGGGTTTTACCATGTTACCCAGGCTGGTCTTGAACTTTTGGGCTCAAGCAATCTGCCCACTTCAGCCTCCCAAAGTTCTGGGATTACAGGTATGAGCCACCACACCCAGCTTGTTTGTTCTGTTTTTAATACCTACTAATGTTGGAATGGGAATGGCTGCAAACAAACTCAGTCTCAAAGTTTGTTTTGGGAGGTCTATTTAGTTGTGTGTCACTTGGTTTATCATCTCATTTCAAAGCTTTCATAACATTAAAAAACACAAAAACTAAACTTCATTTTGAGGTTCTATAGCTATGAATACCTGTGTGATTCCAAAGTATAGGGAAAGTGTATGTTTATTTTTATTTATTTATTTATTTATTTTTTGAGACAGGGTCTCACTTCTGTCACCCAGGCTGGAGTGCAGTGGCGTGACCATGGCTCACTGCGGCCTCAACCTCCTGGGCTCAAATGATCCTACCACCTCAGCCTCCCAAGTAGCTGGGACTACAGACATTCAACACCACACCCGGCTAATTTTTGTATTTTTTATAGAGAAGGGGTTTCACCATGTTGCCAAGGCTGGTCTCGAACTCCCGGGCTCAAGTGATCCACCCGCTTTGGTCTCCCAAAGTGCTAGAATTACAGGCATAAGCCACAGCGCTCAGCCTGTTTATTGTCATTTTAATGGTAATGGTATCAATGACCTTCTAATGTAGTTAGGTGTCTTATCTCTGAGGAGATGCTCCTGTGATATTTAAACTGAGATTAGAAGGAAAGTCCTCAGCAAAATACTAGCAAGTCAAATTCAGCAGCACAATGAAAAAGATAATATGACATGGTCAAGTGGGATTTATTCCAGGAATGCAAGGATGCACAACATATGCAAATAAATAAACATGATATATCACATCAACAGAATAAAGGACAAAAACTATATGATCATCTCAATAGACACATAAAAAGCATTTGATAAAATTCAAAAACCCTTCATAATAAAACCTCTCAACAAACTCATAATAGAAGAAACATACCTCAACAGAGTGAAGGCCATCTATGACCAACCCACAGCTAAAGGTAAAATCATACCAAGTGGGGAAAAGCTGAAAGCCTTTCCTCTAAGAACTGGCACAAGACAAGGATGCCCACTTTCACTACTACTATTCAACACAATACCGGAAGTTTTAGCCAGAGCAATCAGGCAAGACAAAATGAAAGACATCTGTACTTGTCTGTTTTCACACTGCTGACAAAGATATACCTGAGACTGGGTAATTTATAAAGAAAAAGAGGCTTAATGAACCCACAGTTCCACGTGGTTGGGGAGGCCTCACAATCATGGCAGAAGGTGAAAGTCATGTCTTACATGGCAGCAGACAAGAGAGAAAATAAGAACCAAGTGAAAGGGTTTTTCCCTTATAAAACCATCAGATCTCATGAGACTTATTCACTCCCATTGGGTACCTCCCACAACACATGGAAATTATAAGAACTAAAATTCAAGATGAGATTTGGGTGGGGACACAGCCAAACAATATCATTCTGCTTCTGGCTCCTCCCAAATCTCATGTCCTCACATTTCAAAACCAATCATGCCTTCCCAACAGTCCCCCAAACTCTTAACTCACTTCAGCATTAACTCAAAGTCCACAGTCCAAAGTCTCATCTGAGACAAGGCAAGTCTCTTCCACCTATGAGCCTGAAAAATCAAAAACAAGTTAGTTACTTCCTAGACACAATGGAGATACAGGCATTGGATAAATACAGCAATTCCAAATGGGAGAAATTGGCCAAAATGAAGGGGCTATAGGCCCTGCGCAAATCCGAAAACCAATAGGGCAGTTATTAAACCATAAAGTTCCAAAATGATCTCTTTTGACTCCATGTCTCACATCCAGGTTATGCTGATGCAAGAGGTGGTTTCCCATGGTCTTGGGCAGCTCTACCCCTGTGACTTTTCAGGGTTCAGTCTGTCTCCTGGCTGCTTTCATGGGCTGGCATTCAGTTTCTGTGGCTTTTCCAGGTGCACAGTGCAAGCTAGCAGTGGATCTATCATTCTGGGGTCTGGAGGACGATGACTCTCTTCTCACAGCTCCAGTAAGCAGTGCCCCAGTGGGGACTCTGTGTAGGGGCTTCAACTCCACATTTCCCTTCTGCACTGCCTAAGCAGAGGTTCTCAATGAGGGCCTGACCCCTGCAGCAAACTTCTGCCTGGACATCCAGGTATTTTTTTTTTTTTTTAATGGCACAGTGGTTTAATCTCTAGAATCCCAGAAAACAGATTTGAGGTATTCATTCCTATAGGATCTGGCTGTGCCTCCTACTCTGATCAAAAAGATTCATGTGTTCAGATACAACAAAGCTAGCTTTCTAACTTACTAACTTACAATGTATATGCATATGCACATGCCTGTGTGTTCCCCGCCATGTATTTATTCTTCATGCTTGGTTTTCTGGCATTTTGAAGTTTGCAGCAAAAGTTTCAATACACATTTATTTCTCTAGTCCGCAGTTGAGCAGGTAACATATCCTGAGACAGAGTTTTTTTTGTTTTGTTGTTTTTTTTGAGATGGGTTCTTGTTCTGTTGCCCAGGCTGGAGTGATGTGGCATGATCTTGGCTCACTGCAACCTCCGCCTCCCGGGTTCAAGCAATTCTCCTGCCTCAGCCTCCTGAGTAGCTGGGACTACAGGCACACGCCATCATGCCCAGCTAATTTTTTGTATTTTAGTAGAGATGGGGTTTCATCGTGTTGCCCAGACTGATCTTGAACTCCTGAGCTCAGGCAATCCGCCTGCCTCGGCCTCCTAAAGTGCTGGGATTATAGGTGTGAGCCATAGTGCCCAGCCTAAGAGTTGTTGATATGCTCGCAGGAAGTGTTTCTGTGTTAAAAAGTTGAGAAGATGGAAACTGAATCCTCCTCGTATTCAGAAGGCTGTTTCAGAAGGTCACTGTTGGCAGGCTTCTCCCTACAGGGATTCAGCAGTGAGGGAGCAGAGTATTCAGGGGACAACTGCTTCTTCTGGAGGGGAGAGAATGAGATGGAGTTCACCAGCAGCTCTTTATGTCAGACTTTTAGCAGGATTCAGCTTTATAAATAAGCTTGTTGCCTCTGAGTATGAGGTCTTCTCATCAACACTCTGAACATTACAGGAAACAAAAAATTTTCTTCCTTCAACTTTATCAAGTTGGCAATTTATCATAACAACAGAACAAAGAGGAATAGGTCTTTTGTAATTGATGTTGAGATTGGCAGTCATGACAATTCCCCCAGCCATCATTGCACACATACCAACAGTAGCATCAATCATCGTTGCAATGGCACCTCCATGAACGAATCCAGGTGGTCCTTCCAGGTAAGGGCCTCCTTGAAATAAGCAAACCATCCTTTTCTCAATGTCATTCTAGAACATCATGTATTCAAAGCCCAGGCCATCATCAAAGCTTCTGGTGAAGAGCTGGGCCTGTGATATCTGTTCTTCTTTCATAAGCTTTGGGTCAGCACAGGTCACGGCTCACTACCCAGCAGGGGCAGGCCTACCGGTGGTGGGCGCAGGGACCCCAGCATGCGGAGGCACGCAGCACAGCTCCTCAGCATGGCTCTGGGCCACAAGGGCCGGAGGACCGCACTTACTCTAGCCCTGGACAGTGAACACTACCTGACATCCAGGTATTTCTATAAATCCTCTGAAATCTAGGCAGAGGTTCCCAAACCTCAATTCTTGACCTCTGTGCACCCACAGAACAACACCACATGGAAGCTGCCAAGGCTTGGGGCTTGTACCCTCTGAAGCAACAGCCCAAGCTGTATCTTGGCCCCTTTTAGCCATGGCTAGAGCATTTGGGATGCAGGGCACCAAGTTTGTAGGCTGCAAACAGCAAGGGGGCCCTGGGCCCAGCCCTGGAAACCATTTCTTCCTCCTAGGCCTCTGGTCTGTGATGGGAGGGGCTGGCTCAAAGGTCTCTGAAATGCCCTGGAGACATTTTTCCCGTTGTCTTGGCAATTAACATTTGGCTCCTCGTTACTTATGCAATTTTCTGCACCTGGCTTGAATTTCTCCTTAGAAAATGGGTTTTTCTTTTCTATCACATCATCAGGCTGCAAATTTTTCAAACTTTTATGCTCTGTTTCCCTTTTGAAAACTGAATACCTTTAACAGCACCCAAGTCATATCTTGACTGCTTTGTTACTTAGAAATTTCTTCCACCAGATACCCTAAATCATCTCCCTCAAATTCCAAGTTCCACAAATCTATAGGTCAGGGGCAAAATGCCACCAGTCTCTTTGCTAAAATAAAGCAAGAGTCACTTTTACTCCAATTCCCAACAAATTCCTTATCTCCATCTGAGACCACCGCAGCCTGGATTTCATTGTCCATATCATTATCAGCATTTTAGTCAAATGCTGATTTGACCAAGTTCTCTAGGAAGTTCTACACTTTCCCACATTTTTCTGTCTTCTTCTGAGCCTTCCAAACTGTTCCAACCTCTACCTACTACCCAGTTCCAAAGTCACTTCCACATTTGTGTATATCTTTACCACAGTGCCCCACTCTACTGGTATCGATTTACTGTATTTGTCTGTTTTCATGCTGCTTTTAAAGACCTACCCAATCTGGGTAATTTATGACAAAAAAAGAGGCTTCATGAACTCACAGTTCCACGTGGCTAGGGAAGCCTCACAGTCATGGCAGAAGGTGAAAGGCACATCTTACATGGCAACAGACAAGAGAGAAAATAAGAACCAGGCAAAAGGAGTTTCCCCCTTATAAAACCATCAGATCTCATGAGACTTATTCACTACCATGAGAACAGTATGAGGAGAACTGCCGCCATGATTCAATTACCTCCCACCAGGTCCCTCCCACAACACATAAGAATTATGGAAGCTATAATTCAAGATGAGATTTGGGTGGGGACACAGCCAAACCATGTCAACATCCAAATTGGAAAAGAGGAACTAAAATTGTCCCTCTTTGTAGATGACATGATCTTATATTTAGGAAAACCAAAAGACTACTCCAAAAAACTCTTAGAACTGGTTAAAAAATTCTGCAAAGGTGCACAATACAAAATCAACATACACAAATTAGTAGTATTTCTTTACACCAATGATGAGCTATCTGAAAAAGAAATCAAGAAGACAATTCTATTTACAATAGCCAAAAAATGTAAAATACCTATGAATAAATTTAAACAAGGAGGTGAAAGACCTTTACAAAAACAAAAACAAAAAACAAAATACACCAAAAAACAAAACCACAAAACGCAGATGAAATAAATTGAAGAAGACACACACACACACACACACACACACACACACACACACACACACACACACAAACATGAAAAGAAGCCTGGGCATGGTGGTTCATGCCTCTAATCCCAGCACTTTGGGAGGTCGAGTCAGGCAGATCACTTGAGGTCAGGAATTCAAGACCAGCCTGACCAACGTGATGAAACCCCGTCTCTACTAAAAATACAAAAATTAGTTGGGTGTGGTGGTATGTGCCTACAATCCCAGCTACTCAGGAGGCTGAGGCAGGAGAATCACTTGAAGCTGGGAGGTGGAGGTTGCAGTGCAGTGACCCGACATTGTACCACTGTGCCACTGCACTCCAGCCTGGGCAACAGAGTGAGACTCTGTCTCAGAAAAAAAAAGGAAAGAGCATGCTCATGGATTAGAATAACTAATACTGTTGAAATGACCATACTACCCAAAGCAATCTACAGATTCAATGCAATCTCTATCAAAATATCAATGTCATTTCTCACAGAAATAGTAAATATCCTAAACCATAAAAGAGCTTGAATAGTCAAAGCAATTCTGAGCAAAAAGAATAAAGCTGGAGGCATCATACTACCAGAATTCAAAATATATTACAGGGCTATGATAACCAAAACATCATGGTATTGGTATAAAAATACACACATAGGCCGGGCATGGTGGCTCATGCCTGTAATCCCAGCACTTTGGGAGGTAGAGGTGGGCGGATCACGCACTCTGCCCTATTTTATGCTTGGTTATGTTTTGTCATCTTTCCCTTGCGGTACTATATCTATTGCGTCAAGATACAATTTCTATCACCTATACTTTATTTGGGTAAATGATTTAGAGGTCAGGAGATTGAGACCATCCTGGCCAGCATGGCGAAACCCTGTCTCTACTAAAAATCCAAAAAAATTAGCTGGGTGTGGTGGTGCATGCCTGTAATCACAGCTACTCCGCAGGCTGAGGCACGAGAATCGCTTGAACTCAGGAGGCGAAGGTCGCAGTGAGCCAAGATCATGCTCCTGCACTCTAGCCTGGCGACAGAGCAAGACTCCTTCTCAAAAAAAAAAAAAAAAAAAAAAAAAATAGACACATAGATCAATGGAATATAATAGAGAACCCAGACATAAATCCACATATTTACAACCAACTAATTTCTGACAAAGGCACCAAGAATATGCACTGTGGAAAAGACATCGTCTTCAATAAATGGTGCTGGAAAAACTGAATATCTATATGCAGAACAATGAAACTGGATCTCTATCTCTCACCATATACAAAAATCAACTCAAAATGGATTAAAAGTTTAAATGTAAGACTAGAAACTATAAAAGAAAGTTATACTAGAAGAAAACATAAAGGAAATACTTCAGGACGTTGGTCTAGACAAAAATTTTATGGCTAAGATCTCAAAAACACAGGCATCAGAAACAAAAATAGACAGATGAGACTATGTCAATTTAAAAAGGTTTTGCACAGCAAAGGAAACAGTCAACAGAATGAAGAGACAATATGTAGAATGGGAGAAAATACTTGTAAACTATTCATCTGACAAGGGACTAATGTTCAGAATACACAAGGAACTCAAACATCACAATAGTAAGAAAACAACCCTTTTAAAATTGGACAAAAGATAGCCTTGTATATAGTGAGACCCTGTCTTTGCCAAAATAAAATAAAAAGATTAACCGGGTGTGGCAGTACATGCCTGCAGTCCCAGCTACTTGGGAGACTGAGGTGGCAGGATTGCTTGATCCTGGGAGATGGAGGCTGCAGTGAGCCATGATTGTGCCACTGCACTCTAGCCTGGGTGACAGAATGAGACCATGTCTTGAAAAAAGAAAAGTGGGCAAAGAAAATAAATAGACATTTCTCAAAAGAAGACATACAAATGGCCAACAGACAGATGAAAAAAAATGCTCAGCATCACTAATCATTAGGAAAAAGCAAATCAAAACCACAATGAGATGTCATTTTACCCCATTTAGAATGGCTATTAAAGAGACAAAAAAATAACAGATGTTGGCAAGGATGCAGAGAAAAGGGAACTCTTATACACTGTTGGTGGGAATGTAAATTACTACAACCAGTATGGAAAACGGTGTGGAGATTTCTGAAGAAACTAAAACTAGAACTACCATATGATCCCACAATCCCACTACTGGGTATTTATACAAAGGAAAGGATATCAGCATACCAAAGGGATACCTGCGTCCTCATGTTTATTGCAGCACTATTTACAATAGCAAAGATACAGAATCAACCCAAGCATCCACCAACATATGAATGAATAAGGAAAATGTGGTATATATGCACAATGGAATATTATTCAGCTATAAGAACAATAAAACTATGTCATTTGCAAAAATATGGAGGGAACTGCAGGTCATTAGGTTAAGTAAAATAAACTAGGGACAGAAAGACAAATGCAAAAAGTCGATTTCATGAGGTAGAGGGTAGAAAGATAGATACCAGAGGCAGGGAGGATGTAAGGGTGGGAGGGGCAAATGAAGAGAGCTCGGTTAATGGGTATGAACATATAGTTCGATAGAAGGAATAAGTTCTAAAGTCCAACAGTAGAGTAGGGTGACTATAGTTAACAATAACATAATGTATATTTAAAAATAACTAAAAGAGAGGATTTGAAGTGTTCCCAACACATAGAAAGGATAAATACTCAAGGCCATGGATACCCTAAATACTGTGACTTGATCACTACACACTTTATGCATGTAACAAAATATCAAGTGCACCCCATAAATATGTACAAATATTATGTATCAATAAAAAGACATAAAAAATAAATTAGGCGAGAAGATTTTTTGCTTTCGTAGTACAGCAGCCACAGGCTATGACTCAACCATATGGCCATGTGAAAAGAACTGGTTCACAGGTGGGGGAAATAAACCCAACACACAGAAAGATGAAAAAGTGTGTGTGTGTGTGTGTGTGTGTGTGTGTGTGTGTGTGTGTTTCTGTAAGAGAGAGAGAGAGAATTAATGTGCCCTTAATTCCTGGTTCTATTCCCTGAGGGACCTGAGGCTGCTCTGATGCCTACAACAAAATACCATAAACTGGATAGCTTATAAAAAGCAGAAATTTATTTCTTAAAGTTCTGGAAGCTGGGAATTCTACCATCAAGGTGCCAGCAGATTTGACATCTGGCAAGAGCCTGCTTTCTGATTCATTGATGGTGCCCTCTTGCTGTGTCCTCACATGGCAAAAGGGGTGATCAAGCTCTCTGAGGCCTTTTTTATGAGGACACTAGTCTAGTCCTGTTCATAAGGTCTCTGTCCTTAAGACCTAATCATCTCCCAAAAGCCCCATCTTTTAATACCATCACTTTGGGAGTTAGGATTTCAATGTACGAATTTGAGGGACATAAACACTAGTCCAGTGCAGAGTCCTTTTACATACAGTGATCTTTTCATCTCAAAGGCTGAAGGACAGTCTGAAACCCACATTCTATAACCAAGAAGCAAAAGACTACACACAGGGTATTGCCCCTAGCCTACGAAATAGTTTTCAGGTGCATATTAAATGGCTGAGGAGAGGCCATGATAATAATGTTAACTAAGAGGTAAAGGCCATATATTCTAGTTTGCCCAGAAAATCTCAGATTATACCATCTGTCCTAATCTCCTGTCTGGCTTAGCATTTGTCTCAGTTTTTATTTTCCAATTAAGCATTATTATTAATAGTTGCAGTAAAATAATCCAGCATGGATCTGATAGAGCTCCACTTTTTATTTCTATTTTCTGCACTGGTCCTAGGTAGTGTGTGAGAAGTATAAGCAGTGAAGATTCTATTTCACATGGGATTAAGTGTGAAAGACAGCAAGCAACACGCTCTCTCTTTTGTAACCCTTCTCACATGCAGTGTAACTAACACTTCTCTTTAAATGGCAGTATACAGAATGCCTAAAGGTGTATATAAAGACAGAAAAATCCTGCAAGTCTTCGGCGGTGGTAGAGAAGTGTTCACACTCACTGCTCTTGCCACCACTAAAGGACCCACCAGTCTATGCCACAGTCTGCAAGAGGCAGGAAGCTGCCAGACCACCAGTTGCTAGGGTTAGGGTGAATTGTAGGAAATCACAGCTTAGGTCTATATGAAATATATACAGGAAATTGTAATTGGGCAGTCTTCAGTCATACATAATGCACTGTTTCTTATAGTTTTTTTGGTCATTTGTTGTATAGTAGAAATTTGCAACTATTTATATATTATTGTTTGGTAGTGTTTTTATATTTTGTCATAATTTTAGGCAATAGTGAGCTCCAAAAGACAAAAGTGCCTATCTTTTGAAAAATTAAATACTTAATTTCTAATTATTAAGAAAGTTCACAAAGGACATGTAATTTTGAAAAAGATGTTAGTTGACATTTACCATCACTGACTACCTGAAACCCGAAAGACACAATCTATGAAAGGAGAATCAGCATCTACTTCAAAATTGAGTCATTATTTTAAGAGTAATGTGCCTGAAAGCAACCATTTCATAAATTCAGCTGTAATATGTGTATTTTATATCACTTATGCAGATCAAATAACTTCTTGTTTGTTGTGTTTTTGGCTTGCAAGTTTTGTTGTGCATATTTGAAAAGGGAAAAGATAGTAGGTGCTAAAATATACATACATATAGTTTTAAGTGAATAATTTATTTGTTGACAAATAAGAACAAAGCAGAATGGAACATTCCATATGAGATAATTATAGGTATCTTTGGAGAAACTAAACCTTAAATACCTTCTATATACAAAATGTTTAATAAATAAATAGATACTCAAAATGCAAAGCTAATTCCTTATATTTCCTTCTATCAATCCTATCCTCTCATTGACTTGAAAAAATTTTTTAAATACTGAAAGATCTTCAGAATTTTTAAAAGAGATGATACAAGTTAAGTATGCCAATAATTTTCTAATTTAATTTTATGGGTTGAATTCTTTATATATATAGATATTTTTCCTGGCATTAAGCAAGGAATCTAGATAGAATTTATCTTTTAAAGAAGTGAAGGACTGTATAAAGGCTTACTTTTTAATCCTAGTTTCAAAATGTCTCTGTCTCTGTGTATGTATATACTCAGGTACCACCTAACAATTTTTCGGTCAATGACGGACCACATATAAGATGGTAGTCCTATAAGATTACAATGGAGCTGAACATTTTCTATCACCTTGTGACTCTGTAGCTGTCCTAACATTGTAGTACAATGCATTACTCACATGTTTGTGGTAGTGCTGGTATAAGCAAGCCTACTGTGCTGTTGATAGTATAAAAGTATAGCACATATAATTATGTATAATACATAATACTTGATAATGATCATAAACAACTGTTACTGTTATATATATATACACTGTACTTTTTATCATTATTTTAGAGCGTACTCTTTCTACTTGTTAAAAAGGAAAGTTAAATGTAGACAGTCTCAGGCGTGTCCTTCAGCAGGTATTCCAGAAAAAGGCATTGTTGTCACAGGAGGTGACAGCTCCATGCATGTTATTGCCTCTGAAGACCTTCCAGTGGGACAAGATGTGGAAGTGGAAAACAGTGATATTGATGATCCTGACCCTGTGTAGGCCTAGCCTAATGTGCATTTTTGTGTCCCAGTTTTTAACAAAAAGTTTTAAAAGTAAAAAAAGAAATAAAAATATTTTTAATAAAAAAGCTTATAGAAAGAGGATATAAAGGAAGAAAATATTTTTGTACAGCTGTACAATGTGTTTGTGTTTTAAGTGTTATTACAAAAGAATTTTAAAAGGTAAAAAATTAAAAACTTTATAAAACAAAAATTTAAAGTAAGCTGAGGTTAATTTATTATTGAAGAAAGAGTGTTTTTTTTTTAATTTAGTGTGGCCTAAGTGTACAGTGTTTATAATGTCTACAGTAATGTCCTAGGCCTTCATATTCATTCACCACTCACAGACTCATTCAAAGTAACTTCCAGTCCTCCAAAGTTCATTCATGGTAAGTGCCCTCTACAGGTGTAACATTTTTATCTTTTATATCATATTTCTATGATATAAAAGATCATCGATGATTGTACCTTTTCTATGTTTAAATATGTTTAGATACACAAAACTTAATATTGCCTACAATATTTGATAGAACAACACGCTGTGCCGTGTAGTAGCCTAGGAGCAATACACTATACCATATAACCTAGGCTTGTAGTAGGCTGTATCATTTACATTTGTGTAAGTGCACTTGATAATGTTCACACAATGGTGAAATTGCCTCATGATGCATTTCTCAGAATGTATTCCTCTTGTTATGTGATGCATGGCTGTAAGTGTGTGTGTATGTGTGTGTATGTGTTTAAAATCAGACTTTTAAATTATGAATCACATTCGAATTCTTTGGAAATCCAAATGAAGCAAGCTAATTTTAAAAAGAAACATCAGGAAATTTTTTCATGAATTTAATCAAAGGAAATAGCTAAGGCTGATAATTACATGTAGTTTATTCATTGCCTAAGCTCAAATAATAATTGCTCATATTTTTATTTTTCCTTGTTTACATAGTATAGATTTGACTGAAGTGTGCCAAAATATGTTGCTGAAGAGGAGCATGTCAAACACCTAGCATACAAACTTGCTCTTATGTTTCCTCTTTTATTTAAGGATCAGTGATTAACAAGACATGGACTTAGTCACCTCAGTTTGTCATCTTATTAAAGAAGATAATCTGTCCAGATAGATTATCAATGGGTCCTGGTTCTTTCTGCATCCCCTAGTTAAGTCTCCCCACAAAGTTCAGATTTCTTGCATGCTATGTGTTAAGCGGAAACATTTGCAAGTTAGGATAGCATAGTGCTATAGTGGCCTAAAATCTCCCCAGTACCCAATGAAAGTAGGCAACAATAATAACCACGTTAAGCAAAGCTAAGAATTCACCAGAAGAAACCAATTAAGGAATAGAGAATGACATCAGGACACACATTTCAAATTCTTTTTTTTTTTAATAACAGAAATTGAAGTTTCTGATGCTGCTACATTTTTTTCCCAGCACCCTCATCCAAGAGCAGTACTGAGGACAAAAGAGGAACTGATAAGATCCTAAGAAGCATCACCAACATCCTTCACTTTGAAGAGAAGCTGGCTAATGCAGTCAGAAGGCAAGAGAACAGTGCAAGGAAAGAATCCATGAATACATCAAGCTAAAGCAAGAATAGAAACCCCTGCATCCCATCTGAAGTCCACAGTAGAGGCCCTAGGTAATTGAGCAGAGATGGAGCAAATGAGTTATAGTTCACAAGAGTCACACACTGATTGGAAATAAGGGCCTCTGATATAGCATAATTAACAACATCTCAGAAGACAAAACAGAATCTATGTCCTGAGCAGGTATTTCATTCAGCCCCATCTGGGTTCTCCCCCTTCTTTATTCCACACCTTCATGCTAGAGCAAGTACAGAGACCACCTGGTACTTCAGTTGTTGATACAAGGAGGTGGGGTGGGGGTGAGCTGGGAGAAATAGTGTGGGATAACTAGGAAGAATATTTTTACTATTCCTCTCCAGAAAAATTTCAAAACTAATCATTTAGGAAAATGTCTCTTGAGTGGAGAAACCTTCAAGGTTGGCTTACAAATCTGTTTCACATGAACAAATAACCAAAAAAAGAATTGTGACATTAGTCCTCCAAGTGTGTCAATACAACATGGAGATATTTTCCTAACCCCAGAGAGTGTTAACACTCTTTCCCACAGTCACTTTGACTTTTCTGACATCTCATTCTAATCAAATTGTCATTAACATCTGTTTTAAGCAATAAGACATTCCCACGGTAGCAAAAAGTATAATGAGTTTTTCATATGGAGAATGTAATGGAAACAAATGAATTGAGGAAAACAATTCAACAACTTGAAAATTCTTGGGTTTAGAGAAAAGAAATACTTTGATCAATGAACATAAACCTTATTTTGTAAAGAGGAATGTGAAAGGAAAAAGAACCAACCAGTAGCAACACTTCAGTTATTTTGAGACAAGCCTCAACTAATGCTTCTTCCTTATTGCCCTTTCCAGAAACTTTCTCAAAATGGAGGGAGCTTTTTAGACTTACTCTTTATTGTCATTAGTGGGTTTTTATTGCCAGAAGTAATGTGGCAAGACAAAAAAAATTCCTTAGTAGAGGATAAACGTAGGTGTCAAAATCTATTGGACAATAACCAGTGTCTCCCTCCTGTCTTTTGTCTTTGCTGTTATAACCACTCAAGGGCTAACACTGTGTGTACCTCCCGTCATCACTTGTGTAAAATTTTACCCATTCCCATCACCACAAGAAGAACTGAAAGAGGACAATAACCAAAAGACTGTCAGTATGTTCTTTTTAGATCAGGTTTTTGATGACTTTCTACAGATAAGAGCTCTCCTCAGGCCAACTCAAACCTATGTTATTTTGGCTCCTTTAAAAACCATCCTGTAATATTGTACCCAAAATAATTATGCCCCCAAAAAAGACAAAGGAAGAACTGGTTTAGCAAAAGGCCTTTTAAAAAGCAAAAGCATTCTCTTTAAATGCTCTGAGATGTTGACTAACACTACAGAAAAATTCTGTGGAATCAAGATTTAAAAATTAGAATGTCAGAGGTGGAAAAATATCTCAAAGATATCTTGCATATCTCTAGTCTACTTACGTGAAATATAATTTCTCTTAATTACATTCCTTAATTTATTTGCTTACCTGATATTTAGAAGTCTATTAATTTCTGGTAAGCACTGGGTATGGAGTTCTGAACAAAATATATGGTCTCTGACCTCAAACAGCTTCAAATCTACTGACAGAGAATAAAACATTGTTATGCAAATAACTATGTAATCTGAATTTTGTAATATTCAGTTATTCCAGTTGCATGGAATTTATTATTTTTATAGGTAGCCATACCATTTATATAGTTCTATGAGAACTAATACTTCTAAGTCTATTTTTACCTCGTGTACTTTGGGCCATCACTTTTCCTATGCTTCTAGGAACCATCTTAACATCATGTTTACACCATCTCCTTAGGTCTTTGCCAGAATTTGAAAGCATGTATGTCAGGAGGATGCTCTCTCTTATTCAAATTTATGTTCCACCCCTCTTGATCTAGCACTCTCAGAATCCAGCACCATGTGAATTTTCCCAGCTTCTGCCAGTATATGTTGGCTAGGTCCTACAGCTCCTTTGGGGTAGAGTCCGTTTTCTTCTTTATCAGGATGTTCCATCATGTTCCAGCTGGGCCATTATTGTCCCAGTGGCAAGGAGGGGAAGTTGCGGAGATCCTGGTTGTAGCTTCTACTGTGCTGCAGGGGATGACCTGTCTGCATTATCTTCAAGTAAAGGGGGAATTCAGACTTTTAATAGAAAGGAGTAGACCACTTCTGAGGCTCTCAAAGAAGGGGAATCTGGGGATTCAAGGATTTTGGATGTCACGATTCCGTGAGTCAGAACCCCATTCTTTCCCATACAAGGCCTGATCTTGGCACAGCAGGCATAGCAGCAGAACTTGAAGTTCCACTACTCTTACTATGTGCTGGGCTTGGTCTTCAGCTTTTATTGCCCACTAACTGTAGAAGATCAAAATATATTTTGCATGGTACAAAGGAAGTACCCTGGCTAACTTAACTTTTAATTGCCTATTAATCACCCTCATCATTTAATTTTTTCCTAAAGTGCCCATAGAATATAGCATCCAATTTTTCTGTCCTTATAGCTATTACTTACCCAGTATTTTTCAAATGCCAGAAACATCACACATGCTAGTGTACTTTCTTTCACCAAAATATCATTGCAGTTCACCATCGATGAGTTTTAGCAGTAGCATGGAGACTTTATGCCAGGGACTATCTGTACTACTTCTCAGCCTTTTGGCTAAGATCAAGTGCAGGGACCATCTGTGTTTCAACTATTACCAGTGCTGAAATCCTCATTACCAGCTGAGTGGTAGGTAATTCAACTTCAAAAGTCCATTTTAATGTCTGCTTTCTTGACTCCACTTCTGGTACTATTGGTACTGGTACTATACTTCTGGTAATATTGCATGGTTAGTTCCCTATGAAGCAGACTCAGAGATTGCAGAGCAGGAAGTTCCTTTGGAAATGCGCTCGGAATCAGTATGTGTGGAATGGAAAAGCAACAGGAGACAGGATTGGGCAGAGGAATAAATTGGGCTGAAACATAGTCTCAACAGAGGCCTCAACTGACTCCATGGGGAGTTCTGAAACTGGGACAGATAGCCCTTTAGAGTTGTCTCAACTTAGGGCAAAGGGACAGATATTTATGTCCCTGAATCAATCAGTGAATATAGACCACGCTTGGAAGAAATCATGACCATCGGGGAGCTGGGACTCTTCAGCAGAGGAACTCACTAAACAGAATGGATAGCTGGGCTATCTGCTGGGAATCCTTCCAGCAGTTAGGAAAATAAATTTTTTATTCATGAAGGATATATTGGTGGTACACTGTGTCCATTACTGACAGCATGAGGAAACTTGTGGAAATATCCCATTTCAGCCAGGAATGTGGGTCTCATAGTCATTTGAACTGCGGTAACAAAATACTGTAAACTAGGTATCTTATAAAGGCCAGAAATGTATTTCTCACATTTCGGGAGATTGGGAATTCCAAGATCAAGGTACAGGTAGATCCAGTGTCTGGTGGGGGTCTACTTTCCGGTTTATAGATGGCACCTTCTTGCTGAGTTCTTACATGGTAGAAGGGATGAGTAGCTCTCTGGGGTTTATTTTACAAGGGCACTACTCCCATTCATGAGGGCTCCATCTTTATATCCTAATCACTCCAAAAGGCCCTACCTTCTAACACCGTCACATTGGGAGGTTAGGATTACAGACATTCAGACCATAGCAGTGGGCAAAGGCATGTGGGGTGGCTGGGGCTATCTCTAGTACTCTCTTCTTACACATGCTTTAATATCATTCTCCTTTGCAGTAAATGCATTGTGATGGCAAAACGGTATCTATTTCTTTGAAACCATCTCCTGTCGGAGCACCAAGAGGATCTGCTTTGGCTCCCTTATTGACATGCTTACTTTTTTTTTTTTTTTTTACTATCTCAAGAACACTTTAAAATATTTCAATCTTGAGAAAAGGAGTAGGACCCCTTGAGTCTAACTTCTTCCTCCACCCCACCTGCATCTTGCCTTCCTATCGAGTTGATAGCATTACTTATGCCATGTTCTCTGAGCACTCTTCACTCTGAATTGTAGAATAGCTCCACTGTCAAAGTCCACGAGATTTGCCTTGTAATTTGTAAATGGCGTTTTGGAGTTTAGGAATGCCCTTTCTCTTTATACAGTCTGGCTCTTAAATCAAGTCTCTCTTTAAAGAGTAAATAATAAAAAAATCTAATGAGATAATCAAAGCTGATTAGGAAGTGCATGGTTCCCTAATCATGCACATAATTTAAAGGATGAAGAATCACAAAGAATCACAGTGTAAATGAAATGAGTGTACTTGTGCTTAAAGTTTTCCAGATATTATACCTGATATAATAGTAGTTTTCCTAACTTTGTAGATATATTGGTATAATAGACTTAAAATTTTTAAATTATTTGCACCCTCCCCCTATCTTTGCATTTATTGTTATCCTCCAAGTGCTAAAAACAGCTTTCTATATGCACCACCCTCGAGGGTTGGGTAGATAGGACAGTGTACAGCAAATAAGCTAATTAAAATTCTAAATGAGACTTATAAATCTATAGCAGAAACAAATAATCTCGAAAACATAGCTTTCATTTGTGAGAGCAAGGCTCTATTGAGAGAAAAAAGGTAAGTGAATTCTGACATGACTGAGCCATTGTGACTTGAAGAAGATTATTGTATATACGACATGACACCAAAGAATAAGTTATATTACCCGCAGGAAAAGAGAGAGATGAGTTTGACCAAATGAAAGAAGAAAATAAAGGTGATGTATTGAGAGGTTAGAACAAGCTGGTTTCTAAGAAACATCCTTTCCTACCCACTCCTGGAAAGAAAGAATTGAAATCCCAGATACATTTGAAAGTATTAAAGAGCAAATGTTAACCATTTTCTGGACTCTGGAAAGTGGCCTAGGAGACCACAAACTTCACAGAGAAGTTCCATGTCACTGTGCCTTACAGGTAGATCAGCAGTGATTGAGTGAGTTGACTAGACTGAGGGGCCTGAGGGTGGACTTACAGAGTCATAGTCAGCTTGAGAGATAGATAGACATTATCAATTCTATCCATTACTCCTTTCTTCTTTCTTCACAGGCATTGAAAGAAACATTTTCCTCTACTCTTGCAATTAGGTGGACCATATCTTAATTTGATCAATAAAATGAGATTGGAAGTGTCTTAGTCAGTTTGGCTGCTATAATAGAATACTGTATATTGGTGGCTTGAACAACAAGCATTTATTTCTCACAGTTCTCAGGCTGGAAGGTCCAAGATCAAGGTGCAAGCATATTTGGTGTCTGGTGAGAGCCCTCTTTCTGGTTTGCAGATGGCCACCATTCTGCTGTATCCTCACATGGCAGAGGCAGAGAGGAAGTTGGCTCTGGTCTCTTCCTATAAAGACACCAATCCCATCATGAGGACCCCAGCCTCATGGCCTCATCTAGATATAATTAGCCTCCATAGTCCTCACTTCTAAATATTATCACTTTAGGGGAGAGGGTTCCAACATATGAATGTTGGGGGACACAAACATTCAATCCCTGGCAGGAAGTGATGCTGTATCAATTAGGGAGCTGATAGCAAAAACCCAAGGTGATTCTCCAGTCTCTCTTCCCCTACCATAGTGACAGAGAAGACCACATGGTCTAGATAAGATGACTACAAGTTGGTTGGCAGAATCTTCCTCAGCATGGCCTCTGAGTGACTGCATAGTCACTCAAAGACCCCACTACAGCAGAGGCCTTGCTGAGGAAGGTTCTACAAACCAACTGAGTGACTATGCACAGTGACTAGGCTTCTGAGTGACTATACAGAGGCTTCCAGAAACCTCGACAGACATGCAGTGTGAGTTAGAAATAAACTTTTGTGTGTTCAATCACTGAGATTTGGGGATAGTCTCCCTTCCCTTCCCTTCCCTTCCCTTCCCTTCCTTTCCCTTCCCTCCCCTCCCCTCCCCTCCCTCCCTCCCTTTCTCTTCTCTTTCTTTTCTTTTCTTTTCTTTTCTTTTCTCTGCAGCATAGCCTCTCCTATCCTAACCATGGGCAAGGGCAGAATCTCCAACCTTACAAACGGCAGAAGATTGAAGGCCCTAAAGAGACCTGAGGTTGGAATGAGTAGGATTTGGAGTGTATGAACTTCACGACCAAGGACCACAGAGAAAGCATAGACTCAGCAGTAATACCGGCCTCATGATGGCAATAAAAAGTCTTGCTGTGATCAGCAACACTATAGCTAAGGCAGAGACCCTTCTTCTGATTGCAGCATAATATGTAAGTTCTCTGGAAATTTAAGTTTACTTTAAGAAAAGGGAGGAAAAGTAAAGATACAAAGGAAAATCTTGAGTGATTGAATTTAAATACTAAGTTGATTGCTTTAAAATCAGAAAAGATGATATGCTGTGTCATCGTCATGTTCTGCTACAGAGACTGTTGTTTGTCTGCCCCTATATCTTTCTCTTTCCTTATGCCTTGATCTTATTCAGCACCATCAATGAAGTGGAAGTGGAAGTGTGTAACTTCTGAGAAATTTTCATAAAAGACAGCTGGAGGGTGCCCTTTGGCCTCTCTGCTACTTCCTCCTTCCTGCTGCTTAAGATGCAGATGCAATGCATTTGTAAGCACTGTGGATGGGAGAGCTCAGAGATCTCTGTGGGCCCCTACGACTCTAGGAAGCCACTGTATCAGGCCCCAGCTGCGTTCTCTAATCTTCATTAAACTTAAGAGCATAAACCTGCACATTTAAGCCTCCATAGTAGGGTCTCTGTTCTATGAAGCTGAACCGAATCCTAACTGATACCCTTTCCTTCTCTTGGTTATATGGCAAGCAATTTCAAGAACCAGAAGCCACAGGAAAGTAGCAGCAGAATTCTAGGTAGAAACCACATTCTGAAGAAGGATCTCAAAGATAACAGTGGGAAAGATTCTTTGTCCTGTGCATTGGAAAAGACAAATTCTCTAAGACAAACATTCACTGTGTTTTATTACTATATTCTTACAAATAGGAAAATTATCCTTTCCAAACCAGTTGCTTGCATCCTAAGAAATGTAGGGCTCCTTATGCTAGCATAAAATGGTGCATTAGTAAACCAAAATTATCCAGCATCAACTAATATGATAGTTGGACTTGCAATCCAGGAAGCACATTTGATGAAGTGTTAACTGTCTAAACAACAGTGAGGCACAGGTAAGTATGGGATTCCCAAATGTGCTTCAGCAATATTTTTGAAATTTTGCATTATTTAACACTGGAAATAATCTTATCTAATTCTTCTATATAGATTACTAGCCGGCTAGGTAGGAATCTTTATTACACTAGAATCTTGTCTTATCTTTTTGCATACTCTTGTGGTTAAAGCGATAATAAAATTTCCTAACTCTAAACCAATTGCTCATGCAATTGGTTTAATGCAATTGATTTAAAGCAAGTTAACAGCTTCTAGGAGACTGTGGCTTTCCCTCAAAGGAGTCTTTGTGAAATTTACAAGAAAGCTAAGAATCAGCTACTTGCTTCCATAATTTAGAGAGGCATTGAGAGTCTCTTTAAACCTTATTTAAACATGCAGTGAATAATCAGAATAGAAATGACCAGAGGTATTTTGTTTCCTCCGTCGTGTAAGAGACAGAAATGTGTCTTTCCATCTTTTTTTTGTCCTCACCCCCAATTCACACACATTTATGTGATGGGTCAAAACATTTTAACATATGTGCAAATACGTGTGTGTGTTCTTAACCTTCTTTTTTTTTTTTTTTTTTAACTTTTGCTGACCTAAGAGATTCTAACTCTGTCTACCAATCTGCCAAGTCTTCTTTCCTTCACCTTCTGTGAATAGTTCTGCTTTTTGCCATCTGGGTTCTTCTGAGCTTTGCAGAATAAGGAAAAAAGTGACAGGCGCAGGACAAATAATATGAAAGACTGTGGAATGGAGGAAAGAAAGATGGAAAAGAAGAGGGGTCTATGTATAAACTTCACAGTGTTTGTGAAATAAAAGTAAAGATATTGAGTTATTCTGAAATTACTTTTTGGTAGCTGGATTGTGTAATTGTGAGCAATCAGTCTTAGAGTTTAATAAGGTCATAGACTTAAACCCTCATACCTCTTTAGACAGTCCCCTCTAAATTAGACCCCTACTTCTCAACTATTGAAAACCCATGGATTAACACAAAAATTTTATGACCATCCACTTTCAGGGATTTTGACATGGCCCTTGAGGGCATAGTTGAAAGTCACTGGGGAATCTATGTTTTCTCACCAGCGAAGGCAATTTTGTTAAATTTACTTTCTGTAGACTGTATTATAAAAATCAATAGAATGCCTGTTAGATGTATATAGGTATCTTATAACATATTGAATAGTATATGACCTGTCATGCAAAACGTGGATGTCTTCCTGCCCCTGTTGCTTTAAATGGAGAATCCTGCTCCAAATCTGAAGTGAGTATTGTAGAGAGGATCCTAGCCAACAACCTGCAGGTTAAAGAGTAAAGTGAATAAAGTATGCTCAACTGTAAAATGGAGCTGTTTGGATTTGGGAGCATTAAGCAGGAGAGGTGAAAAGTAAAGACAATACTGGAAGCAAATGGCTGACTATTGAGACAAGAGTTGAAGATAACTCTGATAGGGTAGATCGCATTGAGTGAAGTAAGCTTTGCCAGCAGCTATCCCCAACAACAGACTGTGGGATTCACAGAAGTTTAGTAGCTCTAGCTTGTGGTATGCAGAAGAATTCCTCAAAAGTCTGTGTGCACAACATCCAAATGTCAGAATTCCCGCTAAGTTAGAAACTGCTAAGCTGCTTCTTTCTACATATATTTGAATCACATACCTTATTCTTATGACAAATATTCTGAAGAATTACTTATTTCATTTTTCTTTTTCTTTTGAGATGGAGTCTCACTCTGTCACCCAGGCTGGAGTACAGTGGCGCGATCTCAGCTCACTGCAACCTCCGCCTCCCAGGTTCAAGCAGTTCTCCTGCCTCAGCCTCCTGAGTAGCTGGGATTACAGGCGCATGCCACCACGCCCGGCTAATTTTTGTATTTTTAGTAGAGACAGGGTTTCACCATGTTGGGCAGGCTGGTCTTGAGCTCCTGACTTTGTGTTCTGCCCGCCTCGGTCTCCCAAAGTGCTAGGATTACAGGTGTGAGCCACTGTGCCTGGCATTATTTCATTTTTCATAGCTAGCTAAATAATGCTGTTCTATGATAAGATCTTTCTAAAACTTTAGGTGTCACTATAAAAGGCACATCTTGAATTAAAAAAGTTAAGATAGAGATAGAGTCTTAATTTTTTTTCCGTCCTATGTATTCTCTCAGCAGTTTGGTTCAAAGCATATTTGTTAGGAGTCAATGCTGCACTGGCTGCTGGAGATATGGTAACGAATGGTACCCTAGCCCTGGCATGTAGAAATACTTTCAATGTGTTAATAACATATTTTTTTTCCACAGTTAACTTTTCTATTAGTTAAATTAGGAAAATTTTTACATTGTCTTACGAATATCCAGTCTCTCAACTCAGCACTAGAGGGAGCAACAGTGCAGAAGAAAAGCTATGAAAATGTGAGCTTCACTATTATTATAGCAATATTGAAAATCACAAAATTTCAGAAAAAAAATATGGCTGAAAGGAGGTAGAATGTCTAACAGTGTGTGGAGGTGAGTGGCTAACCCGTCAGTAAAGTTAGGGAAAGCTGGAGATACCGCTTTGGAGAACTGAAATCTTTTTGAGGGATTTTTTTCCAAGAATAGGGCTTGAAATCTACATTAAACAGTATCTAGGAGACTAGGAGACATCACTCTCAAAGACTTTACTGCCAATATTTATTGACAAGTGCCACCAATCAGCAAGGATAAGACAAGAATAAGTGGGTAGAAACGTTTTTGGCCACAAGCAATACAATTTTGACCTGGGCAATGACCAGACCCTTGAAAACACAGTACTTTTAGAATGAATAACTATATAATGCACAGGACATGCTGTGTTATTTTCTGATAAGAACTTTTTGAAAAATTCAAAAAATTTTGAATGGAAGACAAAGAATTATGCAAAAATTTTAGTACTGAGGACAGAATGATGACTACCATGTACTAAGTGCCTGTCCTTGGCTTTAAATGTATTGTTATGTACAGTTTATTATGACCCTAATGAGGTAGGTAGTTCCAGCTGTATTTCTCATATTGGAAAATAGGCTTAATATAAGCCAAGTGTTAAAGAAATAATTACTGGATCATCATACTATATTTATGTAATATATAATACTGAAAATAAGTAAGATTAACATTCATATTGGTAGTCAGGAATATTATTAGGATTGATACAAAGTATGGCTAAATTTATTATTTGATTTAATATAAAGACCTAAAAATGTGTATTATCTAAGAAAAATTTGTAGCTTTTGGCTTTTGACATTTAGTAGAAGTATTAATCATTCAGAAGTAAACTATATATCTTATTACCAAAATAAAAGGCCTAGGTCATATTGTTCTTGAATTTTAAGTGATGGTTTAAATCTTAACATATTTGAGCTAATACATAGAAGTGCTTATTGTCAGAAGTCACTTAAACTCTATAAAGTCCTTGTAATTCCTTATACTGATTCAAGTGGTGCTGATATCACTTTCTTTGCAAGGTTTTATGTCATGAGTGTGTTGATGTGGACAATGGGATGTGATGTACCAACTTAGATTCTTTCCAGCTCCCTGGTGTTACTGCTTTTGTGTAGGACTTGCTAAACTAATAGCTGAGAACAAAAGGCACTGGGAGTTCACCTTTTAACATGAACAATGTCTACTGTTCCCCACTCCCGTAGTATGAGATACCCACCATTGAGTTCATAAAATGATGGGTTCTCACAGCACCCTGAAGGGTAAAAATTGTCACTTTCTTCTTTTTTTTTTGAGATGGAGTCTTGCGATCACTTTCTTGAGAACACAATTTCTAAAGCATTTAACTTCTCCCCCAACCCCTAGATTGAAGGAGGCACTAGATTTATATATTCTAAAATATGAAGGGTTCTAAAAATTGGAGAATGCCACTGACTTTTCATCTGGAGACTCGTGAAGGCAGAAACCCCACTGCCGAGGAGATCCTCTGATGCCAGAAGCCAGCAGAGCATGAGAGTATCACAGTGTTCCTATGAAGATGAGAGCTGAGGGCCACTATATCCCAGTTCCCAGAGTTCACGGAGGCTAGTTCTCAAGATTCCAAGTGAGAGAGCCAAGAGTTGAACAGAGGGACAGGAGCCACTCAGATTGCTCAGGAGAATGTACACAGAGGAAGGTGTGTGCACCACTGATGAGGGGTCAGGGGAAGATAAACGTTGATTAGAAAATTCCATATGCCACCTACATGAAGATCCCACATCCCTAGAGACAACTGACAGACTGAATCTGATTGAGAACACAGACTCCCGTCCCTTTGAAAGCACCCGACTATGACTTTTGTCTTTCACCAGGACCTTCCATTCCAGGGGTCAGACCAGGGATGGCATCAGTGGCAGAAGCTTGTGAGGAGGAACAGGATTGGAGGTAGGCAAAGAAAATCAGTGAGGCGGAGAAGGAGGGCATGGGAAGATGACCTAAATCTGCAGAGTACATGTTTCCATAAGATTAGGTGACAAAACTCAGTGGGTGGGATGGAATTCAGGAAGGACGGAAGCGGTGAGGAATAAGGGTTAAGAGCACAGGCTGCAGAGCTGAACTACCACATTTTGAATCCTGCCTACTCCATGTGCTAGCTATGGGACTTAGAGCAACTCATTGTCCCTGCACCGAGAGTTTTTGAGAAAATTAAATGGATTAGAACAGTGACTTGAATATAAGAGCCATGCAATCCATGTGAGATCTGATGTTGATGGTGATGATGGCACAAGTGGGCACACTGAAAGTAAACTTGACACCAGTTATGGGAAAATACATTCTAAGTTTGTACATAACTAAGTTCCAGTGCTTGATCTACACCTATTTCAGTGTTCCAATAAAGCACCATGTAAAGTTGATTATTAATGAAATGTCCTTTATCAACTGTATAGTGTTTGCAGTTATATATTATATGTTAACTAAAACTGAGCTCATAAAAATAATTACAACCAAAGAGTTGTTGTTTTCAAACCAAATAGAAACATTCTTTACTTTTAAAATTAAATCCCCAAAGGAGATTTAAATTTCCCATCTTGTGTTGAAACAAATGGCCATCATGCGCACTGTTATTTGTAAGATGAAATGTCCACTCTTTTTGCATAGCAACCAGACTATTTGCATCTGGTCCCTGCCTGCCCATCTAACCTCTCATTCTAATGCCACAGTATCCATTCTCTTGAGTTTACACAGAATCTTTGTTCTGCTTGGTGACACACACACACACACACACACACACACACACCCCTTTGCTTCAGGCAAATGTTTTCCTCAAATATAATTGAGGAGACACCTTCCATGAATCCCCTATTCATGCATTCATTCTTTTACCTAATAGCTCTTGAACACATAATTGTTTTAGGTATCATTCCATGCCCTCAGAGTAAAGGTGACAAACAAGATAGACAAGGTCTCTTCTCTCAAAGATGTGGCACACTAGTGCAAAGAAACGTAATAAATAGGAAAACAGGAAAATAAGTAACATTGGCATTTATATTGGTGGTCAGGGAAGACCTTACTGAGTGAAAATTTGCCAGCTACTAGAACATACATTCCATAATTACAGATATTTTTGTTTATTCTGTTCACTGCTGTATCTCTACTGTCAGGAACATCACTGATTTTCAGTAAACACTTTTTTAATGCAAATGTGAATGCAACAAAGAAGTTTGTGATGAATGCAAAAACAGAGCAGAGTGCTCCAGGCAGAGAAAAGAGCAAGTGCAAAGGTCTTAAATAGGTGGAAGGAGGTTGGCATGTTTGAGGAAAAGAAAGAGAAGAGGAGAGAGAGAGGAAGAGTAGAAGGAAGTGGGGTTAGACAGGGAGACAGGACTCGGCACGAAGGACTCTAGGAAGCCGCTGCGCACAGGAGGAAACTTGAACATACTCTCCTCACAAGTTATCATGTTGTGCTATAATTTCTTGATCTACCCTATTGAGTGTGTTTTTTTCACTTTGTTATTATTATTTGCTCTTTATTTTTTTTTGTAAGCCGCTTTCGTTGGGTTTACAATTTTTTCACTCCTGATTTTGATGTTTAGATAACCCATTTTTAATATTTCCTCATCTGTAATATGTGAACATACACTATAAAATTCATCTAAGGATTGCTTCAACTTTATTCTGTGTTTTGATGTGCAGTGTTTTTGTAAAACATGAAGTATGTTTTTATCATAATTAAGATTTCTTCTTTGAGGTTGGGCGCGGTGGCTCACACCGGTAATCTCAGCACTTTGAGAGGTCAAGGTGGGAGGATCACTTGAGTCCAGGAGTTTGAGACCAGCCTGAGAAACATAGAAAGACCATGTCTCTACAAAAAAAAAAAACCTTAAAAGTTAGCCAGGTGTGGTGGTATGCCTGTAGTCCTAGCTACTTGGGGGACTGAAGCAGGAGGATCACTTGAGCCCAGGAGTTCAAAGTGGCAGTGAACTATGATCACACCAGTGCACTCCAGGCTGGGTGACAGAGTGAGATCCAGACTCTAGGGAAAAAAAAAAAAAAAGATTTCTTTGACAATTAAAGTTTTAAAAGTGTACTTTTAAATCTCCAAGTATATGGACTCTTAATTACCTTGGTTTAATTTTTAATTTTGTTATGGTAAGAAAATGTGCTTCTGCAAGATATATAAATTCTGTGGCACTTGTTGAGATTTGCTTTGTAGCCTAATATGAAGTCAACTTTTATACAGTCATGCTTTACTTAACAATAGAGATGCATTCTGAGAAATTCATCCGTAGCTGATTTTCTAATTGTGTGAACATCGTAGAGTGATCTTCCACAAACCTAGATAGTGTAGCGTCTTACACACCTAAGCTATATGCTATAGTCTATTTCTCCTAGGCTACAAATCTGCACAGCATATTATTATACTGAATACTGTAGGTAATTGTAACACAATGGTAAGTACTAATGTATGTAAACATATCTAAAATAGAAAAAGTACACTAAAAATACAGTATAAAACATAAAAACCGGTAGACCTATTTAGGGCACTTATCATGAATGGAGCTTGCAGGACTGGATTTGCTCTGGGTGAGTCAGTGAATGAGTGATGAGTGAATGTGAAAGCCTAGGACATTATTGTATACTACCGCAGACTTTATAAACACTGTACATTTAGGCTGTACTAAATTTATTTTTTAAATTGTTTCTTCAATAGTAAATTAATCTTAGCTGACTTTTTTACTTTTACAAACTTTTCAATCTTTTTTTAACTTTTTGACTCTTTTGCAATGATACTTAAAATACATTGTATAGCTATACAAAACTATTTTCTTTCTTTATACCTTTAAAAGCTTTTCCTATTTTAAAATTTATTTTACTTTTAAAACTTTTTGGCTAAAAACTAAGACAAAAACACACACATTAGCCTAGGCCTACACAGCATCAGGAGCATCAATATAACTGTCTGCCACCTCCACATCGTGCCCCACTGGAAGACCCATTGGAAGGTCTTTAGGAGCAATAACACCCATGTCATCTTCTATGATAACAATGCCTGCTTCTGGAATAAGAAGGAAGTTCTGAAGGAATTGCCTAAGGATATTTTACAATTAGCTTTTTTTTTTAATAAGAAGAAGTACACTTTGAAGTAACTATAAAAAGTATAGTAAATATATAAACCAGCAAGTCATTTATTATCACTATCAACTATTATGTACTGTACATAATTGTATGTGCTATACTTTTATAGGACTGGCAGTGCAGTAGGTTTACACCAGTATCACCACAAACAGGTCAGTAATGCCTTGTGTTATGATGTTACAATGGCTTCAATGTCACAAGGTGTCACTAGGTGATAGTAATTTTTCAGCTGTATTCTAATCTTATGAAACCATCTTCAAATATGCAATCTGTCATTGACCAAAATGTTGTTATGTGGAGTATGACTGTATATATCCTTTCTGTACTTCAAATAATGTTTCTTTATGTGCAATATAGAAATCAAGTATGTGAACTGTTGTTCAAATCACCTCTTGACTCATTTTTTATCTGTTCTATCAATTACTGAAGGAACTGTTCTAGAGTTTATAATCATGATTGTAGACTTGTCACTTTCTCCTGGTAATTGTGTCAGTTTTTGCTTTTCATATTATTGTAATTTATATATTGTCAGGTGCATATACAGATTTAGAATTAACGTATTTTTCTAATGAATAGCTCCTTTTATCATGGTGTAACAACCCTGTTTACAAATAACAATGCTTCCTCCCACCCAATTGTCTATTTTGTCGCTGCCACTATCACCTGATTAGCGGGCCCACACATATCATTCTGTTTTTCTACTTCCTGTATTTTACTTTGTGTCCTTTCTTCTCTCTTCCTATTGGATAAATGATGATTTTTCAAAATCTCCTTTTATTGTAATTGCACGGTGAGAATGTCAGAGACGTCTAAACCAGAGTGACCCCATCTTGAATAAAGGCTGGAGAAAGCAATACCTGCTGGGTTACATTCCCAGAAAGTTAGGCAGTCTTGATCACAAGATGCTTCTGGTTGAAGAAACGAGTTAATGGAAAAAGGCACTCTCAGTTTAAAATAAGTTTTGCTCGGCCTGGAGCAGTGGCTCATGCCTGTAATCCCAGCACTTCGGGAGGCCAAGGTGGGTGGATCACGAGGTCAGGAGATCGAGACCATCGTGGCTAACATGGTGAAACCCTGTCTCTACTAAAAATATAAAAAATTAGCCGGGCGTGGTGGTGGGTGCCTGTAGTCCCAGCTACTCGGGAGGCTGAGGCAGGAGAATGGCATCAACCCAGGAGGTTCATGCCTTGCAGTGAGCCGAGATCGCGCCACTGCACTCCAGCCTGGGCGACAGAGCTAGACTCCGTCTCAAAAAATAAATAAATAAAAAATAACTTTGGCTCTAAAGATAATAGTACACTCATAAATTCTTCCTGAAATTAATAATTACAAAAGAGAAAACAATACTAACAGTCTGTCACAAGCTAATCACAAGCGTTTATAATAAAGTACACTGTTCTTATCTGTAATATCCGATATAAGCAAGAGTTACATTTGAGGTAGGGGCATTCCTCCTCTTGCTTTCTGAGGACACTCTACTCTGTATTGGAGTAGTTTCTAACAAGCTATTTTAACTTTATTGTACACTGTGACTCACCCTGAATTCTTTCCTGCACAAAATCCAAGAACCTGCCCTTGGGATCTAGGACGAGGCCTCTTTTCCAGAAGTAAGAATAGCTTAAGTCATTATGCTTCAAGTTGATAAATCTGTAATGTTCATATATTATGTGCAGAGGATAAAGATAAGTGGTATCTTTACTCTCCTCTCAGACAATATCTAATTGGTAGAATGCATTAGCTCTCATCTCTGCATTCTACTCACATGTCATTGCTTCTAAATTTAATCTTGCTTTTAAGCACCCATGTTTCCAAATTAACCATTTTTGTTATGGGGATTGTTATTTTTTTTAGAGTTGATGCTAATTTAGTTGAGCCCACATACGTTACCCATTGTTGGCTTATTCCACCTTGTTTCTTGCCTCTCACTTCTTCCTTCTGAGGTCAATTTCTTTCTTCAGTGAAAATTTATTATATTATGAAATCTCACAGTTATCATCTAAAAATGTCTTTATTTTATCCTCCTTCCTGAGTAATATTTTAGTTAATTTACTTTATGTTGACAGTTATTTTTCCCTTTGAAGACATTATCTTGCCATCTTCTGGTATCTGTTGTTACTATTGATAATATATTCCTAGCAGTTTAATTCTTGTTTCTTTACAGGTTATCTGTCTTTTCTCTCCGGTTGCTTTCAAGATGTTTTCTCTACTTTTGAGTTGTGCAACCTTTCTTTCATGTGGATTTAATTTTTATTTACTCTACTTAGGAATTGTATGTTTACTTGTATTTCATAATTTCTGTAAACTCCTTATACATATTGCCTCAGAGAGTCCCTTTCCATTTCTTTCTTCTCTCTTCTTAGGAACTACTGTTAGATCTATGTCAAACCTTATCATTATATCCCTGTATATATTAAACTCTCTGTCAAACTTTCCATTTTTGGTTCTCTCCATCTGTATCCTGGATAATTTATACATTTTGTCAAGTTATTTTTCTACTACATGAAGTTCTTTGTTGCATTAATACATCTTATTGTTTCTGCAGACTGTCTTAGATGAATTTTTTCCCTTGTACATATTGCAATTATTTTCTTGAGTTTATCTTTAGAGGTGCTTGTTTATTTTCCTGCGGGAATCCCACAGCAATGTGTTGGGTCCTGGTCCTTTGAAGCAGACATGTGAGATGAGGATTCAGAGATAGTTTCTATTAAGGAGGTTCTCTAGAGGAAATTGGCAAGAGAGTGGGGGAAGACTGAACAGAGAAGTGGAGGAAGCCAAGCAAGGGTATGAGCTCAGGCAAAATCCCACAGAAAGTGATCTCAGGCTTAACCTGCAGGGGACTCTGGTAAGTTATGCCTTAGAGTTATGAAAACAGAGGCAAGAGAGCTGCTGAAAAACTTAGGGTGGGGGATGTGTCTTGGAGGGCAGTCCTCTGCAAAAGGAGACTCAGTAGATGCTGGCTGTTGGATGGGAAAACACACCATAAAGGGAGTCCCCTGCCCAGCCCCCCCACCAAAATAGTAAAAATGGGCCCAGGGGATCTGGGTGAAGCATTGGACATTGACATTATCCACGACAATGACTCCCATGGGCAATTTTGCATTCGATTCTGCCAGGCACTGAAGAATGTAACTGGCTAAGAATCAACATTGATGTTTGTTTTCTCAGCTTGGGGATTCTCGGATACCATGTAGGTTTCTATTCTTAACCTGTGAAAAGTGCAGGCCAAAGGAGCTGATTTCTTATTTACGATTTGTTTTCACCAAACAAATGAAGCCAAGCAGAAGCCAAGGCAAGCTTGAAGGTTAGGTCCCTGGGCTGCTAAGCCATTTTTTTCCTTCCTAGCTTCTCTTTATATTGAGGATACAGCTCTTCTGGGAAAGGCCATTAAGCAAAGTTTCAGTTCCAAACCCTAATCCCCTGTCCTATGCAAGGGTTAAAATCCAACCCAGGTATTAGCTAATTTAATTATCCCTCCTCCTCCCTCTGTATCACCCCCTAGGGCTATCATAGTATAAACTCTATACTTACAACCCTTTGATTCTGATATCTCGCTATTTCTTTTTCTTTTGAGGGAGCTCAGCTATGCATCAACATCTTCTGTAAATCCAGATTTTCTAGGAGTTCATAGTGTGAATGATTTTTCCGCGTTACTGAAATCCAGAGTCCTAATAAACGTTTGCCTGTTCATTATAAGAATATAAGCGCCTTGAGGGTAGGTACTATGTGTTTTGCTCTCCATAACTTGGACCACGTAAATTGTAAACCTTTGATAAAGATTTGTCAAACAAATGACTGTCTAAGAAAATATCTTCCTTGAAGAAACAAACATTATTTTGTTAATAGTCCATATGTGAGACCACAAAAATTTGAGTATAGATATGTGAAAGAATGGTGCCAGGCACATATTTGTAATAGTGGCATAATTTCTTGTACAGAATAAGAACTCAGTGATCATTATTATTTCTCAGTCACTAGTTATAAAATGAGTTGAAAGTAAAAATGTCTTGATACTTTGCTGTACACATTTATTGCTAAATATGTTCACTTTCTCATAAACTCCTTAGTCATCAATGTTATTTTAAACAGTCTCATGGAGTGCTTACATTTTTCAGAAACTACATTGTTGTAGTAATAGCCCCATTTCAGAAATTTTGGTCTAAAACCTGAAATACCTTTTATTCCTTTTCTCTGATATCTCACGTTCCAATAAAACATGAGATTCTGATGTAGAGAGGGTGAAAAAAAAGATCTCATTATTTTGATGTTAATGGTATGCAGACACTTCTTGATTACAGTATGTATCAGTGACTATAGCAAAACCAATGGAGCTTCAATGACATCAACTATTATTTCCCAAATCATGTTATTTTACTTTAATGAGTTCTCCCCTTTAGTCTCTTATCTCTACCCTTATTGTCATTACTCTGGTCCATGAAAATGAAGCAACAATCTCATAGCTGTGAGATGTCTCTACCTCGAGTAGGTCTCTATTCCAGCATCCAATCTGCAGGTCACAGTCAACTTAATCTATCTAAAAAACAGTTTTAATTATGTATTTTTCCTGTCTAGAAATCTTCAATTTTTTTCCTATTTCCTCATGAAATAATGAATTCTTTAATCTGTCAACTAAAGTTTTCCTTGATTGCAATCTAACCTATTTCCTTTCTTTTTTTTTTTTTTTACTCTTCAGATCCTCCCTGAACTCTGGTCAAACTGAATCTATTGCTATTTTGATTCTACTACAGATTCTTTACTTTTGCTTACGTTAGTTTTTTTGTCTTGAATGCTCTTAACCAAATGTTTCAGTTATGCTCAGTTTTGTCACGGTGGGAGCTCAATAAATATGTGTGGTATCCATTGTTTCTTGAATTAAGTGCAAACCCTTAACTGCATATGGTCCTTAGCTCAATTTGCCTAGCATTTATATAATGAAATCATTGAAGCTCCTATGGTTTTGCTACATTCAGTGATAGTCACTGTAACCAAAGAGTGTGAAATGCCTTTAACTCCAAAAAAATGAGCTCCTTTTTTCATGCTTTCTACATTAGAAAAAGCTCAGGAAACTATGAATCTATGACTGTACATGTTTGCACACTATTCTGCTTACAAACTTTGGACTATGTCTGTGAAAGGGCTCTTCTTACTGTTATTTTGGTTTTCTGCTTACTTAGTCCTTCAACTTTGGATCTTTTATCTTGTCTCTCTTTCAAACGGTTTGTTGTTGTTGTTGTTGTTGTTGTTGTTGTTGTTTTGTGGGAGTGTGTTCAAATTCAAACTGGAAGTAAGATTCTTATCCTTTTAGTCTTGGTTTGGACCCTGGCAGTCTTGAGTGAACCCTAAATGGCCCTGATGTTGAGATCAGTGATGGAGGAACACTGGAGAGAGGGTGTAGAGAACACTGTGAGATTAAAGAGTTCTGAGAATGGAAGTGGAGAAAAGTTGATATCCTCAAGAAAGATAAACAGGAAGAACATATCACCACTATAGCCAGAGGATGAGGTGAACATATTTGTATGCTCTGTGGTCTACAAATGTATTTTATTTTGGTAGCATGAGAGGAATTGGCAAGGGAAGTCTCTCTTTTACACTCTTTTTTCCTGGAAAATAATATATGATTTCTAGAATAACTGAACAACCGAAACACAGCTTTCCTTGGTTTTCATTTTATTCCAAAGAAATTGGAAATTCCTATTTGCAGAATGAATGACTGAAAAGTAGAATAATGTCTTGAATTCTGATTTTTTTTTTCTGTACTGCTATCCTAAAAGTACTGACACAATTTTGCCCCTTCTAATTGTTAGTGAAAATTACCATTGTCCTACCTGGTAACAGCCCATATAAAGCCATGTGAGAAGAAAGTAGGCTTCCTGCAAGAAAAACTTTTAACAAATCATTCAAATGCAAAGCTGCAGGACCAATACTGACCTCTTCAAGCTATAGTTCCAAAACACAAAGCATGATTTTGACTTTCTTAAAGGTAACTTGCTGGACTGAAAATATTCTAGGGTGGTATTAGTGTAACACATAACAAAATCAGAGAGAAGCCTCAAGACTATTTATAAGGAGTGTTGCATGTTGATTCTGCCCAGTTGGGAAACAGACTTATAGCAATAATGGCCACGTGCGGCCCACCATCCTGCAAGGAAGAGTTCTTTAACGCTTTATAAAGACAGGAAAAGGATTTGTTGAGAATAACTCTATTTACACTGCTAGTGATAATTGTAGTCAGTGTCTTATAGAGATAGTTATGATTATGGTATATAAAAAGTATCAGCTATTCAGTTAATTTCTGATATTAATTTCCCATTCCTTAGAAATCAGAGAAAACTCTTAGGCAAAGGTAGCAGGTATCTCAGCTTGCCCTTACGTGAAGCCATGACCATCCTAGGGTATAAGAATATCTGCATAAATCTGAAATACTAGAGGGCCAACACAACAATCTGTTTTTCCACTAAGAAAGAACTCATTCTATAAAAAAAGGAGAAAGTGGAAATACAGAAACTTGGAGAAGTCCAATACGTTACTGTCACTAGATTATCAATTAGACCAGCCATTCTCAATCTGAGAGCAAGAAAGCTGCAACAAAAAAGTAAGTAAAATCTCAAAAAGCTGTTGTTCTATAACCTTCATGAGACATTGAGTCCTCTTAGAAGTGATGACATTGATGACACAGGGACAGAATGTTAGCAATGTTGATGAGTTGTGTTATTGATAAAATGATAAAATGCTGATTTCAGTGCCTTGTATTCTCTGGATATAAAACATCAGAACCCCTGAATAGAAGTCAGAACCCTCAGTCTTGGGCTATGTAGCATCCTCAGGAGTAGTGTCTGGGAAGTGAAACTGCCAATGGTTTGGCATAGCTACCACTCTTAACTTAGGAGCAATTAGACACATTATCCAGTGATCTAGATTAGGAGATAGGAAAATTGGTAGAATCCCCGATGGTAGTCAACAGCATGTTATTAGAACTCTTGTGAGACACCCACTGGATATTCATAAATTTACTCGAGAAGAACTTCTGGGGGTTATATTGCTTGAGGAGTAAGTAGGATTACAGATCTTTTTTTCTTAACTAGTTGTTTTTATAACTTTGTTCTTAAATTTGAAGTACTGCGCCTCAGGGAATGAGGGTTACATATTTAGAATCAGAAGAATTATTTCTCTTTTTCTTTTTTTGAGTCATCCAAGCTCTGTGTGTCTGTGACAGACACTAAGATGTACTGCTCAGATCTTCCTTCAAGAGGGCTTTCTACCCAGCTATGAGGAATATAGTAGCTGACAATCTCCCACAATTGGCTCTCTTAGGATCGGCCTTAGCTATTAATTAGAGGTCAAGTTCTTCACAGTATGCCCCTATCAATTAGACCAGCCATTCTCAATCTGAGAGCAAGAAAGCTGCAACAAAAAAGTAAGTAAAATCTCAAAAAGCTGTTGTTCTATAACCTTCATGAGACATTGAGTCCTCTTAGAAGTGATGACATTGATGACACAGGGACAGAATGTTAGCAATGTTGATGAGTTGTGTTATTGATAAAATGATAAAATGCTGATTTCAGTGCCTTGTATTCTCTGGATATAAAACATCAGAACCCCTGAATAGAAGTCAGAACCCTCAGTCTTGGGCTATGTAGCATCCTCAGGAGTAGTGTCTGGGAAGTGAAACTGCCAATGGTTTGGCATAGCTACCACTCTTAACTTAGGAGCAATTAGACACATTATCCAGTGATCTAGATTAGGAGATAGGAAAATTGGTAGAATCCCCGATGGTAGTCAACAGCATGTTATTAGAACTCTTGTGAGACACCCACTGGATATTCATAAATTTACTCGAGAAGAACTTCTGGGGGTTATATTGCTTGAGGAGTAAGTAGGATTACAGATCTTTTTTTCTTAACTAGTTGTTTTTATAACTTTGTTCTTAAATTTGAAGTACTGCGCCTCAGGGAATGAGGGTTACATATTTAGAATCAGAAGAATTATTTCTCTTTTTCTTTTTTTGAGTCATCCAAGCTCTGTGTGTCTGTGACAGACACTAAGATGTACTGCTCAGATCTTCCTTCAAGAGGGCTTTCTACCCAGCTATGAGGAATATAGTAGCTGACAATCTCCCACAATTGGCTCTCTTAGGATCGGCCTTAGCTATTAATTAGAGGTCAAGTTCTTCACAGTATGCCCCTGCGGCCAACGACTGAGCAAAGTAGTGTTACAAGGTGGTATGAACAAGGGCTTAACTTTGGACACACTGCTCTGGAGCTCCCTGTTGCGCTGGCAGAAACCTCGTCATGTTCATGTCATGGTTTGAAAGCTCCAAATTCTACTTTCTACAGTTTCTTTTTAAGATATTACTTCTCCAATAAACTGTTTGCATTGTTAACTCATGTTGACATTTGCTTTCTAGAGAATCTAACAATGAAGAAGACTGAAAAAACATGTAATGGAATGTGAAAACAAAAGTCTTTCAGTAGAGCTCAGTGATACCAGGCACCTACCAGGCAGTCCTCTCCCCACTTCTGGGTGGGTGGGAGACTTCGGAGCAGTCACACACAGAGTGGAACAAGCACAAAGGATGGCTCTGTCGCCCAGGCTGGAGTGCAGTGGCACGATCTCAGGTCGCTGCAACCTCTGTCTCCTGGGTTCAGGCAATTCTCTTGCCTCAGTCTCCTGAGTAGCTGGGATTATAGGCACCCACCACCACGCCCTGCTAATTTTTGTATTTTTAGTAGAGATGTGGTTTCACTATGTTGGCCAGGCTGGTCTTGAACTTCTGACCTCAAGTCATCCACCAGCTTCAGCCTCCCAGAGTGCTGGGATTACAGGAATGAGCCACTGTTCCCTGCCAACTCTCTGTCTTTTGGGGTATTGATTCTGCACTCTACAACAAATACAAAAAAAAAAAAAAAGAAAGAAAGCAATGCATAAGGGCCCACTTCAAATGCTGGTACTACTTTGAGCATGGTCTCTCCCTTTACTTCAACTCAGAATTAAAACTTTTGATTTTAAGAATTATCTAAATGGTTTTAGCCACATTATTTTTGCAAGTCCAAAAATAAAATGCATTTAAATGAATTTAAATGCATTAAATTTGTATTAAACTAAGAAGCATTCATAGTTTAATACATATTTAAAGTAAATCATCCTGCAATGTTCTGAGAGAATCTTAAGAGTTTGGTTATAGACCACTAGTACAAAACATAGACTGTTTTCAGATAACTTCTACAGTGAAAACTACTTCTGGGTCTGGAATATAAATCAAAAGTCTTAATTCTGAGTTAAAGCAAAGGGAAAGACCATGCTGAAAGTAGTACCAGTATTTGAAGTGGGTCCTTATGCATTTCGTCACCTACAAACAGCAATACTTAACTCTGGAAGGGAGTTGCAAAAGAATAAAAAGAGACTAACACAGTTGGAAAAAAAGTTTTGTATATTTTCCCATCCTTTGACTAGGTTTTGTTGTTATTGCTTTTGTTTCCTAATGAGGACAGGTATCAGATCCTCACCTTTATAATTAATATGTCAATTTTCAGACATGGGTTATGTCCATTGTACTATTTGCTGTTTTCTTAAATGGAGTAAGAGAGATCTTACTCCACTTAACTTCCTCTTTGTCTTTTAAAATAATGACTTGAAATATTTTCCCTGGTGTTTTTTTTCAGGGAAACAAAAAATTGAGGGAGAGATGGAAAGAGAAAGAAAATTGTGGAAAATGTTTTAAGTGAACTTAATGTTTTTTTTTAATGCTTTTTACTTTCCTTGCCAAGTTTAAGCCCATGACATCTTGACTAGAGACTAAATATAAGAAAGCTCCAAACAAATGGAGTCTGGTTAAAATATGGTCACATATGCCTATATTATGTTTTGAGAAGGGATTTTTTCAGTGCAACAAGTATGTATGATAAATAAGCACAAAATAATAATGTCTTATAATTTTATGGTGTTTTACAGTTTGCCAAGGGCTTCCACTTTAATTTATTTTAACCTTTTGTAAAAATACCCAAAAGGCTGAACTGTTGCTTTCGGAGTTTTCAGAGGCTTCAGCAAATGAAGCAGACTGAAAAAACATGTAATGGAATGTGAAAACAAAAGTCTTTCTTGAGACCTTAAGACAGTAGATCTCAGAGATACCAGACACTTACCAGGCAGCCCTCTCCTCGCTTCTGGGTGGGTGGCAGACTTCAGAGCAGTCACACACACAGTGGAACAAGCACAAAGGATGGGAGTGAAGTTATAGCACTTCCCAAACTTCACCTCCTGATCTTGCCTCTCCCCCTTTAAATTTATCAGGCATGATGCCATATTGTCCACTTTGTCTTTCAAACTGCGGGAGACATGTATTAAGCCCACAAACTGATCTCCTTAAGTCCCTTCTCTAACAACATGGGGTTAGGAGGAAACTTCCCTGACTCTTCCTTTTTGGGAGAGTTCTATTTAAAGACGCTTCTTCAAAAGTCCCCTTCAAAAATCATCTTCTGCATGCTAATCCTTGACTCCTTCTTTGCCCTTGTGGGCAAGGACATTTTAAGAATTATCTAATTGGTTTTAGCCACATTATTTTTGCAAGTCCTGCAGGGTGTTCTGCCTCAGTTTGATATATGGTATCTGTTAGTCTCAGTCAAAACTTCTATTTTGATAGCTTATTTCAAATAAATTTTTGAAAACCTAGTGGCACCCATGCACTGCTTACACAGAAGTAAATGCCATGAGATCTGGTTGTCTATCAAAATTGATGGTCCCCACTTCAAAATTCATCCTCGATATTAAATACATGGCTTCACATCTCAGAAGATCATCACCCAACATTTTTGAGCATCAACTTTGTATAAGCTAATATAAAATTCTACGTTCACTTCTGATCTTCTAGATGCTAAGCCCAGACAAAACAAAAATATTTAAAATAATTTCAAATATTTGAAAAACATTGAAAAGTCACATTTAACAGTCATTAAAAAACGGGACAAAATTTATAGCAACACATAAGGTCTTTTAATACTTTCTTAAAGACATAAGGTCTTTTAATACTTTCTTAAATACTTTCTAAAGGCCTGTAGCTGTTCCCTTGTCTTTTGAGCATACAGCTAGATTATATTTTCCAGCCCCATTTGCAGATATGCATGACTGTGTACTTAGCTCTAACCAACAGAATATGTGTCCCTTCTGAGACAAGGCATTTAGGGAGACTGTGCCTTTTTCACACTCTCTTTTCCCAATCATTCTCTGAATGCCTTACTACCATGCCCCAGACATTCTGATTTAATTCATATGGGGTGTAATCTTGATATCAAAAAACTTAAAACCTCCCAAGTAATTCTAATTGCAAAGCTTGGGAATGACTGTCTTAGGGGATAGCAGACCCACCAGCTAGGGGAGTCACATGGAGGAGAGTCACATCAAGTCACATGGAGGAAACCCAGCTGTTCATCAGAAACATAAACCTTCATCTACAGTAAGAAGACTTTTGAGGTCTCTGAGAGAGTATTGTACTGATTCATGTACTTAGTAAATCAGCAAAAGGTACAAGAGGAAAATCATAATGCTAAAGATTACAGGTAGGTAAATGATATGCAGTTGCTTGTATTGCTTTTGCTTCTAAAAAAACTTTATATTAACATATAGTATGAGAAATAAAGACATTTCTACCATTTAATTAGTAAGTCTATTCGTAGTCATGTGTCAAAAAATAACACAAAGAAGCAGATGAGTATAAAAGATCTCTATATAGGCTTATGCAAAATAGGAAAAAAAGTAAACAATTTAAATGTTCACCTGTTGGCTGGCTTTCCACTGATCTTAGAATAAAATCCAAGATCTTTATTATGACCAAGGCCCTGACTGTTCTGTCTCGTATCACCTCACTTTTCCTTGCACTAACTATATTTCAACTACAAGCCTTCTATTGGTTCCTCAAAGGTACCTCCTTCCTCTGCAGGGCCTTTGCATATGCTCTTTTGGTTTAGAACATGAGTATCTTCCCAAAACTGTCTTAGCCTTCACCTGGCTTACTCCTTCTCATCCTCCAAGCTGCAGCTCCAATGTCATTTCTATAGGGAAACTTCTCTGATTAGATCTAGTCTTGCAATAATACAATCTCATCCCATTCTGTACTTTCCTTTTTTAGTACTTACCATGATTTTAATTTTAAAAGTCTTTGGTATTATTTATTTAATGGTTTTCTTCCTTGTTAGACTTAAGGCTCTAGAAAGACAAGAGGTATGTCTAAGTTGCTTCATGCTATTTTCTTCTACCACATGTGAGTCACATGGTGGGCACTCAGTAAATATTTGTGAAAAGAATACATTAACCCAAGTCTTAATACTCTTTGTTTCAAGAAACAAATGATTTCTGAGGTTTGTGGCTGATAGAACCAAGAATATAAACCTGTTGATTTTCACTACTTTCTTTTCATCAAGATCTGATGAACTGTACTTTCTCAGGCTTAAGACCGATATCTGTTTCCCCAAATGAATCATTAGAGAAGGAAATGCACTGTTTAAATGGTTTACATTTGTAATAGAATAAAAAATTGTTATTACGTGACCAAACTACTGTAATCGCTAGTGCTTATCTAAGCGTATTAAATGCCCTCAGGATCTGGTTCCCAGATTGGTCTCTGTGATCTGCTATTCCAGGAACAACATCAAGTTTTTTTTGTTTTTCTGACTTTAACCTTTTATAGCATTTCCTAAGGAAGTTCATCTGTATTCACATCCTCAATAGAAATTTTGAATATTAAGTATTAAAGGCATGTGTATGAGTTGGTATTCCAAAATTATAAGATACATAATAATAGAGATATACATCTTAATTATGCTTTTGTTTTGTACAAGTGAGTATCTTTTTGTTTTGTACAAGTGAGTATTCCCACAAACTGTCATCTTTGGGGAAAACTGCTCTCTAGTTTCTATTGCTTGACTCATGTTAACTGTAGTATGATTTAGAACAAAGTTCATTGCTTCAAAAACAATTTGTCTGTCTCAGGATCCTGTTGGGCTCACATCTACAAGTGTCCTCACTGATATCTCTCCAGAAGCACAGCTCATTACTCTTAAGCTGGATAGTTATCTTCACTTGAATCTCTGCTCTCATTCTAAAGAGTTATGGATGGAACACTACCAAGTTTTCCATGAAAGTTGCTATGGGGCAGTGGGAGCTGAGGTGTAGGCTTGCTTCATTTGAGCCTGCTGGCTTTTTCTCCTTTGTCCTCTGGGTAATCTATGTTTGCACTTGGGAGAAGAGAAGGAAGGAGTAGCAGCCACTAAGACTGCTGCCTCTAGGCTGTCTTTATTTGGTGAGGATTCTGCTGCTGTAACCGGAGCCTATGCTAAGTGGGGGAAACACTGCAAAAGCCATATCAAAGGTGGTGCTACTACTGCAGTTACAGGAAGAAAGGGTTTTAGCACCAATTTAATACCTAGTATGTGTGGCAGACACTGCTAGACCCAGAGTTAGGTGACACATAAAATGAGATATCTGGGAAGAGTGTTGAAACAGGACAGAATTCTTCAGAAAGGAAAAATAGAAAAGGATTACTTAGGCAGTTGGATGAGACAAAGTAAGGACACTGAAGTGGTTAGAGCAGGGGTGTGCCGGGGCTGTAAGTGGTAGAGTTTGGTTGGAATATAAGGAATCAGTGAAGATGGGCAAGCTTTGTGAAGACTTTAAATGACAGAGTGACAACATCAGTGAGTCATGGGAGGTTTGTGTGTGTGGTAAAGCTGTAATTGGAGATGTATTCTGGAAAGATTAACATGATATGTATGTGTAAAATGGTTCAGGTGGGAGAGGCCAATTAGAAGATTGATACAATAATTAATGATTGATATAATAACTAATAACTATCGATACAATAACATTACTAATACAATAACTAATCTAAAGGAGAAAAGAGGCAGAAAGGAAGAGATGGAGGCCAGTCATTGCTGAGTGTATCGTAAATGATTGAATATTTGTATAAGAATGGAAGGGAACAGAGAGACAGTGAGTGATGAATTCAAGACTAACTCCAAGCAAGGCTTTAAGTCAGAGGCACCAGTGCAATACATAGGAAAGTTGGAGGTGGAATTAGTTTAGGAGCAGGGAAAGAGAAGAAATAGACTATGGGTAGTTTAAATTTTTATTATGCCTCCAAGGCACTCTAATATTATGAATTTTATATAAGAAAAAAGTTTAGATTTTACCAAAGTCCTAATGATATGTAGAAATTTTTCTTGACCAATATCAATATTCTAGGTTTTTCCTACTGTCCTTCAAAATAATGTCTAACCCTCACTGTATTTGTGAAGCAGACATATTCTAATTACCTGCCTATTTATCTCCACTCCATAATGTTCTCTATGCTCCTTGCTCCTGGAAGGCAGCAGGAAAAATTCTACCATATCCGCAGTGCCACTAAGTTGGTGGTGGGGGTGGAGAGGAATGTAATTATTTATCTTTTGTTAGTTTCTTCACCAATGTCACAGGAATTATTAAAAACTTAGCTTATAGAATGGAAGTGAGGTTTGCCTACCTAGTGCTAGGCCCATGGTAATTGCTCAAATTAGCGGTCGTTATTGTGACTTTTCATGAATAAAGTAGTAAATCCTTGTGACTTCCAAGTAGAATCATAAAGATAGGATGGTTTTTTACTTTTCTTTTCTGGCTCCTTCTCCAACCAGGTTATCCATATAATTGTGTCATTTCCCAACTCAGTCAATTTTTACCTAAATGATGAGGATGATTGCTTCCACTTTCTTCTTCACAGAATCTGGACAAAGAAATTGCTGAAACAATCTGCTGAAGGAAGAGAGGCACTAACTACTTGTGTAGTAAAAAGTTTGATTTTGACTGTTTAAATGGCTATTTCTCTAGTGCATAGCTAACTCAGTAAGGAAACAAAGATCAAGATTAAATTATATTTTCTGTGGCCCAAGAACTATGTTTGGCATAATGATTCTCCACTATTGCCTGTATTTAAAAATATTTCTGGGAGCTATCGTGGTAAAGAATCAGTTATGAGACCATTATACCACCATGTTTCTAAACTGTGATATGTGCCTTTGATACTTGACGCAACAGAGTAATCATGAAGGGTATTCCTGGTGCACTGATTTTACTTGAAAATATAGGAAGATATACCTCTTTCCATTAAAGTCAACTCGGATGTATAATTTAGTAATTAAATAAATATTTATTGCATTCAGGCAGAATGTCAGATGCTACAAAATTCTGATTTAGAAAATGGACATGGCTCTTTATTGGTGGTAGTGGTGGAGTTATAGGATAAAGGGCCAAATTTGAATCTACTTTTAAGTTGAAACACAAGATGATAAGAAACATTGATCTTGAGATGGGTTTCTTTGGATTAAACTGTCAGGTTCATGAAGATATACATTTGTTCTCAAATGTTGAGGGTAGCTCTGTGGAACAGCTTTGGAGAAACATATGTAAAGCTGGAGAAGCATGAGAGAAATAGGATCTGAACTTCTGTTGAGCAGATGTAGAGTTTTTGAGGTTCCTACTCTGCCTGTGAGCTGCCCTGGCTGTTAGTGGTTGGTTGTCTTTAACAAACATATAGTGTCTTCACTGAAACTAGTGATTAGCTCCTGGCCCAAAGAACACTCTTTGCCTGTGGCCTTTGAACACTGGCAGAGCATGAATAACTTTCTCCCTCTTTTTTTCTTCACATCTGGTAATCTCTCTTTTTTTTTTCCTTTTTACTTGACATGTAATGATTGTAGGTATTTATGGGATACTGAATGGTACTTTGATACATGTATATAAGGTATAATGATCAAATCAGGGTAATTAGCATATCCGTCACCTCAAATGTTTATCATTTCTTGGTTTAGGGAACTTTCAAAATCTATCTTTTTGAAAATATAAAAGAAAATTAATTATGTCAAACTACAGTCATTCTACAGTGCTATCAAATGCTAGAACTTATTCCTCCTATCTACCTGTAGCTTTGTATTTTCTAACCAATCTTTCTCTATTTCTCCCCCAGCTGCCCTTCCCAACCTCTGGTAACCACAATTCTTCTCTCCACTTCTATGATTGCAACTTGTTTTTAGCTCTTACATATGAGGGCTATGATTGCAACTTGTTTTTAGCTCTTACATATGAGGGATAACAGTATTTATCTTTCTAGGCCTGACATTTCATTTCACATAAGGTCCTCCAGGATCAACCATGTTGCTGCAAATGAACAGATTTCATTCTTTTTTATGACTGAATAGTATTCCATTCTCTACATGAACCAAATGTTCTTTATCTATTCATCTGTTGATGGGCATTCAGGTTGCTTCCATATCTTGGCTATTGTGAATAGTGTTATAATAATAAACATGGGAGTGCTGATATCTCTTCAATATACTAATTTTCTTTCTTTTGCTTAAATACTCGGTAGTGGGATTGCTGAACCATAACTAAACTAGTTATAGTTTTAGTTTTTTTGCAAAACTTCCATACTGTTTTTTAATTACTATTATACTTTAAGTTCTAGGGTACATGTGCACAATGTGCAGGTTTATTACATAGGTATACATGTGCCATGTTGGTTTGCTGCACCCATCAACTCATCATTTACATTAGGTATTTCTCCCAACGTTATCCCTCCCCCAGCCCCCCACCCCCTAACAGGCCCCAGTGTGGGATGTTCCTCTCCCTGTGTCCATGTGTTCTCATTGTTCAACTCCCACTTATGAGTGAGAACATACAGTGTTTAATTTTCTGTCCTGTGACAGTTTGCTAAGAATGATGGTTTCCAGCTTCATCCATGTCCCCGCAAAGGACATGAACTCATCCTTTTTTATGGCTGCATAGTACTCCATGGTGTATATGTGCCACATTTTCTTTATCTAATCTATTATTGGTGGACATTTGGGTTGGTTCCAAGTCTTTGCTATTGTGAATAGTGCCGCGATAAACTTACGTGTGCATGTGTCTTTATAGTAGCATAATTTATAAGCCTTTGGGTATATACCCAGTAATGGGATTATTGGGTCAAATGGTATTTATAGTTCTAGATCCTTGAGGAATCACCACACTGTCTTCCACAATGGTTGAACTAATTTACACTCCCACCAACAGTGTAAAAGTGTTCCTATTTCTCCATATCCTCTCCAGCATCTGTTGTTTCCTGACTTTTTAATGATCACCATTCTAACTGGCGTGAGATGGTATCTCATCGTGGTTTTGATTTGCATTTCTCTGATGACCAGTAATGATGAGCATTTTTTCATATGTCTGTTGGCTGCAAATGTCTTCTTTTGAGAAGTGTCGTTTCATATCCTTTGCCCAATTTTGGTGGAGTTGTTTGCTTTTTTCTTGTAAATTTGTTTAAGTTCTTTGTAGATTCTGGATATTAGTCCTTTGTCAGATGGATAGATTGCCAAATTTTTCTCCCATTCTGTAGGTTGCCTGTTCAATCTGATGATAGTTTCTTTTTCTGGGCAGAAGCTCTTTAGTTTAATTAGATCCCATTTGTCTATTTTGGCTTTTGTTGCCGCTGCTTTTAGTGTTTTAGTCATGAAGACTTTGCCCATGCCTATGTCCTGAATGGTATTGCCTAGGTTTTCTTCTAGGGCTTTTATGGTTTTAGGTCTTACATTTTAAGTCTTTAATCCATCTTGAGTTAATTTTTGTGTAAGGTGTAAGGAAGGGATCCAGTTTCAGCTTTCTACATGTGGCTAGCCAGTTTTCCCAGCACCATTTATTAAATAGAGAATCCTTTCCCCATTTCTTGTTTTTGTCAGGTTTGTCAAAGATCAGATGGTTGTAGATGTGTGGTGTTATTTCTGAGGCCTCTGTTCTGTTCCATTGGTCTATATCTCTGTTTTGGTACCAGCACCATGCTGTTTTGGTTACTGTAACCTGATAGTAAAGTTTGAAGTCAGGTAGCATGATGCCTCCAGCTTTGTTCTTTTTGCTTAGGATTGTCTTGGTTATATGGCTTTTTTTTGGGTCCATATGAAATTTAAAGTAGTTTTTCCAATTCTATGAAGAAAGTCAGTGGTAGCTTGATGGGGATAGCATTGAATCTATAAATTACTTTGGGCAGTGTGGCCATTTTCACAATATTGATTCTTCCTATCCATGAGCGTGGAATATTCTTCCATTTGTTTGTGTCCTCTTTTATTTCATTGAGCAGTGGTTTGTAGTTCTCCTTGAAAAGGTCCTTCACATCCCTTGTAAGTTGGATTCCTAGGTATTTTATTCTCTTTGTAGTAATTGTGAATGGAACTTCACTCAGGATTTGGCTCTCTGTCTGTTATTGGTGTATAGAAATGCTTGTGATTTTTGCACAATGATTTTGTATCCTGAGACTTTGCAGAAGTTGCTTATCAGCTTAAGGAGATTTTGGGCTGAGACTATGGGGTTTTCTAAATATACAATCATGTCATCTGCAAACAGGGGCAATTTGACTTCCTCTTTTCCTAATTGAATAGCCTTTATTTCTTTCTCCTGCCTGATTGCCCTGGCCAGAACTTCCAATACTATGTTGAATAGGAGTGGTGAGAGAGGGCATCCTTGTCTGTTGCTGGTTTTCAAAGGAAATTATTCCAGTTTTTGCCCATTCAGTATGATATTGGCTGTGGGTTTGTCATAAACAGCTTTTATTATTTTGATATACATCCCACCAATACCTAGTTTATTGAGAGTTTTTAGCATGAAAGGCTGTTGAATTTTGTCAAAGGCCTTTTCTGCATCTATTGAGATAATCATGTGGTTTTTGTCGTTGGTTCTCTTTATGTAAGGGATTACATTTATTGATTTGTGTTTGCTGAACCAGCCTTGTGTCCCAGGGATGAAGCCCACTTGATCATGGTGGATAAGCTTTTTGATGTGCTGCTTGATTTGGTTTGCCAGTATTTTATTGAGGATTTTCGCATCAATGTACATCAGGGATATTGACCTAAAATTCTCTTTTTCTGTTGTGTCTCTGCCAGGTTTTGGTATCAGGATGATGCTGGCCTCATAAAAGGAGTTAGGGAGGATTCCCTCTTTTTCTGTTGATTGGAATAGTTTCAGAAGGAATGGCACCAGCTCCTCTTTGTACTTCTGGTAGAATTTGGCTGTGAATCCATCTGGTCCTGGACTTTTTTTTGGTTGGTAGGCTATTAACTATTGCCTCAATTTCAGAACCTGTTATTGGTCTATTCAGAGATTCAACTTCTTCCTGGTTTAGTCTTGGAAGGGTTTATGTGTCTAGGAACTTATCCATTTCTTCTAGATTTTCTAGTTGATTTGCATAGAGGTGCTTATAGTATTCTCTGATGGTAGTTTGTATTTCTGTGGGATCAGTGGTGATATCCCCTTTATCATTTTTTATTGCGTCTATTTGATTCTTCTGTCTTTTCTTCTTTGTTACTCTTGCTAGTGTTCTATCTATTTTGTTGATCTTTTCAAAAAATCAGCTTCTGGATTCATTGATTTTTTGAAGGGTTTTTGTGTCTCTATTTCCTTCAGTTCTGCTCTGATCTTAGTTATTTATTGTCTTCTGCTAGCTTTTGAATATTTTTGCTCTTGCTTCTCTAGTTCTTTTCATTGTGATGTTAGGGTGTCATTTTAGATCTTTCCTGCTTTCTCTTGTGGGCATTTAGTGCTATAAATTTCCCTTTACACACTGCTTTAAATGTGTCCCAGAGAGTCTGGTATGTTGTGTCTTTGTTCTCATTGGTTTTGAAGAACATCTTTATTTCTGCCTTCATTTCGTTATTTACCCAGTAGTCATTAGGGAGCAGGTTGTTCAGTTTCCATGTGGTTGTGAGGTTTTGAGTGAGTTTCTTAATCCTGAGTTCTAATTTGATTGCACTGTTGTCTGAGAGACAGTTTGTTGTGATTTCTGTTCTTTTACATTTGCTAAGGAGTGTTTTACTTCCAATTCTGTGGTCAATTTCAGAATAAGTGTAATGTGGTGCTGAGAAGAATGTATATTCTGTTGTTTTGGGGTGCAGAGTTCTGTAGATGTCTATTAGGTCCACTTGGTCCAGAGCTGAGTTCAAGTCCTGGATATCCTTGTTAATTTTCTGTCTTGTTGATCTGTCTAATATGGATAGTGGGGTGTTAAAGTCTCCCATTATTGTTATGTGGGAGTCTAAGTCTCTTTGTAGGTATCTAAGAACTTGTTTTATGAATCTGGGTGCTTCTGTACTGGGTGCATATATATTTAGGATAGTTAGCTCTTCTTGTTGAATTGATCCCTTTACCATTATGTAATGGCCTTCTTTGTCTCTTTTGATCTTTGTTGGTTTAAAGTCTGTTTTATCAGAGACCAGGATTGCAAACCCTGCTTTTTGTTTGCTTTCCATTTGCTTAGTAGATCTTCCTCCATCCCTTTATTTTGAGCTTATGTGTGTCTTTGCACGTGAGATGTGTCTCCTGTATATAGCACACCAATGGGTCTTGACTCTTTATCCAATTTGCCAATCTGTGTCTTTTAGTTGGGATATTTAGCCCATTTACATTTAAGGTTAATATTTTATGTGTGAATTTGATCCTGTCATTATGATGCTAGCTGGTTATTTCTCCTGTTAATTGATGCCGTTTCTTCATCACGTTGATAGTCTTTACAATTTGGCATGTTTTTGCAGTGGCTGGTACCAGTTTTTCCTTTCCATATTTAGTGCTTCCTTCAGGAGCTCTTGTAAGGCAGGCCTGGTGGTGACAAAGTCTCTCAGCATTTGCTTGTCTGTAAAGGATTTTATTTCTCCTTCACTTATGAAGCTTAGTTTGGCTGGATATGAAATTCTGGGTTGAAAATTTTTTTCTTTAAGAATGTTGAGTATTGGCTCCTACTCTCTTCTGGCTTGTAGGGTTTTTGCCAAGAGATCTGCTATTAGTCTGATGGGCTTCCCTTTGTGGGTAACCCGACGTTTCTCTCTGGCTGCCCTTAACATTTTTTCCTTATTTCAACCTTAGTGAATCTGACAATTATGTGTCTTGGGGTTGCTCTTCTCAAGGAGTATCTTTGTGGTGTTCTCTGAATTTCCTGAATTTGAATGTTGGCCTGCCTTCCCAGGTTGGGGAAGTTCTCCTGAATAACATCCTGAAGAGTGTTTTCTAACTTGGTTCCATTCTCCCCGTCAGTTTCAGGTACACCAATCAAACGTAGACTTGGTCTTTTCACATAGTTGCATATTTCTTGGAGGCTTTGTTAATTTCTTTTCACTCTTTTTTTCTCTAATCTTGTCTTCTTGCTTTATTTAATTAATTTGACTTTCAATCACTGATATCCTTTCTTCTGCTTGATCGAATTGGCTATTGAAGCTTGTGTATGCTTCATGCAGTTCTTGTACCGTGGTTTTCAGCTCCATCAGGTCATTTAAGCTGTTCTCTACACTGTTTATTCTAGTTAGCCATTCGTCTAACCTTTTTTCAAAATTTTTAGTTTCTTTGTGATGGGTTAGAACATGCTCCTTTAGCTCAGAGAAGTTTGTTATTACCGACTTTCTGAAGCCTACTTCTGTCAACTCGTCAAACTCATTCTTTGTCCAGTTTTGTTCCCTTGTTTGGCGAGGAGTTGTGTTCCTTTGGAGGATAAGAGGCATTCTGGAGTTTGGAATTTTCAGCCTTTCTACTCTGGTTTCTCCCCATCTTAGTAGTTTAATCTATCTTTGGTCTTTGAGGTTGGTGACCTATCGATGCGGTTTTGATGTGGATGTCCTTTTTGTTGATGTTGATGCTATTCCTTTCTGTTTGTTATTTTTCCTTCTAACAGACAGACCCCTCAGCTGCATGTCTGTTGAAGTTTGCTGGAGTTCCACTCCAGACCTTGTTTGCCTGGGTGTCACCAGCAGAGGGTGCCGAACAGCAAATATTACTGCCTGACTCTTCCTCTGGAAGCTTCATCCCAAAGGGGCACCTGCCTCTGTGAGGTGTCTTTCCGCCCCTGGTGGGAGGTGTCTCCCAGTCAGGCTACACAAGGGTCAAGGACACACTTGAGGAGGCAGTCTGTCTGTTAACAGATCTCGAACACTGTGCTGGGAGAACCACTGCTCTCTTCAGAGCTGTCAGGCAGGGATGTTTAAGTCTGTATAAGCTGTCTGCTGCCTTTTTTTCAGATATGCCCTGCCCCAGAGATGGAATCTAGAAAGGCAGTAGGCCTTGTTGAGCTGCAGTGGGCTCTGCCCAGTTCAAGCTTCCCTGCTGCTTTGTTTACACTGTGGGCGTAGAACCACCCTGTGCAAGCTTCAGCAATGGCAGACGCCCCTCCCCCTGCCATGCTCCAGTGTCCCAGGTCCATCTCAGACTGCTGTGCTAGCAGCGAGCAAGGCTCTGTGGGTGTAGGACCCACCAAGCCAGGCATAGGAGGGAATCTCCTGGTCTGCTAGTTGTGAAGACTGTGGGAAAAGCACAGTATTTGGGCATGAGTGTACCATTCCTCCAAGTACAGTCACTCATGGCTTCCCTTGGTTAGGAAAGGGAAATCCCCTGACCCCTTGTGCTCCCTGGGTGAGGCAACACCCCGCCCTGCTTTGGCTCACCCTCCATGGGCTGCACCCACTATCCAACAAGTCCCAATGAGATGAATCAGGTACTTTAGTCGGAAATGCAGAAATCACACGTCTTCTGCATCAGTCTCACTGGGAGCTGTAGACTGGAGCTGTTCCTATTCTGCCATCTTGGAAACGCCTCTCCATATATTTTTTTTAATGGCTGCACTGATTTACATTTCCACCAACAGTGTATAAGAGTTGCTTTTTCTCAGCATCTGCTGCAGCACTTATTATTTTTGTTCTTTTTGATAGTAGCCATTCTAACTGGTATAAAATGATATCTCATTTTTGTTTTGATTAGCATTTCTCTGATAATTAGTGATGTTAAGCATTTGTCATATACTTGGCCATTTGTATGTCTTCTTTTGAGAAATGTCTATTCAGGTTTTTTTTCTACTGTTGAGTTGTTTGAGTTCCTTGTATATTCTGAATATTAGTCTCTTGTTGGATGAATAGTTTGCAAATATTTTCTCCCATTCTACAGGTTGTCTCTTTACTCTGTTGATTGTTTCCATTGCTGTGCAGAAGCCATTTAGTTTAATATAGTCCCATTTGTCTTTTTGCTTTTGTTGCCTATGCATTTGAAATCTTAGTCTTAAAATCTTTGTTGAGATCTGAAGCATTTTCTCTATGTTTTCTTCCAGTAGTTTCATAGTTTTGGGTCTTACACTTAAGTCTTTAGACAATTTATTTTTGTACATGATGAGAGACTCGTTTTATTCTTCTCCATATGTATATCCAGCTTCCCCAGCATCATTTATTGAAGAGGATATCCTTTTCCCAATGTATATTCTTGGCTCCTTTGTCAAAATTCAATTGACCATAAATATGTTTATTTATTTCTGGATTTTGTTGGTCTTCATTTTGTTGGTCTATGAGTCTGTTTTTATACTAATACCATGCAGTTTTGGTTACTATAGCTTTGCAATATACGTTGACATCTGGTAGTGTGATGTCTCCAGCTGTGTGTGTGTGTGTGTGTGTTTGAGATGGTGTCTGACTCTGTCACTCAGGCTGTAGTGCAGTGGCACAATCTTGGCTCACTGCAATCTCTGCCTTCCAAGTTTGAGCGATTTTCCCACTTCAGTCTCCCAAGTAGCTGGGACTACAAATGTATGCCACCACGTTCAGCTAATTTTTGTAGTTTTTAGTAGAGACAGGGTTTCACCATGTTGGTCAGGCTGGTGTTGAACTCCTGACCTCAGATGATCCACCCACCTTGGCTTCCCAAAGTGCTGAAATTACAGGTGTGAGCCACTGTGCCCAGCCAAGCTTTGTTCTTTTTGCTCAGTTTTGCTTTGGCTATTCAAGATATCTTGTAATTACCTATGAATTTTAGGATAGGTTTTTCTGTTTCTATGAAGAATGTCATTTGTATTTTCAAAGGAATTACATTGAATCTGTAGATTGCTTTGGGTAGTATGGTCATTTTAATGATATTAATTCTTCCAATCCATGAGCACAGGATGTCTTTCCATTTTGTGTGTGTGTGTCCTTTTTGATTTATTTCATCAATGTTTTGTAGTTTTCATTGTAGAGATTTTTCATTTCCTTGGTTAAATTTATTCCTAGGTATTTTATTATTTTTAGCTATTGTAAATGGGTTTGCTTTCTTGATTTCTTTTTCAGGTAGTTCATTATTTGTATATAGAAAGCTACAAATAATGTAATTTTTGTACATTGACTTTGTATCCTGCAGTTTTATGGGATTTGTTTATTAATTCTAAGAGATTTTGGTAGAGTCTAGGATTTTCTATATATAAGATCATGTTGTCTGTAAGGAAGAACAATTTGACGTCCTCATTTCCAATTTGGATACCCTTTATTTTGTTTCTCTTGCCTAATTGCTCTGGCTAGGACTTCCAGTACTTCTGAAAACTGAATTCCCATTGTGTTGGTATTAAGAGATGGGGCCTTTTAGGATTGTCATGGGTGCTCCACTCTCATGAATGGATCAGTACCTTATAAAAGAGCTGGAGGCAACTAGCATAGGCCCTTATGTAATTAACACCCTTGAAATGTTTATAATATTAATCTGATAAGCTATTGTCAGAAATACTACAAACGTAAATAATCTAATCAAAATTACTATTATACCAAAGTGAAAATAATTTTACTATTTTCTGTTTAAATAAATAAAAAATATAGTTTCTGAAATATTAACTGAACAAAAGTATGAGTCACTAATTGTGTGGATGTTTAGATTTTCTGAAATCAATATTTTTAGTAAATTTGAGCAATGTTAGAGACAGGCTAGCCCCCTTTATTTTACAACTAAGGACTGGAAATTCCCATCCTATTTTCCAACTATATTACTTTTAATACTTGATATCATTTATGTTAATGGTTTCCCACTCCTCTTTTTTATTGTTTCACCATGTCAGTGTTTAATTTGCACAAAGAAATAAACAGCGTATCTGGAGTTGGCTGGGCCAATTCAAAGAAACCAGTGCTCATGAAGTTAATATCACTAAGATTTATTAACAAAGCAATGAAAAGACAGTGTCATAGATAAGCTCTAGATAAGAATACTAGCAGGCAAGTGGATGCTATTGCTTCCTAATGCCTCTTGATTGTTTACAGAAATGCATCTGAAATCTGGTGATGAATATAGCCTACTTGGAATGAGGAACCAACCCTCCAGTTTGGAGGAGTCTTAGTTTCCAAGGCTTATTGTCATTAAGCCCAGGGAGGGCTCGATAGAGCCAAGCAAGGTAGTTCTTTGCTATACCACAGGGACATACTTCTGCATTCTATTCCTTTCTGCATCACTTGGCCTATAACAACACCACAGAAAAATAAAGTGTAAAAAACGACAATTGTGGAGATAACTCAGATTTCACTCATCACATATTCATTGATTGTCTGTTGTTTTCCAGATAATGTAATTGATATTGAAGTTACAGGGTTGAAGACGATGTGGTTCCAGCTTTTAAAAAGTTTAAAACTTCATGGGAAAAAAGACACATAAATAAATATGATATAATGTCCAGTTCAATAAAAGACATAACTACCAGCAATCACGGAAGCTTAAAGAATATAATTAACAAACTGGATTCAACAGCTGGACAAGGAATTGAAAAGCATTTCAGACAAGTGGAGCAAATGCATGAACAAAGATTTAGGTGACATAAAAATATAATTCATGGACAGTAGGCACTAAGTGTGCCTAGAACATAAGGTAGCTGGATGATCTTAAAAATATGACTGAAAAATTATAGGGAAAACTAAAGCATTGAGCTTTTATTGAGTAGATCAATCTTTCTTCAAATTTAATAGTGCTAAAAATCACCTAGGATTCTTGTAAAACATATTGATATTTGGTAGGAGAGCTCCTTCTCCTGATCAGTAGATCTAGGCAGCATTGGGCCAAGGAATTGGCATTTTTGGACAAACATATAGGCAGATTCTGGTGCTTCTGATGAAGGTCTTTGATGGACCACACTTTGAAGGATTGGGGCAGAGTGTTATGATGAGATTTGTGTATATGACGATGATTCTGGATCTTGTGGAAGAAAGGCAAAGGAGGACAGTTCAGCCATGGAAATGCCAGTTTGAGGTGTAAAATAGTCTCATCAAGAAATAAGAGCATGAATTAAGGCAGCAGCATCAGGGATGGGGAAGGAAAAGAGAAGTGATAGGTAAATCTCAGAGGCATTTATGTTCAATTGGATGTGAGTGCTGCAAAACTGATTCTGAGGTGTCTAAACTGTATGACTACTACAATTGTATGACTATTACAGGGCTAGTGGCAGCATGGACAGAGATAGGAAATTAGAGTAGTTTGGAGTGGTAGGAATAATAAGCTCAATTATAGACTAGAGGATTTAAGGTACTATATTAGGACATTTTTCTCCTAACACAGAGTTCCTCTTTGGTGAGCTGAAGCAAAATGAGGAATCCACAGGGATCTTGGCACAACTGAAGGGAAGACATAAGCTGCTGGCCTAGATTATGGGACACCAGTGCCATCTAGACTCTCTTGGCTCTCTGCAGATCTCCTTTATTCTCTTTCTATTTATCTCTATCAGGTTCAGTCACCTAGGGAGAAACTGAGCTCTCTTTATCTTCTCTATTTTCTTTTCAGTTCCAATTTCACAATATTAAGGAAAGACCCTGACAGTCTAACTTTGGCTGCGCACCCATTACATGTCAAATGAGCTGTATTTAGGTGTCCGGGGTAACAGACTGACATTGCAGCTCCTATAGAAACCATGTATTAGGTTGGTGCAAAAGCAATGCCATTTTGGACTGTGAATTTTAAATCATAATTAGGCTCAAACACATCTTTATTAATCAGAATTGGAACAACTGTAATCAACACATTTTTGCCAATGAGAAATAAGTTTGTTTATTCCTGTAGCATACAAATCCGTGTTTTGGGATTCAACAAACTCTTGGAAAGCATTTTCTGCCTCCTGCTGGTTGTAGAAGCGTTTTCTCTGTGAAAAGTTGAGATGCTTGAAGAAGTGTTAGTTGGTTGCTGAAAGGTCAGGTGAATATAGCGGATGAGGCAAAACTTCATAGCTCCATTTGTTCAACTTTTCAAGTGTTGGTTGTGGGACGTGCGGTCGGGCATTGCCCTGAAGAATTAGGCCCTTTCTGTTGACCAATGCCAGCTGCCGGTGTTGCCATTTCTGGTGCATCTCACTGATTTGCTGAGCATACTTATCAGATGTAATGGTTTCACTGGGATTCAGAAAGCTGTAGGGGATCAGACCAGCAGCAGACCACCAAACAGTGACAATGACTTTTTTGGTGCAAGTTTGGCTTTAGAAATTGCTTTGGAGCTTCTTCTCAGTCCAACCACTGAGCTGGTCATCGCTGGTTGTCATATAAAATCCACTTTTCATTGCACATCACAATCTGATTGAGAAATGGTTCGTTGTTGTGTAAAATAAGAGAAGACACTTCAAAACGACAATTTTTTTGATTTTCACTCAGCTCATTAGGCATCCATGTATTGAGCTTTTTCACCTTTCCAATTTGCTTCAAATGCCAGATGATCATAGAATGGACGACTTTGATTTCTTCAGCAACTTCTCTTGTAGTTGTGAGAGGATCAGCTTTAATGATTGCTCTCAATTTTTCATTGTCAACTTCCAATGGCCGACCACTATGCTCTTCATGTTCCAGGCTTTTGTCTCCTTTGCAAAACTTCTTGAACCACCACTGCACTGTACGTTCATTAGAAGTTCTTGCACCAAATGCGTTGTTAATGCTACGAGTTGTCTCTGCTGCTTTATGGCCCATTTTGAACTCAAATAAGAAAATTGCTCGAATTTACTTTTTGCCAAACATCATTTCCATAGTCTAAACATAAAATAAACAGTAAGTAATAAATCATGAGAAAAAATGATGTATAACATAACCACATTTAAGAATGTATTCCAATATCAGATGGCAAATTCCAACAATGCAAAAACTGCAATTACGTTTGCACCAACCTAATAGCTCGAGAGAGGGAAAAAATACTAGGAAAAAGATGCTGGACAGATAATATTATAGTATTTACCAAAGTGCCTATAGGACTTCCATTTATAGAAGTCGATCTTGAGAGAAGAATAACTAAGGGAAATATTATTTGTTGAATACCTTCTGTATGGCAGACATTTTATGTGGTACATAGTTCATTAAGTCATCTCAACAATCCTCTTAGGGAGACAACATTATCATACCCATTTTCAGCTGGAGAAATTGAGCCTTTGAGAGCAGGTAGTGACAAAATTTTCAGGAAAGTCTATACTTTTAACCATTTAACCATATTAGCTAAAGCCATGGGGGTGAATAAGTTCTCTTCTGGAAAATATATAAGGTGATTTTCTTTTGAAAGAGAATGCGGTGGCTCACACCTGTAATCCCAACACTTTGGGAGGCCAAGATGGGTGGATCATTTGAGGTCAGGAGTTTGAGACCAGCCTGGCCAACATGGTGAAACACTATCTCTACTAAAAATACAAAAGTTAGCCAGACATGGTGGTGTGCACCTGTAATCCCAGCTACTCGGGAGGCTGAGGCAGGAGAATTGCTTGAGTCTGGGAGGCAGAGATTGCAGTGAGCCAAGATCGTGCCTCTGTACTCCAGGCTGGGTGACAGAGTGAGACCCTGTCTCAAAAAAAAAAAAAAAAAAAAAAAAAAATAGAGAGTCTAGAATGGAACCAGTATTTAGGAATAAGTACTGAAAGAGGAGTCACTGAAAGCAAATGAAAACAGGTAAACTATGACAAGGGAAGAAAAATTTGATGTGTTCAAACTGAAGGAAGCAAAACTTTTAAAAAGGAAGAGTTAACCAAGATTATCAAAGTGGTAGAGAGAAGCCAGGCCAAAGGAAGCTGCTGCATTTGGCAATTAAGGAACTATTTAGTACAGTTACACTTCCATAATAATCTTGTTCGCTGTCCTGCTGTGACTGTGACGATTTAGGCACCCACCATCTCTCACCTGGACTACTGAACATGCTTTCTGTTTTGTATCCTTGTCTCCATTCTTATCTCCACCAATTCATCTTTCACACTGAATGAAAAATAATCTTTTAAAAGCAGGGAACTGATCATAACACTTCACACTTGCTTGGAAAACCTGAGAAGATATTCCACATTGTTTAGCTTGAAATATATGCCCATCACAATCTCCTAGCAATCTTTCTGTCAATAGCTCACTCTAGCAATCTTTCTATTACTAGCTCACTCTATCTTTATTTATGCCACATTAAACTACTCAAAGTTCTCTAAGCATGCAAGATTGTTTCAGCTTCTGTGCTTTGGCACATGCTCTTCTTCCTGCTAGAGAGACTTGTTGAGCCTCCTTCCCCAACATTGGCTGGTGATGAAAAGATTCTATATCTTGATTTTGGTGGTAGTTACATGGCAGTATACAATTGCCAAAACTTAAAGAACTGCTACCCTAAAAAAGTTATATTTTATTGCATATAAACTTTAACTAAATAAGCCTTAGCTAAATAAATGTTTAAAAGGGATATACTGATAATCTCCAAATATATAGCAATTAAAACAAACATTTCTAAATAACCAATGAGCCAAATAAAAAATTTCAAAGAAAACTGGTAAATATAAAGTCAATGAAACCAAAAGTATTTTTAAAGCTAAATAAACTGGATACATCTTCAGCTAAACTGATCAATAAAAAAGATTGAAACTATAACTTAGCAATATTAGGAATGAAAGAAGGGATATCAATAAAAATTCTATATACATCAAAAAGATACTAAAGAAACAGTGTAAACAACTTTATGCCATGGCATTCAATAAATTAGAAAAAAATGTACAAATTCTTTAAAAGTCACAGGTTATCTAAACTGACAGAAGAAGAAATAGAAAATCTGAGTACCATCATGTCTAGTAAAGAAATTAATAGCCATTTTACAAGGAAAATTCCAGGCTCTCATGATCTCAACTTTTAATTCTACCAAAAGTTTAAGGAAGAAATAATAATTAAATAAAATTCTTTCAGAAAATGGATGAGGAGGGAAGACCTCCAGATTTATTTTATGAGACTAGCAGAATCCTAATATCAAAATTGAATGAAGACATTGCTGATAAAACAACAAAAAACAACCCCTAAACCACAAAAAAAGAAAGAAAGAAAAGAAAATGAAAAAATGTTCTTCATGAAGATAGATGAAGAAATTATAAATAAGATATAAGTAAATTGAATCCAGGAATATATAGATGATATCATGACCAGGGAAAACTTATCCTTGGAATTCAAGATTGGTTTAATACTCAACAATCAAACAATTCATTTTGGCCTATTAACAGAATAAAAGGGAAAGAGCTTAAGATTATCACAATATATGCACAAAAAATTTTTTGACAGAATTGAATAACAATTCATAATAAACTCAGCAAACTATGAATAACAGGAAATGTCCCTGATATGACAAAGTAATCTATAAAAATCCTAACCATAATATAATATTTAATAGTGAAAGACTGAATCCTTTTTCCTCTCATACTGATACCAAGTCAATGATGTCCACTCTCATTATTCCTATTCAACATCATACTGGAGGTGATACCTAGTGTAACAAGACAAGAAAAAAATACTGATGGAAAAGAAGCAAATCTGTCTTTATTTGTAGATGATACTTCATGAACATAGAAAATCTTAAGGAATCTACAACAGTACTAGAATTTATAAAGTGAAGTTAGCAATGTTGCAGGATACAAAGACACTTCCATACTAATAATGAACAATTAGAAAATGATATTTAAAAATACCATTTACAGTACTATCAAAATCACAAAATATTTTGAGAGAGATTTAGTGAGCTATGGTATATATAGGATATATACACAGAACACAGTTGGAAACATAGCTGAGAGATAAAGGAAGACCTAGCTAAATAGAGTGACATGTTGTATTCATGGATTGGAAGACTCAAGGTTGTTAAGATGTAAATCTCCTTAAAGTGATCTACAGATCCAACACAATCATAATCAAAATATTAGTGGAATTTTGTAGAAATTGACAAGCCAATTAATTTCAAAATTTATACGGAAATGAAAGGTGCATTGAATAACTCAAGTAATCTTGAAAATGAAGAATAAATTTGGAGAACTTATTCTACATTATTTCAAAATTTACTAAAAATCTACAGTATAAAGCAGAATGGCATAGGCAAAAAATAGACATGGATAAATGATACAGAACAGAAAGTTCAAGAGGAGATTTACATGTACGGTCAAGTTATTTTCAAAAAACATACCAAGATAATTTGATGGGGGAACAGACTGCTTTTTCAAAAATGAATTTTGTCCACACACAAAAAAATGAGAAAATGAGCTTCAATGCCTACCTTATACTTTACACAGAAGTAAACCAAAACTATAACACAGAACATAAAAGCTGTGACCATATAATTCCTAAAAATAAATTTAGGAGAATATATTTATGATCTTAGGCTGGACAAAAATTTCTTAGAGAGGAAAGTCAATGCATTAAGCTACTGAATAAACAAAAATTGCTAATTTGAATTGATCAAAATTAAAATATTCCTTAAAAACACCAAGAGCAAGCCACCAACGGGCAACAAATGTTCTCAATACATATAGCTGACAAATAACATATGCATAATACATTTTTTTAAAAGTAATAGAAAGAATGAATAAGACCTAGTATTTGATAGTACAGTGGGATGACTGTAGTCAATAATAATTTAATTGCATATTTACAAATGACTAAGAGTATAGTTGTTTTGTTTGCAATACAAAGGATCAGTGCTTAAGGGGATGGATTTTCCATGATGTGATTATTATGCATTGTATGCTCATATCAAAACATCTCATGTACCCTGTAAAGATATACACCTACTGTGTACTCACAAAAATTAAAAATTAAAATTAAATATATAGATATATTTTAAAAGTTACAGTTCAATAATAAAAAGATAACCCAATTAAAACAAGATGGGCAAAAGTGTGAACAGATGCTTTACAGAAGAAGTGCATTAGTTTTCTATTGCTGTGTAAGATACTGCCACAAATTTAAGTGACTTCTAACAATGCCCATTTATTTTCTCATAGTTCTCTTGGTCCAGGTGGGCTTGATGGGGTGTTTTGCTTAGAGTCTCTCAAGCAAAAATCAAGGTATTGACCAGGCTGGGCTCTTATTAGGAGGGTCCAATTTTTATTTGGAGAATTCACTTTTAGGTTCATTCAGGTTGTTGGAAGAATTTCACTCCTCATGGCTATAAGAATTTCACTCATTTTGTTGCTACTTGTTGGCTGGGGACTATGTGCAGGTCTTGAGGCCACTCAGATCCTTGACCCATGGCCCTCTTCATCTAAGGAACAGAGAACCTCCCTCACATCAAATACTTCTCATTCTTCAGCTCTATCCGAATTTCTCTTCTACCACCAGCCTGAGAAAACTCTGATTTTAAAAGGGTTTATGTGATTAAATTAGGCATGGATAATCTGCCTACTTTTTTCTTTTTTTGGCTTTATCAAAGTATAACTGACAAATAAAATTTTATATATTTAAACTGTACAACATGATGATTCGATATACATTGCAAAATGATTATCACACTCAAGTTAATTAATGCATCAATCACCTCACATAATTGCTTTTTTAAAATGTGAGAACACTTAAAGTCTACACTTTCAGCAAATTTCAAGTATACAATGCAGTATTATTAGCTATAGTTATATTGTACATTAGATACTCAGAACATACTCATCTTATAACTGCATGTTTGTACCATCCAGCCAACTTCTCCCCGCCTCCCCTGCTCCCTAGCCCTTGGCAACCACCATTCTACTTCCACTTTCTATGAGTTTGAACTTTTCTTGTTCTTTTTAGATTCCACACAAAAGTATTTGTCTTTCTCTGCCTGGATTATTTTACTTAGCATCATGCCATCCAGGTCCACCCATATTGTTGTCACGAATGGTAAGATTTTCTTCTTTTTTATGTCTGAATAATATTTCATTCTATATGTATGTGAAATGTATTTACATACATATATAATGTATGTAAGTATACATGTATATGTTTTATTTATCCATTTATTCATCAATAGACAGGTTGTTTCCATAGCTTGATCATTGTGAATAATATCATAAAGAACATGGGAGTACAGATATGTTCTCCTTGAGAACTGATTTTTGTTTCCTTTGGACATATACTCAGAATTGGTATCGCTGGATGGTGTGGTAGTTCTGCTTTTAATTTTTTGAGGAACCTCCACACTGTTTTATGTAATGGCTGTACCAATTTACATTTCCACTAACAGTGCTCAAGTGTTCCCTTTTCCCTACATCCTTATCAATACTGATCTTATCATTTCGATAATAGCCACCCTAACGGATGTGAGGTGATATATCATGGAGGTTTTAATTTGCATTTTCTGATGATTAGTAATGTTCACCACATTTTCATGTACCTATTGGCCATGTGTATGTCTTCTTTGGCAAAATGTGTATTCAAGTCCTTGGATTGTGTTTTTTAAATGATATTGAGCTGTATGAGTACCTTATATACTTTAGATATTAACCCCTTATCATATATATGGTTTGCAAATATTTTCTCCTATTGTGTAGTTTGCCTTTCCATTTTGTTGTTTCCTTTTTTGTGTGCAGAAGCTTTTTAGTTTCATGTGGTCCCATTTGTTTATTTTTGGTTTAGTTGCCTGTGCTTTTGGTGTTAAATCTAAGGAATCATTGCCAAGATCAATGTCAATAAGATTTTCCCCTATCGTTTCTTTGAAAATTTTTATAGGTTCAGATATGACATTTAGTTTTTAATAAATTTGAGTTTATTTTTGTGTATTATGTATAATAGGAGTCCAATGTCATTCTTTTTGTTTGTGAATATCCAGTTTTTCCAACACCATTTGTTGAAATGACTATTCTTTCCTCATTATGTGATACTGACACCTTTGTTGAAGATCAGTTGACTATATATGTATGGGTTTATTTCTGGGTTCTGTCTTCTGTTTCATTGGTCTTTGTGTCTGTTTTTATGCCAGTGCCATACTGTTTTGATTACTGTAGCTTTGTAATATATTTTGAAATCAAGACGTGTGATGTCTCCAGCTTTGTTCTTGTTTCTCAAGATTGCATTGGCTATTTAGGGTCTTATTGTGGTTCCATATGCATTTTAGGATTTTTTTCCATTTCTGTAAAAAATGCCATTGGGGTTTTAATCAGGATTACATTGAATCTGTAGTTTGCTTTGGGTAGTATGTCATTTCAACAGTATTTATTCCTCCAATCCATGAACACAGGATGACTTTTTATTTATATATATCTTCAATTCTTCTTGCTTTTAAAAATTGATACATAATAATTGTCATATTTATGGGGTACATGTGACATTTTGATACATGCACACAATATGTAATATTCAAATGTGATTAGGATAATCTATCACCTCAAATATTTGCCATTTCTCTGTGTTGGGAATATTTAAAATCTTATCTTTTAATTATTTTGAAATACACAATAAATTATAGTTAACTATAGTCACTCTATTGTGCTATTGAACACTAGAACTCATTCTATCTAACTGTATTTTTGTGGTCGTTAACTAACCTCTCTTAATTCTCCTCTGGCAACTCCCACCTGATTCCCAGCCTCTGGCTACCATTATTCTATTCTCTCTCTACATGAGATCAACTTTTTTAGTTTCCACATATGAATGAGAACGTACTATATTTCTCTTTCTGTGCCTGGCTTATTGTAGCTAACATATTAATCTCCAGTTCCATCTGTGTTGCTGCAAATGTATGTTTTCAGTTTCTTTCATCAATGTCTTATAGTTTTCATTGTACAAATCTTTTGGTTCTTAGTTAAATTTATTCCTGAGTATTTTTTTTTAATGTTACCAAATTGGGTTGCTTTCATCATTTCTCTTTTAGGTTGTTGTTAGGGCATTGGCCACAACTGATTTCTGTATGTTGATTTTATATTGCAACTTTATGAACTTTTTAATTTGTTTTAACAGGTTTTTTTGGTGCAGCTTTTAGAGTTTTCTGCATATAAGTTCATGTCATCTGTAAATTATACTGCTTCATTTCTAATTTGACTGTTTTTTAAATTTCTTTTTTTAGTCTAATTATTCTGGCTAAGACTTTCAGTAGTATGTTGAATAGAGTGATGAGAGTGGTCACCCTTGTCTTCTTCCTGACTTCAAAGGAAGTGCTTTCCAACTTTTCATGATGAATACGTTGTTAGCCATGGGCTGGCCATATATGACATTTATTATGTTGAGGGGCATTCCTTCTAAATATCAAATTTGTTGAGAATTTTTATTATAAAATATGTTGAATATTTTGCAAACATTTTGTATCTATTGAAATGATCATAGGATTTTCACCCCTCATTCTGTTAATATGGCTTTTCATATTCATTGATTTGCATACGTTGAATCATCCCTGGGATAAACCACTGTTGGATTTGGTTTGCTAGTATTTTGTTGAGAATTTTATATCTATATTCAGCATGAATATTGGCTGGTATTTTCTTTTCTTGTAGTTTTCTTGTCTGGCTTTGGTATCACGGAAATTCTGGCCTCATAAAATGAGTTTGGAAGTGTTCCATTCTCTTCAATTTTTTTTGGAAGCAGTTGAGAATAATTAGTATTAATTTTTCTTTAAATGTTTGGCAGAATTCCCTTGTGAAGCCATCTGGTAGTGACTTTCCATTGTTGGGAGACTTTTGATTACTGATTCAATCTCCTGACTAGTTATAGGCCTCCTCAGATTTTCTATTTCTTCATGATTCAATTTTGGTAGGTTTTGTGTTTCTAGGAATTTATCCTTCTTTTGGGGGTTATCCAGTTTATTGGCATATAATTTTTCATAGTAATCTGTTACGATGCTTTGTATTTCTGTCACATCAGTCATAATGTCGTCTTTTTCATTTTTGAGTCTTCTCTCTTTTTTCTTAGTATAGCTAAGGATTTTAAATTTTGTTTATCTTTGCAAGAAATCAGCTCTTCATTTTATTGGTCTTTTCTTCTGTTTCTCTTGTCTCTATTTTATGTATTTCTTCTCTGAGCATTGTTATTTTCTCTTTTCTGCTAATTGTGGGCTTAGCTTGTTCTTTTTCTAGTTTCTTGAGGTGTAACATTAGGGCTTTTTTATTTGAGATCTTTCATTTTCCTTAATGTAGGTATTTATTGTTACCAAATTCCCCCTGTACTGCTTTTGCTGCATCCCATAAGTTTTGAGAGGCTGTGTTTCCATTTTCACTGGTCTCAAGATTTAAAACAAAATTCTCCTTTGATTTCTTCTTTGATACATTAATTGTTCAGGAGTATGTTCTTTAGTTTCCACATATTTGTGACTTTTTCAAGATTCCTCCTGTTATTCATTTCTAATTTTACACCACTGTGGCTGGAAAAGATAGTTGGTATGATTTCAGTCTTCTTAAACTTATTAAGACATGTTTTGTGACCTAACATATAATCCATCCTAGAGAATATTCTGTGTGCACGTGAGAAGAATTTGTATTCTATTATTGTTGGATGGAGTGCTCTGTACATGTCTGTTAGATCCATTTGGCCTAAGATGTCAATTCCAGTGTTTCCTTATTGATTTTCTGTCTGAATTATCTATCTATTGCTGAAAGTGGGGTGTTAAAATTCCTTAAAGTTGTTACATTGCTGATTATTTCTTTTTTAGTTGGGTTAATATGTGCTTAATATACTTAGATGCTCTAATGTTGGATACATATATATTTACAGTTGTTATATGACCCCCTTATTGTAACATAATTATATTTGTTCTCTTGTTGCATTTTTGAGGTAAAGTCTATTTTGTGTGATAAAAGTATAGCTACCCATCCCTGCCCTATTTTAGTTTTCCTTTGCATGGAATATATTTTTCATCCCTTCATTTTCAGCCTATATGTTTCCTGAAAACTGAAGTGAGTATTTCACAGGCAGCAAATAGTTGGGCCCTTTAAAACATCTATTTAGCCATTTAACGAAGTATTTATTGAAGAATTTAATCCATTTACATGTAAACTAATGATTGCTATATAAAAACTTACTACTGTCAACTCATTGTTTTCTAACTGTTTTATAGTTTTTCTTTCTTGATGTCTTTCTTTGAGATTTGATAGTTTTCTGTAGTGGTATGCTTTGTTTTTTTTCTCTTTATCTTTTGTGAGTCTACTACAGGTTTTTGCTTGGTAGTTACCATGAGGCATACATAAAACATCTTGTAGTTATAATAGTCTATTCTAAGCTGACAACAACCTAATTGCAATTGCTTAGAAAAACCTCTACCCTTTTACTCTCATGACAATTTGTGTTTTGATGTTATATTTTTATATTGTATATTCATTAGCAAATTTTTTACATTTAGTTATTTTAAAATATTTTTGTCTTTTAACCATTATACTAGAGTTAAATGATTTACACACCACCATTGGAGTATTAGAGTATTCTAAATTTGACTATATGCTTTCCTTTACTAGTGAGTTTTATATGTTCATATATTTTCATGTTACTAATTAGTCTCTTTTCATTTCAGCTTGAAGAATTTCCTCATAGCTTAGCTCCCACTTATGAGTGAGAACAAGTGATGTTTGGTTTTTCATTCCTGAGCTACTTCACTTAGAATGACTAGATAATTTCAAATGATCTGTCTTACAGTTCACAGATTTTTGGTCTACTTGATTAAGGCTGCTATTGATGCTCTCTATTGCATTTTTCATGTTATTCATTGTATTCTTTAGCTCCAGAAGTTCTTTTTTATTATTTATCTCCATTGAGCTGCTAGTTTGTATGTTTTCCTTATTTCAGAGTTACCTATGTTCTCTTTGAACTCACTGAGCTTCCTTAAGACATTTATTTTAAATTCTTTGCCCAGCAATTTACAGATCTCTACTTCTTTTAGATCAGTTCCTGGAAAATTGTGTTCCTCTGATGGTATGTTTCCTTGACTTCGCATGTATCTTATAGTTTTGCATTGGTATCTGAGCAATTGATGGAGCAGTTATTCCTTCTAGACTTTATAGACTAGCTTCACGGGAAAAGACATTCACCTGCAGGTTGGTGTGAGGGCACTGACTGGATGGAGTGTGGAAATTATAGCTTTGGGGAAGGCCCAGTATAATCTCCACATGGCTTCATCAGCTGAGGTTAACATTGGCAAAGATTGCAGGATTCTTTAATGGCCAAGGCAATGCATGTCTGCAGTGGTGATGAAAGCAGTTGGGATCTTTGGTGGCTGCTAGGAACCTCTTGATCTCTTTTTCTCCCACAGGAGATGTCATGGTTGAGGGGATCCCTCTTGGTGCCAAGCCCAGCACATAGGCACCCTCACAGTGGCAGTGACAATGGTGTCTGATGCACAAGTGGGCATCTGCGGAGCAGCCACAGAGATAGGGTCTGGAGTGCAGGCACTGTGGACAGACAGCAGCTCCAGGGTCCAGGGCTCTGGCTAGCCCACATTGACAGGAGTTCCAATGTTTGAGATGCAGGAGCCTGCCAAGTGACCATATAGCCAGGGTCCAGAGTGTGAACACATGCAGATAGACAGTGGCTCTGTGTCCAGGGCACTGGCTATACTTTGACAGCTGTGGCTCTAGTGCCTGAGACACAAGCGTATGTGCAACAGCCATAGAGCTAGGTATGGAGTGTGGGCATGTGCAGAGTGTTCGCAGAACTGGGGTCCGAGGTGCATGTGTGTGCAGAGAAATTGTGGCTCTGTGTTCCAGAGCAGTCATGGGGTTGGGGGTAGGGGTGGCAGCCCTGGTCTCTGGTCAACACAAAAGCACATCCTTTTAGACAGTACGCAGCAATGTTTCCCTCTCCTGGAGATCTATGGTGGGATGGCTGTTGGTTACCTCAGTGGCAAAAGCTACTGATGTCCTCTGTAGAGTAGGCCAATGGGGTCAGTGCCAACAAACACTATGGGGTTTTCTGCTGTGGGGGTTGTTGAGGTCCTCAGTGGCTAAGACTACCAAGGTCCTTTAGAGGATAGGCCACTGTGGATCATGATGGGACCCAACATATGGCTGATACACATAACTCATCCCTGTTTGTTTAATCTTTGTTTATGGCCATCTGCAGACATTGCTAAGCCAATCTCCCAAGTGACTTTTTTTTTTCCACTGTGTTCTTGCTTACTGGATTTTTGAGCCCTCCTAGGTCTATTTTTGTTTGTGGATAGCTGTCTAATTGTTGTGTTTTGTGGAAGTATAAAGGCTGGCATCTCCTACTTTGTCGTCTTGCTAATGTCACCCCTAATATGCCTATTTTAAAGTCAACTAGTTAGTAACCCTAATTACATCTACAAAATTCCTTTTGTCTTGTAACATAATGTAATCACGGGAGTAACACCAGGAGTAAATGTCATGGGAGCCACCTTAGAGTTGTGCCTACCATGAAAAAATATATAAATGACCAGTAACACCATGAAAATATGTGTTCAAAATCATTCGTTATAAGGTAGATGCAAATTAAAACCACAATCAAGAACCAGTCCACATGCAATATAAGGGCTAAAATTTAGAAAAAGAACAAGATAATACTAAATATTGGCAAGATTGTGAAGCAAGTGCCATACTTTTCTGGAGGGAATGTAAAATGTTTCAATGACTTTGAAGAACATTTTGGTAATTTCTGTAAAGTTAAATGTATAGTTACCATATGACTCAGCAAATCTACTGCTTAATATTTACCCAAGAGGAAAAAAAAAACAAAACACCTATGTTTACAAAACGGTTCACCGAAACTTCATTCATCACTGCCCAAAACTGGAAATAACCCAAACGTATACAGATAGGTGAACGAATAAACAAACTGCATATTCATACAGTGAAATTCTACTCAGCAATAAAAGGAATAAACTATTCATATATACAACAACATGGATGAATCTCAAAAATATTATGCTTACCTAAAGAAGCCAGACACAAGGGAGTATGTACTGTATGACTCCTTTTATATGACATTTGTGAACTAATCTCCAGTGATAGACTTCAGGTCACTTGTTACCCTAAGTGAGAGACAGTTAGACTGACTAGTTAAAGGCACAAGATAACTTCCTTGGGAGATAGAAATACTTTGTATCTTTTTGGGATCATGGTTATTTCAAAAGACTTTGGATTTTACATGTATCATGGATACTTTTTATTTCATGAAAATTATACTTACAATGTTGATTTAAAAATATATTGTATATATTTCTGAAAGAAACAATGGTTTATCTTCTTGTATTATTTAACACTTCTGGAATGTATTTAATGAAGATTAGAGATAAAATGCAAACAAGCTGTAAGTATTTTAAAATGGAAGGGTACCACTATTTGCAGATGAAATCGTATTTCTGGAAAGTCAAGGTAACAGGGTGAAATAGCTCTGGGATTACTGAGAAGTCTTAATAAAGTGTCTGGATATAAGATAAATATACTTTTTTTGGACAAAATAAATAGTACATCCTTAATAGCAGTACAAAATATTAAAACAAAAATATGAAATTTGTATGATCAATCTTTACAAAATATGCACAGACCTGTATAAATTTAATACTGGGATAAAAGGAAGACAAATAAATGGGAAACTACATTTCTGGGTGAAGAGACAAAGCACTAAAAATATGTTCTTTATAAATTACTTCCTAGTTTTAATGAAATTCCAATAAAATCCCCAAAAGAGAGGAGCTTTGAAAATTTTGAAAAGAGTGAAAAGGGGACTGGCACTGTCAGGGTTACAATATAATTTAATCTCTGATAATCAAATCAGTCTAATCATAGCAATATAATAAAAAATTGAAACAGATCAATTGAACAGAATAGGTAGCCCGGAAACAGATCTTATTATGAACTAATTATGTGTATATGACAAAAGTGGTATTACACCACAATGCAGAAGAAAAAGATTATTCAGTAAATGGTGTTGGTGTAACAAATAAAGTATAAATGCAGATTTTCATCCCATAGTGTATGCCAAAATAAATTCCAAAATCAAATTTTTACTAAAGCCTTTAAACAAATATAAATGAAGGTAAATATTTATTAACTAAAGTGTTCTAATACATTGCAAAGGCAACAAGCAGCAAATTTGCCTACGTAAAATTTCCCTTAGGAGAAAGTTCAATGAAGTGCAATAGACCCTAGAGATCTGACTCATCACTAGCTTCTATGTCTAGCACATAGTGTGTGCTCTAATAAATCTTTACAGAACACATGAAAACTTTTTTCTTACTTTTTTGAAAGGCAGCAGCACTATCATTTTTTAACAATATGACAAATTGGGAAAAATGTGTCATATATGAAGCAGGATTAGTATCCTCTTATTAAACATTTGATTAGTATACTCTTATGAAACATTTATACAAATGGTAAACTTCATTAAGACCCATGAGGTACACAAGTATGTGAACAAACTGCCACAAAAGAGGGGATACAAAGATTAATCAATAGTGGGGAAATGTTGAATGTGAATAACAGAATTGAATATTATCTGTCAAGTTAAAATATTTTTTTAAAATAAAAAATAGCAATATCCAATGCTGGTTTGAGTATAAGTGTAATAGCTCATCTCATACAATTTGGGGGACTTAATACGAACTTCATAGAAGGGTGATTTTGCATTCTATGTTGACAGCCTTAAAAATATCTACCACTTTTGATCCCGTAATTATTTTTCACATAATTTATCTTAAAACATTACTTGTTAGAAAGAAAAAAAGTTTATGAAAAAAGGTCATCATATGATCACAGATATTAGTAAAATTGGGCAAATACATGTCAAACAACGGGAAAATGAATCTTATGGTATAGCCTTTCAATGGAATAGTATATAGCCATTTAAATTATTTTAAAAATTATTCTATATTTATTTAAATTATTTATCTTTATTGTCCCATTAAACAGAGGAGGAAGCTGATACACAGAGGGTTTATGTGACTTGTTCAGTCTCTGAACTAACTAGCAGGATGTGATATCGAGCAGGCTGCCTTCCTAGTCCACACTCTTAATCAATGCACCATACCGCCTGTGTTTGTTAAAACATAAAAAAAAATGTTTTCAGTAGTTTTATGGGTGTGTGTGCACAGGTGCATCTACGGGGGGCTCCTTGATCTCCTCTGTACACTTTCACATCTTCCAAAGTTTCTACAATAAGCATGATTTTTAAACATTGTAAATGACCTTAATGAATTGTAATATTCTTTTATAATCCTCAAGTAAACTTCATTTTGTGTAGTCACACTCAAGAGTTTTCATCTTGGGATTATTGGCACCCCCTATTTCCAGTTCTCTCTCCATAGATGCCCTGGAGAGCCTCTGGCCTCGCGTCCAGCTTGCTCACCCGGCCACCCTGGGCTGCATCCATAGTACCAGGATCCTCACTGTTGAAACGCTCTCTTATTTCCCTGCGCCGCTGCAGACAGCTCCAGGGTAAAGTTGTCAAGCGTTCAAAGGCCACAGGAACGGAGTCTTCGGACCCTCCCAGGTTTCGGCCCCATATGGCCTCGCAGATTCCTAGCGGCCGCGGGTTCAAGTCCCAGCCGCTGACGCAGGTCAGGCACTCACCCGGAAGCGCAGCGACCTTCCCAAGAGTGGGGCGCCGGCGGAGAAATCCCCTGGGACTGGCAGGGCTGGAGTCGGCCTGCATCGCACAGGCCACGAGGCCACCGGTGTTTAGGGTTCAGATCTGGGGACCAGCGCCAGCAGACCGCAGTCCTGCAGCGGCGCCCCTTGAGGACGGCATGCGGAGCCTCAGGGGCAGAAGTCCGCCCGGCTGACCATCCTTTATTAAAATACGACAGTTCCTGAAAACAATGCTTATCTCAAGCTGACTCAAAACTGGCTCTTGAGAAAATCCGGTGTTAATTAAAGAGGGTTGTCGGGGACAAAATTCACGGCTTGTGTTTCGCGGGGGAGTGGTTGTGGGGTGATCTTAATATAAACACGTTATCTCGAGAGTTAATTATGTCTCTGGTTGGAAACAGGAGAAGAGGGTGACTGTTTACGCAGTCCATGGGAATCAGCGTCTCACTTTAGGGGACGGTGGGCAAGGGTCGCCCTTCGATAGCGCGGCGGCTGGTCCACCAGAGAAACCAAGTTTTCTAGGTCGCCGGGGAAAAGCGGAAAATTAGACTTGAGCCAGCCTTGCTCCTGTGAGACATTCGTGCACTCATAACCCAGCAGTGGGTGCCTCTACCTAGAATGAGCCCTTCATTTCCCGGATCCGTTCAGGGGGAAACAGCGAAATCCCCAAATCCGCTTCCTTACGTGGCTAATAAAGGGGTGCTTACAGAGCATGGAAAAACAAAACAAAGAAACAAGAATACCTTGAGTGTTTTGACGTTTGAAAACCCGACTCCGGAGAATCATGGAATCATATTCCAAGTTTCAGTGTCTAATGAAGTTTAAGGGGACGCCTATTACTTGGGTTTGTAAAATCGCGGCGTCGCGCCCGCCCCAAGTCAAAGCTGAGCAGAGCAGGGATGGGGAAGGTCTCCGGCCCCAGGCGCGGCGCGCGGGGCTTCTGCCCAGTTTCCTGCTTCTCAGCCGCGGTGTCTGCCCCGGCCCAGAGCAGTCTGTGCAATTTAGAAACTCGATAGGAGGCAGCAGCTGGTCTCCCACCACCCTAAAAATAATCCGTTCCGGCGCACTGCGTGCTTCGCCTAGGGGAGGAAAACTGTCATCGGAGTAAGTGAATCCGTGTCTTTTACATGAATGCCATTTAAACATTTTTAGGAATAACTGTAAGTTGTCGATTTTGAGCTAACATTTCTGCTATCCAAAAACGCCCTCGCACTCTCTCGCACTTCTCGGCACTTAGCTTTCGCGATCGCTATTTCTAGAATTAAGGGACGAGGCCCGGCTCGAGAAGTGAAGGGGTGGGGATCAGGTTTCCAGTTTTACTTCAAAACTGCCGTCTCCTACTCAAATCAACTGGAAACAGTGAAAGGAGTTATTATTATTAGGAGTTATTATTACCGCCTTTCTTGTAGACAATTCTTGTATGTTCAAGAAGTAGTTTTCTATCTGCTTAATTTTTGTTACTCTTTACTTTTTTTTAGGAGTTCTGCGTCCGGGTTTGAAATTTACATCTTAAGACAGTGTAGGAAGTCGGTGTTTTGAAGGTAGCTCAAGTGCACCGGCAGGGGTTTGAAGCAGCGTGAAGCTATTGCCCAAGGTATTTATTTTTTGCTTTATTTGTTCAGTTTGGGATTTTTTTTAAAATCCCATTGCAGTATCTAAGGAATACCTACTGAGTAATTTCAACATTTCTTTTGGTGTGGGATGGTACTTCACAGCCACTGAAGAGTAAATGGGTGGATTCAGATCAGGCACTAAGTCAGAAGTCAGTGGTCATTTTTGCCAGTGATTTTCCCACTTGGATCTGTCATAGTTATAGCCATGGTAGCTAGCTAACTAGCTATACATCTTCTAGTTTTTATTTCATGAACTAGGGACTGAATAACTTCAAAGAAGTGATTACAGCATTTGTTTTTGCAAGTGACATCCATCCTGAAAATGCTCTAGATGATGATAAAGCCCTAAGTTCTTTAAAATGTCCTGCTTCTCTTTCATAACAGAATTTGGTTAATCTCTAAACGATTAAAGAATGAATCCTTTTATATGTAAGAATGAAAACTTTTATTTAAATTTAGCATGTTTTCTCCAGGTGTTTCCAGCATTTTAAACTCTCTGCAATTGCTATTCGATCAGAACTAACGCTTTCTGCTAAGTGAACAGGAAGGAAGACAAGTTTTCACTTGCTTTACTTGTAGTCTATTTCCAAAGGACAGGGCTGGCCACAATAAATGGTGTACCTTATATGCCTCAGCACTTAAATGTGTTTTTAGAATTAAATCAGATAACTACTGCTCGTGTCTTGCAGAGGAACCAACAGACTGGATAGGTCAGGTATTATATTCACCAACTAAATCCAAAATGTATATGTTCTAGATGTGTGGAATTTCATGTAATGCATTTCGAGGAATAAAAACACTGAGGGTGCGATTCTTGCCATGAAATCGTAAGTTAGATAATTAGGAGTATTTCTATTTTATGTTTTCTGCTCCATAGACATACGTTAGAAGCAAAATTTCACTTTGATCTTTGTTTTTAAAGTTTATTCAGTCAAGTTCTCCAACTCTATCACCTCTCATAAACAACTGAGCATATTTCGATGGCTTATGCTTGTGGAAAGGGAAACATTATATCTCCCCATCTGCTCTCCCTTCTCTCTCTCTCCTTGATGCTTGGGCCTCCCTCAGTGCTTAGCTGAATCTAAACAGCTCCAGAAGGGGTGGAGCTGAAGGATGTCAGGTGACAGAGTTTAGCCAGCAAGAACAGCGATTTATACCCTTCCCCAAACATTCCCAATTGAACCTGGTGTCTGGGAGGGAAACATTAAATGACAATTGGAAATTTAAGGATTAGGAACGTGGATTGAATAAAATGCCTTTGATAAACACAATAATTATCAATATATCAGCAATAAGTTTACTGCCTCCCTCTTTTTGTCCATGTTGGGTTGTAATGGAGGCTGGCTGTTAGAGTGCCACATGGACTCTGGATGTTGGATAAGGAGACTACGGGTTAAAGGGAAAGGATAAATGAGGAGTCAAAAGAAAAGGTGAAAGGAGACATGCGGTAAGGTAATGCACAGGTTCAGAGCCGGCCGGAAATGTGAAGTTAGAGTTTATGGCAGACAGAAAAATCGTTCTAAAGCGTTTACTGTACCAACTTGAAGTTTACACTTTTGTTTGATTGCATCATTTCTTATTTTCCTATCTTTTAGATCATATACCCCTACAATATACCCACAGCTACTGAGACTACTGTAATCTGATTCATACAGTCTAAATAAAACCACAGAAACTGTTTCTGACGTGCACCATTGGATTCCTAGTAACTAGCACGTAGTTAGCATCAATAAGTGTTTTTACAGTTCATTAGTTAATGGCATAGAATTCCAGATATCTGGTGTATGTCTGAAAATGTTCTTAAATTTTTCAGGTGATTGTACTTCTCTGAGATTTTTTTTCCAGTTACACACAACATTTATCCAAAGGCGATTTAATTGGTAGATTTCAGGATTGATTAAACACCAGGCAAGCAATGCTTATAGCTAATGAAGGGTGTAATTTGCAAAGCAGCAGGTTATATTTTAGCATCTACCTCAATGATACTAGTTTATAAATGTGGCCAACTGGAATATTATAATTTTGGATAAGATTATAAAAGTTGCTAAAGTAAAAATCATTTTCTAGTTTGTGCGAGGAAAGTTTATATATGTCTTTCAATTAAGAGTGGGCTTTAAGTTTTCTTTTTATCATTTCTACTAAATAAAGGAAGTAGTCTAAAAAATTCATTACTAGCTATTAGTTTTTAGTTTTGTTTTTGTCTGTCTTTGCCAGAAATACATCTAACATACACCTATAAATTAATAACTTCCATTTTGCTGTTTTTTAAAAACTTCAAGTCCCTTTTATTCTTTTATCCAGATTAATACCTTAATAGCTTGTTAGAATTTACCCAGTGTATAACTTCACCTTGAGGTTTTAAAAATACAACTTTTTAAAAAAAGATGAGGGAAAGACTCAACTAGAGAGCATATCAACTATTTATTATAAAAAGAGCTTATCAGGAACAATATGTGAGAGGCATTCTGTATAAGTATCTAAGATTGTAAATACACAGACTCTTTAGCTGAGGCATTCATATAATGCTTTATAAAACCTTTGCTTGAAATTTGATTTCTCTAATAATTTACCTACCATTGACAATCTTTTCTGTATAACACTGTTTTTTCCTAGGAAAAGTATTGTTTGTGACCATTGCTAAATCAATTATCAATGAAAGGAAAGAAAGAAAAGGTACTATGCTAGTTAATAAAATTTTTGCCAGCCTTTTGTAATGCAACTCAGAATCCATTGTGACATAAATATAGAAACTAGGTCTAGTGAGGTTAAAATCTTAAACTGCTACTTGTTTTAAAGAATAGATACGATAGCTTCTTTAAAAAGCAGGTTGGAGGTTGTGTAATACGGTGGAAAGAAATAGTTTATAAGTCAGATATTTGGGTGTGGACATGACCGCTTTACTGGTTGGCAAGTTACTGAACTTATCTGGACCTCAGTATCCTCCATTGTAAAAGATGAATTACAAGGTTGTTCTGAGGATTTAAGATATGCAAAGTGCCCAGAACTTAAATAAGTAGTAGGCATTATAAAATAAGTTTTCAGAATGTCAAAGCTTTTCCTGGAATTTCACAGCAGTATTTTCATGGAGCAGACCTTTGCTCATCTCCCATCTGTTTGGGCACAGCATTAATAGAGAACCATTTAACATGTAAGTGAGAGCACGTCACTCCTCTGCCCCGGAATCCCCAGTGGCCCACTTCACTAAGAGTAGAAGCCGCAATCCTGACAATGACTTACAAAGCACAGTGTGACCTTGTCCTCTGTTTCCTCTCTAAACTCATCTACTTCTACTCATGGAGTACCAATTTCCAGTTAAAAGACATCCTGCGTTTCAAACTTGCGTAGAGTGTATTTCTTGTGAGAATATTCTAACTATGGAATCTGAGTAGTTTCGTTGACTTGTCATTTGAGTTAGGTTTAATTCATCTTGAGCATTTGATTTTTAATATTCTTCAGGGAAAGACTGATTACTGTTAGCCATTACTGCAGGCACACTTGTTTCTGTATATTAGTATTTCCCACAACTAGTGAAATGTTTCAGCAAACTCTGTCACAGTTTACTGAACAACTTTTGTTGTTTATTAGTACATTTTCAGTGAGTATGGGAAAATATTTGAAATTATACCATTTTGACTTTTTAGTCATTGGTTCAATTTTTTTTCTCCTTTTTCTTAATATATGACCATTTTTGTTCTTTGAAAGCATTTTAGTCAGACACTCATTTGAGGTACTACTATAGGTAGATATTAATTATAATACATTTTCCACATGAAAGCATTTTTCTCTGGAAGTAAAAGCTATGGAAAAGAAGATCTCATAGGACGTATTTTATAAGAAAGCTTCAAGTTGCTTTGGCACAGAGTTTCTTATTTCCTCAGCTATCAAAGTAAAAGGGATTAATTTTATGATATAGCCCTCTATTCAAGGCTTTAATAATTTTATGAACAAGAGTTTACTAATAAGAGGATTTTTCTTTCTCATTTCTCTCCCTTTTAGAGTAAACCATATAAGAAGAAATGAGCCTTTCATTTTGTGGTAACAACATTTCTTCATATAATATCAACGATGGTGTACTACAAAATTCCTGCTTTGTGGATGCCCTCAACCTGGTCCCTCATGTCTTTCTGTTGTTTATCACTTTTCCAATATTGTTTATTGGTAAGTAATCTAGTATCTTATGTTATACCATTTGATGTTTATATATCTCGCTAATGGCTGAGATTTGGGATAATGTTGACTTAATTTCTGTAACATGGAAGCTGATGGCTGTGAGAAACGAACAAGCAAGTATTTTGTGTTTTTCAAACATATATTTTTGACAGGTGATCTTCCGTAGGTGAAATTGAGGTCACATGCTTGCTTAGGCATGGCCTTCAGGTAGCAGCAGCAGTTTTTTAAAAAGAAGGAAAGAGAAATATATGAGATAGATCTACAGCATTAGTTGAGCACTTACTTTGGGTTAGGTAAAGGGAATGGAAAATGAATAAAAGAGTACTTGCCTTCAGGGAATAGTCCAGTGGGGCAGATGTGTTAAAGTCATGAGAAATGACTATGCCACATTGTAAGCCTATTTACAAGCACAGGAACAAATTAACCTGCTGAAACAACTCACTCTTTGGAGGTGGTGGGGAAGATAGTGAGTGACATGTCTGGGGAACTGGAAGATGCCAAGCATGCAAGTTACAGTGGGAGTGATGAGGTTGTGTTTTATGTAGAAAGAGGACATTCACAAAGAATTTGGGAAGAAGTTAACAATACAGTTTTGTCTATTATTTTACAGTTTACATATGTATAAAATCTGATAATTAGGGGCAATTATGAATAATTTGTATAACTTACCCAAACAGACCCTTTAACTTTTTTAAAATTATGAAGTATTTTGATACCTAAAATGATGGACATTAATATAATAAATATCCATTGAGCCTACCAACGCTCATCTAAAGAATATAGAAATAAGAATGAAAGGACCTCTCTCTGCACACCATTTCCTGGTCTTGTGACTCTTTCCATATCCTACGTTCCTATCTTTTCACAGGAGACAACCACTATTTTGAGTTGATTGTGTTCAATTTTTTCATGTATGGTATCTTTCCAATTAAATAAGTGAAAAAGTTTTCAGATGCATTTTCTTAAGAAAACTAGCAAAATTTAATGATCTACTTTAAGGGAATGTTTGAAAATCATTCATACACTTTTATTTATTCATTTAACAAATATCAATTGAGAGGATACTATGTGCTTGGCATTATTCTAAGGGGGATTAAAGAACTCATCATATGGTATATACACAGGCCAACATAATTCTTGGTACATAGTTATGTTGAACAAATGTACAGATGCTAAATATATTGAGACCAGAATGGCCATATGTAGAAACATCAGTCTTTGTTTATGTAGTATTATTTGTAGGCCATGAAGAACGCCCTTTGGCCAAAAGTAGAAAAATGGATTTTTTAACTGTAATTCCACAATTAATAATTCCCCAGTTATTGACATCTGGTTAACTTTTTGAGAGCAAGAACAGGGACATTCCATTTTGTATCCCTAGCATCCAGCAAAGAGGCTGGCACCAGGGTATTTGAATAGAAGAGAATTTGAGGGGACATTGTTAAAGGGAAATAGAAAAAATTCAGACTTTTCATTTATGACATTGGCTGCTTGAATTAGTGAAGGATCATAAATCAATCTTAAAAACTATCAGGTACTAGGAAAATCATAAGGTTGCAAAAAAAGACATAGAACTTGCCTATGGGAGTTTACAGCATAAGTTCTAGTAGAATATATTAAATATAACTAATCTTCCAATGATGAATAAATTGAAAACAACTAAGACATGAATATTCATTTCAAATAAAAGGGGCATCTGCTGCCTATACAGAAATTCTTTCCTGCAGTATTTCAAGCCCAAACCCCCATTTGTTCTTGAAGTAGGTGGGGCTTTTTTTCTACAGTCAAAAAATGAGAAAAAAGAACAAAACAAGACAAAAGTGGGGCCTACTAGCACACCACATATGACCTAGTATTACTCTACATGACCTAGTATTACTCTACATGACCTAGTATTACTCTACGTAGTAACTAAACTGTATAGTACTTTAGGGAGAAAACGATCAGAATTTTACTAACATACAACCTTGAATTTTTTTCTTCAGTGGCAAGCTAACGGTGGACCTATAATGGTTTTGAGCTTGCTTAAAAGCTCATCATCAAGAAATTTAGCTTTCTTTGAGAAAAGTATCAGTACTACTTGTTGAATAATAGTGCCTGCCTAGTCATACATAACAATTTTTCTCATATGATGTGCATATGATTAAGAGTTGACTCAGCTAATGAGTCCTGTATTTTGTAACCAAATATGTCTTTTCTTGATTTAGCCCCTTGTAGATTTCATGTCTTCAAAGATTTTCTACACCAAATTTCATGTATTATTATCATCAACTTATTTCCTTTTGAATTAATCAGAAAGCTGTCAGGAAGAGCTTCTGATTAGCATGAGGTAGAACCATGTTGTCATCCAGAGTTGGTATTATTCCTGAGTAATGCCACAAATGTTAATGTGTTAGCCTGAGTAGTCTTGTAAAAGTTAATTGTAATTCTTTTGAATAATGAAAATAGACTAGGATTTCCATTGCTACTCTAGAAAGTTTTAAGGTTTCAGGACCCCCCCACCCCTGCCTTAAAGCTTATCATAATTTAAATTATGTTTATTACAATTGAGCCTTCGGTTTATGTCTTTTTGTTTTTAACTTTTCTCTCTTTTCCAGGGTGGGGGAGCCAAAGCTCAAAAGTACAAATTCACCACAACACATGGCTTCATTTTCCGGGACATAACCTGAGATGGATTCTTACATTCGCTCTCCTGTTTGTGCATGTCTGTGAAATAGCAGAAGGCATTGTTTCAGACTCGTAAGTGATCTAAGTTAAATAATACCACTGCAGTATACCAGTGGGTATATTGATTACACAAGTTCACATCTTTGTAACTTGTGCCCATAAATGTGCTTTATATTTTTTGCTCTCTGATCCATGTAGCTCTTGCAGGAAGTTCTTATGTCTTTTTGAACTTTTTAATGTTAAAAATAGGTATAAATGGAAAGATTGTCTACATTTACACATAGGTCTAATAGCTATATACTTATGTTAATATATTAATTATTTCTCAGATTTTTCCATTTATTTTGTAAAGAAGCAAAGATAGATGAGTCAGGATGAATGAGTCTGAGAATCAGTGAGGATAGAGCCATAAATTGATGCAAACCACAAAACTTTTAAAATCAAGATTTGTAATAAAACCAATTTTTTAAACTTTTATTTTAAGTTCAGGGGTACAAGTGCGTGTTTATTATGCAGGTAAACTTGAGTCACGGAGGTTTGTTGTACAGATTATTTCATCACCCTGGTATTAATCCTAGTACCCATTAGTTGTTTTTCCTGATCCTCTCCCTCCTCCTACCCTCCACCCTCTGAAAAGCAAAAGCCCCAGTGTGTGTTGTTTCCCTCTGTGTGTCCATGTGTTCTCATCATTTACCAAGTGAGAACATGTGGTATTTGGTTTTCTATTCCTGTTAGTTTGCTAAGAATAATGGCCTCCAGCTCCATCCATGTCCCTGCAAAGGAAATTATCTTGTTTTTTTCTGGCTGCATAGTATTCCATAGTGTATATGTACCACATTTTCTTTATCCAGTCTATCATTGATGGACATTTAGGTTGATTCCATGTCTTTGCTATTGTGAATAGTGCTGCAATGAACATATGCATGCATGCTTGTGTCTTTATAATAGAATGATTTATATTCCCATTACCCAATAATGGGATTGCTGTGTCAAATGGTATTTCTGTTTTTTGGTCTTTGAGGAATCACCACGCTGTCTTCTACAATGGCTAAACTAATTTACACTCCAACAAATGGTGCATAAGTATTCTATTTTCTCCACAGCCTCACCAGCATCTGTTATTTTTGACTTCTTAATTGTAGCCGTTTGACTGGTATGAGATGGTATTTCATTGTGGTTTATATTTGCATTTCTCTAATGATCAAGGATGTTGAGCTTTTTTCCATACATGTGTCTGTTCATGTCCTTTGCCCACTTTTTTATGAGGTTGTTTGTTTTTTTCTTGTAAATTTGTGTAAGTTCCTTATAGATGCTGGATATTACATCTTTGTTGGATGCATAGTTTGCAAAAATTTTCTTCCATTTTGTAGGTTGTCTTTTTACTCTGTTGATAGTTTCTTTTGCTGTGCAGGAGCTCTTTAGTTTAATTAGATGCAATTTGTCAATTTTTGCTTTTGTTGCAATTGTTTTTGGCATCTTTGTCATGGAATCTTTGCTCATACCTATGTCCTGAATGGTATTGCTTAGGTTGTCTTCCAGGGTTTTATAGTTTTAAAAACCCATATTTTTAAAGGAATTTTGTTATTTTTATAAAATAAGATGTTTCATTAGACAGTTAAAATATAATGAATTATATTTATAAACTTGAACATAATCTGGTGAAAATATTTTTCTCATATAGTAACAAAATAAACTCAAGAATAGGTAAATTTTGATTATGAAATTATGCTAAATGGTGTAACTTTCATTGAGGAGCTAATATTAGAAGACCTTTAAATTTTTTGATAGGAAAGTCTAAAATTTATTTTCTTCTTATTGAACTGGAACCTCCCTGACATCTGTTTGTGTTTTCTGTTGCAATTAACAAGGAATGAAACTTCTAAGCATTTGTCATGGAACCAACTATTTTGTAATGTTTTATGAGGGCTTTTCGCAGGTATGTGCATGTCTTAATTTCTGATAAAAAGAAAAATTAGAGACTCTAATAGATGCCATCCCTCCAGACATTTAGAAGCTTAATTGGATATTATCTTGTTGGTAACTGTTTAAAATGCTGGTATATTTATTTATACTAGCATAGCCAATTCTAGGCTTAATTTTTATACAGTAGCATTTAGGCTACTGTATCTGTTTATATGCGTATGTATAAAGTAGAAGATAGATCATCCAATATTTTTTTGAAACTTGACATCATGTGGACAAGAAGACTCCTCTGGTTGATATGTAGATTCAGTCAGGTCCTCACAAAACACAGATTGAACTCACAATAATAATGATATATCCTAATGGTAGAAACTTGTTTGTAGTGGTCATGATAAAAGAGGTCCTAAAAACAGGTAAAAATACAGCCTTGATTCTGTGTTATGCTCTTCTACTCTTTAGGTATAGACTTCTCCTTACCCTTTTTATTCAGGCTTTTCGAAACATCATCTTCTAGTTACTTCTTTTTTTTTTTTAATAAAGTAAAAAGGTTTAATTGACTCATAATTCCACATGGCTGGGGAGACCTTAGGAAACTTACAATCATGGCAGAAAGGGAAGCAAACAATTCCTTCTTCATATGGTGGCAGGAGAGAGAAGTGCAGAGCAAAGGGGAAAAAGACCCTTAAAAAACCATCAGATCTCGTGAGAACTCACTGATAATGTTGAGAACAGCATGAGGGAATTGTTGCCATTATCTAATCACCTCCCATGAGGTCCCTCCCCCAACACATGGGGATTACAATTCGGATTACAATTCAAGGTGAGATTTAGGGTGGGAACACAGCCAAACCATATCATAGCTCAATTTAATTTTTAAATTTAAATGTGCTTCTATATTTTTAGCAAATAAAGCTTACATTTTCTGAACTCAGGTACTTTAAAAAATATGAACTAATTTTTCTAGAGCAGTTTTAGGTTTACAGCAAAATTGAGTAGAAAATAGAGAGATTCCCTATATACATCTTTCCCCCACATATGCCCAATCTTCCCTGCTATCAAAACCCCACAGTATATATCCCATATAATTTCATAGTAATCTGCATTTAAGGTGCCTTTAAGTTTTTTCATGGCCAAATAGATCATTTCATTTTAGTGCTGAATGATATTCTATTGTCTGTATATACCACCATTTATTTATCCATTTGCCCACTGAAGGGCATCTGGATTGCTTCTAAGTTTTGGCCATTATCAAAAAAAATGCTATAAACATTTCTGTGCACGTTTGCACATATTGTGTAGACATAAATTTTCAACTCATTTGTGCTGGAGAGTCCTATTCCACCTTTCTGCTCCACTGGCCTGTAATTCTGTGACATTATCTACGCTGAGAGGATCTTGTCTTAGTTTTACAGATGAGACCTAAGATTATCTGTGTATAACATGACCTCCCCAGGTATGCCAATCATTTAACTTCTTTCCTTCCTCCTTTCAGAGGTCTGCTTTTTTGAAAACCTCATTTGTAAAAAAAAATTTGAATTTTTATAGTGCTATATAGATCTGTTTATTGACTACTTGGGCAGTGTTACACTTTTATAATTATCCTAACTTTACAATACATATCAGAAGAATTCTATGGTCCCATATTATATAGAAATATGACATCAATAACCTGTAGAATAAAGATAATTTTCAAAACTTTCTGTCACTTATCTGGATTAAGAAAATGTGGCACATATACACCATGGAATACTATGCAGCCATAAAAAAGGATGAGTTCATGTCCTTTGTAGGGACATGGATGAAGCTGGAAACATCATTCTCAGCAAACTATTGCAAAGACAACCAAACACCGCATGTTCTCACTCATAGGTGGGACTTGAACAATGAGAACACTTGGACACAGGAAGGGGAATATCACACACTGGGGCCTGTCATGAGGTAGGGGGAGGGGGGAGGGATAGCATTAGGAGATATACCTAATGTAAATGACGAGTTAATAGGTGCAGCACACCAACATGGCACATGTATACATATGTAACAAAACTGCATGTTGTGCACATGTACCCTAGAACTTAAAGTATAATAAAAAAATATGTATATATAAAATTAATACCCAGTACAAAACCAATTGACAATATCTAAAATTTTATAATGAAGAAAGAGGAATGATAACACACTCTTCTAGTTACTTCTAAATCCAAACATTTAGTTTTGCTTTTTCTCTTGCCCCATCTTATTCTGGAAACTGCTTCCGTAAGAATCTTCATGATTATTAATGACAACTAATGGAGACTCTTTTATCTTTATCATAATTATGACTTATGACACTGCTGATCACTCCATCTTTCTTTTTTTAAATAAAACCTTTATGAATTATTTACTTAATATCTGACAAATGCTCATTACAATTAGAAAAACAGTGCAAAGTCTTTCCTAATAGAATATTTGATTTTTTTTTTAGTAATAGAAGCATTTAAAGCTAGTAATTTTTCTTTTGGAACATCCTTTGTTCTGCATTAGTTTTTGTTCTCCTTTTTATTTCTACCTGTGATTCCGGTTTACTCTCCTAGGTTTAGGAATCCTTTTTAGTTTGCTCTTTTGTTTAATTTGATTGGTTTATTATTAAAGCATGTAGTTTGTAAAATGATTACTCTTTGTGGTTTATTAGCATTTTTATTATAGTCAAATACTTCATTATTTTATAAATATTTAATTAGTATTAGAAAGTAATATATACACTTTGTAGGAGACAAAATTTTATTGCGTTTACTGATTGTATTACTGAAGTTCTATATGTTGCTTGTTTTTATACTATTTAATCTGTCAAAATTCTAAAAGCAGTGTATTAAAATCTTCACTATTACTGTGTTTTATTAGGTTTTTATTTTTATCATTTTCTGTCTTTCAAAATGATTTCTTTCACCTTTGCAATATAATACTTTAAAAATTTCTTTCCAATGTTCTGACTAAAGACTTTCTGCTGTAATGGGACATAAGCGCTCCTACCAAGCCATCGAGGTGTGCAAATCATACTCTAAAAAGAACATAGCTTAAGGGAAAAAATTAGCATTTGAAGACCATTCAAAACCTACGCAGCTTTGTAAATAGAGAACTAACAAAATAACAGCAATCCTATAAAAATACTAGCATGGTTAAAAGACATATTAAATCCCTAATAAAGGAGTGCCACCATAAGTACAAAACTTAATTGTAGCTGCTATTATCTTTACTAAATCTTTGTTATTGCTTCCTTTAATAATGGTTTGTCATTCTTTTTCTAAAATCTTAAATTGACTTTTAATTTATTTATTATAATTATTTCTTATCAAACCTGTTTAAGGTTATAAACTTTCTTGTGAGTATGGTTGTGACCACATTTTACAGGATTGGATAGGGAGTGTGCTCACTTTAAAATTTCCTAAATAATATTAGTAAGTGAATTTTGGTTTCCTTCCTTCCTTCCTTCCTTTCTTCCTCCCTCCCTTCTTTTCTTTTCTTTTTTTCTTTCTTCTTTCCTTCCTTCCTCCCTCCCTCCCTTCCTCTTTTCTTTCTCTCTTTTTCTTTTTCTTTCTTTCTTTCTCTTTTTCTTCCCTTCCTTCCTTCCTTCCTTCCTTCCCTCCCACCCTCCCTTCCTTCCTTCCTTCCTTCCTTTCCCCCTTCCATCCTCTCCCCTCCCCTCCCCTCCCCTTCCTTTCCTTTGCTTCTTTTTTTGAGACAGAGTCTTGCTCTGTTGCCCAGGCTGGAGTGCAGCCGCGTGATCTCGGTTCACTGCAATGTCTGCCTCCCAGGTCCAAGCGATCCTCCTGCCTCAGTCCCCCAAGTAGCTGGGGTCACAGGCATGTGGCACCACACATGGCTAATTTTTGTATTTTTAATAGAGATGGAGTTTCACCATGTTGCCCAGGCTGGTTTCAAACTCCCGGCCTCGAGTGATCCGCCCACCTCGGCCTTGCTAAATGCAGGGATTGCAAGCGTAAGCCACCACGTCCAGCCAGATTCTTTCTTTGATTCAATAGTCAGAGAATATTAGAAGCATTTCCTAATTTCTGTACTGACAAAATAGTTATCTATTTTTTCCTCTGATGATTTTGATCTATTTACAGGAGGTGGTAGGTGGTTTTTAAGCGCTACCATACTACTTTCACATTTTTATTACCATGTCTATATTAATGATTCCAAATTATATCACTGACCATGTTCCAAATGTCTACAGACACTTAAATTCCATTTGCATGCTTATTGGACACCTTCACAATCCATAAATGTCTGGCGAAACTTATTAGCTCCTCTTTCCAATCTGCTCATCCTCTTAAAATCTTATTTGGTCACACGGCCATCCACACAGACACCCTAGGAATTATCTTCTACTTCTCTATTGCCATCACCCTCATACCCTAATGTTAGTAAACTCCTGTCTATTTCACCAATCAGTCTTTTCCAAATGTATTATTTCCTTCATGTTACTGCTGCCAAAGCTGAAGTCAGACCTTTATCATCTGTCACCTGACTTTATACCCATAGTTTCCTAACTGCTTTTCTTCCTTCCATTTCTCTCCCTCCACTACAAACTCGTGTATTACCAACCAACTTCCTTATCCACATGACTGCTAGAGCTATCCGTTTAAAACAAATCTGATCATACCGCTTACCTATTCAAGTGTTTCAGTTTTCCACGGGTTGAGATGCCAGCCTCTTACCATGGCATACAAAGCCTTCCATGATACATTCTATCTTAAACTTTCTGTTTCAAGAATATTAAACTACTTGGAATTTTGAACATGTTGTATTGTTTCATGCTTCTATGTATTTGCACATTCTGTTCCTTTTTTAAAATGACCCTTTTCCTGACCAGTGGATTCCTTTCCATATTTCAGTTCCCATTGTCAACCATACCTCTCCTGGAATGACTTTCTCAGTGTTCTCCTATCCCCCAATCTTGAACTAGTCACTCTCTTCTCTATACCATTTATGTACTAATATCTTCAAGTAATTTGAGAAAAGCAAAATGTTTCACTCTGTGGCATTATTAATGCCAATGGAGTTGAGGGCTGTCTACTATGCACATCTGGTCTGGAATCACTGGGTCACCTGGTGATCTCTGTTGCCTTCAGAGTGAAGTCTATTCTCCTTGCAGTCATGCTGAATTGCTTGCAATACCCTTGAACACATTGGCCCCTCTGCCTGGAACTGTCTTCCTCTCTTCTTCCTCTGAGTAGCCATTCCTGATTCTTGAAGTGTCAGTTTAGAAGTCACTTCCTTCTCAAAGCTTTCTTTGTCCCAGACGTGCACTCTATGTTCTCACACTGTCCCTTCAGCTGTGTTGTAATTTCCTATTTGCTATTGGTATCCTCAATATACTAGATTTTTTTACTACAGATGTTACGTCTTGTTTTCTTCATGGTTGCATCCAAGTAGCTGGACCAGCAATCACAGATGCATTGAATGAATTAATGAGAATGGAGAAATCACTGAAGACTATCAAGTTGGGAGTGCTGTCAAAGGAACAAACACACTTTTCACACACATTGGAGTTCAGATTGAGTTAACTGTTTTCACTTGCTTTAGTTCTTAAATTATTTCAGCAGCTCTGCCCTACAGTATAGGAGTAGCTATACATTTGTTTCTTTGTAAGCATTTTAAGGTATAGTTTTGTTGTTTACTTGGCCATTCATGTTAAGATAAATCGTTTCCGCAGAACGATGTCTTTCAATATATTCTTCCCTTATGTATTATCTTGGAAACTACTATTGCATTCTGTATTTTAAACATCTTATTGCTAAGATAGAGTTCTTATGAAAAAATTTGAAAAAAAATAAGAAATTATCTGGAACCATCAGCTTTAGGCGTTGACGTACTGCTCTTTCTAGGCGGCGGGAATCAAGGCACCTCCACCTCTTTATGCCAGCCGTGATGGGATTCGTTGCCACTACAACATCGATAGTGTATTATCATAATATCGAAACATCAAATTTTCCTAAATTACTTTTAGGTAAGTATGATCACTTTTGTTGTTTCTCCTTAAAGAGATATTTGTTTTTCCCCCCAAAGGGTTATTTTTCTTTTTCCTCAGGGTAAATAGTATCAGAGTGTGTGGGGAGTAGAAAGTATGGGAAAACCAGTGATTAATTCTCCTGTAGCTGCCCAGTAAATGTGGGGTTGAAGATAAGCTGAGTTGCTCTAGGCTGTGAAAATTCCTTACCCCCAGGTCATCTCTTCTGCAATAAATGCTCTCTGTGGTGTAGGGGGGTGGGGGAAGAAAGTGGAGGAAATATGGCTGGCCTTCTGGCTTGCAGAAGTTGTATTTTAAGAATCAGAGCTCTTGTGAGGAGCTGCGGCACCATGCTGCCCTGTGAACAAGTCATCTCCTCTAGTTCCAGGTGTTTCTGTCTCTGGCTTGGAGTCCAAGGACATTTTCCCAAGGTTCAAGCCTTTCACTGATGCTGTGGGAATGCCACATTTTACTAGAATTACTATGTAGCAGAGTATGTTTCTAGCATAATGAAAAGTATGCTGTCCTGAGGAGCAGCTGCCATTACATCACGGCCTTTCGCACCTGCATTGTGACTAAAATTGTTTTATTAGCCTCTCTTGCTTCCTTGTTCTGTGGAAATCAGAGGCTCTCTAAAATATTCCTAATTTTATTTTTGCCTTGGGTCAAAATTATATAACGCATCTATATGAGTTATGTTCAATACTCTGACCCATCACTGTATTCCTTGGAGTATACTTTCTTTCTTAAAGAGATAAAGGTATGGAACAAGAATCACAGATGGGCTATGAACCTCCTGAAATTGTAGTTCGAATTATGTGTTTGTGTGAATGATGCTTACTGTTTCTGATTTTATTTGATTGTTGTATAATGAAAATGATGTTGGCTAATGATATAGAAATTAGGAGAAGAAATATTGAAAACACACACACAGTATTTTATTCATTTGTCCAGAGGACATGAAAATTTAAAATGGATGCATGAAAGATATTGATTATTTAATTATATGTTGTGTCACATTATATGATTGTTAAAGGCAATCTAATAAAAAAGGTAGAGAGGGTTAAATATTAATTTAAAAGGCTGTCACATTTTGAATTATCTTAATAGAAAGGTCTTTTGTGCAAAATGAGAGGCAGACATTATTGCAGAAAATGCCAAAAAAAGAGAAAGAAATTTCCAACAAGTAGCTGCAAAAAAATATGTGAAATTGAGAATTTAATAAGCTAAATATCTATTTTTGAAAAGTTGATGGTAAAAAGAAAGGTTATAACTAGAAAGGAATTTAGATATTAATAATGTTTTGATGGAAATGCAATCAGAAGAGGCCTATTATTGTTATTTAGGTGCAAGACAGCACAATTTGATCATATTGCTGGAAGGACATGGAGATAAAATATAATATTTCTTGTTATTTTAACAGAGAAAAATTTGGACCTAGGAAAGTTACTCATTTTAAGACCACAAAGATAGTAATTTTGTCTCAACATTTCATTATGAAAATCACCAAATGTACAGAAAGTTGAAAGAATCATGTGAATTCCCACTTACCCAACATCTGAATTCTTCAAATTACATTTTTTCTGTTTGTTTTATCACATATCTACATCTTTTCATCCTTCTATTCATACCTCTCTCCATCTTAGTTTTGATGCATTTTAAGGTAAGTTGTAGACATTAGTATACTTTACCTCTGAACGCTTCATGCGTATCTTTTTGTGAGACAAAATTTATATACATGAAACACAGCGATCTTAATTTGCTAAATGCATGTACCTATATAACACTATCATGACATAACTATCATCCATGCAAATTTTCTTATACTCAATTTCACCTTTACAGAAGCAATATCTGTTCTGATTTTTACCCCCACCATGGATTAGGTTTGCCTGTTCTAGAACTTCATGTAAATTGAATGACACAGTATAGACTTTTAAGTAAGGCTTCTTTTTCTAAGCATGATTTTTTGATGCTCATCCGTAATGTAGCATAGATCAATATTTTCTTATTGTTGCATTTCATTGTATAACTATATCATAGTTTTTTCAATCCCTTGTTAATAGACATCTGTACTATTTCCAGGTTTTAGCCATCATGAGAGTAAAAGCTGCTATCAACATTCTTAAGTATTTTGTGGCTATATGCATTTATTTCTCCTAGGTAAATACCTAAGAGTGAAATCTCTGGGTCATACAATAAGTGGGTAAATGTTCATATTTTAAGAAACTGACATCTTTTCCCAAAATGTTTGTATCATTTTTTATACTCACTAACAAGGTGTAAGAGTTCCAGTTCCACATGTTCATCATTTGGTGATCTTGGTCTAATTTAGTCATGCTAGTGGGTGTGTACTGGTAATACATTGCGGTTTTAATTTGCATTTATCTGATTGCTAATTATGTTGAACACTCTTTGATGAGTTTATTGGCCATTTTTAATCTTTGGGATGTGGCTATTCATATCTTTTGCCCATGTTTCATTGGGTTGCACTTTTATTATTGCGTTGTAGGAATATTTTGTGCATACTAGATATTAGTATGTCATCAGTTACATGTTTTGATAATGTTTTCCTTCTAGTCTGTGGCATACATATTCATTTATTTAATAGGGTCTTTTAATGAGCAGAAGATTTTAAATTTCGATGTAGTATAATTTATCATTTCTTCTAGTCCTTAGTTACTGCTTTCTGTGTCTTAAGACATCTTTGTCTTCCCTCTAAATATGTTTCCCTCTTATTCTCCTGTTTGCTTTTAGATGCTTTATGGTTTCCATTTTTATTTTTAGGACTACGATTCTTTCTAAATTAATTGTGTATATGGTGTAAGATAGGTGTCAAAGTTCTTTTTTTTTTTTTTCCAAGTGGATATCAATGTGTTCCAGCACCATTTGTGGGATAGACTTTCTGTTTCTCAAGAGATTGCATTGGCACTTATGTAAAAAAAAATAAATCAAATGACTATTTAAATTTAATCTATTTTGGCTCTATTTTCTGTTTCTTTGATGTATTCATAGATTTTTATGCGACTAACATTTTCTCTTGCTTTGGAGTTCTTGAAGTCATAAATTATAAGTCACACAACATTTTCTTTGTTTTCCTCCGAAGTTTGCTTTGGCTATTCTAGTTCTTTTGAGTTTCTATATACAGTTTAGAATCAGGTTTACAATTTCTCCAAAAAAAAAAAAAAAAGAAAAAAAAAAAGCTTGGTAGGACCATTATGGGGATTGCATTGAATTTATAAAACAATTCAGGAGATAATTGGCATCTTCACACTATTGGGTTTCACAATCCAGTCTTCATTTATTTAGGTCTTTTGTTTCCCCTTGCAGTGTTTTGTAGCTTTCAGTGTAGAGGTCTTTCATGTCTTGTTAACTTTACTTCAAGTATTTTTCTTTGCTTTCCTTTTATTGTATGTGAAATTTATTTCATATTTCATTTTCAATTGTTTCTTCCATTATGTGAAATGCAATTAAGTATTGATGCAAAAATTCTCAACAAAATACCAGCAAATCAAATTCAACAACACATTAAAAAGATCATTCATCATGATCAAGTGGGATTTATCCCTAGAATGCAAGCATGGTTCAACATTTGCAAATCAATAAATATTATTTGCAAATCAATAAATATTATAAAATACCTAGGAATTAACCAAAGAAGTGAAAGATCTCTGTAACAAAAACTATCAAACACTGGTGCATGAAATTGAAGAAGATACAAATAAATGGAAAGATATTCCATATTCATGGACTGGAAAAATAAGCATTGTTAAAATGCCCTTACTACTCAAAGCAATCTACAGATTTAATGCAATCCCTATCAAAATACCAATGACATTTTTCACAGAAATAGAAAAAACAATTCTAAAATTTATAGGCAGCCATAAAAGACCTAGAATAGTCAAAGCTATCCTAAGCAAATAGTACAAAACCAGAGGAATCACATTACCTGATTTCATACTACAAAGCTGTAGTAATCAAAATGGCATGGTACTGGCATAAAAACAGACACATAGATAAGTGGAACAGAATATAGAATCCAGAGATAAATCCATACATCTATAGTGAAGTTATCTTTTAAAAAGGGCCAAGAACATACACTGAGGAAAGGACAGTCACTTCAATAAATGGTTCTGGGAAAACTGGATATCCATATGCAGAAGAACAAAACTAGACCCTTGTCTCTCACCATGTACAAAAACAAAATCAAAATGGATTAAAGACTTAAATCTAAAATCTTAAACTGTGAAACTACTACACGAAAATATTGGGAAACTCTCTAGGACATTGGACTGGGCAAAGATTTCTTGAGCAACACCCCTCAAGCACAGGCAACCAGAGCAATAATGAACAAATGGGATCACATCAAGTTAAAAAGCTTCTGCACAGCAGAGGAAAAAGTCAACAAAGTGAAGACACAATCTACAGAATGGGAGAAAATATTTGCAAACTGCCTGTCTGACAAGGGATTAATGAGCAGAATATATAAGGAGCTCAAACAACTCTATAGGAAAAAAATAACTAATAATCCAATAAAAAAGGGGCAAAAGATCTGAATAGACATTTGTCAAAAGAAGACACACGAATGGCAAACGTGTATTAAAAGGTGCTCAATATCACTGATCATCGGAGAAATGCTTATCAAAACTACAATGAGATATCATCTCACTCCAGTTAAAATGGCTTGTATACAAAAGTCAGGCAATAAGTAATGCTGGCAAGAATGAGGAGAAAAGGAAACCCTTGTACACTATTGGTGGAAATGTAAATTAGTACAACCACTATGAAGAACAGTTTGTAGGTTCCTTAAAAAACAAAAAGTTGAGCTACCATACAATTCAGCAACCCCACTCCTAGGTCTATACCCAAAAGAAAGGAAATCAGTATATCGAACAGACATCTGCACTCCCATGTTTATTGCAACACTGTTCACAATAGCTAAGATTTTGAAGCAACCTAAGTGTCCATAAACAGATGAATGGATAAAGAAACTGTGATACATGTACCACAATGGAGTCCTATTTAGCCATAAAATAAGAATAAGATCCTGTCATTTGCAACCACATGGATGGAACTTGAGGTCATTGTTTAAGTGAAATAAGACAGGCACAGAAAGACAGACATCTCATATTCTCGCTTATTTGTGGGAGCAAAAAAATAAAAACAATTGAACTCATGGAGATAGAGAGTAGAATGATGGATACCAGAGGCTGGGAAGGGTCGTGGGGTGCTGGGAGAGGCAAATGGGGATGTTTAATGGGTACAAAAATTAGGAAAAATGAATAAGACCTAGTATTTGATAGCACAACAGGATGGCTACAGTCAATAATAATTTAATTGTACATTTAAAAAAGAATTAAAGAGTACAATTGGATTATTTTTAACAGAAAGGATAAATGCTTGAGGTGATCAATGCCATATTTACTCTGATGTGATTATTACTCATTGCATACCTGTATCAAATCATTTCATGTAACCCATAAATATATACCTACAAATAAAAAATAAAATAAAATAAAATGATTTTGTATGTTGACTTTGTATCTTGCAGCCTTAGAAATTCACTTATTACTTTTAGTTATTGCTTTGTAGGTTTCCTAAGATTTTCTGTATAAGCAAACATGCCATCTGCAAAGAGAGACACTTATTTTCTTTCAACCTTCTTTATGCCTTCTTTTTTCTTTTTCTTTTTGCTTGTCTTATTGCTGTAGCTAAGATGTCCAGTAAAATGCCAAATAGACATAAGACTGAAATCCTCTCTGGTTCCTGATTTTAGGGGAAAATGGTCAGTCTTTCATAATTAATTGTAATGTTAGTTATAGGTTTTTCATAGCAGACCTTTATTTGCCTAGTAAGTTTTCTTTTATTTAAAGCTTACTCAGGGTGTTATTAAAGTCTTGAATGGGTGTTGAATTTTATTAAAGTTTTTTTCCTGTATCCATTAGGAAAATTGTATTTCTGTTAGTATGCTAAATTGCATTGATCTGTTTTTCAAATAAAGTAACAATGCATTTCTGAGAAGAACCACACATAGTCATAATATATTATGCATGCTTGATATCACTAGATTTCATTTGTTAAGGCTTTTTACATCTATGTAATGAAGGATATTCATCAGTTATTTTCTTGTAATTCCTTTCTTCAGGCTTATACAGGCTGCATTAAACTGGCTTCATAAATGAGTTGGAAAGTGTTTTCTCTCTATTTTTCTGAAAGACTTTGTATAAGGTTAATTTTATCTCTTTCTTAAATGTTGAATAGAAATCACTAGTAAAGTCATCTGGACCTGGAATTTGGGCTAAGGGAGGATTTAAAATTATAAATTTATTTCTGTATTAGACAGAGTGTTATGTCTAATACTTTTTTATATCTAGTAAAATTTTAGGTCTAAATTTTATTATAATTTAGTAAATATATTGTCTAATTTCCTTAGTGACTATATAGAATTTTCAGAGTATCTACTTCTTTTTATGTTAGTTTTGATAAGGTACATTTTTAAGTAATTTTCCATTTCATGTAAATTTTTGGATATATTGTCATAATGTTATTCATGATATTTCCTGATTCTCCTTTTAAAGTATGTAGGGTATGCAGGGATAGTGCCTCTTTCATTCCTAGTATTGGTTTTTGTGTTCTTCTTTTCTTGAACTGTCTAGCTAGGGACTTATCAATTTTATTAGTCTTTTCAAAGAATGGCATTATCAATTTTGTCCATTTTATCAATTGTTCATTTTTCTATTTTATTGCTTTCTACTCATCTCTATTGTTTTCATCTTTTTTGGGGGATCCTTTTTTATTCTTTCCTGAGCTTTAAAGGTAGCTATGCAGTTTTGAACCTTATACTGTAAAATAAATATCTAAAGCTGTAAATTTTCCTCTGAGTCTTATTTTAGTTGTACTTCTTGAATTTTAAATATGTAGTATTTTTATTATAGTTAATGTATTTTAATATTATCTGACCTCTTTAGTGATTTCTTCTTTAACATGTGGATTATTAGTAATGTGTTGTTTAATTTCCAAATATTTTGAAGCTTTTAGATATCTTACTGCATGAAAAGATCAAAGGTTACCTCCTTATCTCTGTGTCTGATGTTCCTGCCCTTTATGACTCTCTTGCCTTGAGTGTGAGTAGGACCTGTGCCTGGGTTCTAGCCACTAGACTGTGGCATGGAGGAAGGTCTCCAATCAGTAGAGTCTTTATTGAGCCAGCAGACCCAGTCAATACCTAGAACCTGGTGAGAACCTGGAGCAGAGAACCCAGCCTCGTGAGAACCTGGAATAGAGAACCCAATTGACCCTGGCTCAAAGTCCTGAATCCTAGAAACCATGAGTTAATAAATGTGTGCAGTTTTAAGCTGCTCAGTTTGTTATAGTTTGTTAAGTAGCGATAGAAAATCAATAGTCTGACTGTTCTTGATTTTTTAAATTTAACTTTATTGTGGTCAGAAAACGTACTCTATATGATTTCTGTTATTTCAAATTCATTTCTCTTTGTTTTCTGGCTAAACATATAATCTATACCAGTACCATATTCAGTTAATACGAAGGTACAATCTGAAGATGTTAGAAGTATTTTTAGAGTACCAAATCTCAAATAGTTTTATAAATATCAAATAGTATGAGGTATTTGATAGTGTTCTAATACATCTTCTAAATCTTCATTGGTCATATGTCTATTTTTTAATGTATCTTTCTAAAAACTGGACACTTTTATTATTATTAAAAGTCTTTTTTATTTCTGATAATAATTGTCTTGAAGTCGGCTTTGTTTGACATTAATATAGCAACTCCAAATTTCTTACGCTTAATTGTTTTCATTGTATATCTTTCCCATCTACTTACTTTTAAGCTACTCTAATACTTAAGGTGAATCTCTTTAGATAGCATATAATTTGGTCTGTTTTTTTTTTTAATGAATCCATTCTGACTCTACATTTAAGCTAAAACAAGATACACATTGAGTTCATATGCCAATGATCAGTATTTTTCACTAATGAAGTGATCACTCAACTTTTCTGGTTCTGATAAATGTTGTCCAAGCTGGATTGTCTTATGTGTGTCTTAGATTTCTTCTTTCTTAGACCATATTCATTTGTACTTACATTTATTCAAAGTTCAAAGTAGATTGTATCCTTGCCAAAATATTTCTAGGAAAGTCTCTGCTTCTATCTCATATTGGCTGCAAAATGCTGATTGTAGTTTTGCGGCAGTGTAATCCTTGCCTTTCTGGTCCTAGTACTTGACGTTTCAGTTCGCTCTATAAGACCATTGTTCTTTGTGCTATGTGAAAGTGCGTGGTGTTTTAAACCATTTGACTAAGGAAAGTCACTTACTACTTGAATAAGAATCTGTAAGGCAGAAACTCAATTACATAGATACATGAATTCCATGATAATTCCAGGGTAATACCATGAGACATATCCTTGGGTTTGCAACACACCTATGAAGTAGGTTATACAGACACCAACTTGTGAATTATTCATATAATTAAGGCTCTTTGAAAACAGGACCAGAAGATAAAGCTACTTTTTAAAATTTATAGACTTACACGTACATTTTGAAGAGTCTAGTTTATCCTATTATATATCTCTTTACATCCTCCCATCTATCATGTACGGTCAGGATGGACGCACTCAACATTTTCAAGTTATTACTCCTTCAACTCAAAACTCCAGAAGTACACTAAATCATATATGTTGTTTTCTTACCAAGTAAAACCATGTGGAAATATAGTACATAAAATTGCCTTTGTTATTAAAAAGCATCATAATTACATTCAAATGCTAGTGATGTTTAAGAAAAGATTGCATCTTTCTCTTTTTGTCTTTTTCTTTTCAGCCCTGTTCCTGTATTGGGTAATGGCCTTTATTACAAAAACAATAAAATTGGTTAAGTACTGTCAGTCTGGCTTGGACATATCAAACCTGCGTTTCTGCATCACAGGCATGATGGTCATCTTGAATGGGCTCTTGATGGCTGTGGAGATCAATGTCATTCGAGTCAGGGTAGGTAGCTAATGGCTTTTGTTTAGTTACTTGGATTCAAGACCCCAATATGAAAGATTACAGTTAGCTAGAAATCATTAGTATTGACAAGGATGAACACATGTATTTGATTTATATATATAAATATAAAGTTGAACTAATCACTAAATTCAGGCCATTAATGTTTCAGAAATCTCAGTGTGACCCTAGAAACTATTTATTCATTCACAAATATTGATTGATCAAATGCTTGCTATGTGTCAGATATTATGCTCAGTTTATATTACAGAAGAAATTGTTTTTAGGAGAAAGTTCAATCATCCATGATTGGTCTCAAAGCACACCTGGGTTAAGCAAAATACTGCATTCTCAGAAATTTAAAACTGAAAAGAAAATAATCTAATCCAGTTTGCTCATTTTGCTGATGAAGAAACATGTAGAGATAGCTTTGGCTATATATCCAAAGTAATATGGTCAAGACACACACCTGGTTTGTAATTGCATATTGATTGTACTTTCCACCACTTAATACTGTCAGTTATGTTGTGTGAGATACTAGAGATAGATTTTCCAGTATTCATTTTTTATCAGAGAACTTTGAACTTGATCTGTGAGTAGAAAGATATATGCTGCAATGCATGTGGAGAGTAGTCAGTTAACATCAGGAAACCATAGATCAAGAGACTCAATAATGGTGTTGATAATACATTTTAAAATCTAAACAAAGTAAAAACCTTCATTTGGTTGACCCTATCATAGGATATCATGAAACACTGACTCTTAGTAAAAACTATCTTTTAAAAGGTTAAGTGATCTTTTAGAATTGACCCCAAGAGGATTACATGCAAAATTCTGGCATTAACTAGTTCATCTAGTCACAACAGAAGGAAATATCTCAAAGAATATTTCAGAAAGGGATGGAAGGAGGCATTAAAATATAAATTTTGGTCACCTGAAATGAAAATGTAGAAAAGGTTGAAATTTTATTTTTAATATGTGGAAAATAATTGGACTAATTGTTATACTGTGGAATTTTTCTTGCCACAGAGATATGTATTTTTCATGAATCCTCAGAAAGTAAAGCCTCCTGAAGACCTCCAGGATCTGGGAGTGAGATTTCTTCAACCATTTGTGAATTTGCTGTCAAAAGCAACATACTGGTGGATGAACACACTTATTATATCTGCTCACAAAAAGCCTATTGATCTGAAGGCAATTGGAAAATTGCCAATAGCAATGAGAGCAGTAACAAATTATGTTTGCCTGAAAGATGCATATGAAGAACAAAAGGTGATTTAGCGTCTGTCTTCCATGTGCTTAATTACAGAGAATGGTCCTGTTGGCATGAACCTGGGAGGCAGAGCTTGCAGTGAGCCAGGATTGGGCCACTGCACTCCAGCCGGGGTGACAGAGTGAGACTCTGTCTCAAAAAAAAAAAAAAAATATATATATATATACACACACACACACACACACACATATATACACACACATATACACACATATATACATATATACACATATATACACACATATATACACGTGTCTATATACACATACATATATACACATGTCTATATATACACACATATATACACATTATATATACATACACATGTCTATATATACACACATATATACACATTATATATATATACACATGTATATATACACACATATATATACACATTATATACACACACACACACACACACACACACACACACACACATATATATATAAAGACACAAAGCTTAGGCCAGGCACGATGGCTCATGCCTATAATCCCAGCACTTTGGGAGGCCGAGGCAGATGGATCACCTGAGGTCAGGAGTTTGAGACCAGCCTGACCAACATGGAGAAACCCCATCTTTACTAAAAATACAAAAATTAGCCGGGCATGGTGACGCATGCCTGTAATCCCAGCTACTTGGGAGGCTGAGGCAGGAGAATTGCTTGAAACCGGGAGGCGAAAGTTGTGGTGAGCCGAGATTGCACCATTGCACTCCAGCCTGGGCAACAAGAGTGAAACTCTGCCTCAAAAAAAAAAAAAAAAAGGACACAAAGCTTAAATCATATCTATGGTTGAGGAAGAGCAGATTTCCTTTATCTGTCTTCCTCTGTACTTTTGAATCATGTAAATTGGGCCTGGAAGACTGGAAGAGCCAATGAAGTATACTTATATTAGTTGCTCCATTAATACATGAGGAAGGATAGAGTGAGTACTGTCTTTTCTCTGGGACATGTCACCAAGTGGAAAGTAAGAATTAAGTTCAATGATCATGTATAACTAATCCATTACCACGTAATATTAATAACTCATGAAATTTTTGTTATTGTCTTTTCACAAGCATAATATGTTTGTTATATAAAGAGGTAAAATAGATACCAACTAATAATCACTTTGGAGAAATTAAAAACCTTACATTAATTAGTGACTAAAATTTAGCTTCTATAGTTCAAAATGAGAGACTAAATTAAATAAAAGGGCATTGTCTTCCTCTTCCATGTATCATCCTATATGGCTGTCAAAATTGGCTTCCTCTGGCACTTTTCCTAAGTATTCATTATTGTTTTAAAAAATTTAAAGATGAGAGTCTTTGGATATTTTCATTTTGTCTTTTATCATTCTAAATAGTCATGCATGCTACCCACAGTGGTAGATGTGTTTTCTATTGCCATCATCTACAAATATCATTGCCATTTAAAATATTAGGATTCTCAACAACACTGGAAGGAAATAGAGTATGGTAAAACAGCTAATGAGTTTTTGGCTGTTCTAAATGAAGATCAATGAAACATTTATGGTAAATGATGAAAATAATCTCTGTTTTGTGTCAGAAATATGTGTTATGAAATTAAATGGCAGGAAAAGGTTACAACAAATGAATCTGAGTCATTTCTCTGGTTTCACCTCTGGGAAAAGTATTGCATAAAATTTTTAAAACTGCTAAAGTAAAGATGTTTGCAGTCTAGCCTAAGCATAGTTTAATTTTTCTGAGTTCTCTTTACAACAGAGATTAGCTTGAACTTGGTGTGTTAACGTCTACATAAACTTTGGAAAACAAATTATTTATTTAGTTTAACAGGGGGTTGCATAGGGAACATAATTGAGCTCTATTCTAGTGAGTTGACTTCCTTGTCACAATGAAAAAACTTTATCTACCTCCTCCCTAAATTTTAATTATGATGATTGCTCAGGTCTTAAAATTTTATTTACAACAAACAACTATAGCTGTGTGAAGCCATGAGTTGACTTAAGTATAAATGCTGTTCTTCATTTTGCATTTCTTTGAGGAATACCTAGGAAACACAAGTCTACCATAATTTTTTAAAGTATTGACTACCATTCAGGGAGATAAGAAATACCATGGAGGAGAAACAACTTGAAGTTGGGATAATCTGTTTTGTTTAGCTGGTAATTATTGGATAGGCAAACCTGTGGTGATGTAGTAACTCCAAAAGTCTTGACCAGTCTGCCTATAACCTTGATGTTTGTGCTTTACTCTTTTGCTTGCTATGCAATGCTATTTGGCAATTTGCATGACAAATATATATTTTCCCAATCAAAGAAAACTGAAAATGAATTAGGCTTTAAGAATCCTGTGTCATCCTTTGATAAGTAAAATAATACAGAGTCTTAGAAAAACTGTCTTGTTTACTTCTCATTCTCTCTATTTTATTAAAATGCATTCAGTAGCTACTATTTTCGTAGAAGGCAAGGATACAGAATTATGCATGCTATGCTGAAAGGCACACATTAACATCAATTTTTAAACCCTTAAAGTATTTTTGAAGTATAAGAAGGAATTTCCATACATGAGATTAGTTACTGCTCTAAGCAGTTTTATTTTGTTACATCTGTTTTTTTTTTCTTTTTTTTTTCTTCAGAAAAAAGTTGCAGATCATCCAAATCGGACTCCATCTATATGGCTTGCAATGTACAGAGCTTTTGGGCGACCAATTCTACTTAGTAGCACATTCCGCTATCTGGCTGATTTACTGGGTTTTGCTGGACCTCTTTGTATTTCTGGAATAGTTCAGCGTGTGAATGAAACCCAGAATGGGACAAATAACACAACTGGAGTAAGTTCCTGGTGATTTTCAATGGAAACATATTATTGATGGATTTCATTGTAATTGTCACTTTTTATTAATGCAGTTTTATGAGTTGTTCAAATAGGCTTTTTTTCAGAGAATTGAATGCTTTCTAAAAGAAAGAAAACAGTAATTTTCCTTTTAGAAAAAAATCACGTGTTTATGTATTTATTCATTGAATGAATCTGGCCACCAAAATTATTTCTCAGATTCAGAGCCTATAAACATTTAACAAGCATTTACGGTATGCCAGAAACTTTGTGTAGAAATTGTGCATTGATTGTTTTATTTAATCTTTATAGGAACTCTTTAAAGAATTTTTATACATGATGGGTGGCTGAGTCACTTCTTTAGAGGTCTGTGACCAATAATACTAGCAATGTGATTTGTAATATTGTACATTTCTCTTTTCTTATATAATAAAAACCCACCACCCTGTTTCACAATGTTCAGGGCAAGTCACATTATGATATTTTATTAGACATTATGTTATTATATTGGGGCTATATAGTTAAAATACTGCGTGTTTATGATCATAAATATATAATTTTTATTTTCTACTTTTAATAAAGACTGCATTGTGAACTTCCTACTTTCTTTCTAAGTATTGATTTTTGTAGTTCTACATATAGAAACTATCGCCAGATTAATCCATTTTCCTTTTCTGTTCTCTCAATCTGATTTCCTGTCCTCTTTCCATCACGTATAAAAATGTTATGCAATATGAGAACTGACCTTAAATGTTGCCTCTTCGGTGAAGCTTTTTCTGATCATCCTAGTTGGAATCTGACTCTCCTTGATAGTCCCTTAACACACTCTTTACTTTATGTTGGCACTTACTGAAGCCTGTTACTTAGAGATATGTTTATCTTCCTAGGTTGTAAGCTTATGAAACAATTACGGTGAGCCATTCATATTTGTGTTCACAATGCTTAGCCCAGATCCTTGCATACATTAGTGTTCATGAACCAGATATTTTCACCACTGAATACACTTTGGTGATGTTTTGTCCCTACTAGCCTAATTACATACGGATATCTAAATTCCACAGAGTTTATCCATCATCCTTCTCCCTTGCATATATTAACCACGTTTTGCTAAGAAAGAATAGGACTTGCACATTTGTATATATTCCCACAAAAAAGGAGGAAGGGACCAGAAGTAGAATTCTACTAGGTCTAAATCATAGAAAATAGTGTCCAAACTGATGTAATGTACTTAGTCAAATGTTATCTTTCCTTCTTTTCTAACAAACAAGTTACCATATGCTATTGTTACAAACAAAAATCAATTTTGGATATCCTTATGCTGAATTCAGTCGTATTCCTACTAAAACAAAATTTTGTAAGTTATGTTTTGTTACTGGTAGTGTTGCATGGGTGATATAGCCAAATTACCTACTTTATAATTTATTATTTATCTTATTAGCATAAATTAAGATATCTGAGAATCAGAAAAAGGCAACTGAGTGGAATTATTTTAAACTAATAAGGCTACCAAAATTGTATATGTCTTCCATTGGTCTTGCTGGCCAACTATCAATTTTATAGCTTCTACTTCCAAATTAGAGTGTAAACTAACTTGTCTTTTTATTTGCTGCTTACCATTTTACTAAGGTTGGATATACCTTTGCAGGAAATGCATTCTAATTTTTTAAAAATAAATTCTACCTTTTTTTTCTTCAATTAGGCATTTCCATCACTCATTAATCAATTAGGGATTTTATGGATTTACCTGGTTTGTATTGTATTTCACTGCTGTATAATAAATACATTGAATTTTTGTATTTAAATATTATGTATCTTTTAATAAATGCAAACTGTACACCTGGTCTATAAAAAGACGAGTTTTAATATGACACTTTTTTTCTTTGGGGACCAGATTTCAGAAACCCTCTCATCAAAGGAATTTCTTGAAAACGCTTACGTTCTAGCAGTTCTTCTCTTCTTGGCTCTTATTCTGCAAAGGACATTTTTGCAGGCTTCCTACTATGTAACCATAGAGACTGGCATTAACCTCCGTGGAGCTCTGCTGGTATGTAAAGGCTGTGAATACTATTTGTTTCCTAAGAATGCTATATACCATTCAGTGAAAAGAATAGCGGTAGCTTCAGTTTTGTTTTTTCATTCCATTTTCATTTTGGTATTACAACAACAACGTTTCTATAATCTACTTAATGAAAGAAACAGAGCTAATTAATAAACCTATTGAATTAAAAATAACTTTCAAATAATGTTAAGAAAAATATTTTGAAATCTTACATTTATTTATCTCTTTCTGTTTGTTCTAGGGCTTATGCTTAAAGTTTAATGCATGTTTTTATTATATCACTAGAAAAAAGGAAGTCTGTATTTGGTTAAGGACTGAAAATAACTATACTGAAGTAGAAATAACTGTAGTGGCTGATTTAAGAAGATGATCCTATAGAATTTTTCTTTTCTTTTTTCTCAAAAAAATTAAATGTTTGTTATTTATTTTCAGTGAAAATAATCATAGTGTCAATTTTAAGTTTAGAGCTTTATGTACTCTTTTTTTTTTTTTTGGTAGGCCATGATTTATAATAAAATCCTTAGGCTCTCTACGTCTAACTTATCCATGGGGGAGATGACTCTGGGGCAGATCAACAACTTAGTCGCCATTGAAACTAATCAACTCATGTGGTTTTTGTTCCTGTGTCCCAATCTATGGGCTATGCCTGTTCAGGTAGGTAGATAAATATAAGTAAGATTTTTGTCTGCAGAGGAAATAAAACAAAAAAAGCAGTAATGTATTTAGCTCTGTAAAAGGTGTATAGTTTTTGAATGTGCAAATATTACACTCTTTTATAGAAAAGGAAGCTGGGACTCAGAAATGTTATAGCATAGGTTAAGCAAGAGAAGTTTGAAATTATACTGCTTGAGTTCAAATATCTGCCCTACCCCGTCATTTACACAAGTGCTTAACTCCTCAAAGCCCTAGTTTTCTTAACTGTAAATGAGAATAATAATAGTACTTCTCGTAAAGTTGTGGGAATTGTCAAGGTTAAATAGATTAATATGTCTATAACATCTAGCATAGTGCCCAGCATTTCCTGGGCATCCAGTAACTGTTAGTTGTTAGTATTATTGCCTCGATTCATGTAAGTCACAGAGCCATGGTTTGACCCCTTTTATTTTGGCAAGCTCTCTTACAGCATTTCTAAACGAGAGCAATTGCTTTAATCAATCCCATAGTTTCAATAGTTAGTATATTGCAAAATGTCAAACTGCATAAAATGGTAGGAACAGTGACAAACTGGAGTGCTATTTAGCTATTTCCTATGTAAAATAACATTTTAGTAAAGACACGTTTTCTTCTTCCCCTAGCTGGGTAAAAATGGCAAAAGAAATATACTCAGTTTTTTCCTCTGTATAAACTGGACATTTTTAATTATCTCAAGTTTTGCATTCTGTAGATGAAGCTTAAGTGCTAGATCTTATTTGAAAAAATCTGTCATCTAAGTCCCTGTGTCCCACATTTATTCAAGTGCATAAAGTAATAAAGAAGATGCTAGTTTTTAACTTATTGTTTGCCTTTTCATTTTTTAATAGAAAACCAAGGCAAAAAAAAGTGTATATTATGCACAGTGCTTGGCACAAAGTAGGATTTGAGATGTACTTTGTCTCATTTTATCAAAATATACTTATATAAAGGTGAATTAGGTAGCTGCCTAGATGGTGTAATTTTAAGTGCACCAAAAGTCTCTGAATGACTGCATCATGGGTGACCTTAAGGAATTTTTTGTTTTTATTGGATATCTCAAACTACCTAATTAGTTAGGCAGTAAACGTGTCATTGGCCCCAGACAGCTGCTATTAAGCTATTATCATTGGCATATAGGCATAAATTATATACTTGAACTGCATGGATACAGTTCATTAATTGATGTTTTGAGCCATGATAAATCAGAGAGAGAGAGACTAGGATAGCAGGGGTAAATTCTGAGTTTTAAAGGAAAAAGAAGACAGTGGCAAACCAGAGAGGACAGGTCTGAATGGTTTTGCCCTTGGTTTGGGGAAAGAGAAGTATATTAAGATAGGACACTAACTTTAGCTTTTTAACAGTTTTAGTTACCGTCAGCCTTCTTGTCAGTAAGTGATTTCTGAAGTCATAAGAAGGTGAGGAGCTCAGCTCATTCCTTTAGTCCACAGACAACCATCCTCTACTCACATGATGCTGCCCCCTACTTTTCATCCTCTCAGCCTTGAAAAGCTAGTACAATTCCAAGAGAATATAGAAAGTCAAATTTATGGTGGGTGACAGCGTTTTCAAGAAAAAATTTATGCCCTTTTAAAAATCTGAAGACTACTTAAAAGGTTGGAAGTGTCATGGGACCACTTTGCAAATTCATGCAATACATTGGTTTGACATCAGTTGTACAGATTATCATACTAAAAATACATTCCTAGCACTTAGCCTTCCCCAAATAAATCAGAGTAAAACCCAACTGTCACAGCTGGGTTGACTTGATGGTTAATTCTGTCCCTCTAGAGAACCCTAATACCGTTGACTTCCAAATAAACAATATAATAATTAAGAAATACTACATTTGCACTAAAAATTATGTCCTTTCATGCAATGGCTCCCACAACCCATTCATCTTCTCTTTTCCATGTGTTTTTCTCTCTAGATCATAATGGGCGTGATTCTGCTCTATAATTTACTTGGATCAAGTGCATTGGTCGGTGCAGCTGTCATTGTGCTCCTTGCGCCAATTCAGTACTTTATTGCTACAAAGTTGGCAGAGGCTCAGAAAAGTACACTTGTAAGTAACATCTTTTGGAAACTTAATTACAAAAATGAGAAATGCTGTTTTAATTTTATAATATAGGAAATTAATACATACCACTAAAGATAATTTGGAAACAATTCTATTTCACTTCAGTTCTTCAGCAGCAAATGTGTATTTTCCATGTTGCAAAAACAATTTTTAAAAGTGGATTGGAAATTTAAAACTTGATGATCTTAGACTCAAAATACTAGAATCACCGTTCCCCATGTTTTAAAGTACCATGAGGTGATAAGGCTTTCAGTCTTCTTAGATCACTTGTCTAAAGAATCTTAAGCGTACTTTGAGGCTAGTGAACGTCAGTTATTGACATGCAAGAAATGGATCAAGGTGCAAGTGAAGGGTCAAGTTTGCTGCTTCTGAAATTATATTTCCCTAGGGTAGACTCAAAGCATGTGAGGATCTATGGAGTCACATTGACATGTTTCAGTGGCAGCTGCTCTTGCTGAATATATTTCTGGTCAACTTGGCAAGCAAGAAAAAGCCCAATTATTGACCTTTTCTGGCTTCAATTTGCCATGAAATCATTTCATTTGAGCACGAATTTGCTGCTTTTAGAGAAATCTTTGCAAATAATAAAATTGTTGACAGCATGTTTACAAATAAAGTTTGATTAAATATGAGCAAGGCTGTCTGTAAATCAGGCATAAAATGTGAAGATGCTGCCACTGACAGGATTGTTTCTCAAGTTCGTGTTTCTACTATGACAAGCGAGTTGCATGTCACGCAAGCGGTGTTTATCACTTGTTTTTCTGCTCCTTTAGGTAGGTTACTCATTATTTCTGTCTGAGCCAGCTATCCTTTTTACTCCAGCACACAAATACAGAAAGGTGTGGAAGGGGAGCTTAGGAGAGATATGATGATTCCCAAACATCTGTCTTTCATTTAGCTATTCATACCATATTCATTCACTCATTGAACAATCATTTGATAGGCATTTAAACACCCTGTAAAGACAAAACATTGAACAAAAACCAGGCTGTTTGCTACTTTTGCTTTCTCCTATCTGTCTTTTGACCACTCTACTGCCCCTTTTGATAGTTAATTAGTCATATATTACCTTGTTAGTAATTCTAGTATGACATGTGGTGATGAAGGAAGCTGAAACAGCTGGCTAAAATGAAGGTTTCGTATCTGCTACAAATCTCTCTATGATTATTCCAAGTTGTTAGTAAATCTAACTTAAGCCTTACCCAAGAACTTACAAAGAAGTATGTGGAAATCTCTTGATAGCTAAGATAATAGGCTTAGTTTCAATAACTGTGTTATGAAGATGCAATATGAATGCACAGAACACTGTACCCTCATATTTTCAAATAAGAAGCCCACTAACTTTTCTTAAATTTATTATTTTTCTTCTTGTAAGTATGAGTGATAGAGCTGACTGCAGAAGAAATTAAGTTAGATGTTAGGAGTCATTATAAGTCTCCTTATTATGTAAATTTATGTCTATATTATCTGCAGACATGATTCAAGGAAATCATGTGAAACTTTAGAAAATTGTTTTTAGCTTTTATGTAAACCAAAGCAACAGAGACATACATGTTTTTAGGTGGAAAGAAATGTTGAGGCCATCTCATTAAACTCTTTATTTCATGAAGCACAAAGGGTTTAATTGCTTCTCCTGGGAACTTCACAACCTAATTAGTGAGTGGCAGGGCCAGTCTGAAATCAAGGTCTCCTCAATCCCTGTCCATTACATGGTTCTGCCTTTCTGATTCACTTGGATGCAGCTGGTATTATTTTTCTTCCTTTGTTTTATAGGATTATTCCACTGAGAGACTCAAGAAAACAAATGAAATATTGAAAGGCATCAAACTTCTAAAATTGTATGCCTGGGAACACATTTTCTGCAAAAGTGTGGAGGAAACAAGAATGAAAGAACTATCTAGTCTCAAAACCTTTGCACTATATACATCACTCTCCAGTAAGTTGCTGTTGCTCTAAGAACAGGCGACTTTAAGGGCAACCAGAATAACCAACAGTCTATTCAGTTTAGATTGTGATCAATGAAACATTCTAGTTCTTCAAGGACACCTATTTATTTTCTAAACACGTGCTGTCCAATAGCCACCAGCCACACGAGGCTATCTATTTACATTTAAATTAAAGACCAAAGTAAGCACAGGTTTAGAGTCAAGTAGACCTGAATTTGATTCCTCACAACTAGTGTGCCCTTGGCCATGTTACTCTACAAACTGAAATCGTTGGTTTTCTTCATCAGTAAAATGAAGATGGTGATAATAGTAACTGTAATTAAAACCCTGGTATCAGTTCAGTTAGGATAAATTGTTGGTTTTTAGTAAAAAAGTAAAACTTTGTTTACTGAAATTGATTTGACTACATGACGATTGATCTTCTTATCCCCAAAGATCCTTTAACTATTTTTCCATTTGTCTCAGAATACACATGGGTAGCACTTGTGGCTGCAGCTTTTACTCCGAGAAAACTTTGCCACAAAATATCTCGCTTTTATTATTATTTTGCATCAATCTAGGATATCGACTTTGGAAACAAAAGACATCGTTCTATTTGTAGCATTCTGTTTTTAGTAGTGGTGTTTCCATTTACAAAATATAGTAACTCTCAATCGCTAAAAATGTCAAATCCTAGAAATCATAGCATTCTTTTTTTTTTTAATTATACTTTAAGTTCTAGGGTACATGTGCACAATGTGCAGGTTTGTTACATATATATATATGTGTCATGTTGGTGTGCTGCACCCATTAACTTGTCATTTACATTAGGTATATCTCCTAATGCTATCCCTCCCCTCTCCCCACACCCCACGACAGGCCCCGGTGTGTGATGTGAGGGGTCCAAGTGTTTTCATTGTTCAGTTCCCACCTATGAGTGAGAACATGTGGTGTTTGGTTTTTTGTCCCTGCAATAGTTTGCTGAGAATGATGGTTTCCAGCTTCATCCATGTCCCTACATGAACTCATCCTTTTTTATGGCTGCATAGTATTCCATGGTATATATGTGCCACATTTTCTTAATCCAGTCTATCATTGTTGGACATTTGGGTTGGTCCAAGTCTTTGCTATTGTGAATAGTGCTGCAATAAACACATGTGTGAATGTGTCTTTATAGCAGCATGATTTATAGTCCTTTGGGTATATACCCAGTAATGGGATTGCTGGGTCAAATGGTATTTCTAGTTCTAGATCCTTGAGGAATCACCACACTGTCTTCCACAATGGTTGAACCAGTTTATAGTCCCACGAACAGTGTAAAAGTGTTCCTATTTCTCCACATCCTCTCCAGCACTTGTTGTTTCCTGACTTTTTAATGATCGCCATTCTAACTGGTATGAGATGGTATCTCATTGTGGTTTTAATTTGCATTTCTCTGATGGCCAGTGATGATGAGCATTTCTTCATGTGTGTGTTGGCTGCATAAATGTCTTCTTTTGAGAAGTGTCTGTTCAGACCCTTTGCCCACTTTTTGATGGGGTTGTTTGTTTTTTTCTTGTAAATTTGTTTGAGTTCTTTGTAGATTCTGGATATTAGCCCTTTGTCAGATGAGTAGATTGCAAAAATTTTCTCCCATTCTGTAGGTTGCCTGTTTGCTTTGATGGTAGTTTCTTTTGCAGTGCAGAAGCTCTTTAGTTTAGTTAGATTCCATTTGTCAATTTTGGCTTTTGTTGCCATTGCTTTTGGTGTTTTAGTCATGAAGTCCTTGCCCATGCCAATGTCCTGAATGGTATTGCCTAGGTTTTCTTCTAGGGTTTTTATGGTTTTGGGTCTAACATTTAAGTCTTTAATCCATTTTGAATTATTTTTTGTATAAGGTGTAAAGAAGGGATCCAGTTTCAGCTTTCTACATATGGATAGCCAGTTTTCCCAGCACCATTTATTAAATAGAGAATCTTTCACCATTTCTTGTTTTTGTCAGGTTTGTCAAAGATCAGATGGTTGCAGATGTGTGGTATTATTTCTGAGGGCTCTGTTCTGTTCCATTGGTCTATATCTCTGTTTTGGTACCAGTACCATGCTGTTTTGGTTACTGTAGCCTTGTAGTATGGTTTGAAGTCAGGTAGCATGATGCCTCCAGGTGTTCTTTTGGCTTAGGATTGTCTTGGCAATGTGGGCTCTTTTTTGGTTCCATATGAACTTTAAAGTAGTTTTTTTCAATTCTGTGAAGAAAGTCATTGGTAGCTTGATGGGGATAGCATTGAATCTATAAATTACCTTGGGCAGTATGCCCATTTTCATGATATTGATTCTTCCTATCCATGAGCATGGAATGTTCTTCCATTTGTTTGTGTCCTCTTTTATTTCATTGAGCAGTGGTTTGTAGTTCTCCTTGAAGAGGTCCTTCATATCCCTTGTAGGTTGTATTTCTAGGTATTTTATTCTCTTTGTAGCAATTGTGAATGGGAGTTCACTCATGATTTGGCTCTCTGTTTGTCTACTATTGGTGTATAGGAATGTTTGTGATTTTTGCACATTGATTTTGTATCCTGAGACTTTGCTGAAGTTGCTTATCAGCTGAAGGAGATTTGGGGCTGAGACATTGGGGTTTTCTAGATATACAATCATGTCATCTGCAAACAGGGATAATTTGACTTCCTCTTTTCCTAGTTGAATACCCTTTATTTCTTTCTCCTGCCTGATTGCCCTGGCCAGTACTTCCAACACTATGCTGAATAGGAGTGATGAGAGAGGGCATCCCTGTCTTGTGCCAGTTTTCAAAGGGAATGCTTCCAGTTTTTGCCTATTCGGTATGATATTGGCTGTGGGTTTGTCATAAATAGCTCTTATTATTTTGAGATACGTCCCATCAATACCAATTTATTGAGATTTTTTAGCATGAAGGGCTGTTGAATTTTGTCAAAGGCCTTTTCTGCATCTACTGAGATAATCATGTGGTTTTTGTCTTTGGTTCTGTTTATATGCTGGATTTGCGTATGTTGAACGAGGCTTTGCATCCCAGGGATGAAGCCCACTTGATCATGGTGGATAAGATTTTTGATGTGCTGCTGGATTCAGTTTACCAGTATTTTATTGAGGATTTTTGCATCTGTGTTCATCAGGGATATTGGTCTAAAATTCTCTTTTTTGTGTGTGTGTCTCTGCCAGGCTTTGGTATCAGGATGATGCTGGCCTCATAAAATGAATTAGCGAGGATTCCCTCTTTTTCTATTGATTGGAATAGTTTCAGAAGGATGGTACCAGCTCCTCCTTGTACCTCTGGTAGAATTCAGCTGTGAATCCATCTGGTCCTGGACTGTTTTTGGTTGGTAGGCTATTAATTATTGCTTCATTTCAGAGCCTGTTATTGGTCTATTCAGGGATTCAACTTCTTCCTGGTTTAGTCTTGGGAGGCTGTATGTGTCCAGGAATTTATCCATTTCTTCTAGATTTTCTGTTTATTTGCATAGAGGTGTTTATAGTATTCTCTGATGGTAGTTTGTATTTCTGTGGGATCAGTGGTGATATCCCCTTTATCATTATTTTTGCGTCTATTTGATTCTTCTCTCTTTTCTCATTAGTCTTGCTAGTGGTCTATCTATTTTGTTGATCTTTTCAAAAAACCAGCTCCTGGATTCATTTATTTTTTGAAGGGTTTTTTGTGTCTCTATTTCCTTCAGTTCTGCTCTGATCTAAGTTATTTCTTGCCTTCTGCTAGCTTTTGAATGTGTTTGCTCTTGCTTCTCTAGTTCTTTTAATTGTGATGTTAGGGTGTCCGTTTTAGATCTTTCCTGCTTTCTCTTGTGGGCATTTAGTGCTATAAATTTCCCTCTACACACTGCTTTAAATGTGTCCCAGAGATTCTGGTATGTTGTGTCTTTGTTCTCGTTGGTTTCAAAGAACATCTTTATTTCTGCCTTCATTTCGTTATGTACCCAGTGGTCATTCAGGAGCAGGTTGTTCAGTTTCCATGTAGTTGAGCGGTTTTGAGTGAGTTTCTTAATCCTGATTTCTAGTTTGATTGCACTGTGGTCTGAGAGACAGTTTGTTGTAATTTCTGTTCTTTTACATTTGCTGAGGAGTGCTTTACTTCCAACTATGTGGTCAATTTTGGAATAGGTGTGACTCAGAAGGATGTATATTCTGTTGATTTGGGGTGGAGAGTTCTGTAGATGTCTATTTGTTCTGCTTGGTGCAGAGCTGAGTTCAATTCCTGGATATCCTTGTTAACTTTCTGTCTTGTTGATCTGTCTAATGTTGACAGTGGGGTGTTAAAGTCTCCCATTATTATTGTGTGGAACTCTAAGTCTCTTTGTAGGTCTCTAAGGACTTGCTTTATGAATCTGGGGGCTCCTGTATTGGATGCATATATATTTAGGATAGTTAGCTCTTCTTGTTGAGTTGATCCCTTTACCATTGTATAATGGCCTTCTTTGTCTCTTTTGATCTTGTTGGTTTAAAGTCTGTTTTATCTGAGACTAGGATTGCAACCTCTGCCTTTTTTTGTTTTCCATTTGCTTGGTAGATCTTCCTCCATCCCTTTATTTTGAGCCTATGTGTGTCTCTACACGTGAGATGGGTTTCCTGAATACAGCACACTGATGGGTCATGACTCTTTATCCAATTTGCCAGTGTGTGTCTTTTAATTGGAGCATTTAGCCCATTTACTTTTAAGGTTAATATTGTTATGTGTAAATTTGATCCTGTCATTATGATGTTAGCTGGTTATTTTGCTCGTTAGTTGATGCAGTTTCTTCCTAGCATCGATGGGCTTTAAAATTTGGCATGTTTTTGCCGTGGCTGGTACCAGTTGTTCCCTTCCATGTTTATTGCTTCCTTCAGGAGCTCTTGTAGGGCAGGTCTGGTGGTGACAAAATCTCTCAGCATTTGCTTATCTGTAAAGTATTTTATTTCTCCTTCACTTATGAAGCTTAGTTTGGCTGGATATGAAATTCTGGGTTGAAAATTCTCTACTTTAAGAATGTCAAATATTGGTCCTCACTCTCTTCTGGCTTGTAGAGTTTCTGTCGAGAGATCCCCTGTTAGTCTGATGGGCTTCTCTTTGTGGGTAACCCGACCTTTCTCTCTGGCTGCCCTTAACATTTTTTCCTTCATTTCAACTTTGGTGAATCTGACAATTATGTGTCTTGGAGTTGCTCTTCTCGAGGATTATCTTTGTGGCGTTCTCTGTATTTCCTGAATTTGAATGTTGGCCTGCCTTGCTAGGTTGGGGAGGTCCTCCTGGATAATATCCTGCAGAGTGTTTTCTAGCTTGGTTCCATTCTCCCTGTCACTTTCAGGTACCCCAATCAGACGTAGATTTGGTCTTTTCATATAGTCCCATATTTCTTGGAGGCTTGTTCTTTTCTTTTTACTCTTTTTTCTCTAAAGTTCTCACTTCATTTCATTCATTTGATCTTCCATCACTGATATCCTTTCCTCCAGTTGATCAAATCAGCTACTGAAGCTTGTGCATGCGTCATGTAGTTCTGGTGCCATGGTTTTCAGATCCATCAGGTCATTGAAGGACTTCTCTACACTGGTTATTCTAGTTAGTCATTTGTCTAATCTTTTTTCAAGGTTTTTAGCTTGTTTGCGATGGGTTTGAACTTCCTCCTTTAGCTCAGAGAAGTTTGATCGTCTGAAGCCTTCTTCTGTCAACTCGTCAAAGTCATTCTCCGTCCTGCTTTGTTCCGTTGCTGGTGAGGAGCTGCGTTCTTTTGGAGGGGGAGAGGTGCTCTGATTTTTAGAATTTTCAGTTTTTCTGCTCTGTTTTTTTCCCCATCTTTGTGGTTTTATCTACCTTTGGTCTTTGATGATGGTGATGTACAGATGGGGTTTTGGTGTGGATGTCCTTTCTGTTTGTTACTTTTCCTTCTAATAATCAGGACCCTCAGCTGCAGGTCTGCTGGAGTTTGATGGAGGTCCACTCCAGACCCTGTTTGCCTGGGTATCAGCAGCGGAGGCTGCAGAACAGAGAATATTGCTGAACAGCAAATGTTGCTGCCTGATCGGTCCTCTGGAAGCTTCGTCTCAGAGGGGTACCCGGCCGTGTGAGGTGTCAGTCTGCCCCTACTGGGGGTGCCTCCCAGTTAGGCTACTTGGGGGTCAGGGACCCACTTGAGGAGGCAGTCTCTCCATTCTCAGATCCCAAACTCCATGCTAGGAGAACCACTACTCTCTTCAAAGCTGTCAGACAGGGACATTTAAGTCTGCAGAGGTTTTTTCTGCCTTTTGTTTGGCTATGCCCTGCCCCCAGAGGTGGAGTCTACAGAGGCAGGCAGGCCTCCTTGAGCTGCGGTGGGTTCCACCCAGTTTGAGCTTCCCGGCTGCTCTGTTTACCTACTCAAGCCTCAGCAATGGCGGGTGCCCCTCCCCCAGCCTCGCTGCCACCTTACAGTTCGATCTCAGACTGCTGTGCTAGCAATAAGTGAGGCTCCATGGGTGTGGGACCCTCCGAGCCAGGCGTGGGATATGATGTCCTGGTGTGCTGTTTGCTAAGACCGTTGGAAAAGCACAGTATTAGAGTGGGAGTGACCTGATTTTCCAGGTGCCGTCTGTCACAGCCTCCCTTGGCTAGGAAAGGGAATTCCCTGACCCCTTGTGCTTCCTGGGTGAGGCGATGCCTCGCCCTGCTTTGGCTCATGCTCGGTGGGCTGCACCCACTGTCCTGCACCCACTGTCCAACAAGCCCCAGTGACATGAACCTGGTACCTCAGTTGGAAATGCAGAAGTCACCCGTCTTCTGCATCGTTCACACTGGTAGCTGCAGACTGGAGCTGTTCCTATTTGGCCATCTTGCAACCCCCTCGAAATCATAGCATTCTTATGTGTGATGTTAACATCTTTCTCAAACAGCATTGGCCGAAGATTCATTTGATGAATTCGGTTTTTTCCTAAATAGATGATTCAGATGATTGCAACGATTCTCTTGTTAGTTCTGTTTAGAAATAACTCCAAGAACAGTTTTTACATTTTATTTTCACATTAGAAATCAATCAGATTTGCTTCAGCCTCAAAGAGTGTGTTTATGTAAAACTAAATGAGTACTGGCAGTGAGATACACTTTGTTTTTTCTAAACGGGAAAAGGGTTAAAAATATTTGCAGTTTTTTAACTTGTCTCCTTGGGAGCTTATGATGTGATATTTTCTTGAAGATTGTCAAGAAAACTTAGCCATTTTTGAAAACTGAGGAGAAAAAAATACCATTTTCAGGTAAAGGAAGCCAAACTTCGTTCACATAAAACCCTTTTTTCCAATATATTTTCAAAAATTTCAAAATAGAGACTTCTTTCATCCTCAACTCTAACTTTAAAAGCAACTGTTACAAAAATATTGTTTTTTCCCTCAAAGTATGACTGAGTATTCTCATGAATAACAGGGTTTATGTTAGTATACTTTACACAAACTTAGCAAAACTACTCCCACTAATATTTGATTTGATTTATGTGTCAGTTTTGCTCATCTTTGTTGCTCCCAAGACCTTTAACAAATTAAAATTTTGGAAGTTTATATATTGTTTCCTCTTGAATTATAAACTCCTTTAGAGTTTAAAGATTATAAACATTTCTTTTTTGAAATAGATTTAGAGAAAATATTTGGCCTATATAGCCCCTTTATTCTAGCCCTAATGCTTGATACATTAGACATAAAGTTGGAAGGAGTTTTATCTTCCAGCAATGCACCACTAACATAGTGTCAAAATGCTAGAAGACAGGATGATCAAGATTCACTTGCTTATATTGTACTACTCTAAGTTGGTGACCCCTTCAATACATCCTTCTCTTCAGGGGACTGAAATTCTCATAAGAAGGATGGATGTAGCCAAGAATAATAACAATAACAACAACAACAACAAAGATATATTGAGAGTATACTTAGCCAATTATTGCCATAAGTGGTTTTTCATATACCATCTCATTTAATTATTACAACAGCCCAGTGGTTTTGATTCTATTATTTATTTTTATATATTGTTTGAGACAAGGTCTCACTCTATCACCCAGGCCAGAGTGCAGCAGTGCAAACATAGCTCACTGCAGCCTTTAACTGCTGGGCTCAAGTGCTTCCGCCTCGCAAAGTGGTGGGATTACAGGCATGAGCCACAATGCCTGGCCTAGATTTTATTATTAACTCCACTTTAGAATTAAAAGATTGACATATAAAGAACTTAGGTAACCTGAACTTCTTTCAAATCATCCAGCTACTAAAGGGCTGAGGTGAGATGTGAATTCAGCTTGTGTGTCTCTAGAGATGAGAGTTGTGTTGGTATTGAGTCAAATACAAGAAGAGAGAGGGTAGAGGAGGTCATCCTAGGGGAGAGCAGTAAGAAGTCATGAGGGGGAAAATACATTATCCTGTGTTCTTGATAGGCAGCTGGGATTCTTGAGTCAATGGAGCAAAATTCCAGTTTGACCACTTCAAGTTTTATTATTTTGTTCAGTACAATCTTGTTGGTGGTGAGTTGAACAGAGCTGGCTATAAATCCTAGCTCTGACACTTTGTAGTAGAATGGCCTTGAGAAAATTACTTATATCCTCCTAGCCTCAGTTTCTTCATCTGTAACATGAGCTATTAATAATATCTACCATGTAGGATTGTAAAGATTAAAGAAGATAATGGATAATACAAACATTTATTGAGTGCACACTCCATCTCTGGCACTATGTCAAGTGCTTCATACTCATCTGCTACCAAGCAGGTTAAACGAAAATAATACACTTAGAATATAGGGTGAAAATACAGCAAAAGAAACTATCATCAGAGTGAACAAACTACAAAATGGGAGGAAATGTTTGCGATCTATCCATCTGAAAATTGTCTAATATCCAGAATCTACAAGGAACTTAAACAAATTTATGAGGAAAAAAAACCCTCTTAAAAAGTGGGCAAAGGACATGAACAGACACTTCTCAAAGGAAGACATTTATGTGGCCAACAAACATGAAATAAAGCTCAACATCACTCATCATTAGAGAAATGCAAATCAAAACCACAATGAGACACCATCTCACGCCAGTCAGAATAGCAATTATTAAAAAGTCAAGAAACAACAGATGCTGGTGAGGCTGTGGAGAAACAGGAATGCTTTTACACTGTTGATGGGAATGTAAATTAGTTCAACCATTGTGGAAGACCAGTGTGGTGATTTCTCAAAAACCTAGAACCAGAAATACCATTTGACCCATCAATCTCATTACTGGGTATATACCCAAAGGAATGTAAATCATTCTATTTTAAAGATACATGCATGTGTATGTTTATTGCAGCACTATTCACAATAGCAAAGACATGGAATCAATCCAAATGTCCATCAGTGATAGACTGGATAAAGAAAATGTGGTATATACACCATGGAATACTATGCAGCCATAAAAAGGAATAGGATGATGTCCTTTTCAGGGACATGGATGGAGCTGGAAGCCATTATCCTAACCAAGGAACAGAAACTAACCCAGGAACAGAAAACCAAACACCACATGTTCTCACCTATAAGGGGGAGTTGAATAATGAGAACACACAGACACAGGGAGGAGAACAACACACACTGGGGCCTATGAGGAGGGCAGTGGGAAGGAAAGTAGCTAATGCATCTGGGCTTAATAGGTGTAGCAAACCACCATGGCACATGTTTATCTATGTAACAAGCCCGCATATCCTGCACATGTATCCCGGAACTTAAAATAAAATATAATAGGGTGACAATGGTCAGAGAAAGAAGGTTGAGGCAGAAATGTGGCTTCTCATCTGTGTTATTACAAAACTCAGATCAGTGTTTGGATTCGCGGTACTGTACAAGAGTCTATGTTTGACAACTAAGTCATATCTGGACTTGCAAAAGCACAGTCTGATTCTGTTCTATGTACGGTGGTAAGGATAATCCCTGAGAGCAGATGATTTTTAAAACCGGAGTCCTCTACTGTTAAGAAAATTAGATTGCAGCGCACCAGCATGGCACATGTATACATATGTAACTAACCTGCACAATGTGCACATGTACCCTAAAACTTAAAGTATAATAAAAAAAAAAAGAAAAGTAAAAAAAAAAAAAAAAAAAGAAAATTAGATTCTAGCTTCTCACTCTGCTGTTGCCTGGCTCTGTTACAAACAATTCACTTTATCTTTGGTTTCTTGGTTCCTAAAATTCTATAGTTTATGACTGTATGACTATAAATCAACAACTTGGCTTTTTATTTTTACTGTTACTTCCAAACACTAGTATTTCAAGCTAAAATGTGAGTTTTTCTTATTTCAACTAGGCATATCATGCTGATCCAGTGACAGTTAAATATATTCCAGGAGAGATATTTAGACACGCAGAGAGTCCAGGATATGGAGTTATTTTATTAACTGAAAGGGCCATAAATGAATATTAATAACACTGCTGGAAAGAGAACTCGAAGTGATGTCAAGTTCTTGTTTTTAATCTGTGTAATAACCTGATTTCACATATTTAAATTAGTTTAGTGGACTAAACAAAAGATAGACTGTAACCCCTCTGTAGAATACACATTTGTAAATTCTAATAATTTTTATCATTAAAGGATGATTTTATATGGATTCTTTTGTTTGTAACATTTCATAAGAAAAAAATTCAATAAAGAAAAACAGAAACTGGTTAAGACTAATGTATGGGAACTCATAAAACTGCACACAAGTAGATATTAACTGGTAAATGTTTGTGGACTCCAGACAAAATGACATTTAATACTCTTTGTCCTTCCTGTCTTCAAAGAAAGTTAAAGCAATAATAGATGATTAAAGTTACTGAAAATGTTTTCACAGTTCAATGAAACTAATGCATTTTATTTCTTTCCACAGTCTTCATGAATGCAGCAATTCCCATAGCAGCTGTTCTTGCTGTAAGACACTTTTTCTCTCTTTTAGAAATGAAACCAAGTCAGTGTTTATAAATGATTTATGAGCAAGAATGTGTGGGTAGTAATATATATTACCTCACCTCTGTGACTTCTCTCTATGGCAGTCTCCATTGCAAGAGTTCTAATCCAGGGTTTCTCAGTAAAGACACTATGGACATTTTGAGCCAAATAAATTTTGTTCTAGGGGCTGCCCTCTGTGTTAGGACGTTTGGCAGCATCCCTGGCTTCTAGCTACCAGGTGCCAGTAGCAACCTCAGTTACAACAATCAAAACATTGCCAAATGTATGCTGGTACATTTGCAAACATTGCAAAATGAACAGCGGTTGGGAATTAACTGTTCTAATCTCAACGATCTGGTTCCCAGATACTCTTACAACAAGATGGAGCTAGATCAATAACCAGAAAATCTTAAATAATTGCATTATATTTCATACTAAAATGACAAAATCGGCAACTGGTATTATTTGTAGAAATGTAATTAGCTGAGCATGATGGCGCATGCCTGTAGTCCCGGCTAACTGGGAGGCTGAGGTGGGAGGATCACCTGAGCCTGGGGAGGTCGAGGCTGCAGTGAGCCATGATCACGCTACTACACTCTAGCCTGGGCAATGAAGTGATACCGTGTCTCAAAAAAAAAAAAATGGAAGTAAGTCTTCTTTGGATATTAATGCTGACAGTTTTAGTAAAGATCCACAGTGAGGACCCCAAAACAACAGAACATTCTTTTTTCTCCCGGAGTATTTAGTATTGCTTGGAAAGGGCTTGACTGGTTGTTGAAAACTCTGGGTTCTCCATCCCTTTATTCCCCCTACTTAGCAATCTGACAGGGTCAATTACCTAACCTGTAAGTAGAATTTTTTTCTAACTTTCTCATAAGTTTGCCACTATAATTGCAGGTAAGCCTTTCAGGACTTACCAAAAGCAAGTATTGTTTTAATTAGGGAGTTTTGGATGAAGTCATTGTTATCATAGTTACAATGGACATACTGGCATAGCAGAATATGTTAGGTTTCTAGGACTGAATGTACGCATGTGTGACACTTTTTCCAGCTTTCTCTAAAGAACTCCTTTCTTTGCACAGACATTTGTGACCCATGCGTATGCCAGTGGAAACAATCTGAAACCTGCAGAGGCCTTTGCTTCACTGTCTCTCTTCCATATCCTGGTCACACCACTGTTCCTGCTCTCCACGGTGGTCAGATTTGCAGTCAAAGCCATCATAAGGTATGCACTGAAGTGTCTGGCATTTTTTGCTTATTGATAATAGAAATGACGTGTGCTAATAGGAGTATTTGAAAAAATATAAAAAAGAACATTAAAATCACTGCCAGGAGACAACCATTGTTAAAATTGTGGTATGCTACTTTTCAGTCTTTTATTTATTTCATGTAAAAATAATTTTTCAAAACAAAAATTTTAAATTTATCTAGCATTTTTCTCCTGATTACACTTTTTTTTATTATTCTCCCTTCATTTAAGTTTTATAATACCCCATGTTTACTGACTATGCAATATTCTATGTTGGAAATATTCTAATTTATTTAACAATTACCTTTTAATTGAACATTTAGAATGTTTCTATTTTCTCCCTAACATAAATAACATTGAAGTTCACGCATCTCTGTTTATCTGTAAACTTTTCTCTGATGATTTTCTCAGGTTGGATTTCTAGAAGTGGGGATACTAGTTCTAATAATATGCACATCTTTGAGGTCCTTGATGAATATGTTGCTTTCCACTGAAGTGGTGGTAGGTCAAAGAGGGCACACATTTTTAAGATTTTTAAAAATGAATACAGCCATAATGTTTTCCACTAAAGCTGTGCCAGTTTATATTGGCAACAATAGTGACAGAGAATGTTCACATCATCACATTTACTATTTTAATTTTAGTTTAATCTGGAAAAAAATCCAGGCTTAAAGTCTCTGAAAATGGTTAAGAATTGTAAAACCATTTTGTATTTTGCTCATTTAAATATGCTTCTATAGTGTTTCCAACCAGTGCAGATTTTGTCTCTTTATAATATCTCATAATGCACAGCTATAAAAATAGATGTGATATAAGACCATTTTTCCACCATTTTTACTTATAAAAATGTGTTACCAAACTAGATGATACACTGCCTATACGACAGTCTATATGTCTTATGCTCCCATAAATAAGGCACTCTTAAAAAGGAATTTTTCTTTTTAGATATATGCTCTTTATAAACCTATAAAACCTCAGAATGCTTTGTAAACAATCATTATCATATTTATATCTGGCTTTTGAAAGAAGTGCCAAGATGTCGCAATATTGAAGAAAAATTGGAAAATTGAGCCTTTAAATATATGAAGTATCATGTTGCAATTGACGGAAACATAGAACATCATTTGTAAGACTTTTAAAATGAGATAATTGTGCTGGTGTCTATATCTTACTGAGAAAACTAGAATTTATTATTCAAAATACCAGAATCTTCAGTTTTAAGCCAATAGTTTGCATTTGCTTAACAATCACTTAATGCCCAATAAAATTAAAATGCATATAAATCATCTTATAAACCAAATTCTTACAGAATATGATAGTGTAACATAGTTTCAAAGTTAACCTCTGAGACATTCATTAACAACCAGTTCTAGAGCTGTTAGTGTCTAGAGCTCAAGCCTTCTGGCCACATCTGCCCTCATTTTCTTATTGTTCTGCCTTCTGAAACACTTGTCCGGATCACTGACTACTTTTTGTAGCACCACTTCCAAATTAGGCAGTGCTCTGGAAGGGAAGCTACTTCAAACAATAAAATTGATAAATGGCCAGAGTCTGCTATTTTGGTCCTTATTTTCATTTTCTCCACTCAGCAACTGTCCCTTTCATGGTTACACTTTTATTTGAAATTTGACTTTGTACTACAAGTGGAGATAGAAAAGCAGTTGATAACTTGCAATAGATAACACCTCTGAAATCAGGAGGTTACCAAATATTAAAAGGACTTTGACTTGATTAAAAAAAAATGAAAACAATCTAGGGGTGTCCCTCCAATCCATGGTATACAATTCCGTGGTAATAAATCCTAGTACAGTGGAGGATGGATATCCCTGTATATTTCTGCACAGCACTCTCCCTTCTGCACATCTCATGGAAAAGACATTTGCCAGTTTGATAAAGACCAGTCTTTCTTCAGGGCTCAGTTCCAGATTTCCCAAGCCATAGGCCAAACAGAATCTGCTTATAAAAGCCTGATTCTCTCAAATGAGTTTCAGTGGTTGAATTGCAGGTCCTACAGAGATGACTGGTAAGCAGAGAACATTAATCCTTTTTCCCACTGTGTGCTAGTTCTGGGAACCCAAATAAGTGCTCTCCCAGTGTTGATTGGACTTAGAGCATTTTCTTCTGTGCCTGGGAAGCCGTGACCAACCTTTAGTGCCAGTTGGCCCACAGTGAGTTGAGCAGCCTGTTTATAATCGGAGACTTTGGTCAGCTGATTTTGAAATCTCCTCTTCAGGAACTGTGGAAATTCTAAATCCCTCACTGCAATCTTAAATACATTTAGAAACTTGGTGGGTTAGAATGGGATAAAGCACACTGTCAAACTTGTGCTATACATGCATGTAAGAGACTTGTAAACTTCTCTACCGGAGGAGAATTCCATACCATGTTCAATTCTTGGTTCCAAAACAATTCTATGCTTTCTTTTAATAAGGTTTGGCTTATTAGCCAAAGTGGGCTTCATGGCATTCAATGGCTGAGACCTGTATATACCTCATAAAATGGAAGAATGAGGCAGGTGTGATTCAGATTGTCTCCTCACACCCCCCAGCACCCAACACCATTTGATTTTTCTGGACATTTTATGATGAAGTGTTCTTGTCTACTTTCACAAAACAGAATAATGAAAAGTAACTATTATCTAAAATAATAAAATGCTCGAAGAAGAGTGATTTCTTTTTTAGAATGCTTGCCTCACTTCTCCACTTTGTATGTTACAAATCTCCATTTCACCGTCTTACCACCATTTTACTCATCTCTACCCCAAGCCTCAGAGCATCTTCTGTGGATGTGCATTCATTTATTGATACAGGTACATTGCTAGGCATTAAGAATTCCAAAGATAAAAGACTGAAATCTGCAGGGAGTCCACAGCCTAGTTAGACAGACCAGGAAGGGAAACTAATTACTGTATGGTGGGTTATGGTGTTATAAAGCTATACAAAGAATGCTATGGCCCATAATGGCCATCCTTGAAGTTTTTGAGAGAGAAGGGAAACTATCTGGTCAGTAAAGATTTTTTTTTTTAAATTTTATTATTATTATACTGTAAGTTTTAGGGTACATGTGCACAACGTGCAAGTTTGTTACATATGTATACATGTGCCATGTTGGTGTGCTGCACCCATTAACTCGTCATTTAGCATTAGGTATATCTCCTAATGCTATCCCTCCCCCATCCCCCCACCCCACAACAGTCCCCAGTGTGTGATGTTCCCCTTCCTGTGTCCATGTGTTCTCATTGTTCAATTCCCACGTATGAGTGAGAACATGCGGTGTTTCGTTTTTTGTCCTTGCGATAGTTTGCTGAGAATGATGGTTTCCAGTTTCATCCATGTCCGTACAAAGGACATGAACTCATCATTTTTTATGGCTGCATAGTATTCCATGGTGTATATGTGCCACATTTTCTTAATCCAGTCTATTGTTGTTGGACATTTAGGTTGGTAAAGATTTAAAGGAGGTAGTGACTCTTTCATAGAATCCTTAAAAATAGGTAAGACTTGGCAAGTTGGAGAAAAAATGTAAAACATGTTTTAACAGCAGGAGCAGTATATTCACAGGGAAGAAGTGGGTAAGTAGGTGAGAAATCTTGGTATCTTCAGGAGATTAAAAGTAGTTCAGTGTCATTGGAGGAAGGGTTCTGATGTGGGAAGTATCAAGGCATGAAGCTCGAGAGTAAACTCCTGAGCAGCTTTTAGACGATGCTAAAGATGCTGAAAGGCAACCGGATGCCAGTTGTCACTTTAAGAAGCGGGTCATTACATGCACAGATTTGCATTTTAAAAATATAAACCTGGAAGCATGGTGGAAATTACTTCACCCTTGGTCAGGATTTGTGCATTTTCCATAATTGTTTTACCTCTGTGATTTCTGAAAGGACCTCGTATGAATAGAAAATGCTTTTCGTATTACCCATTTATTATTTCATCAGACATTTCTTTAGGAATTACCATGCTATATTTTAGGCATTGGGATAGATTCTAAAGATGAAAATCTTTGCTGCTAACGAGTTCACAGTCTAGTGGGAGAGATAGACATGGAACAAACAACAACAATGACAAAACATCAGTGCTGGAGATCCTCAGCCAGAGAGCCTAGAATGACTGGGGACATGGGAGGGGAAGGGAAGTAAGAGGTTCACAGATAGGTTAGTATTGGCATCCATTGATGGTCCTTGTCATTGATGTTTCAAAGTGGGGTGTTAAGAAGAGAGAATGTCGTCCCCATTCTCAATCAAGGTCAGGGACCATTGCTTCCAATGCTCAGGAAGAGTGGGGCTCATTTATTCCATAAAAGCTTTGAGTCTATACTGGAAAGATTCGTGATTTGTATCTATACTAGAAATGGGAATGGAGAATTGAACCAACCAACTTTACTTAATGTCAGAATCATTGATTTATTCCTTCTTTGATTTATTGAACAAACATTCCTTGAATGACATGTGCCAGGCATTGCTAGATTTGGAATTATAAAGGCAGATGAGACTGGCTTCTCCACTTTGTTTTTTTGTGCAGAGACATAGTGTGAGATTGTTTAAAGGTATTCCTTTGATTGACAGAGCTGCGCTTCTTAAAATCAAATCTTTTCAAAACATAAGAACAGAATGACAATTACAATCTGTAAAAGTGAAGAAGAAATAACTGCCATTTAAGAGGAATAAAATAATGTTTCATAACGCATTTATAACACTGTTTTTCAAGTCTATGTGGTCAGACTTTGCTATCAAAGACTCAAAGAAAGTGTATGAACTGAAGCTCTTCCTAAATAATTACCTCTTTTAGTTCTCTGCAAGTGCAATTTGACAGCTAATAGATTGCCTCAATGGATTTTCGTCTTCCATCATGTTTCTATGGCATGCAAAGCCAAAACACTTAAAGATCATGGGCAACAGACTAAATTAAATTTACCTTTTTCTCATTTTGTTATTGTGTCACAAAAAACAAGTTCTGAAGACTTGTCTGGAGGAACTTGACTATAAGTTCAAATAAAATTTTTAAAAAAGAAACCATTTATTTCATACATATATTTTCTAGTTTCCTATCAAAGGCAATACCTCCCCTGTAGTTGCTGCTGCATGTGCCAAGTTAAGTTTTCCCACTTGCTGCATCCTAGCTTGCCAAAAGGAGCACTTCTTTTCCTTTGCAACTTCACTGAATTTCCTTTTGTATATTATTTTATTTCTAGGATGATGTTTACAAAGCATATTATCATTTTCTTTGTTTTACTTATTTATTTTTGCTCCTGATCCTATGACACTGGTTTGAGAAAATTAGAATGGGTAGAGTAGATGAGCCAAGGAGTCTTGTGCCCAGCCTAAGGAGGTCACATTAAAGAATGTTGGCAAACCAGTCTTCTAGAGCAGGGCCTCTCAAATGGTGTTTATAAAGTGCCTCTGAGTATTGGTCAAATACATAATGTGATTCGTATTTGGAGGCAGGGCTGAGATTTTCTGTTTTTAATAAACTCCCAGTTGATGCTGATGCTGGTGGTCCTTGGCTGAAACTTTTGAGCAGCAAGACTCTAGAGTCCCCTCTCCTTGCCAGGTTCAGAAAATGTGAATCATGCATAGTGCTTAAGCAAGATACACAGTGGCCAAGGATTCCAGATCCTTGCATATTACATGCTAAATGGTTTTAGGCAGGTTACTTAGTTTCTCTGTACGTCACCTCCCCATCATTTGTAAAACTAGAATACTAAGAGGACTTTCCTCATTAGTGTTATTTTTAACCACCCTGTTCCAAGTTCCTAAACAACTTCACTATTTTTGACAAGGAATATAATTGCAAAAAAAATGCAAAGAAGGTTCTGTTGAATTTAGGGTGACAAGTGGTCCTGATTTTTCTGACATTTTTCTGGTTTTAGTACTGAAAGTCCCATGTCCTGGAAACCCCTCTGTCCTCAGCAATTTAGGATGTTTGGTCGATCTAGCTGAATTCCCAGTTGGTCTTGAAAAATGACTCTCACAGGCATCCTACTCACCATAATACTGTGTGTTAAAGTCGTTATTTAGGTAGCACTTTGTTGGTGGTGGTTTTATTGTTAACTCTTATTCTGTGTTTATTGTTTTTTGCAGTGTTCAAAAGCTGAATGAGTTTCTCTTGAGTGATGAGATTGGTGACGACAGTTGGCGAACTGGTGAAAGTTCGCTTCCTTTTGAGTCCTGTAAGAAGCACACTGGAGTTGTAAGTGCTTTATTTTTGTTTTGGAAGTTGTGAATAGAGGACAGTCTCAGCAGAATGGACAGATTAATACAACTGAGTTAGAAGAGATTATAAGCTTTAGTTTTTAACCCATGTGAAGAAAAATCACGACTTGCTTCTCTACAACCTCACAAGTCTAAAATCAATAGACGAATGTATAAGGCTTGTCTTTATAAATCCAGAAAAAATTATCCTAAGAGACAAGACGTGTTTAATTCAAAAGGAAATTGAGAGTTTGCTTACTCCAAATGTATATAAAAATAACACCAAATAAGCTTACTCATGCACCATTTTCTTATAATACCATTTAGCTATACTACACTTTATAGTTTAAAACATATTTTCTGATGCATTTTATCTTTTGATCCACTTAATATATTACATTGTCTCTTTTTATTTTCCAGTTGAATTACATTACATTGTCTCTTTTTTATTTTCTAGCTCTTTTTATTTTGCATGTCATGAGGCTCAAATAAAGTCATAAGATTACTAAGTGGTAGAGCTAGAATTAAAACTTGAATCTTGTAAGTTGTAGACCAGTTCATTTATCCATGATACAAATATTTACTTAGTATCTACATAAAATCTAGAAACATAGTCAATATTATTTTGTCATGCATTACATGTAATATGAATAAGCTTTATTTAAATATATGACTGTGTTTTTTATTTTTTGGCTGCCCTGTGCTTTGTGCCAAGACTTAGGGTTGTAGCAATGAACAAGACATGTGATATCCTTCCTGTCACAGAATTCGCTTTCTTGAGGCAGGAATTGATAAGCAAATTAAAACAGTAACATAGTTTCACTGTGTGAAGAAAATGAAAGAGGGTATTAGAGAGTGAATTGGGTACTTGAAGCAGGGTGGTCATTTCCAAGAAGGCCCTTCTGGAGAGCCAGCATTTGAGCTAAGACCTGAATAAAAAATAGGTACCTTTCCTGAAAACTTATGGGAAAAGAGCATTCCATGCAGGAGAACTAGTAGATGCAAAGATCTTGAGGTAGGAATTAATTTGGTGTGTTCAAGGAACAGAGGGGCACTGTGGCTGGAGCCTGGTGAAGAAGAGAAAGATGAGATGATGCGAGAACAATGATTGAGGGCCCTCGTAAGCCATGGAAAGAGTTTGGATTTTATTGACATGCAATAGGAAATTATTGGAAGGTTTCAAAGTAGGGAGTAATATAATTTTTGTTTATATTTTTAAAAGATTATGTTGTTGTTTTCTGTGTAGAAGGAAGTCAGTGGAGGACAAAGAGTAAAACACGTAGATCAGTAAAGAAGTCATTATAATAATATAGGCAGGAGAGGATGATGGTTAGAATTAGAGCTTTTGGTCCAGTTGCAGTGGATATTGTGAAAAAAGGAGATCAAATTCAGTGTACACTTTAGAGGTTGAGCTGATACAGACTTGTGATAGATTGGATGGAGGAGATGAGGGAGAAAGAGGACTCAAGGAAGAATCCTAGGTTATTGGCTTGACTTCTGGGTAGATGATATAGCCATTAACTGAAATAGGGAGGCTGAGAAATGAGGAGATGGTGTTGAGGTAGAATCAAGAGGTACATTTTGCACATGCAAGTTTTGAGATACTTCTTAACCCAAGAAGAGACATAAGCATTGGAGATATAAATTTAAGAGCCATTAGCCATTAGATAATATTTAAATCAATGACTGGATTATACTACTTTCTTGAAGGAAGTGTCTAAAAAATTTTGAAGAAATTCTTAAAAATTAATATATTTCACAAAGTAGAAAAGCATTATTCCACCGTGAGTCATAAGTTAATGTTAGTTATAATTGTTACTATTAGAAAAAATATGAATATATTTACCATTTATGTGAACCAACACAATCAGTCTCCTGACTGGAACTGATTGGAACTTGGAAAGCTTTTCCCAGGAAATCAATCTATATTATATATTTTTAAATCATGTTTAAAACTGCTAAAAAAGGCAATCTTGTGGTTATATATTTAGACTCGTTTCCTTCTGTTGTTCTGGAGGTGTTTGTTTTTGTTTTTGTTTTTTCACTTTCTGTTAAGTTGTTTTACTGAACGGGTGTGATTTTGTCTGAGAAGGGACCACCAGCCATGTTTATATATGCTGGAGGAACAACGCCTCAAAATGCTTGTTTGTTAGTGTGGGGACATGGACACAAAGACAAAAATGCATTAAAGAGTGTCTAAACTTTTAGGCAGTAGGGGATCAAATATTTGATTAGAACCAGTCTCGTCACTCTTGGGATGGTCCTAGACTACCAAGGAACTTGTCTTTCAGAGATAGGGGGATAAGCAGAGTGAGATGACCTCAAGAAACGGCATATAGGAGGTCAAGTTCATGGAGTTAGGGAAATCTGAAGAATTTTTTTGTATGAGATGTGGCATAGAAGAAAAATTGAACTGAGAAAAGGTTTTGGAAAGAAAAAAAGAATCCCCTTCAAATGCATCCAATATCTTCAGGGTTATTGAAACCAGACTGGACTTCTTGATGTCTTTCAGGGTCATTCATCACTGCTGATGGGCCAAACCACAAATGACAAACTTTTTAAAATGGAGTGAAAAAAGCTGTGTGTTTGAAAATAACACTAATGGAAACTCCTTCTTGAGAGTGCTTAAGATACTATGTATTCTGTAAAAGCTTAGAGTTAAGTGGTTTTGGCTGTAGAATCTCCATGGAGAATTAGTGACAGTCTAGGGCCAAAGTCTCTTCATATTACATCTGTGGAACTTCGACTCAAATCTCTGTCAACACATTTACTCTTCCCACCCTGTTCTTAGTTTTGTGAAGGGCATGAAGTCATTTCTTTTGGACCTGTGGGGGCAATAATGTTACAGAATTAAAGACTCTAGAAGACAGTACATTTTATATGTAGGTGTAGACCTGTTTTGTATGGAAAATATACTTAGCCTAAAGGATAGTGGCTTTCTACAACCTCTCATGCAGTGTACTTCCAGGAGTATTTGTGAGGGCTGTAGGAAGGAAAAACAAAACTAAAATAAAGTTCATGAACATACTCTCCTCCTCTCTAAGTCAAAATATATTAGTATTTTCTGTGTGACAGAACCACTGCTAGTGTCTTACTTTCTAATCTTTTCAGTGGCTTTTTAATTTGTGTATTTATTTGCATGTAGCCTAGCAATGTACTATTTGATAGTTTGGGTGTTCTCTTGATACACCAGTTGATGGAAATTGGAAGAGCAATATCTTGTTTGGATTAAATTACTGATTATTTGAGTACATTCCTAATTCCCATAGTAAAACCCAATGGATTTTTCAAAAAGCTAAACCTGCAGTTCCAGGCCAAAAAATAACCCCCCAAAACCAACAACTTTCACAATTCTAGAATCGTTTCCTTTCTAGGTAACTTAACAGTTTAAAGTGTATTATTACTTAGCCTTCATAGTCTCTATAAGGTATTTGAGTAGGAAGATAATTATGGCTGAGTGCATTGGTTCATACCTATAGTCCCAGCACTTCGGGAAGCTGAGATGGGCAGATAGCTTGTATCCAGGTGTTTGAGACCACCTGGGCAACATAGGCAGAACCTGTCTCTACAAATAGCAAATAAGTTAGCCAGGCATGGTGGCAAATGCACCTGTAGTCTCAGCTTCTCAGGAGGCTGAGGTGGGAGGATCACTTGAACCTCGGTGGTCAAGGCTGCAGTGAGCTGTGTTCATGCCACTGCACTCCAGCCTGGGGGACAGAGTGAGACTCTGTTTCAAAAAAAAAAAAAAGTTAATTATTTATGTTGAAATACTGACTCAATATGTTTCTGGAAGAAATTTTGAGCTTTAAAATTTTTCCAGATTAGAGGTTTATGAGCTAAATATTCTACTTTCTCTTTAGCCATTTATCTCTGTGTGAAACTGAACCAAAAAATTAGAGAATGACAAATTTCTAGATATGACTTACATTCACCTTAAATATGTGAAGACTGTCACAACTCAGCTGGCATCCTCTTTATAAAGGATGTTTTAGTCCATTGACTAGGAATAGGGCTATAACATTTGAGATAGACTAGATCATTCTATAAGACTTATGGATCTCCTGATGAAACACTGTAATATCTTTGGACAAAAAAAAATCTAGATCTTTATGCTTTTGTCAATCCATAGCAGAAGCTGGGTGCCGTGTAGCTCAATCTGATTTATGTGAGTGTATCAGATTAAAAATCCTCATGATTCAGAGAATTATCAATAATGTACGGGTGGAATGTTTACAAGCCTGATAACTGTATTAGTCTATTCTCACACTGCTAATAAAGACATACCTGAGACTGGGTAATTTATAAAGGAAAGAGGTTTAATGGACTCACAGTTCCACATGGCTGGGGAGGCCTCACAAACATGGTGGAAGGCAAAGGAGAAGCAAAGGCACATCTTACATGGTGGCAGGCATGAGAGCATGTGCAGGGGAACTCCCCTATGTAAAACCATCAGATCTCCTGAGACTTAGTCACTATCACGAGAACAACACGGGAAAAGATCCCCACACCCATGATTCAATTACCTCCCACTAGGTCCCTCCCGCAACAGCCAAACCATATCATAGCCTAACAGATGGATTCTAGTTTGACCTGAGTTAATCTGATCACCTTTTAACACCATGCAGTTGTTTTTATTGCCTGGGCATAATCCATCCATATCATCAGAGAAAGATTATCCAAAACTTAGTTTGGGACTCTGTACTTTAACTTCCATCATTTGCAAGTATCCTATTTTCATATTTTTCATTTTTTCTCAAGAGGCATGTGAATGAGGTTTAACTATAGCTTAAGAATTTTTCATTTTTTTTTATGAAGGAGTCACTGAAATAATTAAAATATAACATCCACTTCTTTTTCTTGGAACTTAGGTAGCAATGTGAGTAAGTGTTCAGTAAAACTTCATTTTTTTAATAAAGCCTCAACTTGTGTTCTTTTCCATTTGGAATGCAGCAGCCAAAAACTATAAACAGGAAACAGCCTGGAAGATATCACCTGGACAGCTATGAGCAATCAACACGGCGTCTACGTCCCGCAGAAACAGAGGACATTGCAATAAAGGTTATTTTTATTTCCTGGATTCTTACATGAATAGAAACATTTATGTTACTATTTTATGGTGAAGTTCTGTGAAAGTGTCCCAAATTGTGCCTTTAAATTGTTTTTACAGTTGTCATTAACCCTAATAACATTTAAAAAAAAATTCTGAGTTTTAATTGTCAGTTCTTCCTCATCTCCCAACCACAATTTTTGCTCCAGCAGCACATTTCAATAACCAGAGAATGTGACTTTCTTCTGAATCTGCTTTAGAAGCTAGTGTCACATGTATTTTTTCTGGTATTCCTATGTTTATCAACCAAATAAATTGATTAATGAGAATACCAATATTATAAGTTCAAATTTCAGGAATATAAATTAAATAGTCATTGTTTTCAATCAGGGGAGACTCAGACTAGTGTATGCATTCACCAGTTTCCCGGTACTGCCCTTGATCTCATTTCAAACTTGGCTATTTGGACTCTCCCCAGGCATTGTGCTTAAGTTAAGGCAGAACAGGCAACCGAGAGTTGGGGATAAAAGGGAGTAATCAGTGTTGTGCAGGAATTGGAAGAGCTGCCGGCAGCAGTCAAAGGCCTCCATCCATGGGAGCTGCCAGAGTCCTGGAAACTTAGCAAACTGGCTGCATTGGCTACTGGAGGATATCCAATTCTCCTGCACAGCCTAGGCCAGTCACAGAGACGGGGAGGCTCAGTATGGGGTTTATAGTAGAGCCAAGAGCTATGTTTAGGTCTCTCTCTCCTTGACACCTGACACAATACCTTACCACAATAGCCACTTCATAATCAGAACAAACATGTGATTGAGTGGAACAAGCTAGTGCTAGCCCTCCCTTTTCCACTAATTTGATGCATGATATTTGGGCAAATTACTATGCCTCATTGAGCCATGGTTTGCCCATCTTGAGGTGGACATGCCATTTTAGTGTGGTTGTTTTGGGGTTAAAAGGATATGTCACATATGAATTTTAAAGAGAGCTCTAGTGATTCTTGACTTTGGCTATGCATTAGAATCACTTACAAAGCTTTAAAAAATGTGTGTGTGTGTGTGTGTGTGTGTGTTGTTCCCTAGGCGATTATAATGTTCAGGCAGTGTGTGAACTAGGGGCTATGAAAAGATAAGGAATGAGAGATTGGAAATGGTCCTCTATGCTGTTGTTTCCCCACTATGCCCAGATAACAACTAATGTATTGGTGAATAAAAAACAGGGCCAGTTTTTAATTGACATTTTCTGTTCACTATAGTAGGAATCTAAAAATATGTCTTTTCCATGTGTTTCATTAATTTTCTTTTTGAAAGAAAAGAGAGACTATTATGAATTTTTTTTCCAAAATTGACCATTCATGCATTAAGAAAAATAGCTGCTTATCAATGGCTTTGACTTTGCTGTGCTTCTGAATGGCCTCCGCAGTTTCAGGCTCACTTTCAAGCCCAAATTAATTTTTTATTTACGGTGAAAGCTCACAAATTGGTAATAATATATTTTTGAAATATTTTTATTGTGAAATACAACATACTGCAGAGAAGTACATATTTATATCAGCAGCTCCCTCAGAAAATGCTCCAACACATATATCTGCTGTCTTCTTATATTTTTCCCTGAGATATAATTGCCACCCTGTGGCAATTATAGTCATCATTTCCTTGATTATTCTTGCTATGCTTGCTTCCCTAAGAACATATTTTTAGTTTCTTAAAAGTTTAAATATGTGTATATGTGTGTGTGTGTGTTGCTTCTTTTGCTCAACACTATGTATGTGTAATTCACCTATATTTTATAAATGTAATCCATTCACTCTCATTGCTGTTCTATTGTACAAATTGTTCCATTCTATAAATATACCAGAATTTAATTATCTGTTCTACTTTTGATGGTCTGTTGGGTATTTTTCAGTTTGGGGCTATTGTGAACAGTTGCTGAGTTGTACGGTATGTGCATCCTCAACCTTCCTAGATAATGGCAAACTGCTTTCCAAAGTGATGGTGCCAATTTACAATTTCACCAGAAGTGACTGAGAGTTCCTGTTGCTCTACATCTTCACCAAAAAAATGCTTCTCATTTTTTTGCCACGTGTTGTGTGCTGGGAGAGGTGTAACTGTATCTTGCTGTGGTTTTTATTTGCATTTTTCTGATTACAAATAAGGTCAAGCAACTTTCGATATAAGATATATTTATGAAAATGGCCACTGGGGTTTGAGTTTGGATTTCTCTTTTGTGAATTACCAGGTTGTTTGTCCTTCTCCTCTTTAAAAATTTTTGGTACTACTTTGACAGTCACATATGTTGCAAAATTCTTCTCCCACTCTGTGTAACTTGGCTTTCCACTCTATGATATCTTTCATTGAACAGAAGTTCTTAATTTTAATATAGTCTAGGATACAACTTTTCCTTTATGGTTAATGCTTTGGTTTTTCATCTTATTTAAGAAAACTTTTCCTACCCAGAGGCCATGAAGACGTTCCATATTAGCTCCTAAAAGCTTTGAAGCTACACTTTTTAACTTTAGTCCTTTAATACACATAAGATCAATTTTTGTGTTTAGTATGAAGTAGGGATGTGATTTAGTAGGTAAATCAGGGATGAATAATTTATTAGTAAATCATAAATGTAGCAGTAGTACATTTAGTAGTAGTCATTTTCCCAAATTTAGTAGTAAATCAGTAAGGTCTGATTTAATGTTTTCAAGTGTGATATCTAGTTGCCTAGCCCCATGTATTATTGATCACTGTCCCCACTGATCTTCAGTGTGATATCAGTTACACATCAAGGATCTATATGTGTGTGAATCAACTGATAGCCTTCATTTATTTTTCTCAGATTTATGTGTGTTCAGTACTCCGCTGTAATGATTACTATAGCTTTCTAACGAACATTGACACCTTTTAGAACAAGTCTTTATAACTGGATTTTTTTTCCTTCTTAGCTATACTTGGACCCTTGGGGGAAAGAGGCTTAGGTGTTCTGGGGCTCACACCTTTGAATTTGTATTTTTTCCTTATATTTTGGACTTGGAATTTCCTAACTGCTTCTTTTAGTGAGATTTTTTACAAACCAAATTTTGTTCAGCATTGTTACTTATTTTCAGCAGGAGAAAATGGACAATGGTCTGTGTGTGCCCTGCCTTTAAATTTAAAAAAAAAAAATTCTTTTCATTGAGGTGAAATTCACTTAGCAGACAACCATTTCAAAGTCAACAATCCAGTGGCATTTAGTACATTCACAATGTTGTGCAACCACCACCTTTACCTAGTTCCAAAACTATTTCATCACCCCAAGAGGAAATCTCAAATCCATTAAGCAATTGCTCCCCATTTCCCACTCGCCTTGCCCCAGGCAGCAACCAATGGATTTGCCTGTTCTGGATATTTCATATAAATGGAATCATATACTAGGTGACATTTTGTGTCTATCTGGCTCCTGCTTTTAAATTTTAATTCATTCTTTCCCTGTATGCCTGATACTCCTTCCTATCAAAGTCACCTCATCCCCAATATACATACCTCCTACCCCCATCATTATAGAACCAGCTCTAATGTGCTTGATGTGCTTAGGCATGCCCATATCTTTGTAAAATATGTAGTGTTGTCCTAAGTGTCTATGTGCTCTCAATTTACTTGAATGTTTTCTTGATCGTTTGCTTCTGCTAAGTGCACCATTGTATCTTGTAGAATGTGTCGCTGCATTTTACTTATCCCCTAGTGATGTACACTGAGCTTGCCTCCATCTTTCCTCTATCATAAACCCCGTTATGATGATCATCATTGTACCTATCCTTACATGATCCTTTGCAAAGACTGATTTATATATTAGCTGACTTTCCAAGTTCAGACATCTAGTTGGGGAAGTCAGGATTTTAACCCTGCTGGTGGGGAATTTAGTGCATTTTGTAAAAGGCAGGAGGGAATGGAAGTGTAAATGGCAGCAGGAGAAATTAACTTTAGCCTTCCTCCTCTTCTATCTTTCTTGTATGGATGTTGTTCCTTCTTTTACTTCAATGTAGCACCAAATCAGAAGGTGACATTGCATTCTTTTAGTTCTTTCCTGCTACTTTCAGACCATAACCTTTCCCTGTCACACTCATAAAGCTATGGTATTTTCTACCTGTTTTCACATCTATTATCAGAGGACCTCATAATCACTCTTCCACCTTCACTGTAGATGTGAGTATGTTTCCTAGTCCACCGTTCTGTCTTTGTATGTGCCACACATAGTTAGGATTTAAACTTCCAAGGGCACAGTCTATCCAGTATCCCAGCCTGAAAATCCCCTAATCTACTGTCACTCCATTTACACAACCTCACCTGTATCACTGTGTCACCTTCTCCACAGCATTCAGCAGCCTGGTTATACATGTGTAGAAGGCATGAGGTTGGATTGCTGCAGAAAGGTACTAAAGGATTTTTAGCATTCTTCATCATATCACGAATTGAAAGACCCTCCTTTCACTTTCACTCTTTTTAATTTTTCATTTATACCACTGAATAGCCATAACTCTAAATCAGAATTTCACCATTGTGTGTTCTACCTTGGGTTGAGTCTTTTAGCACTTACAAATTTTTATTTTAATTAGAAATTATTCATTGATACCACACATATAATTTAATTTCACACTCATATAATTTGGATTCACACTTGGTCACCACCTGGAACTGCATCCCCTCTATCTTACTCTATTAGACTAGTCAGTCACTGACAACAAAATCCTGGTACCCAAGTTTTCTCAAGCCTTTAATTTCACGGTCATTGTTTTTTTTTTAACACCATTGAAACCTTCAATATCTTGAACTCCTTCTTTTTCTCCCAGTCCTTTAGTACCTTTCTGCAGCAATCCAACCTTATGCCTTCTACACATCTATAACCAGGCTGCTGAGTGCTATGGAGAAGGTGACACAATGATATAGGCCAGCATGGCCACAGAGTTATTATCTCCAACCTCAGCTGACTCCCCTCCCCCAATAGCTATCTGCCATCCTTTTACATGTCTCTTAGCAGCATTATTTTCCAAACCTACAGTAGCTATGCAGCTGTCACCACTCTATTCCCACCTCCTTCTCTCTCCTTTTGTCTCCTCTTTCTCCAGATCACCTTAGCTCCCAATTTGCTGAGAACATCAACGGTGTCATGTAGGGTCTCTCTTAGTTTCATGCTGGCCCTTGTCCACAAGCATCTATTTTTGTGCCTCTTTTAGCCTCCTCACCTACCCTAGGAGAGAAAATGGAATCTTCAGCCTCTGAGGCTGTATAATTTCTTTGCATGCCATTTGTCATTTAACCATAATGACAGCCCCAGCCACCTCTGCCCCAGCTAGCTCTATTCATCATTTCCTCTGACATATTTTACGGTTTTTTTGATCTTCAGCCTATTCTCACTATAGTTCTTTACCTACAAATGCTTTCATTGACATTCAGTATATTTTACAAAACTAGTTAAAAGGCCTCTTTTTCCAAAAAGTTTTTTGACTCATCCCAGATGTAAATGATTTTCTTTATGAGCTGCTGTTGTACTTAGTGTCTGTGTGTCCCCTCTCTTTGGTACTGAGCCCATAATGTCGTGTCTTGTACTCACTTCTTTCCATGGTTTACTTACTCAACTGATTGCAAGCTTCAAGAGAGCAGGGAGGATGCATTATGCCTTCTTTGTAATCTATGCCAGCCTAACACAGTCCCTCAAACAGAGTGAGGATGATCAGCCATATTTACAAAGCAATCAGTAATTCGAATCCAGCCCTTCCATGCGACCCTCCTTCCATGACTAATTTCACACATAACTGTGTGATGGATATTACTAAATGTTGTGCCATATATATCACAAGCTACAGAAAACCTGCATGGACAAACATAAGCTAGCCTTTTCAAGCAGTTTTTCACTCTTTAAGTTATTCATTTTATGAAGGGTTTTGGGGGTTATATGTAGTTATAATTCAGATATCACAAATCCATTCTGCAAAATTCCTAAACAACAGTGTGCTTAGAAATTTCATTTATGGTTTTGAAATAAAACATTAGTTTATGAGCAAAGTGTATCTTCAATTTCTCCTGATTTTTAGGAGCCTTTCCTCCCCTCATCTGTGTCTACTTCATCCTTCTAATTCCTGGGTTCTGTTACTGTTTTATTTCCTATTTGTATAACTGGTAAAACTATTAAGTCCACTTGAAGCTTGTTAAAACAAATAGATTGTGTGGGATGAATAGAAGGTATTGTGATTTTTCCTGATTATTGACGTTTATACCACAAGCAATGTTGCCTCACTTCTTTTATTATTCTTTACTCTTTTTTTTTAACTTCAGTGAATAGTTGGCCTACACAGTTCAGGAAACTCATTGATTACAAAATTTTCCTCCTCAGTTAATGAAGTCATTTTGCTGGAATAATTTGTGGTTATTTCTCTGCTTTATTTTAATCACTAGGATTTGGGGAATTGTCTGGCAGTGAGAAAATAATTAATGTAGAGATTTCATTGGGAAATGTTTGGGATAATTGTCTTTTAAGAATGTCCATATGTAAACTATCTGGTAATCCCAAATTTTCAGAGATTTTAGCATTCTTCATAATATCGCAAATTTAAAGACCCTCCTTTCACTTTCATTCTTTCTAATTTTTCATTTATACCACTAAATAGCCGTAACTCTAAATCAGAATTTCACCGTTGTGTGTTCTACCTTGGGTTGAGTCTTTTAGTACTTACAAGTTTTTATTTTATTTTATTTTATTTTTCCAAGATGGAGTCTCGCTCTGTCACCCAGGCTGGAGTGCAGTGGCGCGATCTCGGCTCACTGCAGCCTCAGCCTCCCGAGTAGCTGGGACTACAGGCGCCTGCCACCACGCCCGGCTAATTTTTTGTATTTTTAGTAGAGATGGGGTTTCACCGTGTTAGCCAGGATGATCTCGATCTCCTGACCTTGTGATCCACCTGCCTTGGTCTCCCAAAGTGCTGTGATTACAGGCATGAGCCACTGCGCCTGGCCTACAAATTATTATTTTAATTAGAATTATTCATTGATACCACACATATAATTTAATTTCTGTATTTTTATTTTGTAGGTCACAAATGGATACTTTTCATGGGGCAGTGGTTTAGCTACATTATCCAATATAGATATTCGAATTCCAACAGGTAAGAGTTATCTGTTATGCATTTTTGTAATTGTTCATGACCGTAACCATAGTTTTCCAAGATAATTGAGCCTAACAAAAAGATACTTTTTAAAGACATAAATATTATTTATGATTACCTATTTGCACTATTGTGCTTGCGAGCCACTGTGTCACTGTGGGAATGGCTGGAAATGATAAGACCTGCCTTTCACAGTGGCGTCTATACCTTTGGACAATTATTTACTGTTCATTTGCTGATTTGGGCAATTTAAACAGTGGGGTGGTTGATTTCACTTTTTGTTTGAGAAACACTTTAAAGAAAGAGTATATGAGAAACTTATTTTCTGTTTGCGAGAAATACTGATGAAGTTTTCAAGATACTTAAAATTTAAATATCCAATAATTATATGTATTTAATATTTTTAAAAAGTTTTATTGAAGTGTAATTGATCCATAAAAATTGCACATATTTAATGCTTACATTTTGATGAGTTTGAGCATATGTGTATACCTGTGAAAACCATCACCACAATAAAGGTATTCAATATGCAATCGCTACCAAAAATTTCCTTGTGTTCTTCTGCTTTTATTTTATTTTTTGTGGGAAGAACACTTAACATGAGACTTATCCTCTTGACACATTTTAAAGTACACAGTACTATATTGTTAATCGTATGTACTATATTGACCAGCAGATTTCTAGAACTTATTCATCTCACATAACTGAAATTCAGTAATAACTATTGAACAACAATTTCCCATTTTCCCTTTCCCCCATCTCCTGGAACCCACAATTCTATTTTCCGTTTCTGTGAGAAGAAGTGTCTAAAATTTTGACTAAATTAGTTAAAATACCTAAAAGAGTCAAAATTTTAGATACCTCCTAGAAATAGAATCATACAGTATTTCTCCTTCTGTGACTGTGGTGTCCTTCTGTGATGTCCTCTAGGTTCATCCATGTTGTTGTGAATGGCAGGATTTCCTTCTTTTTATAACACTGAATAATATCCCATTGCATATATATACCACATTTTCTTTATTCATTCATCTGTCAATGGACATTTGGGTTGTTTCAGTATCTTGGCTATTGTGAATGATGCTACAATGAAGATGGGGGAGCAGATATCTCTTTGAGACCCTAATTCTGATTCGCTTGCATAAATACCCAGAAGTGGGATTGCTGGATCATATGGCAATTCTATTTTTAGTTTTTCGAGGAACCTCTATACTGTTTTCCATTGTTGGCTGCACAATTCTACATTACCAGCAACAGTGTGTAAGGGTACCAGTTTCTCCACATCCTCACTAACACTTTTTATCTTTCATGTTTTTTTATTACAGCCATCCTAACAGGTGTGAGGTGATAAGTCATTATGGTTTTGATTTGCATTTCCCTGATGTTTAGTGTTGTTGAATGCCATTTTATATATACCTGGTGGCCATTTGTACTTCTTATTTGAAGAAATATCTCTATTCGGGTTCTTTGCCCATTTTTAAATTGGATTATTTGTTTCATTTCTGTTTTAGTTTTTTTTGTATTTTATATTTTGGATATTAACCTCTTATCAGGTAGATAGTTTGCAAATATTTTCTCTCATCCCGTAGGTCTCCTTTTCATTCTGTTGTTTCCTTTGCTGTGCAGAAGCTCTTTAGTTTGATGTGGTTCTACTTATCTATTTTTGGTTTTATTGCCTGTGCTTTGGTGTGAAATCCAAGAAATCACTGCCAAGTTCAATGCCAAGAAGTTCTTTCTTTAAGGATTTTTATAGTTTCAGGTCTGACATTTAAGTTTTTAATCCATTTTGAGTTGATTTTTGTGTATGGTGTAGTATAGGCTCCAATTTTATTCTTTTGTGTGTAGATATCCAGTTTGTTGAAACCCCTTGCTGAAGATCAGTTGACTGTATATGTATGGGTTTATTTATGGTCTCTCCCTTCTGTTCCATTGATATATGCATCTGTCTTTATGCAAGTACCGTACTGTTTTGATTACCGTAGGTTTGTAATATATTTTGCAAGCAAAAAGTGTGATACCTCCAGCTTTGCTCTGCTTTCTTAAGATAGCTTTGGGTATTTGGGGTCTACTCTTTCCATATGAATTTTGGAATTGATTTTTCTATTTCTGTAAAAAATGCTGTAGGGATTTTGATAAGGATTACATTGAATCTGTAGATTGCTTTGGGTAGTATGGACATTTTAACAATATTAATTCTTCCAGACCCTAAGCCCAGAAGTCTTTTCATTTTTTTTGTTTGTGTTAATTTCACCAATGTCATAGTTTTCAGTGTATATGTTTTTCACTTCCTTGGTTAGTTTTATTTCCAAGTACTTATATGCTAACAACAAACTATCTCAAATTAAGAAAACAATACTATCCACAATAGCATCAAAAAGAATAAAATATTTAGGAATAAACCCAGTAATTTTTCCTTAAAATGTCTCTATAATTGAATAGAAATATTTTTGACCTGGCCTTATGCCAGGTCATTAGGTGAAGATTTTTCTATTATAAATGCAAAACAAATTTATAATAGGAACAGATTTTTCTATTATAAATGCAAAGACACTCTCTTCTTCAAATAGAAATTGGAGAAGAGAGTTATCACAATTATTTATTTTCATCAAAACTGCCCTTTTTATTCTGAATGAATTGAATATTAAAGTTAAAACTAATCTCGATAATCTAGGCAATTATTTCATTACTTTCTTTACTGCTATCAGCTATTTTCATAGTTTTAAAAATAATAAATCATTATATATATATATATTTTTCCTTTTCCAAAAAGACTTATCAGAGAAAGGAGCTGTTTAGAATACCTTACTGCTGGAGATCAAAACTGGGCCATTGATTGTAAAACATTAGCTTTTTCTAAATGTGTTTTGATGTTATTTCACCAAGAATCCATCTCATTCTGTAGTTATCCTTTGTTTTGCTTTCCTAGGTCAGTTAACCATGATTGTGGGCCAAGTAGGATGTGGGAAGTCCTCTCTTCTCCTTGCCATCCTCGGTGAGATGCAGACATTGGAAGGAAAAGTTCACTGGAGCAAGTATGTATATTTTTAGTTGGCTTCCATTGCTATGTCATACATCTGATAATCTTCCAAGGAAAGAACTTAGACAAATACATTTACATGTTCTGACTCTGAAGACCACGCAGAAATAAGCACAGCTTTAAAAAAAAAATTGATGGAAACCTTAAAAGTCATAAATAAAAAGTTACAAAACAATTTATTACAAAGGTTGTTTATAATAGTATAAACTAGTATATTGCTGAGACAAAAGTAAGGATGGGATTGTAAAGATAGGTTTTTAAAGTTAAATGGGTAACACTTCAAGAAATAACTTAAAAGTTTATTCTATAACAAAATAAGTTATGGAAAATGTGCATTATTTATAAGGCTTAAATAGAAACAGTGCCTTAAAGTTTCAATGTTCAGAGAAGAAATATCAAATGATCTTTTCCAAAATCTGTATAAGAAAGTGAAAATCAACTATTTATCCTTATACTTAAACTAGATACTAGAAGCGTCTAGTTGGAGATATGAATAGCTTTGATTAGTGCAATTCTAAAGACATGGAAAAGAAAGTGCATCTTCCAGACATTTGAATGATTGCTTCCAGCATGATGTTTCTTCTAGATATTTGAATGGTGGTCAAAGCACATTGTGGTAATAAAGTGATTCAGAAATATGTTACATAATTGGTTAATAAAGAGTAAATTATACTTATTTAGTTTGGCCTACTTAGTAGACTCCTCGTAAGTAGTTTATGGATACACTGGCTACAGCTGATCTAAGAAATTAGGCTATAGACCAGTGGTTCTCAAACGGGTGTGATTTTTGTCCCCGGGGACATTTGGCAATGTCTGGAGACATTTTTGGTTTTACACTGAAGCATTGGGTTGCTACTGGCCTGGTGGATAGAGGCCAGGGATGCTGCTAACATCCTACAGTGCACAGGACAGCTCCCATACCAAGGGATTCTCTTGTCCCAAATATCAATTGTGCTGAGGTTGGGAAACCCACAGATGTTCTTTCATATCATTTTGTATCTACTATCATGAATTCCACCGTGGCTGAGTTTGCTGTTTACATACACAGACATCTCTCAAGAATGAGAAGACTATGGGCCTTTTAAGAGTAGATTTTATTTTAAACTCCAATTAAGAAAAAAAAATTCTTGGTTGTGAAATTCAGACTGAAATTAGAAGTGTAAATCCTGTTTTCAGTGTCATTGGCAAAAGAAGAAGACTGAGAATTGTTGAGTGTACATTTTATCCCTGTCGAGCAAATCTAGCAGATAGCCTTGCAACTGTTTAGCGCATACCCAGCAGAGAGCTCAGTGAAACATTGCTACCTCAGTTTGCTTCATGGCACTAGACAAGGTTTCCCCTGCCACTATCCTCAGGCAGTAGATGGTGTCAGTCACTAACCTCAGGCACTAGATGATGTTCCCCTAGCCACTGTCACTTCTATCTTGGATGAAGAAGTAGATCCCACTGGATTTAATTACATTGTGTAGCTTGTACAACCATAATTAAGTTATTTGGGTTTTGTTTTTATCCTGATTTACCATCATTAAAACAGAGAGAAAGAATGACAGTGACAGAAAAGGCTTGAGATTTTATTTTCATACTACCAGGAAGATCTCCTAATCTGGCCTGTTCCAAGTGTAATTTAACTTTCCAGGCCCCAGCCCCACTTGAGCTAAATTGACCCCCAATATTATCATTCATAATTATCATTGTGTTAATGAATAAAGAAATGATGTGAGGATGCAGAAAATATTCTTTATAACCTATTTATTTTCTTGCTTTCCTAAGCATGTATACGATTTATATTGTATCTTATTTCATAAAGTTTTGTATTGTTTTATTTAAAATAACATAGTAGAGTTTGAAAGATAAAGAAAATTTTTAAATATTGTTTAAATAATCATCTGAAGTTGTAATAGACAGAAATGCATGTACTGAAGTCCTGTATAATTATAAAATATGGGCCACAAATTTCTGAACTTCATGAAAGCTAGGCAAAGAAGGAAACGTGAGGAAAAAAACAGAAACATTTACTCAGTAGAGATTGATTTTCTCTTTTTGGAGAGAGCTGTGAAAGAAATCTGCCCAGCTGTGGTTTATGCCTATAATCCCAGCACTTTGGGATGCTGAGGCAGGAGTATCACTTGAAACCAGCAGTTCGAGACCAGCCTGGGCAACATAGTGAGACCCTATCTGTACAAAAAAATTTAAAAATAAGCAGGTCATGGTGATGCATGCCTGTAGTCCTAGTTACTTGAGAGACTGAGGCAGGAAGATCTCTTAAGCCTAGGAGTTTGAGTCTGTAGTGAGCTGTGAATGTGCCACCACACTCCAGCCTGGGCGACAGAGTGAGACCATTTCTCTTAAAAAAAAAAACAAAAAACTAAAGAAATATCTTCCATATACCTTATAAAAAGTCAATAAAAGGTTAATTCTTAATGTCTTCAATATTCCTAAAATTTATTCAAAAGTAAATTCCATGTGCCAATTATTACAAATAAAATTCAGAATATAATACTAGATTATAGATTATATAATAAATGTTATGTGAAGGTTTAGAGGGCAGGCAGGAGGGGGTGAAGGATGTGGTATGGGTAGTATCAGAACAACACAGTCTAAGTATGCAGATCTTCAACATCTAGTTTGATCCAGGAATGAAATTAACTACACTTGGAAAAATACATAAATTGTACATCAGTTGGACCATCTTCCATGTTTAGTATGGAATACAGATATTTTATTTCTTAGTCCTTTCTTTTTCATTCAACATTTACTGAGTACCTCCTTCATGCCAAACACTGATTTAGGTATCAAGGATATAGAATTGAACAAGACAAGACAAGTCTCTATCTCATGCGGTTACAGTCTAGAATGTGGCCTGTGTATAAGTAATCAACAAGAAAAAGACATAATATTAGACTTTGATAAATGCTGTGACAATGATAAAACAAGGCAATATAGTAAAGGTACTATACCTGTGAGGTGTGTTTGAGGATCCTAAAAGGGTCTAGAATGGCTGGTAAATACTGACTGATGCAGGTGCAAGCTGAGGCTACCTGGAAAAGGAGGAAAGCATTCTGGGTATGCTGTGGAGTTAAGATTTTGTTCTAAGTTCAGTGGGAAAATATTGTAGAAGTTTAAGTAGAGGAGTGATTTACATTTTTGCAAAGATATGATGTACAATTTGAAAAAATGATTCGGACTTGTGGTGTGAAGAATGAATTACAGAGGCAAGAGGGAAAGTGCGGGAAACCATTTAAGAGTTCATTTCACTAATTCAGATGAGAGATGAAGGTAGTTTGATGTAACATGGTAGCTGTGGAATGAACCAAAGTGAATAGATTCAGCATATACTTTGGAGTCAGCCAGCAGGATGAAAGTGTAAGAAGGAAATTGAGATAATTCTGAGTATTTATAAAATTCCTGTAACCTAAAAATTATCTTTTTATGAGCATTTGCCTTACTAGACAACAATGCTATCTCTTCGCTGCAGAAAGGACCGAAGTTTTCTTCAAAAATGTTTAAGTTGGTTCAACACACAAACAAATGAAAATGTAATATTCTAATAGATTGAATAAGTTAATGCAAATTCTATTTTTATTTAATTAAAAGAATTACTTATTTTTTTCATAATATCCTTAATATCTGATAAAACATATTTTAGGATCAAGAAGATTCAGAGGATACTGACATTCTTTTAAAGAGTTATTTGTAATTACTCTTTTCATTCCAGAAACAAAAGCTGTATGCCCAGTCCAATAAAGGCATATAACTATTAATTAAAGCTAAGCTAATTTAGAAATTATTGATATTCATAAGCTGCTGCTGTGTAAATGCTTAGAAGTCCTTTACTTCAACAGACTGAATTCGTTTTTTTTAAAGCTCAAAACAAACCAAAACAATAAACTAAATGATATGGTAAGACACCAAATACTTTGCTATCATTCTTTCACCATTACATGTGTCTCTGATTGCATAAATTTTATTTATTTATTTATTGAGACAGAGTCTCACTCTGTTGCCCAGGCTGGAGTGCAGTGGCATGATCTTGGCTCACTGCAAGCTCGGCCTCCTGGGTTTATGCCATTCTCCTGCCTCAGCCTCCTGAGTAGCTGAGACTACAGGTGCCTGCCACCATGCCTGGCTAATTTTTTGTATTTTTAGTAGAGACAGGGCTTCACCGTGTTTGCCAGGATGGTCTCGATCTCCTGACCTCATAATCCGCCTGTCTCGGCCTCCCAAAGTGTTGGGATTACAGGCGTGAGCCACCGTGCCCGGCCATAAATTTTATTTTTGAATGTGTCCTCATGCACAGGCATGAACAAAATCGAGTAAAGTACTCTGACCTACTGCAGCAGGAAATATTTACTTTGGGCCGGAGAAAAGGCATTGTTGTTCATCCAGCACACACCTGTGTGGGTAGAACGTGGAACATACAGATGCCGATAGTTGTTTCCTTGGGAATTGCTTCCTTTGACCTAGTCTGACATATTGTAGACCCAGAAGAGAAAAGATGAGAGAGAGGAGAGAGGAATGAAAAAAATTCTCCAAAATTGTCAGAATGCCAATGTGCACATCAATCTTGCATCCAAGTGTGCTTCATATTTGTTGAAAAACAAATGTTCTGCCTGACTGAAGTCCTTTCCTGGTTGTCATGATAAACAATAATTTCTACTGATATCTTAGGAGCTAGAACTAAAATGCCTTATCTGATGAATAGTTTCAGAGGAGTGTCCAGAATGCTTTTTAATTGTGGTGGTAATGATGTGAGAAACAGCTTGTCATTTATCTTTGTTTTCCTTTTTTTTTTTTTTTCTTTTCCCTCTCACCCATGCCATCAACCATCCTCCTCTTCAGGCCCCTTCTGTCCTGACATTCTATCTCCCAACATCTTAGTGTAATCAGCTTTGTAACAGTGCTTCAATTATTTTCAGACAAATGGAGGAAATATTCCTTTTCATGTGACTTTCCTGGCATGAAGGAATAATAATATTAAGTCAGCTTTCCTGGGTCAGATGTAATATATCATGTTTGTGCCAGCATCTAGTTTCCCTTCTTCCAAATGTCATTCCTGATTTAAATTTGCAAAAGTCACTCTCCCATTCCATAATATTATTAACCATAATACTTGGAAGTTGCTAATACACTGTGTCGACTTTAACTTTTACTCTGGGAGGAAAATACACACAAATTCTACATGGAGAGGTTTTCAGAAGTGAAACTTTATTCTGTTTTCTAGAAGGGGATTTTCTATATGACCTCTTTGCATTCTCCTGTTGTCTTGAGTGCTGTAGAGTACCACATTGAATGGTGGAGGATGAGTCTAGACAGAGCTAAATCTACTTCTTTATTTTGGAAGAGAAATTATATAACCTTCCACAACTGAATTTGATTAAACATATTGATATGTGAGAGGGCCGGAATAGGTAGTCTCTGGAAGTTAAGGATTATAACATTATTCATAAAAATGTTAGTGAAATAATGGGTTAATTTGTTTTTGGAAGATGATTACCTACAAATGAGTCTAAGTTTACCTCTTTTTTTCTTTCTCTGAAAGAAAAGGAAAATATACGTAAATCCTTCAAGGAGAGGTTTTCAGAAGTGAAGATCCCCTATGTGCTGTTTTGCTTTTTTCAGGACCTTACTGCATTAATTAACCCTTTTCTCTTATAAATGTCTTTATTTATTGCTCTTCACACTCCATTATTCCCCACCCATTTTTTAAATAATGGTCTTTCTTATCTCTCAATCAACTGGAACATTTCTCTTTTTAACGACCTAGTCCACCCACACTTAACCTCTGTTCTTCTCTTTTACTCTGTGCATTGCAACCTGGATGAGAGGGTCTCACCAATGACTGCCTAAGTGCTAACTCCCAATAATTTGTCCTCAGTCCTACTTCTCCATAGATTTTGAAACTCTTCACCCATCGACGACTCCTTGAAATCAACTTGGCTTCTTGGTTTCCGTGACCCTTGCATTTATTAATTTGTTAAAAAATATTTGTTGCACACCATTTATATGCAAATCATTGTATTAGTTCTAAGTTGGGGGAGAAATAAGTGAACAAGAGAAGGCAGGCCCCTATTTTCATGAAGCTTACTGTTTAGCAGGGGAAACCAAGAGGAAGTAAGAAAATAATTTTATGGTTATTTTATTAATGTTTTATAAAGACTAGGAAGAAGTACAGTGTTTTATAAGAACGATTATAGGTGACTTGACTGAGTCAAATCTGTGAGGTTGGCAAAGGATTTCTTTTATGATCTCCAGTCTTGTTCCCTCTAGTTCAGTTGTTACATTCTGTGATCACAGTGATATTTCTAAATTGAACCTGTATCTCTCTCTTGTTTAAACCTTTTTCAGTAGTTTTCTTTTACTTTTAGGAAAAGTTCAAGCTCTATAAAATGGATTATGAGCCCCTTCATTATCTGGCTGTGCTTACTTTTTAAGTTCATTGCCATTTACACCTACATTTCAGCCATGCTGAATATACATCACTTCTTTGTGTAATCAGGATACCTCATGGCCTTCTAATACATATTTTCTCTGGTCTGAAGTACTCTTGGCTTTTTTTTTTTTCATCTAGCACACTCTTAATTTTCCCTCTGACATCAACTCTATTGTTTACTCTGATTTGCTAAAAGTGGCTTGGTGCTCTGGTTCTTTGCTTCTTTGTTTTTGGTTGTTGGTTCTTGATCAGTGCCCTACTACCATCTTTTACCCCACCTGTCTCAGCCCTTATTCCCTTATTATGCTCCCACAAAAGTGAAAGTGGTGTGAAAGAAGGAGTGGATCTTTCTTGTTTGCTGTATCTCTAACGTGTGGCACTAGGAAGTGATCAATGCATATTTTTTAACTGATACTGAATAAATAGAGTCGGAATTTAACCAACCTTTATTGAATAGATTGATGAATTCTTAATCCATATCTCTGCGTTGGGCTGACATTCTCAAATGTCCAACAGGTATTTACACATGTCTAATGGGCATTTCCACTTGAATGGCCAGAATACAAATTAACACATTCATTTCTGCCACATACTCACTCTTCTCTCTTCCCTGTCTTCCTCAAATTAGTTAAAACTAGTGAGGTCACCCATTGGATTTATACCACAGAAAACAAAGTCCAAATTTCTTGTTATCTAAAGCATATTGCGTGGAAAATATTATTCATAAAAATGATCATTTCCCTATTTTTTATCAGTAACTTAAATCAGGGAACAATTATTATTGGGAGGAAATTTTTAGTCTGAGGTTGCCTTTTTTGCCTCTGTCAGCCATCCCAAGATGTCATTAGCAGTGTGCAGTAGTGAAAATGATCCTTAGTAACTCTAAACCAAATATCATTAGGTAGCATAATTAGGTAAATTTTCTCCACAAAAACATACAACATTTTGCAAAGTCAAATAGAATCAATTTTTGGAGTTTCTGTAGGCTTTAATTATTTGTATGGTTATTGAATTCACGTCTGTAATGTGTATGTTATTGAATTCAACTGACCCTAAATTATAAAAAATTAGAACAATAAAAGAAATAGGTCTTCAGGTGTCTTTCCTCATAATACAGGCATAACAAATTGTGACCAAAGCCCACTTTTTACATAAATCATATCAATAATTGATTCTACTTAGATGTAGTTTGGTTTCTGGTGCATGTCTGTTTTTCTTACAAGCTCCTGAGGGGCCAGTGTGTTTTGTGTATCTTTCGTGTTTAGTGCCCAAAAAGTATTTCTGCTGCTACCTTAGGGTAGCTAATTTGGAATTTAAATTTATTGAATTCAAATTTTAAAGGTTGGAAGGCCTTGGAAATACAGAGTCCTTATGAAACGGGAAACTGTATTCTAGAGGGATTCCCCAAGTTTACAGCTGTTTGGAGCAGGGTTAGCACTAGAACCCAGTCATTGTATGAACCAAAATTTTTATGAAAGAGAACAGTGCTATCTATGTTTTAGAAGCTTACTAAGCAATTATTTCCTAGCTGATGAAGACATAAAGAAGAATACTACTTATCTGGTTTGTCTTTGAAATTAATATCAGAAACCATTTGGGAAATGTGCTCTTTAATATGTCCAGTGTTTATTGTATCTCTTACCTGACGTGTATGCACATTGGTTCTATATTTCTACTTCATAATTAATGAACATTGTTTGCCATACTTGCAGTGTAAATGAATCTGAGCCTTCTTTTGAAGCAACCAGAAGGTATTATTTCTATTTTAACCTGAGTTTAATAAGAATAACTTCCTTCCTCAGACTTTAATCTCTTTAATCTCATTTTGCTTACTCTGATAATGTATAGTTATTTATTAAAGTGTGCTAGCATATTTCCAACAGCAGTGGTTCGCAACCTTGACAAGCTGCTAAAAGAACTAATTTACCAAACAAAGTGGCTCCTTGTGTCAACTGTTTTCCTCTCACTGAGTCACACGTGTCCCAACTTTGGCTGAAACTCAAACTATCCTCAGTAAACTGGGTTTGGGATTTCATAAAATAAAAATGTAAGAATTAATACATATATTGATTATGAGTTGAACAGTGATGGGATCCATCTGTAAGGTAGAGATGAAGAGCCAAGTGCTTTATCTACTTAAAAGGAAAAACAAAAACAAAAACCTTAAAGAGCTGAGTGGGGTGGGGGGGAAAGCAGGCATGTCAGAGGTTGGGAACCATTGTTTTACTCTGCATATGATTATCTCAGAGACTGCTAGCATACTATATAGTATCATGTCTTCTACACTCCTAAGACGTAATGTTTTAGAAAGATCATTGAACATTTCTAGCTACTCTCTTTTTTAACCTTGCTCTCTTTTAACCCTATTTCCTTCATCAGTACTTTACAGATCATGAACTAACTGTGGAAATCTGACTTTTAAACTGACCTGCCCTTCCCATCATTCTCTTCAGCTCACATGTATTTTCCTAACTATTGGAAATTAAAGTCTGATGTATAGACATCTGGTAGAATTTGCAAGTCAAAAGGGGGGAGGTAGTTATTTTTAAAATATAAGCGATTTCAATATATTTTGAAATATGCAGTTTTTACATGCACGATTTCAATATTGAAAGTTTCAGGGACTCCTTAAGATATTCTTTGTTTTGAAATATTTACATATTATCTATTACCATAAAATATGTTAATGTGATTAAGCCACAAAGCCATACAATAATTACAGTATCAATTAACATCTTAAAGTTTGCATGTAGAATTTATAGTTAATAAAGTGCTATTAGTATAAAGTAAAATGTCTGTAGCTATAATCTTTTAATTATTTTTTAAAAATTATAGTCATTTTAGAAAAGGAAATTTCAATTAGTTGTTTAGACCATAAAACACTTCTTCAGTGTAGAAAACCAAACTTTATACATGTGACATTTTGATTAAATCCTAATCCCTTTAATTTAGGTGGCATATTTAATCATTTCTTAATAAGGTTGGTGGTCTTTAAATTTTTCTCTTTTAGAAGTTTTCCATTTCTGTATCTGAGATAGTTTACTAATTTTATTTCCCCTATTTATAGTAAAATACATACACGCACAGTACCTTTGCATAATCCTGGTGTTTTTTTTTTTCTTTTTCATTTTTCAGTAGGAACAGGTACTCTGTGGCATATGCAGCTCAAAAGCCTTGGCTATTAAATGCTACAGTAGAAGAAAATATTACTTTTGGAAGTCCTTTTAACAAACAGAGGTAATTTTGAGCATATAAAATTTAGAACCAAAATGGCAACTCTTTCTGACTCGTGTGTTTGGGAATGAACAATGGTTTCTGGAACCTTTACATCTGGTATTTTCTTTCCTGCTGGCCCCGTTTTCATCCTCATCACCAAGGTCTTTTGAATCAATTCTTTGAAGAGAAGCCTCACTGGAAGTTCCAGCCCATCTTGGACCCTTATTGAGAACAATTTGTACACCAAAACTAAACAGCAATTGAAGTGTGTATGTGTGTGGGGTGGGGAGGGTAAGAGTGAGGATGTGTTGCTTAGGTTGTTGGTGAGAAGATAGAGAAGGAAAAATTCAAGTAAATTTCACAAAGGAAGTTTAATTGTGAAAAGAAGAAGAATATAGGACCTGAGGGGTCTGGTGACTGGGAACAGCCAGAATACACCATCTTTCAAGCATCTTTTAAATACCACCACCACATAAGAAGGTATGACCCTTTCCCTGAGCCACTCTTGCAAGCGTGGGTCTTAGGACCATAAGCTGGGTCTTGAAAATTAAGGAGAATAAAGTAAGTGGAGAGGCAAGAGGAAGGGGGAGGGAGGAGAAAAGTAGACCATATGAAAGACAAAACCTTTAGGACCTGGAGCAAACCAGACAGAAAGATTCAGGAGGCTGAGACCAGATAGTTGGGGGGCCTAAAAGCCAATTGGCTACAATGATGTGCATTCTATATATACAGATTCACATATGTGCATATATACATATATATGGAGACATTTAGGAGTCAGTTGGAATAATTATCCAGGCATGCAGTGTGTGTTGCCTACACTTAGGAATGACGGTAGAAATATAAAAGAAGGGATGGTTGAGAAAAAAAAATTGAAGAACAACAATGGACAGATATCAACAGGAAGAAGAAGAGGGAAGAATGAAGAATGACTCTACTACATTAAGATGAACTGATTAAGAAAATAAAATCATTGCCATTTCCCCCAGCATCTTCAATCCCCATGCTTCCTTGTACTTCCAGTTCATCTGATTTCCAGTCCCAGCCTTATATGAACTTGAGGACTGTCAGTCCTCACTATCTCCCTTGTCTCCTCTCTTCAGCATGCATGACAGTGTGGAAGGGCGCCCACTCACAACCTCTGCTTTAGCCATAATGAACCTCCTGCAGTCCCTTACATTCATCATGAACTTTTTTACTTTCTCAAGTTCCTTAAACTTCGTTACTCATTTTCTTCCTGAAAACTTACTACTCAACTTTCTGAACACAGTTTAAGCTTTGCCTCCTCTGATACTTCTCAGAATGGTCAGTCATTTCTTCATTTGTGTTCTAGGAGTGCTTTATACTCACTTCCACTATAATACCTAACAAGGTAAACTTTCATCGTATATTTTTGTATCAGTCTTCTGCTCCGTGAACTAGCTTTTTAAGAGTCGGAACCCAGCTGGGCGTAGTGGTTCACGCCTGTAATCCTAGCACTTTGGGAGGCTGAGGCAGGCTGATTGCCTAAGTTCAGATGTTCGAAACCACCCTGGGCAACATGGTGAAACCCTGTCTCTACTAAAATGCAAAATAATTAGCTGGGTATGGTGGTGCACATCTGTAATCCCAGCTATTCAGGAGGCTGAGGCGGGAGAATCACTTGAGCCCAGGTGGCAGAGGTTGCAGTGAACCAAGATCGTGCCACTGAACTCCAGCTTGGGTGACAGAGTAAGACTCTGTCTTCAAAAAAAAAAAAAAAAGGGGGGGGAAGTAGTACTTATGTATCTTTGTATCCAGAAATGTAGAGCAGAGGCTGGCATATAATAAGTGATTCAGCAAATGTTTTATTTCAACTTCCAAAGTATTGAATTTGGCACTTAGTTTATGGACAATGTATTAATTGAGATCTAAAAATTCAAAATCATTTCTCCCAAAGGTACAAAGCTGTCACAGATGCCTGTTCTCTTCAGCCAGATATTGACTTATTACCATTTGGAGATCAAACTGAAATTGGAGAGAGGGTGAGCTATATATAGTTTCATTAAGCAATGAACAAAAATCTAGAAAAGTCTTCTGGTTGTCTTTAATCTTTAATAGAGAATCATGAAATTTGAGAGCTTAGGAGTTGTATGTTGTCCCAGTAAGAAGTTCCAGAAAACCAAGGATGGGAGTCCTTTGATGCCACTCTTTCTTACGTATTAATATTTATTGAGTAATCACTGTATACTTAACATGGTACTAGTCACTTAAGAGTTCTCAAAGAAAGGTGAAACATAGTTCCTGGCTTTGACCAAATGCATTTTTGCTTACGTGGAGCTTGCTGTAATAGGTTTGAAACTAAGATTACTTTCCATAGCTTCTCCCAACCTTGTTGAAAATCTGTTTATTCTTATTAAAGTGCTCTTTTTTCTTTGTGTAACCATGTTTTGCATTGATGTCATATTATTCAGACAAGCTGAAAAATAGTTATACCTATAATCTTTAGAACAACAACGTCTACAATGTTTTAATCGTTGTAAGTCCTGGGCACAAACTTTATATGCATTATCTACTTTCACAACAAATCTGTGTTATGGGTGTTATCGTTATCTGCATATGAAGCTGCAAAAATCAAGGCTGAGAGAGGTTAAGGAACTTGCACAGTTGCCAAGGTAGTGGTGTAGCCAGGATTAGTCTGGCTCTGTGGCCTTTGTTCTTAATGGCTGTTCTTTTTTGCTACATACCGCAGTGTGTATGAGAATGGACTTAAGTTCTGTGAGCCTCAGTTTCCACATGTGTAAAATTAAAACAATACCTACATCTTGGAATTGCTATGAAGAATAAGAGAAATTTAAAAATGTAAAGCCATTTGCACAAGTCTGGCACATACTAAGAGGTCAATTAATACTAGTTTTTTTTTTAAAGTGTAAGTGGTACTTTATTATGAAAGCATACTCTTGGATAGTACTCTTTCACATAACTCATAATATCAAATTTGGGTTGTATGTTAAGTAAACTACAGACACAACTCAGTAAACAAGAAAAAATCTTGGAATTGCTCGCATTTCCTAGCAAGTGTTTTGGTTATTAATGCTTCTGTACAGCAGAGATCTCTATTAGAGTGAAAGGAAGATTAACCATATCAGCCTGAAGCCATCTTGATTATTTTGAGAACTGTTGGCCAGTAGACAGTTTCCATGTTTTCTTACCAATGTTACTACAATTTAATTAACAAGTTACTATCAATCTAAGATTTTTAAAAAGACGTTTGTAATTTAAGGTCATATTACCAAAAGATCATTTACTAATATTAAAAAATGGGTATTTGGGGGTGTCTCTTCTCTAGGGCATCAACCTGAGTGGGGGACAGAGGCAGAGAATCTGTGTGGCACGAGCGCTGTATCAAAACACCAACATTGTCTTTTTGGTAAGAATATGGCCTTCCCTTTTATTTCTATTTCATTCTTCCATCTGGACAAATGAGTCTTTAAAAAGGTGTAAGTCAAGTAACTCAAGGAAAGATGGTTTAACTTGTGAAATCGTAAAGTATATAGGGGAAATAAATCCTTGAAGTACAGATTAGTAGATCAGTAGAAGAGCAACGTATCTTGAGAGTTGGGAGGATCCAGATTGGTGTCCAAGAGACTTAGATGCCCTAAGTGGTTGTTTTTCTGAGTTTCTTAACCAGGAAAGGATTTGGATGGTATTGGATGAACGAGGCAGGATCATAAGTCTTCTTATTTATATTTGATGGCAAAGAAAAAAAGCCAGAAAATATACTCTTGGTAGACACAGGGCTAAGTAAGCGTAGTACCCCATTCCAGTGCTGTGCAACTCGGGCTGTGGATAAGCTTTATCTGTGATGCTCCCTACAACTGTAGAAAGCTTGGTTTTGCTCTAGACCTGTGGCATAATCTGTAAAGGTAGAATCTAAAATTTATGTCTTTAAAAACGTCATGAATGATTTTCGTGATATCCATCTTGGACTAATAATTTACTTCTAGCTGTGGATCTAGAAATAAAATTTGACGGTTATGTTGATTATAATTTTGGTCTATTTTGGTCTCTCCAGCAGGAGGTACCTAAAATAGCTTACAAGTAGACAATGGGGAGATGCTGGCAGAGTATGTAAATGCATCCCTGCCTTCTCCTTCTGTACAATTATTAACCACTTATCAATCTGGTTCCCAGAACATTTTTAGAGTCTTCACTCCATCTAATCTCTAGAGCCTCTTGAAAAAGTAAGTTGGTTTTGGAGTTTCCCACTGAATTTGGATCTGTCATTGGGGATGGTAGCAGAATTTGGACATACTAATTCATCCCCCTAAGAATACCTGTCTCCAAAGTTATTCCCCCTCAAAACCTAAAAACACCATGAAAGCCATTGCAGGATCTAACAGTAGCCTATGTAATTGTAGATTTTTTTTTTTTTTTGAGATGGATTCTTGCTCTGTTGCCCAGACTGGACTGCAATGGCACCATCTCAGCTCACTGCAACCTCCACCTCCCAAGTTCAAGTAATTCTCCCACCTCAGCCTCCTGAGTAGCTGGGATTACAGGTGCATACCACCATACTTGGCTATTTTTTTTTTTTTATTTTTAGTAGAGACTGGGTTTCACCATATTGGTCAGGCTGGTCTCGAACTCCTGACCTCAAGTGATCCACCTGCCTCTACCTCCCAAAGTGCTAGGATTACAGTTGTGAGCCACTGTGCCCAGCCGTAAATTCTTTTTATAATAATGGATGGATCCACAACTAGAAATGACTTCTTGAACCTTGGGATCAATTACTGACTGAACCTGAGGAACTGCCTTGGAAATCTGAAAGGGACTGAGGTCCCCTGGGTGTGGCTTTCTTCCTCAGTTCATTTTACTGCCTGCTATGATTTAGTGACTCCAACCTACTTCAATTGTAGAATCATGGAAATCAAAGAAGTTGTAGGACTAAATTATTGTCAATTCCCACCCTTTCATTACAAGATGACTTTTAGCATTAACTCTAACAGCTTCTCGATGACTCTCCCTGAAGATACATTGCTCACCTTTAAGGCAGCTTTTCCTGGTTGGACAGTATATAAATTTCCTGTTACTGCTATAAAAAATTGCCATAATTGGTGACTTAATCAATGCAGATTTATTATATTATCTTATACTTCTATAGATTAGAAGTCCATCAAAGTGTCAGCAGGGCTGTGTTCCCTTCTGGGGACGGGAATAGTCAATATTCTTGCTTTTTCCAGCGTTTACAAGCTGCCTACATTCTTTGTCTCACGCCTGCCTTCCTCCACCTTTGAAGCCAGCAACATGATGTCTCTCTGACTATTTTTACATAGTCACGTCTTCCTCTCTTCACAGCCGGGAAAGTTTTCTGCTTTTAAGGATGCATATAGTTAGTTTAAGCCTGTCTGGATAAGCTCCTCATCTCAAGGTCTTTAGTCTTAATTACATCTGCAAAATCCTGCTGGACATATAAGGTAACACAGTCACAGGTTCTGGGGATTAGGACCAGGGCATCCTTAGGGGCCATTATTCTTTCTACCACAGACAGCTCTTATTATTGGAAAGTTATTATGGTATTGAGATCTGCTTCTGAGTACTATCTGTTCATCAGCCTGCACTCTACTTCTGCAGCAAAATATATATATATAGTTCAACATTCTAATATTAGTGTCATAACTTGTCTAAATTTACATTTCTCTAGGCCAAGCAAGCATAGTATTTTCAATTCTTCCACAAATAACATATTTTGTATAACTTTTCTTAATCCCTGATGTATAGTGTTTATATAAGTGTCCCTTTGAAAAACTCTGTGCTAGATGCACACTGCTCAGCTCAGATAACCTTAAAACTCTTGGGTCTTATGATCTTGGTCTTATTACTCCATTGCAACTTATTGAAAAACATTTTAGCAGCAATGGAATGCTGTTGATGTGTTTTAAAAATTCCTCAAAAATAATAATATCTCACATTTCCATTGTTTAAAAATTCACAAGGTACAGTATTATCCCATTTGATTCTCATCACAGTGCTGAGAGAGGGTAGATGGTATCCTCAAGCTAAATGCGGAAACTTATCCAAGGACTGATGTCTAGTGAATGACAGAGTTTGTGCTAGAAATGCATGCCTTTTGAGTATTGGCTATGTAATCAGCAAAGATTCTCTGGTATTTTCTGAAATTATTGCTGTATTTTCCTTTTCTCTCCTTTCCTTTTACATTTCTTCTTTACTCACTCACTCCCTGTTATCCTTTCTTTATTCCTCCCTCCCTTTCTTCTTTCCTCCTTTCTATCTACTAAAATTCAGTGAACATCCCCAATGCCATCTGTTGTGCTGGGTAAAGAAAATAGAGTTGAGAAAAAGGCATTACTTATATCTTTAAGGATTTTACTTGTACATGTCACTTGAATAGTTTCACATTTTGCTCTAAATAAATTTTTATCATGTTAGCCTTGATGCAGTATAAAAGTTAGATGAAAATGTCTTAATTATGTATCAAAAATATTATTTTTGAAAACTTCATTGCATCTGCAAATGTGCTGTATCAATGAATATATTAAATTATTTCCAAAAATACATCCATATAAAGAATATACTATTTAAGCACATTTATTGAATATATAAGAGAATATATTAATGAAGACTGTACATATATATATTAGAATAAATAACATAAGCTTGTAAACAAAGAATTGACCATTCATTGAATTGGCCGTTTGGCAATTGTCTTGCTTTCTTTAAAGGAAATATTTCCCCATAATCTTATTATATACATTGAATCTGGAGACATGTTTCTCAAGCCATTAAGCCTCAATTTTTAGTAAGTTGTAGAAAAGGTTATATTTGACAAAAAAAATCACAAATCCCCACCATGAAGCTATGGCATATAAATGATAGTTCTGTGACCTAGGCATGATTCTAAGTACTTTATACACATTAGCTCACTTAATTCTCATAATAACTCTCCTAGGTTTGACATTATTGTTGTTATTACTATTATTATTGTTATTACTGCTGTTCACAGATGAACGTACTGAGGCTTTTGGGGATAACTTATCCAACATCACACAGATAGTAACAGTGAAGCAGGGATAGAAAGTCAGATGGCTGGATTCCAGAGCTTGTGTTCTTAGTCACCACACTCTTCCTTATTAAGAGATGCTTGGAAGATGCTAAAGTCTCACTGTGATACATTGAAGGGGTAAGCACAATATTAATCCACCATGGCTTTATTTATAAGAAAATAATAATAAAGCAACACTTTTGAAATGATTTACAGACTTTGACTACATTATTTTGTTGCATCTTTGCAGCAATCCAAGGTGCTTTCTCTCAGGCCTCTTTATTATCCCCATTTTACAAATTAAGTGACTGAGTTTGAAACATTGGCCAGCCTCCAAGAGTGGTCATAACTACAATTTGGACCTTTTAATTTAGAGATAATGGACTTTCAATTATGCCTTACTAACTTCTAACATGTAAAATCAGAATTTAGGCTGGGTGCGGTGGCTCACACCTGTAATCCTAGCACTTTGGGAGGCTGAGGCAGGCAGACCAGTTGAGATCAGGAGTATGAAACCAGCCTGACCAACATGGTGAAACCCCATCTCTACTGAAAATACAAAAAAATTAGCGGGGCGTGGTGGCGTGTGCCTGTAATCCCAGTAAGTTGGGAGGCTGAGGCAGAAGAATTGCTTGAACCCAGGAGGCAGAGGTTGCAGTGAGCTGAGATCATGCCATTGCACTCCAGCCTGGGCGACAGAGTGAGACTCCATCTCAAAATAAATAAATAAATAAATAAATAAATATCAGAATTTTATGGACAGTCAAATTGAATTATTATAAAAATTTATTTTCAATTCATGTCTTATTTTTTCTGTGAAAAATTCCCAGGAAGAATCATTTGGGATAGTTTGGTCTACGTCACAAATTATTCTTGGGGTTTTAATGGAATCAGAAGCAGAAAGTTATTTCAAAGGCAATCAGATTCCCCCTGTGAAAATCATCTGCTTTTCTAAAACCAATAATTTGCTGATATCAAGATTTGCTAAATCTTGATAATTATATCCTTGCTGCATTGTTGGTGATGGAAATGGAGACACTTTTGTCAGTGTAATCCTGATATTTTTCCATTGCTGTGGAGATATCACTTTATATTGGTTCTTTGACTTTCATTTTTAAGTAACTGCAAAGTTACATTATAACTTCTATGTTAAAAGAAATTTCATATATTAGTGGTAGAATTCTCTACCAGTTATCAAAATCTAATAATTTTAAAATTCAAGTAAGAATATTTTTTTCTTGTTATTAAAAGGAGCTAAATGACAAGGAGCTAGTGTCTGTGATGATTTTGAAAAGCAACTCACTGGGCAGTTGAAAGCCAATTCCTATACACAGTACTTATTGCAACATCTCAGAAATAATTGATGTGCATTAAGATGATCCAGAGGGTCTGAAAGATTTGAAATATTTCCCTTGTCATCCAAAGAAATTTCAGGACAATCAAGATAATTGTGTCTATTTCTATAAAAGTCATTTGAGGACACTGATTATATCATCCATTTATTCACAATTACAATATCCAGCAGACTGATTTTTTAAAGGCTCCTATAATTCTTAATTACCCTTTAACTATCAAAATGCTTTGTTAATATTTCTTTTGCATAAGGATTCTCCTAAATGCTTTAATAAGGTCAAATTTCTTATAGTTTCTATCTATGCAGACAAATAGATGGAAAGTTGAAAAATTACTGAGCTAATCATATGACAATCTATAATGATTATACATAAATTTATTCTAACTTCCAAACTTCAGTTTCTCTCTAAATAGCAATTACTTTTGTTTTGTTCATTATTCAGATTATTAAGCAATGCAATCTATCTGTAGAGAGACTATGACTGTGCTCAACTGAAAATTTTGCAGAATTGTTATTTTTAGATATCTCAACATGTAGCCTGTGTGTAGTAGCATGAGAAACCAGCTCCTTCTTTCTTGGGCCCATAAGACAAAGTAGAAGTTTGTTTGCATATTACCTATTGGAGAAGCAACAAAGAAAGAAGGGTAATGAAGAAGACCTTTATAAACTTTTTTTCCCACTGTTCCATTAACTCTTCCCAGTTTTTACCTGAAACATCCACCATTTTTTACTGCTTTGTCCCTTCAGTGCTCCCTCAGTTTCTTTCATTCCCTGCCATCCCTGGTCCTTCTAAGGAGTGATTATATTCCTGCTGCACCTCCTCCCTTCAGGTCACTTTGCTTTCTAACTCATAGTTTGAGGATACATTCCAGTTTTCTTCAGTTGTTTCTAGCTCTCCTATTTTTAAGATCCAAAATGTGAAACATGTAGTTTGATGCTCTATATAACATTTTAGGTATGAAATATATATGAAAATAATTTATAGTGATATCATCAACAAAAAAAGACAATTAATGTGAGTTCTTAAATTATTTTCTAAATATCTTAATCACTTGGTGGATAAAAACATTCTCCCTAGAACAACTGTCATCAGGAAGTGTTAGGCATGCTATTCTTATATATAATAATAATAATAATAGCTAACAATGTAAATTATATACCCACTACCATACTAAGCACTTCATGTATATTAACTCATTTAATTCTGAAAATATCCCCATTAAGTAAGTCCTGTTATGATCCAGTTAACATTTTCTTTTTTCTTTCTTTTTTGACAGAGTCTCGTTCTGTCACCAGGCTGGAGTGCAGTGGCGCAATCTCGGCTCACTGCCTCTTCCTCCTCCAGGAACCTCTTCCTCCTGGGTTCAGGCGATTCTCCGGTCTCAACCTCCCAAGTAGCTGGGATTACAAGCCCACGACACCATGCCCAGCTAATTTTTGTGTTTTTAGTAGGACAGGGCTTCACCATGTTGGCCAGGCTGGTCTCGAACTCCTGACCTCAGGTGATCTGCCTGCCTTGGCCTCCCAAAATGCTGGGATTACAGACGTGAGCCACCATGCCTGGCCCAATTAACATTTTCTATACCTAGTTTTGTTATCTAGAATTCAAGTACAATTATCTTTTTCATTCTTTGTTTTGCTCTATTATTATAGATTGCTGAGTAATACGGTTTTTGAACTTGCTGATTCTGTAAGAATTCAAAACATTTTGAATAGTGTTATTTACTTTTAAAATAATTTTACAAAGTTTGTTTTTCTTTTTGCCTGCAGGCACTTCTAACTTTATTTCATTGTTTGTTTTTCTCCTGGCCCTTTTTTATTTTATTTTCTTTAATTTTTATTTTAGGTTAAGAGGTACATGTGCAGGCTTTTTATATAAATTGTGTGTCATGGGGGTTTGGTGTACAGATTATTTTGTCACCCAGGTAATAATCATGGTACCTGACAGGTAGTTTTTCTTTATCCTTTTTTTAAATAAATTAGATTTGGGGGATGATTTGCCCTTAGTTATTTGTATTACTATTTTCGAGAGGAATTGAGTTATGTAACAAGTATAGAAAACGTCCATCTTTCCTCCATTTTACTGATTGCAGGATGATCCATTCTCAGCCCTGGACATTCACTTGAGTGATCATTTAATGCAGGAGGGGATTTTGAAATTCCTGCAAGATGACAAAAGGACACTCGTTCTTGTGACTCACAAATTACAGTATCTGACGCATGCTGACTGGGTAAGAGTTTAGAAGAGAATTTTGCTCATTTTTATATTATAGTCATATAAATAGAGACAGTAAAAAATGCTTTCTGAAATAAAGGTAGTTCATTTTGCCAATCAAGGCTTTTCGTCACATTTCTGGGAATATCCGCTTTCCTTAGATCATAGCCATGAAAGATGGAAGTGTCCTAAGAGAAGGAACTTTGAAGGACATTCAAACCAAAGATGTTGAGCTTTATGAACACTGGAAAACACTTATGAATCGGCAAGATCAAGAATTAGAAAAGGTAAGTGCTCATAGTTCAGAAGAGTTCAGAGCCCAATTCAGAAGAGTTAGAAATTTACTAATTACTAAGAATGCTTTTTAAAAAATTACCATTTAATACTTTGTAATATAATGGTCTTTATCTGAAATCCAAAGCAATTGTATCTTTGCATATTATTAATGAACAGGGTACTTTGAACCTATAAAATTCTAATGCCATCTTTGGATGAGGTGCAGTCAGGTTTTTAGAGGCTGTTTGTTTACATTTCAACCATAGTGCAATTATATGTGTGTTTAAAACTTACAGAAACTACTTAACTGAAGCATGGCGTTTCCTTATTTTTTCTTATTTATACCTCATTTTTCTCATCTATAAAAGTAGAATATTTTCACTAACCACCTACAAATAGAGGGTCATTGGAAAGTCAAAAGCCAAGGTGATCTTGAAGGAAGAGCTCTGAGTAGTGGGCAAAGTTGTAAGGCATATCTGGGATAAGGCTTCTGGGGTGAAAGAAGGTAATCAGAAGGAAATAAAAATAAAATTTTACATTTGTACTTTTTTTGAAGTCCACAAAGCCCTTTTTACATGATGTGTTTTAATTCTCACAAACTCCTGACAAATAAGCAAAGAAATATTATCTTACTTAGACAGATGAGAAAGCTGAGGCTCAGAGAAGTTAAGTAACTTACCTAAAGTTGTACAGCATATATAATAAGTGGTACCAATGGGATTTAAACACAAGTGCATATCCGGTGTAATTACACTATAATGTTATGGGTGATGTAAGTATAACATTGAATGAGGTCATCACAGAGTTGGATACCAGATTGAGTACAACAAAAGAGGAAAAACTCTGATAGACAAGTGAAATTGTAAATTAAATTTGCAAATTTTTGAAATGTTTTGTTCTTGAGTTGGGAGTACAAAGTGTCCAGCACTTGGTATTCTTATCCAGGAATGAGCATTTACAAAATGAAATATTTGTACCAGTGAATTTCTTTAAAATATTAGGAAATTTAAATATATTATTTTAGAAAAGAAAATAAAGGATCTGTCTCCATAGAGAGAGGAAGATACAAAGTCAGATAAACCCTAGGATTTCTCTACCTTCTTTGGATTTGCTAAAGATCTCAAAAGCAAACCACACAAAGAAGAAAAGATATATGCAAAAATATACAAGCAGAATAGGACAAATCACAGAACCATTGAAATGAGGATATTTGGCAAAAAAAGCAATAAACAAACAACAAACCCCAAAACAGTATCAGGTACAGTTGACAAGTGCCTGCTTAGGAATTGTGCTGTGGGAAGCTTGATTCTAAACGTACCGGGGATAACTCCAAATGACATTTTTTTCAGTGATCTAAATGCCAGGGACAAAAGAAGATGACGTAAACTTAAGGATTGGGACAATTTATGGTTTACTTTGGAAAGAAGAACTAGAAAATAAAGAGAGCTGTTGGCTCAATATTATAGTAACACTGTTAAGCAAGCCAGGAAGAAAGTCCATTAAGTTGTATTTAGAAATGAAGTGATCACTTGAGATAGCATAGCTGTATAATTAAAGACACATTACAGGGTTATGTATGAACTGAAGGAGGTGTGGAGCAAGTTAGGGTATGGACAGGGTAAATCCAGTTACAAGGTAGAATGGCAGCCAGTAGAAGCCAGAATGAATCACGCACCTGCCCAGAATCCTTATCTCAGGATGGAGGGAGATTACTGCCATGTAACAAAAGGCAGGCACCTGAATTCATCTGCAGCCAGAATCACACTGTGAACAAGACCACTACGATACCTTGGGGAAGTTTTTGTACAAACAGATTTCGGTTTACTTTGTTATGGGACAGGACAGGGTGTTTCCTATCAACCTGGGCCAATTTTCCCTCCTAGAGGACATTTGGCAACATTTGGAGACATTTTTGTTGTCACAAACTGGGGCAGGGGGATGCTATTAGCATCTAGTGTGCTCAACATTCTGCAATGCTCAGGGCAGACCCTGCAACAGTGCGTTGTCCAGCTCAAATGTCAACTGTGTCAAGGCTGAGAAAGTCTGGCCTAGAGCCAGAACAGATCAAGCAAGTGGAGAAGGAAGGTGAAACCGAAGGATGCACAAAATTTCCTAATGCAGTGCTTGAAAAAGAGCTGTCAGTTTAAGGATCAAGGGGTAAACAGGAAAGAATATGATAGATAGTAATGAAAACTACAAAGGAGAGGGAGTTAACACTTTTAGCTGATTTAAATATTAGCTTAAATGACATGAACCATTATCTTCTTAATGCTGTTAAGCAGAATAAACTGGTATTATTTAACACTCCTCACTTCCCTCTCTACTGTCCTCACCTGGCCTGGCCCAGTGAATATTTATTGGATAAATGAAACTAAATTTTTATTTACTTAGTCCAAGCATCATCACTATTTAAAACATTTAACCTATAATGAGCTTAATATGAGCATTTACTCTTAGGAAAAATTGCTTTAAAGTTTGTTTGGGTTTTTTTGTTTGTTTATTTGTTTTTTTAAGTCTCCAAGGTCTTAAACCTTTTGGTCACAGCATGGGGAATCGAACTGGAATCAAATCTACTTTTCATTATGAAGGTTTATTTTATTTCATTATATGATATGCACAAGACAGGGATCCTCTTTAATTTTGAGTTTAATTTAGCTTCATTTATAAATGTTGGTCTTCATATCGTTATGCAAAATTTAAAACTGGGGTCAAACTCTCTGTAAAAATGGGATTCAGGAGACATTTTTGTTTTCACTCTTTTAACCAAGAATCTGAAGTAGTACAACCCTCTAGAATAGAAAGTTTCCTAAATCAGACATGTTGTATGAGGCCAAAAAAAATCAACCAAGGTCACTACCTAGCGACTAATCACAAAAGGTTTATTGGTTTTTTGATGTAACAGAAAAACTGTGTAGGTTTTTTTTTCTTTGTATTGGCATATACAGGAAGCTCCCAATTTACCATAGATTCCAAAATGTGTGGGTTAGTTGTTTAGAATTCAGAATACATTTCCCCACAGAAAAGGGGAAATGGTTGGTTTTCCAGAATAGCCGGTAGAACCTGATTTAACCCACAATGTAACTGAACTGATACTACTACTGCAGTCCTGAGGTCAGGGGAGCTGGTGTGTTGGAAGCAGGGCATGGAGAAAATGAAATGATTCTACCCTTCTTAACTACAGGATAAAGTTCACAGCAATTCTTAAAAATCTGCAAAGTTTGTTTTTGGCACGTTTCCCTTCTCTTTCTGCATATTTTCTCCTCCTAGGGCTTTCTCTTACACTGCTAGGCACCTAGAATCCTCATTGCCTATTTTCTTCAACGTTCTCTACCTTCTTTCAGATCCTATTGAATTCCCTTTCTTTTGTGCAGCTCCCTTAGTGAGATGCTAAAGAAACTCGTTCTGATTTAATAATTCATAATAGTGGATGACTGACATCAGTTTAACCAACTTGGAACCATGTGCTCTTTTGAAGGAAGATATGTATTAACATGAATGAATCCTTAATTAGAAAAATTACAAGGATAGTCTGAAGGTGATGTAAAAATAAGTAGCAATGGTAGAAATATGCTTTAGGGCTCAGGGAGATATCACCCTGCTTCTGGAGTCAGTTGCATCTCATTCTTGCTTTTCCTGGTCTCGTGTGCTGCTCCACACCTTTGAGCACTGCAGCACTTACTACAAGTCTAAGGTTCTGCCCCCACAGCTGTTTCTGTGACAGGAGTTGTGGATCTCCAGAGTGAGCACAGAGCGCTTGAGATTGGTAAAGGTAACTAACCATTTACACGTGTGAGTCATTCATTGATAAGTCACAACCTATTGGTGTTAGCTCCTTGCATGATAGTACAATGTTTACTGCAGGATATGGAAGCTGACCAAACTACTTTAGAGAGGAAAACTCTCCGACGGGCCATGTATTCAAGAGAAGCCAAAGCCCAGATGGAGGACGAAGACGAAGGTAGATCTTTTTTCTTTTATCTGGAACATTCTAATGGGATAACAGGATGCGAGGGTTTTTTATGTGTGAGTGTCTCCATGAGGAATAATAAGCCACTTTGCCAGGGGAAAAAATTAAATCAAGTAATACTGAAAATGGAAACAATAGGAGTCAAGGAAAGGTGGATGTAATCCATCAACAGTCATCTTGAGGGCCTCCACAGAATATGTCTTACTACAGTTGTTATGTGTGAGAAAGACTTGAAAGGAAATGGCAGTGGATTCTAAATAGATCTAGAGTTGTGTTCAGAAAAATTGAAATTGTCTAGTATAATGACCAAATCTGCTTAAGAAAATTTCAATCCTTCAGAAATAAGTAATAAAGGGGAAATATGGCATTTTGAAGTAGCTGTATTTGATTCATTCAGTTCATCTTCATGAGGTTTTCATGACAATATAGCCATGAAGGATAAGAAAATTAGAATGCCATTTGTTATGTTTCAGTTTTCCAGATCTGATAAAGTATACTGGGAAAAAAAGATTGACTGGAAATGTGAGGAATGAGATGAAATAATTACACTGCTTTGACATTCATTGCCAAGAATGTTGTGAGATAAACCACCTTTTAAGTCAATAGAGTAAATGCTTTATGCCTCATTTCCCATTGTAATTTTTGCTTATGCCTGCATTTCTACCAACCAATTAAAAAAAACAGAGAAAATGTTCATTTCAAGTCAAATAGCACCAAAATGTGCTTTTATATTTCTGTATTTCAACAAATATTCATTGAGCGAATGAATTAATGAATGAAGGCTACATTTTACTTTCAATTTCTATGATTAAAAATGTTCTTAAAGAATTTTTGGTGCTGTAAACAGACATCAGCTTCTAGAACTCTATATAAATTATTTCTAATGGGCTATAAGAGTGGAGTTGTACCCAATTATTCTGTTCAGTGTTTCAGTGGGGATGCTGACTGTGCCCTTGGCTTGCTGTGTTAATCCATATTCTCAGGTATAAAATAAGGTAATAGCACTTTGCTTACAGGGTAAATGAAGTAATGTATGTTGAAGAGCCAATTACAGTACATATTACTTATTAGTTTGTTGCTGCAGGTCCTATCAGAATGCTCAAGCCAACAGTAGGGGAAGAAAAGAAGTAGAGGGTACTTCCTTTCTCTTAAGAGAAAGGAGTTGAGTCTTAAGAGACTCAACTCAAGTCTTAAGAGACTTGGAGTTGCACGTATTGTTTCTGTTTACTTATTATTGGCTCTTTCATTGCTTGGAAAGATTAAGTACTAGGAATGTGAGGAAATGCTGTCTTTAGCTGGGCAGCCATGGACAACTTTAAATTTCAATTAATATAGAAGCAAAGAATGGGTATTGGGGAGACAGCTAGCAAAGTGCAAGTGTCCACCTCTTTGATCATGCGAATTTCTAGTCTGTTCTTCTCACACAAAGGACATACCCCTGCCAAAGGGGAGAACCTCTGAGACGTAGTCATTTACTGCATCCAGCTCAAATATCAGGATCTTTGGTGATGCTCAGTCTTCTCATCATAAACATATTTGGATCCCTGTGGTCTAATAACCTAAAAAGTAAAGACAAGTCCTTCCTCCCCACAACCTGATATGTATATAGTATAGTATGAAGTACATACAGGGTAACTTTAATGAATAAAGTTCCTTTGGAAAAGCAAAAGATGGGAACACAGTCACTGGACCATAGAAATGATCAAATTTTGATTGTCAGGAAATGCAAAGCCTGCTTTAGCAGTGGAGTCCTTCTTAAGGAAGCCCATCTTGGAGTTTCTAGATGGTTTAAACATCTGAGAGGAATTCCTAGCCCATTATCCTTTGTGTCCCCTGGCTTTGCCCACTGGAAGTTTCCTCCTTGGGGCCATAGACAGCATGGAGTATGCCCTCTTGTGCTATGCACAGATTTCAGAGCTTACTCCCTCCTGGTGCAGCTTTATAAATTCAGAAATTTGCAGGTCACAATATTGTAGATGTTTGTAAGCCAGGTATGTGGTTTTTGTTGGCAACACAATTCCTTCAATAACTTTGTAAGTTTCTTCCAGTCAATTTGATGTGCAGTAAATCAGCAAATAGTCTCATCCAGATGTAGATTTTACATTTGTTTTATCACTCATTCATTCATTCATTTTTCACCTATTTTCAGAAAGAAATAAGGTTTGCCCTACTAAAAGCATTTAAAACTTCAATACTAATGCTTACATTTTTATAAATGTATGAATGTTTATATACTATTTGTGGAGCAATAAAAATTATATCTAGCCGGTGCCCATCTGAAGCTTAAACAAAAGTTTTTTGTATGTAGAGGAAGAAGAGGAGGAAGATGAGGATGATAACATGTCCACTGTAATGAGGCTCAGGACTAAAATGCCATGGAAAACCTGCTGGCGCTACCTGACATCTGGAGGATTCTTCCTGCTCATCCTGATGATTTTCTCTAAGCTTTTGAAGCATTCGGTCATTGTAGCTATAGACTATTGGCTGGCCACATGGACATCGGAGTACAGTATAAACAATACTGGAAAAGCTGATCAGGTACAATTGGTTCGGTTTTGTTTTTAAATCATCAAGGAAATATTGAGATTAACAGTGATACCTTCTTATCTAGTTAGATGCTTATATCCCAAATGCCATAGGACTTCTGTGATAATTTAATAAGTTAATAATTACAACAGGACCTGAAATAGAATAAACTATCAAAAATGTTAAAATAGAAGCTATTATTAATACTTTTAAAGTTTATCATAAGAAATATTTAAATATAATGTTTAGACTTGTATTCAAGAGAGTTTATACATATATTTTTATATATGTTATACATATATACACACAGAGGACCTTTTTGTATTTGTTCTTATGGTATTTGATGTTAACTACCTACATCAGTATATTAGCTGGTCATTTTGAGACTAGGAATGAGAAAAGTGAGCTCTACAACATAGAAAGCCAAGAATATGCCCCAAACCTGAAAACAAACTCTTTCTCTTCATCTGCTTTTAAGCAAGCCTTGAAGGAGAGTGAAGGGAGCAGGTGGAGGCTTGGCCTGTGGAATTATGGTGGGGATACTACCCTGGGCCTCAAAAAATTGCATTCCTTCAACCGTCTAAATGCATGCAAAATAATGAAGAAAACAATCTTGTCTGACATTGACATTTGGTTTTCTAGTAAGAAAGAACTCCATTGATAATTTCCTATGTGCTTTTTGTGTTGGTTGCTTTTTAGACCTACTATGTGGCTGGCTTTAGCATACTCTGTGGAGCAGGCATTTTCCTTTGCCTTGTTACATCCCTCACTGTAGAATGGATGGGTCTCACAGCTGCCAAAAATCTTCACCACAACCTTCTCAATAAGATAATCCTTGGACCAATAAGGTAAAACAGTGGTTATTTCTCACTCCCACACATAAAATAATAAAAATATGCATTTTTCAATTTAAGTGGAATGTGAAAGTTAGAAGAATTTCTTTAGTCCTTGAGCAAATGAATAGGGAGCTTCTCATTTTCATGACACTAAGATGCCCATTAGCAATGCCCAGGTTCCAAATAGTTTAGTATTATCATATACTTCCATCTGTTTATTGCCTAGGTTTTTTGATACCACACCCCTGGGACTGATTCTCAATCGCTTTTCAGCTGATACTAATATCATTGATCAGGTGAGTAACTGGGTTACTTCCAAGTTCAAAAATTAGTTTCACAATGTAAGCTAAATAGCATTTTAAGATAAAGTATAATTCCTATTAACAATAGAGGATTTCTGAAATTTAAATAAAGGCCCATTTGTATTTGTATCAATACATGCAAATGATATCTAGAATGAAATCTTAAAGGAAAATCTTAACTCAGACTAATTTGTACATGTAGAAGAAGATACTTGGAGAACCATCATGAAGTAAAGAATGATTGAACATTTAAAATTTTTGATTATAAAAAAATTGTTTTGATTAAAGTCATATCAGCATTCACAGTATAAAGTTCTTAAAAGTTTAGTATTCATGCAGAATTTCTCTCAGAAGTGAAGGATGGGATGCCAAGCTGTCTTAAAGTCCTTTACTTTTATTAGATTGGTTCTTGAAGCTTCAGATGGTGTGATACTTTAGGAAAAATTCCAGGAATGCCAAGTTTAGCCTAAGATCCTTAGGAATCTAAAAGTTTGTTTGAAATAAAAGACATCAAACTCTGAAATTATATCACTCTATAAGTGGAACCCTCTGGATGACTGAGAAAGGAATTCATCATATCCAGCCCTTGTCTTTTCTGACTTTCCAGAGTAGCATTCGGAATACCGAAATGGCCCTCAATTAGAAAGAGGGTTGATGCATGCAGCTGACTGCAGAGTATGATGAGAAGTTTTGATGTTTTCATGGCATTGGTGTTAGGTCAGACTGCACCTAAAACCTTTCTAAGGAATACACATTAGAAAAGAAGAAATGAATCACTCATTATTTAGAAGATGACATGATTGTCACTTAGAGAATTCAAAATAATTAGTAAAATAACCAATTAGAAAAGTCAGCAGAGTATCTACATAAGATATATCATATGAAAAGCAGCAACTTCCTCTATACCAATTTAAGAAAATAGTGAAAAACAAACTCCATTCATAACAATAAAACCTATAAAAACAGAAATAAACTTAATGTGAAGAAAATATGTTCAACAATCCCAGAAGTCATAACAATCCTGTACAGAGAAAGAATTTCCCTATTAGATATTTTTTAAATACTACAAAATTCAAGCACTCTGTTAATTGCAAAAGACAAGTAGGTCAAAAGAGCAGCATGGAGAATTCAAAAACTCCATCTTATGTAGAAATTTAACGTATAAATGTGGCATCTTAATAAGGAAAGGATTAATTTTTCAATAAAGGATATTGGGATAATTAGCTACCCAAAAAATACAAAGCAAATGCATATAGCATAGAGGTGGTCATATTAAAACATAAAGCTATAAAGTAATGTAGGAAAATAGTTTTAGAATCTTGGGGTGGGAAAGGTCTTTCTCAGTAAGACAAAGAACTCAGAAACAATAAGGAAAATAGGTTACTTTTGAGCCCACAAGTCAACAGAAATGACTATAAAAAACTTTAAATTGTGATTGAGCTAAAAGCACCAAAGGTAAATTTAAATACAATAGATAACTGGGAACAAAAATTTGCAAATATTTTTTAAATAAACATAATATATACAGAGCATCTAAAAATCAATAAGGAAAAATTAATTCACTCAAAAAAGCCCAAAGGATACGAGGAAGCAATTACAGAAAATTAATTTAAATGTATTACAGTAGAGGAATAGCTAAATAAGCTAATACTATGCAACCATTAAAAAGAAATAGATTTGTATGCACTGCCATGGGAAGATTTACAGTCTGTCTTGCTCAGTAAACAAACACATGAATGAATAATATTTATAGTACAGTGTCATTTACATAAAACACCCAAGGTAAATAGGTAGATAGACAACTAATCAACGACATGTTGATAGATAAATAGACAGACATAATAAACTATGGGAAGTGAGTGAAGAATTGCTTAGGATGAACATGCTTATACACTACTTTGGTAGTTAACTGTGTAACTATCAACATAAAAATAGGTATTTTTGTTACATTGCAGCCAATATTTCACTGGGCTAATCATATTTTCCTTTTAAACTACCCTAATAGCACATCCCTCCAACCTTGGAATCTCTAACTCGCTCAACACTGCTCTGCCTGTCTGCCATTGGGATGATTTCTTATGCTACTCCTGTGTTCCTGGTTGCTCTCCTGCCCCTTGGTGTTGCCTTTTATTTTATCCAGAAATACTTTCGGGTTGCCTCTAAGTAAGTAAAACAGCATCCCACTCATTTTCAAAAGCTTATCTACAGTCAGCCCTCTCTATTCATGGGTTCTGCCAACAACAGATCAAAAATATTTGGAAAGAAAACATTCCACGAAGTTCCAAAACACAAAACTTGAATTTGTCATGTGCCGAGTACTACATTGAATACACACTGATGAAGCGATGTGTGATGTGTTGCCATTGAATTAGGTAGAATAAGTAACATACAGATGATTTAAAGTATATGGGATGATGTATGTAGGTTATATGCAAATGCCACCCATTTTATATAACGGACTTGAGCATCTGCAGATTTTGGTATCCATGGGAGGTCCTGGAATCACTTCCCCATGGGGACAATTGTATTTGATTTACTGTGATCTACATTTGCTGTAGTGTTTTTCAAGATAAGATGTGGAATTTAGAAATGCAACCTATATGAAACATAATGAAATCTATCCTGACATTATGATTCATTTAGGTATCAATTAATATTATAATTATACCTATAATTGGTTGTCTGGGCCTTACCTAGTCCTGGACATATATTAACATGTGGATTGATCTATTGAGTTTTGAGTTCTAAGACTGACAAATTTTTCACTCCATGGTCCTTTTTCTGAACATGACATTGATAGAAAACAAAAAATCAAACATAGGCCGGGCGTGGTGGCCCATGCCTGTAATCCCAGCACTTTGGGGGTCTGAGGCGGGCGGATCGTGAGGTCAGGAGTTCGAGACCAGCCTGACCAACATGGTGAAACCCCGTCTTTACTAAAAATACAAAAATTAGCCAGGCGTGGTGGCACCCGCCTGTAATCCCAGCTACTCAGGAGGCTGAGGCAGTAGAATCGCTTGAACCCGGGAGGCAGAGCTTGCAGTGAGCTGAGATCACGCCACTGCACTCTAGCCTGGGTGACAGAGTGAGACTCTGTCTCAAAAAAAAAAAAAAAAAAAAAAAAAAAAAGGAAACCAGAAACATAATCCCAAAGAGTAAGTGATTTAATATTATTATACTCTACAAATGGGAAAAAAAATATTCGTTTAGGATTTGTCATTTACTGAGATGTTGAATAAATGAAATATAATACCAGCTGTTTTAAAATTTCCAGTTTAACTTTGAAACCCCGCTATATATAGTATAGTAAAGTTTGTTATTTCAACAAATACTAAGCACTCATTGTGTCACAAATAGCTGTGTTAAGCCACATGACAGGTGAAGAGATTGATATGTCAGGGGCCTGTTCTCAAGAAATGTATAGTCTCTAAGGAAGATAAAACATATACAAAGTAATCCTAATACATGGATAAGTGCTAGAATAAGAAGGTAGGTATTGAGTTTATTCAGAAAATTGAAAATGTTAATATGACTTGAGTGCAAGGAAGGTGAAAGAAAGTAGGAGGAGATAAGAAGAAAAGAATTGTAGATGGGAACCTCTGAATGTATCATATAACATTTCATAATTTGAAGAAATAGTTGTTTCTCCCTCTTAGCTATGAATTAGGATCCTTTAAATGTCAGGGATCCACATTTAGTCTGTTTTTCATCCCTAGACTCATCGTCTTTGCTTGCAGCAAATTCTGATCAAAATGGAGAAGCTAGTAATCAACTTCACATTTCTTTTCTTCTGATACTATTGCTGGTCTACTTGCTGGTGGGGCAAAGATGTTCAGAGTTATTTCATCACTGCTGATGGTTTCCAAATCTGTCCTTGCCTTCTCAACACTGATATCAGTCATGTCTTACTTTAATCACATACTCATTTGGTCCTATTATTGCCCTTTATCAATACAAATGGAGTGCAAAGTTTGGGAAAATATTCCTAGTCCATCACAAATTTGAATTGTGAATTCTGTTCATCATCAGAATAATCTATTAGAGACTAAAGTATGGAGAGGATGGTTATTTTAAAGAATTAATATTGACAATGGATTGTACGCTATTCTTATTTGAAATTATCTGAAAGTTAGCAAATATAACCATATGATATTAAACCTCACAAACAAGGATCCTTCTAGATGTTGAGGTTCTTTAGAACTCATCCATGTTGAAAAGCTCAGGCAGCTTAACATGCCATTTTTGTATACACTAAAGAGAACTTAAGTGGGAAACTAGCTACAGGAAATGCTCTGAAAAAATGAATATTTAAAATCATGGATCAAATGCTTGCTTAGCTTTGTAAGTAACTGTTTCCTTCTTGCAAGAATACAAGATCAAGCTGTGCCCTCACCTCTTTGGTTTTATCAAACACAGTTTTATAAACAAAGCTTCCTCCTTCCACAGTATTTTTCCTTCACTCCAAACCTCAATGTAGTGACCACCTGTTGCTTGTGTCAGATTTACAAATAGCCATTTGGTTTTATGTTTAAAAATAACAGACTATTCACATTCCTTCATATTCCTTCTCCCACTTCCTTCTATCTTTCTCTCCCCGAATCCCCATGTGAAAATTCTGAATGAGGGAATCCATTTTAGAAACTCCATTTTGAAAAGACTTGCATTTGTTTTGGGAACTAGACTACACTGGCAGCCAGGAATGGCATAAGTTAATTGTTGAAGATTATGGAACCATGTTCATCCGTTCAGTTGACCCTCACAGGTGAATGCCAACACTACTTCTCTAATCTTCTCAACCCCAAAAACCTAGAGAAGGGCAGGAAAAAAGGTCTGAAAAGTAAAAAATGGAATGCATTGAAACATGTGATATAACTGTTAGCCTATCTTCTATAAATTCTAGCTCATGTGGTTTAAAGAAAAGTTGTCATGAATATATCTTTATCAAAATGGTCAGATTCAGCATTTCCATTCATTCAGTATATGTCTGTGTTTTATGTACATGTGGTTCCTTAGAGAAACTGTGAATGGAAGTTCCATGAAGGCAAGGATTCAAACTCACTGTGTCCAAAACTAAACTCATTATCCTTTCCCTCCAAATGTCTTCTTTCTGTGCCCCTGACCACCACTCTGGTAAACAGCACTGTCACTTTTCAAGTCTGTTAAACTAGAAATAGCCAAGCTATATGTGACTCTTGTTTACCCTGTGAAAACTAATTGATCATCACAGCAAATAGGGCTTCTTCTGACTGTCCCACATTCCCCTACTTCCTATTTTAAACTTGACCAGCATCACATTAATTCTGAACATTTTTTTAAAAACCTCTTATATGGACTATATTAACTGATCTTCCTCACTCACCCATTCTCTTTCATCCTGTACATTGTCTCCCAAGTTATGTTGATTAAAGGATTAAACGACAGCTCTGATTACCTTCTTTCTGTTTTATTTTTGAGACAGCGTCAGGCTTTGTCACCCAGGCTGGAGTGCGGTGGAGTGATCTTAGCTCACTTCAACCTCTGCCTCCTGGGTTCAGGTGATTCTCCTGCCTCAGCCTCCTGAGTAGCTGGGATTACTGGTGTGCACCACCACGGCTGGCTAATTTTTTGGTAGAGACAGGGTTATGCCATGTTGGCCAGGCTGGTCTCAAACTCCTGGCTTCAAGTGTCCACCTGCCTCAGCCTCTCAAAGTGCTGGGATTACAGGTATGAGCCACCGCACCTGGCCAGATTACCTTATTTCTAGTCTTCAGCGATTTTTTTCAGCCCATTAAGGATGTTTCTACAATCCACTGTCACCCTTACAAGGCCATATCCTTTACATAGCCTCTTCCTACTACAACAGCCCTAAAGGACTCTGGGCACCAGACAGATTGAACTTGCAAGATTCTTCAGACACCGGTGCTTGTTCTTGTTATTTTTCTTCTTGTCTATTTTGTAGAAGCCCTCATCAAGCTTAAGGTCTCGCCTAAATTCTACCCGCTTAAGGAAAATCCCACCAATGTCCTAGGTATGAATTAAGTGCTCATTCCACTGAATCCTGTAGCAGTTTACTTTGGCTGTTACACAGAGATGATAGTTTTGTACAACACATTATGTTCAGCCTCTACCTGTATTCATTATATACCCATCTTTCTCTTCCTCTTTAGATTGTAAGCTGTTGAAGTTTTTGTTAATTGAGTGCTAGGGGAAAAAATTTCAATGAGGAAAACAAATACAGTGACAAAATAACTTTCTCTTAAAGAATAAACATGGTAGTCTTTGAGTCTGGATGCACATGAAGTTTATTTTTGCCCCTCTCTCTACTAGGGACCTCCAGGAACTTGACGATAGTACCCAGCTCCCTCTGCTCTGTCACTTCTCAGAAACAGCAGAAGGACTCACCACCATTCGGGCCTTTAGGTGAGTAAACACATTTTTATATTAGCTGACTAGGCAATAACATCATCAACAAATATTTTTCTACAAATAACTGATCATTGCTTTCATTTTGTTTGATCTCCCCATTGTGTGCCTGATGGTGTACTAAACCAAGAATAAGAAAAATTTGGTGTAAATGATCAGAGTTAGAGTTTACTCATCCAAAATGCTAACTATAATAAAGGATGAAGCAACAGATAGGAAAAATACTAGCTGTGTGACTAGGATAAGGCATCTGAATTCTCTAACCTTGGTTTCCTCATCTATTAAATGGAGAAAATCAATTTTGCTTCTTAGGGTCATTGGACTAGTTAATATTATCCCTGCGAAGTATTAACCACACTGACTATTGAAGAAGCATCCAATAAACAAGTTAAAATAAATGTATAAATAATAATAGTAATAATAATTCTCACAAAAGAAATATTATTACACCAAAGTTGTTTTAGAATTTAATCCTTTTTCTTCAAGGTTTGTAAACAGAGTAATAACCTAAACTTTTGATCAAGGGTGTTTACTTTCAAAAAATTACCTATCCCAATTTTCCTATTCAAGTCAGATTAGCAAAGAAGATGATATTACTGAAAATTTCATTTAATCTAGAAAATTGATATTTTAGTGTTATAACGTTCTGAAATCCTAATCGCAAGTATATATAGATTTTAACCAGAGATTTTTCTAACCTACGAAATTTATTTTTAAATATAGAATTGGGTCACAGAGTAGAATATAGAGAGACAACTATCCACAACATCATGTTCCACAGCACGTCTACATAATCTATGTAGGCGGCATCATGAAGCATTCATGCTTTCTGCACTGGTATGTTTTTCCATCATAATGTGCAATTCCTTTTATTGGAGATGTCAAAATTATTTATTGGCATTGAATGTAGATATTAACATGAAATTTATATTCTAACAACCACCAATGATCACTGGTATTAATATGTACACCATATTAAAGATTACTTTTTTCACCAAATAAGTCCTTTCAATTCAATTTATTTAAGAAACATTTGAGTACCGAACATATGCCAGGTACTATTCTTGCTGTAGATATATAAAGACTAAAAAGACACGGCCTTTCATTTCCAACCAGCAAAAAGTGGCACTGTTGCCCTCCCTCCCCACATCCTCCCCACATACACCTGCCATGTTGTCCTTTTTATTTCCTTTGTGATATTTATCTGAGTATTTTAAATCATCTTTTTTATTTGTTTACAAGTTATCTGTCCTTTCCAACTGGAATGTAAGCCCTATCAGTTCATCCCCCACTTTTTCTTTTTTTTGTTGTTGTTGTGGCATCATTAGCTGGGAAAAGTGCCTGGGACTAAGTAAGTGCTCAATAAATATATATTGACTAAGTAGCTAACATGGGCTGTGTTAAGGAGCTCACAGCCTAGTAGGAGAGAGGGCTTAAGAAAAAAAATAGCAACACAGCATGATACATAGTCTAATATCACAAGAAACAACTGTGTCAGAGAGCAGGGTAGCACTCTGTCTAGAAGGAATGGGGAGATAATTATTGAATAACAAATCTTTGAATGAGGAATAATTGACCTGGCAGATACAGGAGATAGAATATTGAAAGAAGATATAACAGATGTGTGAAAATATAAAGATTTCTATTTTATATGGAAATCAAAAGAGTCCAGTACTGTTGGAACATACATTAAGTACAGAGAAGCTGTCTGTGGCGATGAGGCTTGAAACCATAGTAGAGGCCAGTGCACAAAGGGCATTGATAAGTATCTTTAAATAACTTAGACTGGATCCTTTCAATGTGTGGTAGTCACTGAAGAATTTTGAGCAGGAAAGTGATATGATCAGAGTTGTGTTCATCACAATAACTCTGGGATACTACTATGAACTGGGGATGGTTAACGCCCGAGACAAGGAGACTCCAGGAGGCTGTTGCAGTGGTCCACATGAGAGATTACAAAGGCAGGATAAGGAACTAAGGACCGGGAGAGAAAGCACAGATTTAAGGAATATTTAGGAAGTGGGAACAATGAGATTTAGGAGCAAATTGAATGTGAAGAGTAAGGTTGAGGGAGAAGTTGAAGGTGATTCCTTCTAAGTTTCTGATTCCATGAGTAGGTAGTTTTCCAAGTTAGGAAATTGAAGATGATGTGGAGGATTGGAGAAGGAGTTCATGAGTCTGGTTATGAACATGTACAGGTAGTAATGAGATATCCAGCTGGACTGTTTTTGATCATTTTGGTATACAGGTCTGATGTCTAAGAGATATCTAAGGGCAGAAGATACAGGTTTGAGTATCATTCTTTTATGGATACTAGTTAAAGTTTTGGCCATGGATTTGATTGCTGAGGGAGATGGTGTAGACTAAGAAAAGAGGAGCTTGCAGAAAAATTTCAGACTACCAGCACTTAACGAAAAAGTAGATAAGAGAGATCCTGTGGAAAATATGATCTGCCAATTGCTGCCTCATTAAACAGAGCTGGTCCTCTTAGGTTAAGAGGAAGATAGGTTATATGACTTGTGCCTCCCAATATCCTTTGATATTTGGCTAACCAGTGCCTATCTCATTGCTGAAATATCAGTCCATGATTATCATCTACTGTGGTAAGCCTTCTCTGAATGTGAGAATGTAGAGTCCATGTCCTTCTTAGATCTCTATGTTAAGTTGCATCCTAAACTTAGCACACTGCATCATAATCAACTGTTTGTGTGTTTGCATTCCTCTACAAGATTGGGAGCTACTTAAGAGCTGTAATGTGTCCTTCATCTTAATCTTTAGAATATTGACAGAGTCAGTTACATACTAGGTGTCCAGATGTTTTGTGAATAAATTAAAGGACACTTCGTTGCTCAACCTACTACTTTCTGTTAATATCTCCATGGCTCTTTACTTCAACATCTATCTGCTTCCAGCCCTCCTAATTTGGACAGACTGTTTGAATTCTGTTCCCAGTCAGCTTGCTCAGTAAAGGGGAAGGGTTGATGTTGCCCCTTGTCATGGTCTCAGTCTTTCAACTAAAAATCCTATTGAGCTCCTCCTGCTCCTGGCCAACCCCAACATAGGCCAGCCTGATGCCGTCAAATCCAAACCAATGCCTTGTTTATGGGAGGAGGATCTACGTCTTGGCAACCTTGATGTTGTGACTGCTAGTTTAGCAAGTTGGTCCCTGTAAAGATCAACTATCCTATGAGTGAGAAGTTAATGGTGGGAAAGATCAGTTCACTGGGCTCCCTCCTCATGTGCGCACTGTGTGTGTGTGTGTGTGTGTGTGTGTGTGTGTGTGTGTGTATAATGTTATATATGCTATATGTATAAGTCATATATATATATCATTTTCAGCCCCTCTTTTATTCTTCTGGATATATATATATGAAAGGAACAGATGGATGGAAAAAGACACATTCGATTCCTGACCACAAGTACCAAATGGATATACATATACATATATATATCCAGATAGGAGAGGCCAGCACCCAAGCACTTCGCCTCCCTAGAGGCCATTAAAGGCCCTTAAGTGGTCAGCTGAAATTTTTGATAGCCCTTTATCCAAATGGCACCTTCTGGTAAGTAAACCTTTACCTGTAGCAGCTCTACCCAGGTCAAGGACAGGTCTGGAAAGCCTAAGGGACTGCTCTACCTGTGTTTGATGCATATTACCCTAGGCAACACCACTGTAATGCACCTTAATTCAGTCTTGTCCATTTCCTTCCAAGACCTCAATGACATATAAGTGCCAAATGTTAATACTTAATAGGGCAGAACCCATCTTCCTACTAAGGGAGAGGAATTCAGACCAGTTGGGAAAATAAGCCATCTAAGTAATAGGCAAAAAATCAGGATAGTGGCATCATTGGAGTTAATCAAGTGAGCATTTTAAAAAGAAATTGAATGGTCAATAGTAATAACAACATAAAAGAAGAATAAAAAGGAATTAAAAGTGTCCATTGGATATGGCAACCATGAAGCTATTGATAACCTTAGCAAGAACAGTAATGATAAAGTGGAGAGAATCGAAGGCAAAATTCAGAGGGTTAAAAAATTAATTGGAAATCAGAACATGGACATGGCAAGGAAAAACTACTTTTTGAAAGAGTTTTACTGAGGTGGGAAGGAGTTTAGGAGAGCTAACTAAAAGGAGGAGCTTTTTTACTATTGCGTTTTCATTTTTAAGAGGATAATGAACTAGACATTTTCAAAGACTGAAGGGAAGAAGTGGAGATATAGGCGGGATGGGACAGTTAACGGAGAAGATTATTACAGCAGATTAGCAGGAGTATGTTAAGTGCCCAAGTGTGAAGACCACTTCAGCTTGAAGAGTATTTGGTACATAGCTCCTCTATGAAGGTATGAAAAGGATCTGAATAGATTCAGGAAAACTGGCAGGTGAAACAACAGGAAGTTGATGAGTTCAACATATAACAGCCTCTGTTTTCTCCTTGAAGGACAGGGGAAGTCATCTTCTGAGAGGGATGGGGACAAGAACAAGGCAGAGCATCGTGAAGGGAATGAGGAAGATTTAGAATGAAAGAGGAAATTGACCAAGAGTCAAGATTCAGATTTTTCATTTACCTTCTTCCCTAGACACATGAGCATAATTTAGCATTACTATCCTTAATTTTACATTAGGAAAACTTCTAGGTAGCTTTAAGTAGAACAAAATATTATGTTAAATTTCAATGCTTGAATTAGAGTTGGAAGAAACAAAAGACAACTCAACTTCTATCTGGAAGTACCTGCAGGATCCAATCCAGGTTTAGATCCTCCAGAGTTCATTTTTTAATGTTTTATTTTAGTTTATTTATTTCAATAGGTTTTTTGGGAACAGGCAATTTTTTGTTACATGGATAAGTTATTTAGTGATAATTTCTGAGATTTTGGTACACCTGTCACCCAAGCAGTGTACATTGTACCTAATGTGTAGTCTTTTATTCCTCACCCCTCTTCCATCCTTCACCCCAAGTCCCCAGAGTCTATCATATCATTCTTATGCCTTTGCATCCTCATAGCTTAGCTCCCACTTATAAATGAGAACATATGATATTTGGTTTTCTATTCTTGAGTTACTTCTCTTAGAGTAATGGTCTCCAATTCCATCCAGGTTGCTGAGAATGCCATTATTTCGTTCCTTGTTATGGCTGAGTAGTATTCCATGATGTATATATACCACATTTTCTTTACCCACTCACTGGTTAATGGGCATTTAGGCTGGTTCCATATTTTTGCAGTTGCAACTTGTGCTGCTATAAACATGTGTGTGCAACTGTCTTTTTCATATAATGACTTCTTTTCCTCTGGGTAGATACCTACTAGTGGGTTTGCTGGATCAAATAGCAGTTCTACTTTTAGTTTTTTAGGGAATCTCCATACTGTCTTCCATAGTGATTGCACTGGTTTACATTGCCACTAGCAGTGTAAATGTGTTCCCTTTTCACCACGTCAATATCTATTTTTTTTTTTTATTTTTAAACTATGGCCATTCTTGCAGGGGTAAGGTGGTGTCTCATTGTGGTTTTACTTTGCATTTCTCTGATGATTAGGGACGTAAAGCATTTTTATTAACTATCATAAATATCAGCATTTTTAAACCCAAAAGAAGTCTTGAAAATGGGATGGCCCTGCTGCCATGGATAAAATTCTAGAATCCTTACATTTGGTACTTGTGGTCAGGAATTGATTGTGTCTTTTTCCATCCATCTGTTCCTTTCTTTCAAGCTAACTGGAGTCCCCAGAGTCTTGAACTCTTTGGAAAGTTAATATTTACTGATGAGGCTGCTTTTCCTCCCCCGCATTGAGGGTTCGTGGTGTACTCACATGAAGCAATGAACTCCCTCAAGTAGTTTACCACGAAAGCATCACAGTTAAATTAGACTGAGATTTTAGTGACCTTTCCTATTTTTTTCTTGTCTGACAGAATAAAGGTCTAAGAATGTTCAGAAGATGAGCTGGATATGGATGAAAAGATACAGGCTGAGTGTGTCAAAGTTTCCATTAGGAAAACAGAAGGTTTCTTGCCAAATAGAAACACGCAGAAAGAATGTTCACTGCATTTTCACCCCTCCCCTCTCACTGCTGCCTCAGACTATTGCCAACTCCATTTACAAACTCTTTAAGAGTGGATCTGAAACAATATCCCAAAACTAGAGGAAGAGTCAAAAGTGTTCCAGATAAAGCACTTTGTCAGAATCAAGTGTTTGAGGTTCATCTCAAATGTAGTCCACTGGCTTTGGTCCACCTGGCCTCATCTCCAATCTCTCCATCACACAGTCCTCTAGGGAGAAGAACCTGTCTCAAGCCCCAGAACATGTGGCGCTTTCTCATTTCTGTGCCTTTTCTCATATTGTTCCTGCTGCGTAGAATGCCTTGTTCACCAAAAACATTCTGCTTATCCTTTAAAAACCTCACTCAGATTATCTTCCTTGTCCTTTGTGACACCTTGCTTAACCCTTCCTCTCTCTCCACCCTTCACTCCATTTCCTACCGTGCTGATCCTCTGCTTGGTGCAAATCATGCCCTTCCTTTATGTTCGTGTAGCATTTTGTGCATAAGATCCTTATAGCTAGACAGTGTGTTGCACCATTTTTACTTGTTAATGCTGTGTTTCCTCCCTTCACTAGACAGTTGACCCTTCAAGGGAGTAGGTCATGTCTTGTTCCTATATCCTCAGTGTCTAGCATAATGTCTTGCTTAGAGTGGATGATTGCTAAATGCTCCCGAATGAATGGATGAAAATCTACCAAACATGTACCTAGCAAGTACAAAAAAGAATGAGCCAAGGTGGATGGATCACCTGAGGTCAGGAGTTCAAGACCATCCTGGCCAACATGGTGAAACCCCATCTCTACTAAAAATACAAAAATTAGTTGGGCATGGTGGCACATACCTGTAGTCCCAGCTACTGGGGAGGCTGAAGCAGGAGAATCGCTTGACCCTGGGAGGCAGAGGTTGTAGTGAGCTGAGATCGCACCACTGCACTCCATCCTGGGCAACAGAGTGAGACTGTCTCAAAAAAAAAAAAAAAATGAGCCTTGCGTGTGTGTATATAGAGAGATGATAGATTGATGATAGATAGATAGATAGATAGATAGATAGATAGATAGATAATCTTTATGGTTCATGTTCATTGTTTCAGTAAATCCTATAACCCTTTGAACATCCCCCCTACCCTTCAGTTGTTCTCTATATTCATCCCTAAAAAGGTCAGCTGGAGGGTAAGCTTGGACTGCTTAGTCCCACAGCATGAGTGCTGCCATTCAGGCCAGGTCCTCCTGTGCATGGCAGCATGGCATTTGGGTCATGGATACTCAACTCAATGTGAGGTAACTATTTAGCTATGATTGCTGAGTTCTCTGATTATTGTAGATTAGAGCTTACTGTCCGACTGAATTATCTATCTTTTTTGACATATTGGAATGATCAGATTGATTGGATAGATATCAAGCGTCTGCTTTATATTGGCCTGTATGGATTACTTCAGTGGGCCAAATGAACACCCCTCCCAGGATATCTTCATTCTTTGACATATGATGATTTATTATACATTTTTACAATTTTACTTAAAAATTGGGGAGGTGAGTGGGGGAAGTGTTTTATCCAGAAGGAATCACTGCCATTTTGTCAGATGAAGTTTGCTTATTTCTTGCAAACATAACCCATAGATGGGAGGTCTCTATAAGACAAGCCGTGGCTGCAGAGAGTGAATAAATCACATTTTGATTTGGTATTTTCCCTACCTTCAAACCAGTTATTTTTATTATATTATCCAGCCTTCCAATGTTTCTGTTATTCAGGAAAAATAATTGAGAAATAAAAAGAGACTATTGTTGTGATTTAGAGAAGATTTTTTCTACCATGTAACATGAATTTCTTTGAGATATTGGCTCAGATGTTTAAATGGATAGGGCTTTTACTAACAGTTTTATTTATAAAATAGGTTACACAGAATTTGGTGTGATTTTATTGAGCACCAAGAATTAACTTAATTTGCTGAAGATCAATATCCAAACGATATATATCATAGAACCCTGAAAGTACACAGACCAAATTCCTTTTATGCAATGACCATCCTTACAAATATTTCAGAATTTGGGGGTGTAGAGCATTTGCCGTCATCTCTAGTGTCCCCATCCTCTACTTGTTGCCACCCCAGTTTTTTTCCTTTGGTTCCCAGAAATATTAGGCAAAAAGATAATTTTAAAAGTATATTTTTGCCAATTGCAAATGCATAGTTTTCTGTCTTCCCTGGTTCTGTGCCAGCACTTCCCACCCAACTCTAACTGTGTTGTTTGGAAAAGTAAAATAAATGCCACAAAATATCGGTACAGTTGCATTTCTACACAATTTATCCTGGATTTTGTAAGGCCCTTTTAATGTAGTAGGCTATGCTTTATTCTCATGGCTACAATAATTATGTGGAAATTTATGAACTGATCTTTAATACAATGTTGTTATTAGAAGGACTCTTTTTCCTAGTAAGGGTATAAGAAAGGAAATAAACACCTGACCACACCATCTCTACTAAGAATGCAAAGAGCAGTAGTAGCTGGTCTTTATTTTGAAGTAGAAGTCTATTTACTGGGCCGGGTGCGGTGGCACACGCCTGTAATCCCAGCACTTTGGGAGGCCAAGGTGGGCGGATCACAAGGTCAGGAGATCGAGACCATCCTGGCTAACACGGTGAAACCTCGTCTCTACTAAAAATACAAAAAATTAGCCGGGCATGGTGGCGGGTGCCTGTAGTCCCAGCTACTCAGGAGGCTGAGGCAGAAGAATGGTGTGAGCCCGGGAGGCGGAGCTTGCAGTGAGCCGAGATCGCGCCACTGCACTCCAGCCTGGGCAACAGAGCGAGACTCCATCTGAAAAAAAAAAAAAAAAAAAAAAAAAAAAGAAATCTATTTACTGATCATTCCATGCCATCAGTTTGTCACTGTGTTGAGTAAATAGTGTAGTAATAAGTGTGACTGTTTCTTATTACCTCTCCTGTTGTGTGGTTAACATCGTGTTTTTGTTTTCTGCAGGCATGAAACCAGATTTAAACAACGTATGCTGGAACTGACGGATACAAACAACATTGCCTACTTATTTCTCTCAGCTGCCAACAGATGGCTGGAGGTCAGGACGGTACGTTCATTTCATGATTTCGAAATGGAAACCAAATAGAGAAGACGCCTGCTGCAAAGAGGCAGACAGTTGTAAAAATTAGTATTCCACTGAGATTCGGCACTAGCTTCACATTTTCTGGACTTTAAAATAGCTCAGGTTTGTTTATGTTACAGATGAAGTTTGTCATAATGTTTTAGCTAATGACAAGACAAATAGCCCAAAAAGCAAAAATTCATTTTGTGTTCATTAGTTTCTAGATCACATAAGTTAATGGAATGGCAAATATTTGTATAACTTCAAATTTTTTTTTCCAAAAGAGCACATTTGGCAAGTGAACAGATGTACTCATTTCCTTCACTGAGTTGGTCCTGCCTGGAAGGATGGCAACTTTCTACGTTTTAAGCCAGTGGAGGGTCATGTTAGTGCAAAATGTAGAAAACTACAGTTAATCATCTGTTGCCTTCTGTCTTGCATAATGTAGAAGAACAAGCACAAGCTTTGGCATCACACAGACTTGGTCTAGCAAGTTAATTTTAGTCCCAGTTCCTCATCTGTAAAATAAGAATGTGTACCTTGTACCTTGTATGGGCATTGGATTAAAAGTAACATAAATCCCCTACTACACTGATTGGCAAATGCATTCAAGAAATGTCTTTCGAATGCATGCATGAATGAATAATGAATTGTACCTGCCCTGGTAGGGGGTTCATAAGCCAATGAGCTGGAGTATCAAGTAGGAGAGATGAGAAAGACATTCCAGAAGGCAAGGAATATAGTTTGTAGTCTGTGCGATCCGGAACATGGATAAGCTACTTTGATGGTAATGTTGAGTTGAGTGTAATTTTTTAAATAGGTATTTGCCGGTTTTGAAAAGAAAAAGCATGTTTATCTCTACTATTGAGAGAATCTTATTTCCACTAATTGCGTTTCACTAACATATAGGCTTTCTTTCAAAACACAACAGAAAAGAGAAGGAAGATGGTAAAGGGAATTTAATAGGGTAGAAATGAAGGAGCCCAAATTAAAATCTGAGTAGTTGATTGATGGATACAGATTAAACAAGAATCTTGGACATCCTTGTGAGCTTTTATTATCATGATTTCTCACTGGTTTACAGAGATTCTCCTCAACTATATTAGTCATTATGTAGAAATTATTCAACAGCACAGCATAGTTATTTTTCACAAAGTTTTGACAGAAGTACTGGTTGCTGATAAATTCCCTCCAGGTAGCTGTGACAGTTGGAAGAAGGCAGGACAGAGTTTCTTGGGAATTACGTATAGATAAATAAAGGCAAGTGAAGTGTTACTTAGGATTTATCACAAAACCAAAACATTATTCCCAAACCCTATACAAACCATAATTCCATAATTCCTTGCTTTAATTCCTTGTTTTGATATGTGAGTGTGTGTGTGTGTGTGTGTGTGTGTGTGTGTGTGTGTGTGTGTTGTTCTATAAGGGAAAAAATCATATATGAATAATATAATTACTGATGAAATAGCTTACTGAAAGAATGTCCCGAAATCATAAGGGAGAAATGTTAGCAGTTACCTTTGTATCTGGTTTTCCTGAACTTGAAGATCAAGTATGTCTTTTAGGGGCAAGCATATTTGCCTTGGACTTGAGGTGAGAGTCTGACCGACTCCTGTTTCTGCTCTTTAGCACTTCCTGCTGTCAGATTAATGGATAAGTGTTGAACAAGAATCTTCAAGCAAACCATATGCTCTGTTCTCATAGCCAGAAGACAAGATATTAGAGCCTTAAGACTGCCAAGAAAGGGAAGGTCAGGAAAAATTAGAAAGGAACAGCAGCCAAACTCAAAATTGTTTAGTTTAGTTTGTCTCATAACCCAATACTTTAACCCCCACGTGAAAAAGCAGTTGAACCTGTCTAAATATAATAGACTCTGTATCTTGAATTCCACCTGCAAAAAACAAAATACTGACACCTGAAACAGGAAGGGCAGAACAGGCCATTCATTTGGTTACTTTGTAATGCATTTGTTACTATGTCTTCTCCTTGCTTTCTGTGTATTAGAATCCTTCCAAGATTTGCAATCTAGTCTTATTACTAGAACTCTCCCTTAAAAATTAATACAAAATATTAAGGAGTATTTTATTTTCATTTCCGATGGGCAAAGATATATTTTGGCAAGAAACGTTTGTTGATTTATTGCAAGGTTCCAGGCATATCTGCTGACAGAAGTCAAGGTTCAAGGTCCTTTGTGTATGCTTTGCCTCCATCCATTGTATTTATATGTCAGTAACTTTATATGGATAAACACGTGTACACACGCACACATGCACACCCCTCTAGACAATCTCAGAGATCCATTGTGAGACCAGTCAGATTCACTGTCGCTCTGCTCTTCTGAGTGAACTGAGAGTTTTCATTGGAACCAGGTGTATTTAAATATAAATACTATAATCCAAGAACATATGCCACAGTAGGAGTGTTAAATAAGGTAAATGACTTCTCCTGGGAAATAACCTTTTCTCTCAATTGTGCACATATAAATGACCTCATTACTACTGTGTTTCTGTGGGCATGTCCACATCACTGGAGACAGAATTTTAGTTTGGAATAACTGGATCTTGCGTGAGAAAAATGAAGTTGAGATATAGTACCTTGGAGACTAGGGTGTGAACTGTTCTCTACACCCCACAGCTGGATATATTCTGTATTCTGCCTTGTAAGTCTTTTTTTTTTTAAAGTAATGAAAATTTCTAATTGGCCCAGTACATCTGCATTGATCTTATCTATGGTATCAACACAACCCCCTCTTTGTTGTATTACTCAGTAAGTTCACATAAATATCTGCTTCTAGCAAATATTCTTAGAGTTCCCAGAGCAGGAATGCAACCAAAATGATATAAAGAAGGTCACTTCATTGGACATAAATTAGAAGAGGCAAGCAGGATTTCTTCACACAGATTTCACCAACTCTAATTCATGGACTCAGAGCCATAATGGAAATGGGAGAAAACATGATATCATTGCTTTCTGTGGCTATCTTTCCCCTCCCTTCCTCTTTATGCCTAGTTTTAACTTTCCAAAGCCATGTCACTGCTATTGACAGAAAATCTCAAGAAAGAAGAGAGAGAAACCAGAGTAGAAACGCCTTTTGTTGAATTTGGGACGTTCTCCGAACCTCATCCAATTTTTGTTTATCTTTTTTTTTAAATTATACTTTAAGTTCTGGGATACATACGCAGAACATGCATGTTTGTAACATAGGTATACGCATGCCATGGTGGTTTGCTGCACCCATCAACCCGTGATCCACATTGGGTATTTCTCCTAATGCTATCCCTCCCCTAGCCCCCCACCCCCGGACAGATCCCAATGTATAATGTTCCCCTCCCTGTGTCCATGTGTTCTCATTGTCTAACTCCCACTTATGAGTGAGAACATGCGATGTTTGGTTTTCTGTTCCTGTGTTAGTTTGCTGAGGATGATGGTTTCCAGCTTCATCCATGTCCCTACAAAGGACATAAACTCATCCTATTTTATGGTTGCATAGTATTCCATGGTGTATATGTGCCATGTTTTCTTTATCCAGTCTATCATTGATGGGCATTTGGGTTGGTTCCAAGTCTCTGCTATTGTGAGCAGTGCTGCAATAAACATATATGTGCATGTATCGTTATAGTAGAATGATTTATAATCCTTTGAGTATATACCCAGTAATGGGATTGCTGGGTCAAATGGTATTTCTGGTTCTAGATCCTTGAGGAATGGCCACACTGTCTTCCACAATGGTTGAACTAATTTACCCTCCCACTAACAGTGTAAAAGCGTTCCTATTTCTCCACATCGTCTCTAGCATCTGTTGTTTCCTGACTTTTTAATGATTGCCATTCTAACTGGCATAAGATGGTATCTCATTGTGGTTTTGATTTGCATTTCTGTAATGACCAGTGATGATGAGCTTTTTTTCATATGTTGAGATAGAGACATGAAAAACCCTTCAAAAAATCAGTGAATCCAGAAGCTGGTTTTTTGAAAAGATCAACAAAATAGATCAACAAAAAAGATCAACAAAAAAGATCAACAAAATAGTCTGACTGCTAGCCAGACTAATAAAGAAGAAAAGAGAAAAGAATCAAATACATGCAATAAAAAATGATAAAGGGGATATCACCACTAATCCCACATCAATACAAACTACCATCAGAAAATGCAATAAACACCTCTATGCAAATAAACTAGAAAATCTAGAAGAAATGAATAAATTTCTGGACACACACACCCTCCCAAGACTAAACTAGGAAGAAGTCGAATCCCTGAATAGACCAATAACAAGTTCTGAAATTGAGGCAATAATTAGTAGCCTACCAACCAAAAAAAGCCCAGGACCAGATGGATTCACAGCCAAATTCTACTGGAGGTACAAAGAGATGCTGGTATCATTCCTTCTGAAACTATTCCAAACAATTGAAAAAGAGGGACTCCTCCCTAACTCATTTTATGAGGCCAGCATCATCCTGATGCCAAAACCTAGTAGAGACACAACAGAAAAGGAAAATTTCAGACCAATATCCCTGATGAACATCATTGCAAAAATCCTCCATAAAATACTGGCAAACTGAATCCAGCAACACATCAAAAAGCTTATCCACCACGATCAAGTCGGCATCATCCCTGGGATGCAAAGCTGGTTCAACATACGCAAATCAATAAACGTAATCCATCACATCAACAGAACCAATGACAAAAACCACATGATTATCTTAATAGATGCAGAAAAGGCCTTCGATAAAATTCAACACCCCTTCATGCTAAAAACGCTCAAAAAACTAGATATCAATGGAACGTATCTCAAAATAATTGTTTATGTTTTTAAAAAAATACAGCGCTTTCTTTTCTTTTCCAAGTCATGTTAAATAAGAGTTAAGACAATCATGATTTTTCCTCTTTGTCTACACAGATAGTTTTCCCTATGGAAGATCTAGCCTTGCCCACCATATTCATATCATATTCATTTTGAATTGGGAAAAAAATAAAGGCCATAACACACTCAAATCATAAAAGGACAAGAGACTAAAAGAATAAAATAATTTGGCTGGTAGAAAGCGGCTAGACTGTGGCTGGCCACCGGACTTGCTTTGGCAGCAGAGCGGACTGTTTTTCCTCTGGGTGCCAAGTGAAGCCGGCCGCGGTTGAGTGCAATGTGTCACTACAGCCTAACCTCTGATTGCTGCTTGCGTCCTCTCGTTCAGCACAGTCTTTTCTCTTCATCCCTTTGGACTAAACAATTCCAGTTCTTTGGCATTGGTGTTTTCAGTTGCAAAAATGGTGTAACTTTATCTAAAGGCTGTCTTTCCAAGGCTTTGTCTTGCTGTGTGGTGGAAGGATAAAAGAAAATTCACATGAAGAAGCCAAAAATAAATACTTTAGAGTCAACAGGCTAAAGTGAAAATGGTCTTTAGGGTGAGCTTGCACAAGAGTCTATTTTGTGAGACAACACTGCTTTTTTGTGTGTTCACAATTCAACGACAGACAGGGATGCAGTGATCTCGTAATTTGAAGGCCCTAATATATTCTTGCAGATACCCAGTGGTACAATAATGTGCTCCTGAGTGCTATATGAAGGAGAGGGATCACATACTTTTGGGTTGCTATTAACTATTTACAAGGCTGCCTTATAGAGAATTACAGTTTTCATTATAATTCCAAATATAGATAGATGTCTTTGAATCACTAGAAATCTGAAAAGAGACCTCTCTTTCGACATGGGAATCTTCTGGTGGGGAGTATTGAATTCACAGAATTGATGGAAGCTGTAATTTACTATTCTACAGATAAAAGCCCTCTTTTGAATGTAGATAATTCATCTGTGTTGTAACTTCTGTTTCCTAAGTTGAGTCTCCCATTTCATTGTATCATTTGGATGGAAGGTGGTTTTCACTGAGTAGATTGCTTAGGATGTGTAAGGCTATAGCAGTAGAATAAATGCTATTAGTGATCCCCAAGTATTAGCTGTCTTCTGTGAAAGTTATGCAGACCATCTGCTTCTCCTTTCTTAGTTTATTGCCTCTAAGCCATTTGCTTCTCACGTATTTGCAAAGGAATGGAAAGATGTAACCGTAGGGTCACTTTGTGAATCATTAAACTTGTTAAGTTTAACAGTAAAAGAAGTGAACATCGGAGACCTAACAAAAGCTTTTTTTTTTTTTTTTTTTGAGACGGAGTCTCACTCTGTCGCCCAGGCTAGAGTGCAGTGGCATGATCTCAGCTTACTGCAACCTCTGCCTCCCGGGTTCAAGTGATTCTTCTGCCTCAGCCTCCCGAATAGCTGGGACTACAGGTGCCTGCCATCACACCCAGCTAATTTTTGTGTAGAGATGGGGTTTCACTGTGTTAGCCAGGATGGTCTCGATCTCCTGACCTCGTGATCTGACCGCCTTGACCTCCCAAAGTGCTGGGATTACAGGAATGAGCCACTGCACCTGGCCACAAAAGCTTTTATGTTAGCTATTAATTTCACATTTCTATACTACTGTAATATTTGAAGAGAAGTGATTGAAATTTAGTGATTTTGCTGAATATTTTTTGAAAAGTGTAGTACACAAAGGAGCTTCATCCCTTATGCAAATCAAGATAAAATTCTGATCAGTAGTCTCTAAAATATTTCCAGTACTTTAGAAAAAAAAAAAACAGTTTTTAGCAGTGGTAGTAATCCAGCAGTGAGCTGGAAAGTATCTAGTTAGTAAAATTAAAAGACAGCCTGAATGACTTTTTCTTTAAAAAGAAAGTTTAAAAATATTTTTATAATAAAATAACTTTGTTATACATACTAAACTACAGATATATTGGCTTTCAAGCTATAATATCTATTTGAATTTAGTTGATTGTAGATTTTGAAAATCAGTTCCTCTTCTGAAAATTTTTGCTATAAAATGTACCTCAAAAAGCTATGCCTTTCTTTTGCTGAAGACCGGGTCAAAAATAATATTTCTAAAACATTTTAATATATGAATTTGAGCATATTTGGATTGCTGGCCTAATAACTAATAATATCTAGTGATCATATTGAAAATTATACAAGTAGTTTTGAAAACATTAACCACGTGAAAGGGGCCCAGAAAATATATATTGACTACAACTTATTGATGAGTCTTCTCCTTTTTCTCCCATCATCTGTTTTCACTTCTTTTGCTGGCCCTTTTGCCAGAATAAGACTACCTACCTGTTACCAGAATTATCATTTTAATTCAATGGAAAATAGTTTAAATTATCTTCTAATCAAATCTACCATGTCATTCTTTACAGTGGGTGAATTCAGGAGCCCAATATAGAATACAAAGATTTCCATAGTAAACTAAACTCAATAGCGAGAAATTGACTGCATAATGTTTTACATTTCCTTTATTATATTTATATTCATATTACTCCTACTGTTTAATTTCCATTTATTTAGACCCAGTGATTTTTGATATTTCAGTCAGCTATGACCTTGTTCTATTTTGTCCAAATCTGTTCTTTATAAAAAACACAGCAACAGCATTTTGTGAGTTTTTTTCCCACAATTAAAATAGTAAAATATATACATATATATAATAATTTGGAACTGAATGATGAAATTCATGGCTTAGGTAAAAGTACTTTTCACTTTAGAAAAGGAAATAACTCATAACACTTAAACATAGCAAAGCTTTTTAAGAGACAGTCATATTACAGTTCTAAATGGACATGGGAGTTAAAAGATTATAAAACTCGGTGTTGGACTTCCCACTTTATCAAAAAATGTATGCTTGTAGTATCTTTACATGTTCAGCTCTTAAAATCTGGAAATGAGATTGGTAGAGACTTAAATGATTCATACAAATCCTAAAAGAAAAGTCGGGAGAAGTCCTAAGTTGGAAAATAGTCAGCTCATAGAAAAACTCAGTGAATGTTTTATGAAGGGGTGAATTTATCTAGTCATTTACTCCACAAACAAGTACTGAAGCTTTACAATCAATGTATTTAGCATTATTCCTATTGCTGGAGATAATAATGGTAAAAATTCAAAGACCCTGTCCTCATGGAACGTAGATTCTAATGAGAGTAGATAGACAATAACCATGTAAACAAATAAGCAAATAAGATAATTTCATACACTTCGGAGTGCTTTGAGGAAAATAAAACAGGACAATGGGAAAGAGAAGAGCCACAGGGCTGGAGTTAGGAACCAAGAAAGGAAGACTTTTCCAAGGAGGTGATGTTTGAGTTGAACCTCAAATGATGGGAAGGAGCCAGGTATCAGAGACCTACCGACAAGCATTTCAGGCAGTCACTGGCAGAAACAAAGTTGATGTATTCCCAAGAATAGGAAAAAGGCTAGTGTGGTTGGAGTACAGTGAAGGAGCAGGAAAGTAATCTCAGATGAGGTCAGAGTAGACAGGGTACAAAATCCAGACATATAGTCTGGATAAGGCTATATATATAGATGAGAGCCTATATATAAGGTTTTATATATATATATAGGCTATATATATAAGGCTTTGTCACCCATCTGAGTTTGAATGTATTGTAAGTATAATAGGAAGGCACTGTTAATTCTAAACAGGGGAGTGATATGACCTGACTTACATTTTTTAAAGAATGTATGAATGGATGGATGAAGTCAGCTGGCAGGAGGTAGAGAATAGAAGTTAATGAAAGAAGTACCTTGCCTCAAACTCTTAACATATACACCACTCACAGAAATTTCTCAGAAGCCAGATGACATATTTTTTTTAATGTCAAGCCAGACATACCTTGCTGGAAGGATTTTCTGGTACTAATTTACTTTCTGCAACTTATTACAGAAACTCTATGAGACTTTTAGAAAAAATAATATGGAAATCCAAATGTATAACATAAATTTGAAAGTATTAACTTTACACAAACTGGCTGAAAGGAAAAAATTCATATTGCTGTAAATATTTTAGAAGTATTTGGGAGCACTTTGGCATGTATAAACTGCAGAAGAACAGCCCAGACTGGTTATTCTCTGCATCCATGTAGTTAATTCAAATAAAGAGGAAAAGAGAAAGAACAGTCTAGTAGGGGTGTGGCAAGTTGTTAACAAAAGGATACATCAGAAGAGGCAATCAAAAAAGTATTTACTACCTCTGTGGAATTTATTGCCTCAAAGGATTAACTCTATGTGATTTTTTTTCCTTTAATCTTTGTAAAGATCATGAGCATCAATATGGAATTAAATTTTAGTGCCTGCTTTAACCTTTGATGTTTTATGATGCATACACATTTTTAAGTTTGCTTTAAACATCTGAAAATTATCCAAAGGGAAAAAAAAAGACATTCTGGTATGTGGAGATGGAGAAATCTAACTGGTATTTAACATTTTTATTCCTTTAAAAATCCTTGTGAATTAAACATCATTTCTATTTTTCAAGGAAGAAATTGAGTCTCAGAGGGTTTTAAGTTGCTTGTCTGAGCTCATTAACTAGTAACGGGCAAGGTCAGTGTCTGAACCCAGATTTTGTTTCCAAGGCTGGGATCATTGGTTGTTCTCCAACAGTTTGATCTTTCGAGCTGTTTTTAAAAGAGACAGGAATGTACACATGTGAGGTCATTTGAGAAACATCTTCATTCTTTGACTTCAGCATGTTCAACATTCCATTACTGTCATTAATGTGTTATCATCTAGTTGTGAGATTTTTTTTGAGGCACCAGAGACAAATCTATCTAGAGAAGGAGTTTATCAGTGGAATGAGACTTGAGATAATTCTAGAAAGTGAGCATATCTGAAATTCTACCTGCTTTGGGGATGTGTGACACATTAACATGAGAAGTTTTTAGAATTTCTTTTTTGAATGATGAGACAGAACAATACCTAAGAACGCTGGGAAATGAGATAAAAAGAAAGCGTTAGGAAATGGACAGATGTTCCCATCTTTTATTTGAATCTATGGCTGTTATTAAAGAATTGTTTTAATTTTGGAAAAGAGTTTATAATTGAATCATACACTATTTAAATACATTAAGACATGTCCATACTTGTATTGTCTGAGCAAGCATAGTGCTTATTCTTATTTACATGAAATCTGTAGGTTTAGTGTCCCAGACTCTGAGCCAGGTAGTTGACAAAAAGTTCAAATAGTAGGTTGGAGCCAAAGTAATTGTGGGTTTTGCTATTACTGTTGCATCAACCTAATACAAATCCCAACAAGTTAACCACAGACAAATTTCTGCAAGGGCCTCACTACACAACACAAAGGAGCTAATCATAATCCTGACATAAGCACACATGAAATCTGAGCTAGAAAACCGGGTCCAAAAATAACTGCTTGTCTGGCAACATAATGCAGTAGAAAGTCGGAAAAAAAAAAAAAAAAAAAGTAAACCCTACATCTGATCCTTGTTGTGCCACCAATTGTAGCTTAACTTCTGGCAAGATGTGTAACTTCTCTGAACCCATATCACACACACACACACACACACACACACACACACACATATATATATATCTATATAGTTATATATAGATATATATATAGATAGATATAGATATAGATATAGATATATATAGTGAGAGCATGGACTCACTCTCCATTCCAGCTCTAATATTGCAAGCTATTATTCTTCTACATCTTAGGTATTCTTCCTCTGAAACTTAACAGGACACACATGGAATGATGTGTATTCTCTTAGTGATCACCTCTGTAAATTGATTGAACTTGGTTTAAGAACTTGGGAGTAACCTTTTAACATTTTCTCTTGCTTTTTCAAAGGATTATCTGGGAGCTTGCATTGTCCTCACTGCATCTATAGCATCCATTAGTGGGTCTTCGAATTCTGGATTGGTAGGCTTGGGTCTTCTGTATGCACTTACGGTAGGTATGGATAAAAATATTACAGGAACAGATAACCAAACACCGCATGTTCTCACTCATAAATGGGAATTGAATGTTGAGAACACATGAGCACAGAGAGGGGAATTACACATACCAGGGCCTATTGGGGGGTGGGGGTGAGGGGAGGGAACTTAGAGGGTGGGTCAATAGGTGCAGCAAACCATCATGGCACACGTATACCTATGTAACAAACCTGCATGTTCTGCGTATGTATCCATTTTTTTTAGAAGAAATAAAGGGAAAAAAATCTCATTTTGTGCAGTGTTGGAGGGTCTACTACAGTTATTACCAACTCTTATTCATGGACGTTAGAGGAAAGGTTTAAATTCATAACAAGATTACATCTTGCAAATAATAGTAGATTGGGGCCCAAACCCAGCTTTATGGGACAGTTTGGATTCACTTCTAGCATTGTGAACCAATTTTTAAGAACTTCTCAGATCTTGTGGTCAGAGTACTCTCCAAGCTGTTTGGGATCCGTGTCCTGAGTTGTACACAACCCAGCTGGGGACTAGCCTACAATGAATGTGAATATACATGAGATAAGTGCAAACAGAAGAGTATACCACTATCCATCATGCAGGGAAATCAGGACAGTTCACAAAATAGTGACAGTTATGGACCCTTGAAGGAACCAGACACCTTCTTTGCTGATATATCGCATGACATTCTCCTTGGTCTCTAATATTCTGTAGCACTTATGAGTTGTATCACACATGTACACTAATGGTCCAAGTTATCTCGTTCCAAAATTTCCGGTGATTAACCACAACTTCTTACTTTAATTTATTTAAAACAATTTTTTTAATCACCTGACACAGATAACCAATTATTTGAATTGGGTTGTGAGGAACTTGGCTGACCTGGAGGTCCAGATGGGTGCAGTGAAGAAGGTGAACAGTTTCCTGACTATGGAGTCAGAGAACTATGAAGGCACAATGGGTATTGCTCTAAATATTGTTTGTCTCACTTAAATATTTATTTTAAACAAATATTAGTGTTTGTTGGGCACATTGTTGTTTCTGCTTTTGCTTTCCACTTCAGTATCCAGAAAACTCTCTCATATCTTGGCTTTGCTTGATTATGTACACCGGAAAAGATGTGACTATTTAGGCCTGAAAAGTCTTGGATAAAACCAGAGTCCAAACAGATATTTATTTAATGACATTTAAAGAGAAAATATTTGGGATTTATTACATTAATTGCTGACCTAAACTATAAACTACTATATTCCCTTTCTCAAGACGTTATTAACTTAGATGTCAAGAAATTTGGATCTTAAAATACGGACTGAGATTCCCAACTTTGCTAGGATAATACTGTCAGGAAATTCAATACTGAGGACAGAATAATCTTCATTAAATGCATATCTCCAAGCTTAAAAGGCATTCCTTTACCTAAATTTTTCAACAGTCATCTAGTTCTTCAAGGACAAAATCCAGAAAACTTAGCTAAGACCATGAGCCCCTTCATTAGCCAACCCTTGCCCATCTTTCATGTCTCATTTCTTGTCATCCACCTGCACCACTTTTACTCTGGCCACACTAACATGCTAGGCTTTCTTTTCCTCTTTATTCTCCTATGTACATATATTTAAAATAAATTTCCCCATCTCCCATCCTTTAAAATTCATCTCAGGCACTGTTTCCTCTTGGAGCCCTCCTGGACCTCCAAGGTTAGCACCATCCATGCTCCCAGAGCACCGTAGGTTTGCCTTCATCATGGGGCCTCCATGTAGTACTGTAGGTGCTGACCTACTGGACAATTCCCCAAGGACACAGAAAGCACCTTGAGCTGTGTCTTTCGTCTCCATATTCCCAGCACCTTGTACAGCACCTCTCACATTTAAAGCACCTAAGTGTTTAATGACCAACTGACTGAACAAATAAATCAATTCAGAAATGAACTATCTCTGTCCACTTTGAATAGAATTGAGTGACGGAATGCTAAGGAGAGATGATGATGGTTAAGGCTCCAAAAACAAACACGAAAAAAACTGTCTTAAAAGTGCGTAATCAAAAGGTGTTTATTTGAATGTGATTTAAACTAAAAAAAAAAAAAAAAAAAAAAAAAAAAAAAAAAAAAAAAAAAACTGCCACATAGTTTGGTTCAGTATTACTTTAAATTTAGAAAAATATATATATATGTATAAATGTATTTAAGTATGTATACATTTCTTTCTACATCAATCTCTATCTGCCTATTATCTGTCTATTTCCCCATCCCATCCTCCAGATCCTTCTCAAGTTCCAGAACATTGGCCACAAGAAGGGGAGATCAAGATACATGATCTGTGTGTCAGATATGAAAATAATCTGAAACCTGTTCTTAAGCACGTCAAGGCTTACATCAAACCTGGACAAAAGGTATGAAATCACTGCATTTGATATGTTGTATACATAAAACCTCTGAGGGAGTCTGCTTTTTTACTACCTAAGCTCTTCATACTTCCCAGCCAAGTAAGTATATTCCCTACCTGATGTAGGTCAAATTATCTGCATAAAAGAAAAAAGGGAGAGATAGGATCAGACTACAGTACATGTTCTCCAAGTCATATTGTAATTCACTAGTCTCCCATGGAGATCAGAAAAGTCAACAATAGGCATGTTTTTAAAAATTTCTGTCTTCTGACTCCTGGCCATAATAGCCATCCCCTTGGGAATCTTTGCATTCATAATAACTCTAGTCCCCAAATGACTTCTTTTAGTTATTGTAAAAAGAACAAGTGGGCAGAAGAAAATGGAATCATTCTACTTTTTGTTATAAAACTATCACTTCTTAGATAACATGGAATAATTATTTGTTAGTCCAACAATATACTAAATGCAAAAAAAAAAAAAAACCATGAAGAAAAAACAAGGCAATCACATGAAAATAAAAATAAATAGAATGAAATCATTGAAGATTTGGTGAGAACTGTTTTTATATTTTTATTTTTTATTTTTTGAGACAGGGTCTTGTTCTTTCACCAAGGGTGGAGTGCAGTGGTGTGATCACGGCTCACTGCAGCCTCGACCTCCTGGGCTCCAGCCATCCTCCCACTTGAGCCTTCTGAGTAGCTGGGACTACAGGCACACACCACCACATCCAGCTAATTTGTGTATTTTTTGTAGAGACAGGTTTTTGCAATATTGCCCAGGCTGGTCTCAAACTCCTGGCCTCAAGTGACCTACCCGCCTCAGCCTCCCAAAGTGTTGGGTTTACAGGTGTGAGCCATTGTGCCCAGCCTGTTTTTATCTTGAGAATAATTCATAATGTAGATCTAAGAAAAAATGATAACTATAATGTAATTATTTAAACATAATTACAGTTTTATCATAATATCTTAAGTTAAAAAACAAAACTTAAGCTAATCTTCTGTCCTTTTCTGAGTCCTCTTCTCTTTGAGTGACAGCTGTTTTCCTAGGTGGGCATATGTGGTCGCACTGGCAGTGGGAAATCATCGTTATCTCTGGCTTTCTTCAGAATGGTTGATATATTTGATGGTGAGTTGCTAACTAAATTTTTTAAGTGGCCACTTGGTGCTTTCCTTTAAAAAAACATCAATTTACCTAATCCTGCAGAAATCAAAAGCAAATATTTATAAGGACTTTGTGCTCTACACATGGTTCAAGGCAGATATCCCAAATAAACAGCTCAAAAGTAAATAAAAGACATAGAATTGGGGAAATAAAATGATGAGCCTTAAACTCATGTCTATACATTATTGCTAAAGCATTTTAATAAACTTGTAAAATGAAAACAAGGCCACCCACTTTGAATAGCAGTAGGTGGAGGTGGAATTTCAAGAGAAAGAAAGAGGGAGGACAACTGCCTTGCTTCCTTTAGACTAAATGTATGTCTCTTTCCAACAAAGGAAAAAAGTACAAGGAGGTAAGTAATCTGCATTTTAAATTTTGGTACATGACTCTTACCATCATCTGCTTAATAACATTGCTTAATGACATTGAACGTTTTGTGAGGAGGCAACCTTTGCTGCAAAGTGATAAAGCTCATGGTAACAACATACACAAAACATACACATTCATCCACCATAGTATTAATAATATGATACACAAGAGCGTAGAAATAACTTAATCTTTTTTTAAAAAAAGTCACATTTAGTCTATCAAGTGGCCTATAAATAGGCCAGCACATAAAGTATCTTGAATGAAAGAGGATCCAGCAATGAATTTGACCGAACTTATTGTACTTGACAGTACAAGGAGTGCTTACTATTATTATCTGTAATGATTACGATGACTATAGTACTTTGCATGTTTATTGTACTTGACAGTTTATATTATTGAATTTAATCTACACAACAGCTCTGTGAGATAAAGAGGTCAGTTTATGAACAACAACATGGAACTATAGTAAATATAGTTTTTTTGGGGTTCAGATTCAGGAACAAGGTAAACTTCTGTCACTAAGTTAGCAGCTTATTTTTTCCATGGCTAGTAATAATGCACAGATACTTTAAGGACTTTCAGTGGGATTAAAGTTATAAGGCAATTAAGTGATCAAAAATCAACTGACATTTTTCATTAAAACACTATGTTTATGACTGATCATGTTAGGTTAGCCTGATCCTTATGAGTTCAGACACATGATTTCAGGTCCCATGTGAACTATCAATGATTTATTCTCTTTTTAATAGCCATAGGCTATTAAGATTTTAATTCATAATTTATTATTTCTGATCTATTATTCCTGAAAGACATAGGTTAAGCTAATCACCCTTGCCTGCTCTAAATCTATCTGGTAAAAGGACTGCAGCTGCCATTCTGAGCCTGACATCTTATCTCACAGGGCAATATGGTCTCTGCACAAAAGTGATAGGATTAACTGCATATATCATGGTGGAGAAACAACATCAACACTGCACAAACCTCTATAAGTCCATATGCAGTATGGAGAAATTTATTAAAACTTGATAGTCATATCACAGAATTTACTTCTCTATTTGTAATGCATTGTATTATTAAATCAATACAGGAGTGAATGACAAAGATCCTGGTTTTTAAAGAGCTTGTATTCTAGTTGGGGAACAGACAATAAAAAAAGATAAGTAAAAGTGTGTAGAATATCAGATTCTGATAAATCCCATAGAGAGAAATAAAGTGAGGAGGATAAAGGGAATACTAGAAGGAAAAGTACTCAGTAAGGGATAAAAATACTTTTTGGTTGGTATGATCACATAAACAGAATAAAAACTCTGAATTCCCTTAGGAGAAATATATAAGAAAGAAAAATCACCACCAAATATGTATATTTTTTAGAGACACAAGATTTTTTTTTATTATACTTTAAGTTCTGGGGTACATGTGCAGAACATGCAGGTTTGTTACATAGGTATACATGTGCCATGGTGGTTTGCTGCACCCATCAACCCATCATCTACATTAGGTATTTCTCCTAATGCTATCCCTCCCCTAACCCCCTACCCCTCGAGAGGCCCCAGTGTGTGATGTTCCCCAACCTGTGTCCATGTGTTCTCATTGTTCAACTCCCACTTATGAGTGAGAACATGCAGTATTTGGTTTTCTGTTCCTGTGTTAGTTTGCTGAGAATGATGGTTTCCAGCTTCATCCATTTCCCTGCAAAGGACATTAGCTCATCCTTTTCGATGGCTGCATAGTATTCCATGGTGTATATGTGCCATATTTTCTTTATCCACTCTATCATTGATGGGCATTTGGGTTGGTTCCAAGTCTTTGCTATTGTGAACAGTGCTGCCATAAACATAAGTGTGCATGTGTCTTTAAAGTAGAATGATTTATAATCCTTTGGGTATATACCCAGTAATGGGATTGCTGAGTCAAACGGTGTTTCTAGTTCTAGATACTTGAGGAATCACCACATGCTTAAATGGAAAAGTGGGTCTCCTGAATTTCAACCCCTAACTAAGAAATAACTTTCAATTTGTAAACAAATATTATTTTACTTGTGATTTTACTATGTGTGTGTAACTTCTGTTTCTCCTTAACAGGAAAAATTGTCATTGATGGGATAGACATTTCCAAATTACCACTGCACACACTACGTTCTAGACTTTCAATCATTCTGCAGGATCCAATACTATTCAGTGGTTCCATTAGGTAGGTAACATATTTAGCAACACCTGTATGCCTTAGGATTTAGCCTTTGACTCATAGAAAGGTTTTACTCAGAGTCATTTTTCAGGTATGAGTGAACTGATATCAAGGCAATAAAATCAAATATACCATCCAACAATTTGGATTGGAAAAGCCTAGAGTTGTAAATTAACCTATAAAATTATGTTTCCAGGAGATCTTCATCCCTTTCAGTTTGATTCTATAAAAGCCACTTTTTCCACTATACTTGAGAACGGTGATGCTTGGCAGACATTTCTAAGGTGTTCCATCTTACAGATATCCAGTCTAACTTGTGTGTCTGGCCTGACCTCAGCAGATATTCTGACTTTGGTTAATCCCTTTATCTATCCCTCCACCCCTTACAACTTTACTTCAGCCAAAATTGCTATGAATAAAGCTGCTACAGTCTTCATACCTGGTTCAGGGTTTCCCACCAAAAAAAAAAGGGCGGGGGGGATATCAACCATCTGCTAGGTGCTTTAAATATATTATCTGATTAAATTCTCAAACCGTTACTCTAGGGTAGATATTTATTATCTCCATTTTATAGATGAGGGTTTTGAAACTCAAAGAAGCTGTAACTTAAACCAAGTTTGTACACCTAGTAAGTGGAAGAACTGCTATTCCAACTGAAGTTTGCCTGATTCCAAAGTCCATGTTGGCATCTGTATTAGTCTGTTTTCACACTGTTGTAAAGAATGATCTGAGACTAGGTAATTTATAAAAGAAAGAGGTTTAATTGACTCCCAGCTCTTCATGGCTGGGGAGGCCTCAGGAAACTTACAATCATGGCGGAAGGCAAAGGGGAAGCAAGGCACATCTTCTCATGGTGCCAGGAAAGAGGGAGAGTGAAGGGGGAACTGCCACACTTTAAAACCATCGAATCTCATAAAAACTCACTCTCTATCATGAGAACAGCATGGGGGAAACTGCCCCAGTGATCTAATCAGCTCCCACCAGGTCCCTCCCTGGACACGTGAGGATTACAATTCGAGATGAGATTTGGGTGGGAACACAGAGCAAAATGATATCAGCATCATCCCCCAGATCACATCTCTCATTTGACCATATTTTGTTCTATTTTGCTCCTAACCTCCATCTACTTAATTACAAAGAAGTGTTTGCCACCTCCTTTTACTAATTACTCTTTATTGTAAAGAAAAAATGTATGTAAGATTGCCTAGTATTTAGTTGTAAAACTACTTTAAAACTTCTGGATGTGTCAAGTAATTTAGCAATACCATAGTGAATTTATATCTCCAAATATATTTATTATGAATACTACTTGATATGGTTTGGCTATGTCCCCACCAAAACCTCATCTTGAATTGTAGTTGCCATAATCCTCAAGTGTCATGGGAGGGACCCAGTAGGAGGTAATTGAATCATGGGGGCGGTTACCCCCATGCTGTTCTCATAATAGTGAGTGAGTTCTCATGAGATCTGATGGTTTTATAAGGGGCTTTTCCCACTTTGCTTAATACTTCTCTCTCCTGCCACCATGTGAAGAAGGACATGTTTGCTTCCCCTTCTACCATGATTGTAAGTTTCCTGAGACCTCCCCAGCCCTGCAGAACTGCAAGTCAATTAAACCTCTTTCTTTATAAATTACCCAGTCTCGGGTATGTCCTTATAGCAGCATGAGAATGGACCAGTACACTACTATTGTTGGTGATGGCAGCACAGCTGATCTAAAATAGTGTAATATGCTCCCATAGAGATGTATGTATGTAGCATCAGTCCTGCAGGAATATTTTGCTAGATACTATTTGGGTTATACTAAGCATAGTTTGGAGCCAATGGAGCTAGGTAACAAACTTGATAATATGATATAATGTATACAAAGTTTTATAATGATATCAAGACAATTTTTTATACTATTAAGATCATGCATTCATTCATCAAGCATGAATTCAGTGCTTGCACTGCTCTGGGCACTGTTCTAGGTGCTGAATATACAGCAGTAACCAAAACAAATGGAACTTACATTGTAAGGAAAGAAAAGCAATAAGCAAATATACATAAAAGTTTCTATATTTTCACTTATTGACTAATTAACTAATTTTTCCCTACAGATTTAATTTAGATCCAGAGTGCAAATGCACAGATGACAGACTCTGGGAAGCCTTAGAAATTGCTCAGCTGAAGAATATGGTCAAATCTCTACCTGGAGGTCTAGGTATATTTCCTAAATAGCATATTTATTTTTTATATATGCCATTAATCCTACATATGTCTATCTACGTTTTATGCTATAATCACATAACTTTAGTGTTAAATCCCCTTATATTTAAAATAATATCCTAAAAGTCATTAGAATATTTCAAAATCTAATGTTTTTGCATGGGGTACAAGAGGGTGAACCCGATAACAAATTCTGTTCTATGTGACTACTCCAAAATATTCCAATTAATACATTTATCTCTGCCATCTTTTCACAATTGGTGGGTACAGGTCATTGTAATGGATGTTTCCCTGTAGTTACTCTTTCTCAGTTGACCTGTCTGATCACCTACCATCAGGAAATGAGTGGAAGGATTGCAGGAGCTGTTAGGTTTAAGTCTTTGGCACCACTTAGGGAAAGGCAATTTTGCCCCATTAGTAGCCATTTTCTCTGCTGCCAGGAGGGAAAATTCTTTTTATTTATATAACATAATTTTCTTTGTGTTTGAAGACATTGTTTTGTATTGCCTTGAGGCAGTATCAATTTTAAACACTTGTGTAAAGAACACAACATGTACTCAATCACTGATAAAAATTCAGTCCTAGGGGTTGTACAATGTCTGACAAATAAATGATGACAGCATGAATGTGATTATTGAAACCACAGAGAGTTCATACTATCTTTAACTCATTAAAAGGAACATGTATAATTTTTGACTTTGCTTCCTTAACATCTTAACTCATCTAAGAAAGCAATAGGAAAGATAATAGTTATTGATATTCTAAATTTAATATACAATATATAGTTGCCAAATTGTGGTGTTTGGCATCTAGTTTTTAAAAAGTCAACCTACAAAATAAAATTATGTTTATCTGTTAGTTTATTTGAAAAGCAGGGCCAACTCAGAAATACTACATTTTATTATTTTAATTAAGTTCCAAGGAGAGAGTATGCCACAAACAAAAGTTAAGACAGCATGTCTTTAAGGAATGTTTTATTGACTTGCCAGGGTCAGGTTGTGAAAATAATTCCAGAACTCTGGATGAACTTTCCATAATGATTTTTTCTTTTTTTTTTTTTTTTTTTTTGAGACAAGTTCTCGCTATGTTACCCAGACTTGAGTGCAGTGGCTATTCACAGGCATGATTATCGCATACTACACCCTCTAATCCCTGGGGTCAAGTGATCCTCCTACCTCAGCCTCCTGAGTAGCTGGGACTATAGGTGCCCCACTATGCCTAGCTCCCATAATAGTTTTTTGATGTCTCCTGTGGAAAGCCCAGCAAGTCTACTTGAGAAATTAATGCATGCTTATAGAACTTTCTCTCTTGGCATTTAGAGATCCCCTCTCTCACCATTAATATTTGGAAAGACAGTTGCATCTTTCTAGTCCTCTTCATTAACATGAGAGCTGCATGCACCTGTTTAGATTGTGGGCATAGTGTTTTGGGGTTATGGTACAGCACAGGCCACAGGGGATTGTATTTACATTATGTAACCGACTGAATATGGTGCTCATCATCTTAGTAAAGATGACCAGGGCTTAATGAAGATTTGGTTCAGGCCAGCTTTGGTGGAAACATTCCTTATGTCCAGCATCCTCTTATATGTAAATCAGAATTTGGAGAATAAATACCTATTTTCCCATCATGACAAATTATAAGACTTTGATACCATTAGAATATAATCAATAGAAATTTTCCCCAGGACATTAGGGAAAGGTGTTTGAATTCTAATAAAAAAGACATTTGGAAACAGAATTTTTCTTAAACTCACAATAGTACAGTTTATGAAATGTAGATGGAAACCAAAAAAAAAGAAAAGGATAATGAGGACATATTCATTTATCCATACAACAGTGTGTTATTCAGCTCCTGTGTAAGATACCGCAGTACTAGGGACATTCTGACAAAAAAAAAATAAACCCGGTCCTTATCCACTTGGTACTTACAGTCCAGAAAGATGGTATAATGAAAAGAGAAGTGGAATTAGAGTTGAGAATATTCTGTATCTTATCAAATTAGCTAAATGTGACTTTGGGCAAGCCATTTCAGCTCTCTGGGCCTTAGGTAATTATATTAAGTAATCTCCTTAGAGAATTGTATTAAATAATTAAATAATTTCCAAGATCTTTCTGTCTTCCAAATGTTTTATATCCTCCTATCAGAGGTAATTCACTACCTATTGTCATAAATGAGATAATTTAGGGACATCTTCATTTTCCCAAAGTGGAGTTCCTCTTTGTGTTCCAGTATGAAGTCCTTGCACCAGCACTAAGTGATATCCATCATGCTGTCATACAACATAATGTGTTTTTCATGATTTTGTCCAAGGTAAATGTTAGTAGCATTTCTTTAGTGAAATCCTTGCTTCTTTCTCTGATTTAGATGCGGTTGTCACTGAAGGTGGGGAGAATTTTAGCGTTGGACAGAGACAGCTATTTTGCCTTGCCAGGGCCTTTGTCCGCAAAAGCAGCATTCTTATTATGGATGAGGCAACAGCTTCCATTGACATGGCCACAGTGAGTGCATTATCTAAGCTTTTAAAATTGACGAATTGGAGAAATGTGCATGAAAATTACAATTTATTATTTCCTGATTGGGTTCTGAATCCTCAGTACTATTGTTTTGAGAATCTGCTCAATCATCTACTGGATGAACTGATGATAGCACATTGAGAATTACAATAAATAGGGCCCAACATATGGTTGAAAGGCATTCCTATCACCAATCAACATAAAATAAATTTGCCACAACTTTTTGAAAAATTTTCAGAACAGTAAATTTCCAGGGCTTAGTTGATGAGAGGTACTGTACTATATTCAAGTACTACGCCAGAAAAGTTCTGAAATGCAGTACGAAAATCTCTGTTTAATAGAATCTATTACTAACCAACACCACTCATTATTTCCCAAAGCAATTTGAAGAAGAATGATTCACTGGGATTAACAATGGCTAGAATTAATAACAGTCTTCTCTATGTGTTTATGGTAAAAAGCCATAAATTTTGCCTTTTGAAAGATATTATTTGAAATTGTCAAATGTGTCCAAGAAAGATCTGTCCAGAAGGCTGTGATTGAGTAGGGAAAATGTTTCATTAAATCACAAACTGCATATGAGCTAGCAATTAATATTCTTCTGAAAGTTAACTTGATATTAAAATTTGACTTCAGAAAGGACACATTGAGGGTTATTATAACGGTAATACTGCCTCAACAGAGAAGAGAGAGAGAATATGAATTAAATGATTGAAAGAAAGAACTCCTTCACTTTAAAAATTGAACCAAGATTTCCTCTAGGACAGAGATGGAATCTGTACCCAGAACAGCCTTTAAAATATAATTATAACAGTGCTTTGTGGTGGAGATAAAAACAGTTGCTGCCTAGAATGTCCATTTATGTGTCAAAGTCCAAATTTTTGGCATCAATTTTAGTTTTTCCCTTTTTTGACTCAAAGGTTAACATCATTACAGAATTTTGCTGGTTTCAAATACATACTTTTTGTGGTATAACTCAAGTGAGCACTTTGATACCCATTTAATTTCATTTTCTTCTTTGCATTTCCTGGAAATAAATCTATCACCCACTTCTGGCTGATCACTGACTGACTTTCATTTGTGTTTTAAAGACACGTACAGAATCCAGCATGAACCTGCTGCTGGGGACTGCCCCTTCTTATGACTTCCACAGAAAATGAGGGATTGAGAATGCTCACAAGGGATTCAGTGGAATATTGATTGTTCTTGGGGCAAAATATTATGATGACAAAGTAATCCCGAGAAAATTTACACTTTTTTTTTTTTGCAGGAGAATATTTTGCAAAAAGTAGTAATGACAGCCTTTGCAGACCGGACCGTGGTGACAATAGCTGTAAGTATGAGAAGACGGAGTTGGTATACCTCTTTGGTTTTTGTTCTAACATGTTATCATCTTTAGGTTTTAGCAAAATATACTTGTGTTGAATTATGTATTTCTCTGCTAATGTTTCTGTATCTGTGCAAAAAAGAAAAAAAATACGAAGATGTTTTGAAAGCATTGTTCTTTTCCAAACTGTCTGCTCTACCTAACTGACTTCCCTAAGTTAGAATGATAGGACATCCTAAATCTAAGGATTCCAGCAGGTCATGGCCTCTGCTTGTTCACCAGATAAAATGGTAGTTCATATAAAATAATTCTCTTTTCTATAATCTGATGGTCTGATGAGCAGTTTCAGGAAGAAAATTCCTAAATTTGATTGCTTATTCTGCTACTATCTATACCTAATTTCTATGTTTCCATTCATTAATCTACTAAAAAATAGACAATGAGATATCTCACAGTAGGGTCAGGTAATTTTTTCTATTTTAGATAGCACCAATCAAATAGAAGAAGTGCTTAAATATTTGTAATTCACGTTATAGCTCACTTACAGTAGTCCACAGTTTTCTGCCTTTTCCTCTTTGCAAGTGGATTCTTGCTCATATTTAGGCTTACTGCTTAATAAAAACTATTTTTTAATGAGTCACTTGGACATTTTTCCTTCTGCTGATTCTCTTCTTTTCTATTTTTCTCTCCAGCACCGTGTCTCTTCTATTATGGATGCAGGCCTTGTTTTAGTCTTTTCTGAGGGTATTTTAGTGGAGTGTGATACTGTCCCAAATTTGCTCGCCCACAAGAATGGCCTCTTTTCCACTTTGGTGATGACCAACAAGTAGACCATCATGATCTATTGCACCAAGTCTGTCATTCTCCGGTAGTTATCTTAGCAGTATCCTCTCAGTAAGGCATGGCTAATGCTGTGAATAAAGGGAAGGGCTGAGATGAGGGAACTAACTGCAGGGTGTTATTACAAAATCAGCTCAACCAAGTGCTTTTGTCATGCTCACTACCGAATGGAGCTCATGCATGTGTTTTCAAATATATACATGCAAAAGAGAGTATTTATGAAACCTATTAACTGAATTTACCTCTTATTCTAAGGACCAATTTCACTAGTCCTTAGGGATGTTTTGTAAGCATCCATAAAAATGCCATACACATTTCTTACCTGCCCTGGAGAATGCATTGTTTCATTTACATAGTTACTTGAGTTTCACTGGTGAGTAATGTGAGTTGTGTATGGAGTGCTTGCTATGCTTCCACTTTCTTGGATGATGCATGGGAGAAACAGAACCCTTTGGAGTGCAGCTTTTTTCAAGATGGCAGGAAATGATGTCCCATCAGGGCCTACTTCCTGCAAACTGCCTAAGTAAAGAAAAATCTACTTTCTCGAATTTTTCCAGTGAACTCTGTGGTTCCTCTTTCCCAGAGGAGAGTCACCCAATTAACTCAATTCATATTAAGGTGTGAATGATTTAAGGGGTAGGAGAATTGGTTAACTTGAAAAAGAATTATTCAGTATTTTCAAGAATTTTCTTGCTGGAAAAGGTAGGGAGATATTTTGGAAGAGAGAGAACTCCCTGTTGCCCCAAAATGGGTGGAGAGAGGGAGAGAAAACAGACCATTGCCTATTCAAAAGAAGAATTTTCCCTACTCTGCATGAAGCATGGCGTTGTTGGATGGTTCTATTTAGTCTGTATCTGGAAGATTACTTGAGCATAATTTGTATTTTTAACAAAATGTTAGGTTTCCTAATTAGGTTACCTCTTACCTAATTTCTCTTCTACATTCACTGAATACTTTTCTATAGACTTATATTTCTTTCACTCATTCTTCATTTCAAAACCACTCATGTGAACGTGGCCACTAGGATACCTAGAATTCCCTGCTCCCACCCGCCCCTAATATACATGAAGCTGTCATGGAAGAATCACTGTAAGATTTTTTAGAGGACCAACTCCTCATAACAGGCCCATAAAAGGGAGAGCACCACCATGCTTGTGGTAGACTCCTTATAGAATTAACTTAAACTCTTAAAATTAACTGTTTTTCCTTTCCTGCCTAAGAGCTTATTACTTTGGTTAGCTGCCACTAAAATTGTGGAATGCCTTAACAAGATAATTTTCTCCAGCTTCTGAAAGGAAGCACTCACACACCAAAATAGTCCATGGTATTTATTTCTGAAAGTGATTACACGATTAATTTCTCTGGAATATTTTGAAAATTTTATCAACACAATTACAATTGACACCACACTTTGTCAAGGAAAAGTTATTTGGATTAATGGAATAAAAACCAACTATATTTATTTCTGTTGACCAAGATTTTTCAATGTTTTTTTTTTTTTTTTTTTGGAGACAGAGTTTCACTCTTGTTGCCCAGGCTGGAGTGCAATGGCTCGATCTCAGCTCACCGCAACCTCCGCCTTCTGGGTTCAAACGATTCTCCTGTCTCAGCCTCCCGAGTAGCTGGGGTTGCAGGCATGCACCACCATGCCCGGCTAATTTTGTATTTTTAGTAGAGATGGGGTTTCTTCATTTTGGTCAGGCTGGTCTTGAACCCCTGACCTTGTGATCCGCCCGCCTCGCCCTCCCAAAGAGCTGGGATTACAGGTGTGAGCCACTGCGCCTGGCCTAATGTTTTTATTTTTATTTTTTTCTAGTAAATATTATTTTAGAATATCAATGCAATGTTTATAAGATTATATTTATGGGTTTAGAGGCCAAATTCTTTTTTTAGACATCCATGATATGGCTATTGAACAGCTAATATTTTTCTGGAAGGAAAATGCACAGCAGATATTATTGGATAGCTTGTTAAGTTTCTTTTTCTAAATGCATGGGTGTGCAAATGGCTCTGGTCCTTTCTCAAAGATAAATAAACATTAGGCTCCAAAATCTTGTTAATTCATCAATGTATTAGGTTGGTGCAAAAGTAATCGTGGTCTTTGACATGATTACTTTTGCACCAACCTAATACATAATTTGTTACCAATATTCAGCGAATGATAGGCTTGTCATGGGTATTGAAAACTGGCACATGTTCTAAGCTGGCATCATTATCACATTTCATATATGTTTCTTTTCCCCTCACGTCATGAGTCACAACTATAACTGCTGGCTTTTCTGAAAGCATAAACACTGAGCCCACCCTATCTACATGGCCCAGGGCAGAATGTAGGCCCTCAACTCTGGGGATGGTTTTAGGTAGGACTTTGGAATGTTCAGAGAAGCACTTTGGAAGACTGTGTATCAGCTAAACAGATGGCATTTTTAGGTTTAGAACTCTGGACAGGGACTCCCATCAGCACACTAATATTTTGACCTGCATAGTTCAGGTTCCGTATGGTAGCCCCTGGCCACATGTGGCTATTATTTGAAATGTTGATAGTTCGAATTGAGAAGTGCCATAAGTGTAAAATCTGTACTGGATTTCAAAGACTTAATACTAATAGAAGCATGTAAAAGTTATCATGAATCATTTTTATATTGGTTACATATTGAAATGATAACATCTGAATAGATTGGGTTAAAATGTATTAAAGTTGCTTTCATTTGTTTATTTCTACTTTGAAAATGTAGCTCCTAGAAAATTTAAAATTACTTGTGGCTCCCATTATACTTCTATTGAACAATACTGATCTTAGCAAGAGTAAAAGCCCATCACACAGATCTTTCCTTTCTAATTTATAAACATAAAAAATAATAGTAGTTGACATTTATTATTTGTTTGTATATGTCAGACAAAGTGCTGAATTTTTGATATGGATTATCTCATTTGAACCTCATCACCCTTCTCTGAGGCAGGTACTATACCATAATTTTACAGATGTGAAACTGGAACTATACAATGTTAAGTATATTGCTCAAGATTGCACTACTAACAGGTGGTAAAGCCAAAATACACAAGCCCAGTTTATCTTCAGAGCCTGTTCTCTTAACCATAACACTGACATGGCAGGTGAATGCTCCTCTAAGGTATCAGAGAGCCTTATGAAACAGTTAGATGACAGGATGGAAATAGCTCACATTTTGAAATTAGTAAACCTAATTTTGATACTGGTTCTGCTACTTACTATCTATGTGACCTCCTGATTTTGCTTTATCTCTGTGAATGGTCTCCCCTATAAAGTGGAGAGACATAACACCCACAGCTGAGGAATGGTCTAATGATTCACAAGAATGTGTGTGGAGAACTTAATATATGGCATATGCTCAGAAAGTGGTAGCTTTTATCATTGTTAGTTACTAATTAATCCAAAGGGCATCGCGTGGAAAGAAGGAATGGGTCAGTGGCAGTGATCTCCAAAGACTGAGACTGCATGTCTAAAGGCCTGGGTAATCCATTCTATTACTGCATGCCAGAATGGACTTCCCCATATTGTCATCCCGGAACTAAACCACTTTCCAGGGTTCTTCGAATTGTGTTATAGCCCAAATAATTAGTGACTGTACACAAGAGATAATTATTGTTGACATTAAAGTATAACCCAACTGGTTTACAATGGCCTCTCTTAATTTAATTACTCGATAAACAATTTTACCCTACTTAAACTTAAGGTTTCATGAAAATGATGACGCTGATATATTAGCTACACTCAAGTTAGTACAGCCCATAGAAAACCCAGCCATATTGGCCATTGCTTAAAAATATGTAAATAAATGATAATTTAAATAAGGAAAAAAGGGGAGGTGTCTGTGATCCCTACATCTTGTCACTCACCAAGATAAACAAATGTCCCAGAATAATTCATGAAATATACATATTCCATTGTTTTGGCGTGTGCCCTGAAATGTGTAACAAATACATGTTTTCTTTTCACTCACAGCATCGAGTACACACTATTCTGACGGCAGACCTGGTTATTGTGATGAAGCGAGGAAATATTTTAGAATATGACACTCCAGAAAGCCTCTTGGCTCAGGAAAATGGAGTATTTGCTTCTTTTGTTCGCGCAGACATGTGAAGGAGTGTCTTAAAACAATACATGTATTTAAAATAATGCAGTCATAACCTAATTAATGGATCATCAGCTTGACCTCTGTAAAGTGGCATCTTAAAACTTTTACAGATTTTTGCACAAAAAGTGGACATTTATTTTTCCTGTTTTTAAAACAGTTTTTCAAGATATTATTGCTTAATATGTTCATTATTGATGTTTTTATAGTGATCCAGCCACTCTAGCTTTAAGAATAGCTAGGTTGTATTAAAACATGTAAGCTACTTTAAGTGATAAATCAATAGCTAAAGTTTTCTCCTAACTTTAAGTCTGGTAAATATCTCTCAGGAATGGAAGTGTCAATGAGTAGTCAGTATTACTATACTCTTGTTTGTAAGAATATATTTTCCTTATTGTTGGAGTCTCCAGAGGTTATTGGAAGGAATAAAAAAGGACATGTTTTCTAACGAAACTCTCAAATTCATTATCTACTTCATGAGAATTTATTTGTATTCATTAACATTAGTAATACCTATTTTTCTTAAGAGCCTTCTTTTTTCCCTTTTGTTTCTTGTCACCAAGAAGTTATCACACTTATACTTATTCTATAAGGCCAAAGCCTTATCTAGAAAGATCATGAAGAGTTTGGATATTTTTAAAACTATACTCGAATTTTCATTTTTTCCTGTCCTGTAAAGAGAGAATTCTTAAGATATCAGGCATAATGTATGTACCTTTTCCAGACTGAAGTTCAAAGAATGATTAGGTTCAATCTTTCAGTGGCAGGCCAGCTAAACTTTCTATAGTTTAATGATTAGCTGTGGTTATGATCTTGAGCCCTAACATGCCACATTACTCAAGATTTACACAGGCAAGTGACTTCATTTGGCACTGCTAATAATGGCAGGTGAACATTCCTCTCAGGTGTGAGATATTTCCTATGAAACAGTCCACTGGCAGGCTGGAGATATCTTACACTTTGAAGTTATATATATATAAAACAAGTGTCTATTTCTAGCTGAAAGAGTTTACCTCTTCTAGACATTTATGCCCAATGGTGTCACACATGATCATTTGCTCCTGCTCTAATTTTAATGTGCATACAAAAAATATACCAAAAATGTTATTGTAATTTTAATGAGCATGTAAAGAGTGTATCAAAAATTGATGGGATATTAGTGTTAGGTTTTGCTTAAATGAAAATTAATAAATTCAAAAATACTAAAAGTCACCTTCTTTGTCACGTTAGCAACCAGTTTCTACTATTCTGTGCCCATCCAGTGTCAATATCATTGATTTCTTTTTCATATGAAGATCCACATGCATTGTAAGATTGTGAAGATATATAAAATTGATGAATTAAGAGAAATTATGCCACTTTCCTATAGTTTCTGTGTTCTGTTTATTGTATGGTGTATTCACTCTTGGAAAATATGTAATAGTTGTGTATCCAGAATATGTGTCTTCACCTGAATATTTAATCTTTATATTTACAAAAAAATAAGTTCCACAAGATGGACAAAAATGGTCCATGATATTTAGCTTAAATTGTAACCTTTTGTTGTGTATATAAAACTTCCTTGGAAGAAAATAACCTTATTGTTTTCTTAAAGCTAAACAGAATAGGATTGGTACTCATTAATTATGTCTTGCAAATATTTTCTAAAAATTCAACCACTCTCCTAAAATGGTGTTTAAATATTTTGTAGGGCAGAATATGCATATTGCCTGTTAGCAAGTAATAATTCATTCTCATAGAGAAATGGGTTTTTACCCATGGAAGTAATCTTTTTTTTTTCTTTTTTTTTTTTAATTTTTTTTTTAATATACTTTAAGTTTTAGGGTACATGTGCACATTGTGCAGGTTAGTTACATATATATACATGTGCCATGCTGGTGCGCTGCACCCACTAACTCGTCATCTAGCATTAGGTATATCTCCCAATGCTATCCCTCCCCACTCCCCCCACCCCACCACAGTCCCCAGAGTGTGATATTCCCCTTCCTGTGTCCATGTGATCTCATTGTTCAATTCCCACCTATGAGTGAGAATATGCGGTGTTTGGTTTTTTGTTCTTGCGATAGTTTACTGAGAATGATGGTTTCCAGTTTCATCCATGTCCCTACAAAGGACATGAACTCATCATTTTGTATGGCTGCATAGTATTCCATGGTGTATATGTGCCACATTTTCTTAATCCAGTCTATCATTGTTGGACATTTGGGTTGGTTCCAAGTCTTTGCTATTGTGAATAATGCCGCAATAAACATACGTGTGCATGTGTCTTTATAGCAGCATGATTTATAGTCATTTGGGTATATACCCAGTAATGGGATGGCTGGGTCAAATGGTATTTCTAGTTCTAGATCCCTGAGGAATCGCCACACTGACTTCCACAATGGTTAAACTAAAGAGCTTCTGCACAGCAAAAGAAACTACCATCAGAGTGAACAGGCAACCTACAACATGGGAGAAAATTTTCGCAACCTACTCATCTGACAAAGGGCTAATATCCAGAATCTACAATGAACTCAAACAAATTTACAAGAAAAAAACAAACAACCCCATCAAAAAGTGGGTGAAGGACATGAACAGACACTTCTCAAAAGAAGACATTTATGCAGCCAAAAAACACATGAAAAAATGCTCATCATCACTGGCCATCAGAGAAATGCAAATCAAAACCACTATGAGATATCATCTCACACCAGTTAGAATGGCAATCATTAAAAAGTCAGGAAACAACAGGTGCTGGAGAGGATGTGGAGAAATAGGAACACTTTTACACTGTTGGTGGGACTGTAAACTAGTTCAACCATTGTGGAAGTAATCTTTTAATGATATTTTCTTATTATATTGCTACAGGCAACATCAGTAGAAGCCTATCTAGTTACACTAAACTAAAGATCACATTCACCATTCTTACAGCCAAGTGGTTGCTGGTCCCCTCATAACTTTTAGTTACTTAAGTTGAGTAAATGTCTAATTGTTTACAAACTAAATTGACTAAATAAGGTCAAGGATAATGTTTTTCATTGATTAACCATTTATTATACATATAATCTATTGAATATAAAAAGATTCACCTTGAAATAATATTTGACTATATAGGTACATATCTGTAAAAGATGACCACCTTAACTAAATCAGATTTTACATTTATAAATTTTATATTTAATTAGTCAAATCAATTTTTAAATCATAACTCCTTAATCTCATAAGAAGCAATAAATGCATAAAGCATTATATTAAAATACCAGGGTTACTTATGTCATTGACAGGGAAAAGACTTTGTATAAACAATTATGCACCATCTATTTTTGTACTCTTACTCATGATCCATTTAAAAGTCTACTCAGCTCTAGATTAGATACCAGAAGACCCTCTAAGTAACTGATAACTGAGATTCGGGACCATGTCTTGTTTGCCATTGTGCCCTTGGAATTTAATACAAGTGCCTAACCCACAGTAGGGTTGATTGATTCACTGATTAGTTTTACTGCCATGTGCCTATAACTATAGGTTATTCTCTTTCCTTTTCTATGTTGTGTTTATTCTATTTATTCTCTACAATATATAAAATGTATTTGTTCTCTACAATAAATGTGTTTATTCTCTACAATATATAAAAACATATTGGACTACTATTACATAATTAAATTACTCTTTTATTTGCTTAAAGAGGGTGATTATTTTTTCACTTACCGTTCCACTGAGCAGCAACCGGGACTGGTCAATAGATGGAAATCAATCCCAATTTAGAGACAATACCTGGCCCTGCTTTGACAATCCTGTTTCACGTTTGCCAGAGTCATGCACTTCCTTACTTTTGTATATAGGCTCCAGAGAAGTTTCCATTAAGTGAAACAGCTATATTAATTTTTTAAATATATCTTTATTTAAATAATTGGATGTCTGGACTTTATCCCAACGTTTATTTATCAATTTTTATAGTTGTCTTCCAATATATCTTTTATCATTTATTTTGTAACACATTCTTTGGAGGTCTGTGATTTATAGTACTATGATAATTCCCTTATTGACTCATTATTCAAAGTTAGATGCAGTCTTCTAATCTTAGCTATTTGGCATAAGAAGCAATAGCCAAGGGGATGTATCCTGTACTTTATGTTTAATTTGTTCTTCAGTAACTACATATCATTTATATCAGATTATCTTAAGTATTAACAGGATTCACCTGGATCAAATTCTCCAGTGAAAGAGCTTGTATCGGTATTTCTAGTAAGTGCCGACAAATGAGATACATAATTAACCAAGTTTGGGAATCACTGAGCTACATCAATCATTACACTAGTTTCCCTTTGTTGTGCTGAACATAGAATCATAAAATACTAAAGGTAATTTTCACATGCTTCCTTTCCCTGCTGACATTGCCTTATCCTGAATTGCTAAAACAAGCCTCTCGATGTCACGGAATTAATTGCCTTAGTTCATCATAAAGGAAACATTGTTTAACGAACTGAATCTTAGCTGAGAAGTTACCACAACAGGGACTCAAAGACTTATTTTCTTTAGTTTTGTTGTGTAATCAGCAACAAAGGATCTGAAGATAAAACTTTTTCCACAAAGATGCAAAGTGTTTCAAACATTAATTGTATGTGTATGTGACCAATTTGAGATTTCACTATTGATGTTTCACAATATGGAAGGAAGGTAAATTATCTGTGATGATTATTCTCTTTCCCATCTTATGTTTTTTGCAAGTCTCATCATTGCTGATATATAAAGGCTGATATATTCATTTTACATATCTAATAAATGGGATTTAAGTTATTTTTTTCCTATGGACAGTAGCAAATTGCCCTTAGCCAGTCACACTATGGTCACCAGTGCCCTACTTCTAAAATGACAAAGATAAAGGGAGCCATATCTGGCTAAATAAGTTAATTAGCCATAAGGAATGGACTCTATGACTCAGTGCCACCAACCATCACAGACCATCACCAATTACACACTCCATATTCATGACCAAGAGTTTCGTTTTCAGGCCATTATTTTTGCTAATCTGCCCACTGTGTAAAATAAGTAGCTTGGTGGCTGGCAAGATGGCCAAATAGGAACAGCTCCGGTCTGCAGCTCCCAGCAAGATCAATACAGAAGGGGGATGATTTCTGCATTTCCAAGTGAAGTTCCTGGTTCATTTCATTGAGACTAGTTAGACGGTGGGTGCGGCCTACAGAGGGCAAGCCAAAGAAGGGTGGGGCGTCACCTCACCAGGGAAGCTCAAGGGGTGGGGGAACTCCCTCCCCAGCCAAGGGAAGCCATGAGGGACCATGCCGTGAGGGATGGTGCACTTCGGCCCATATACTATGCTTTTCCCATGGTCTTCGCAACGTGCAAACCAGGAGATTCCCTCGGGTGCCTATGCCACCAGGGCCCTGGGTTTCAAGCACAAAACTGGGCAGCCGTTTGGGCAGACACCAAGCTTAGCTACAGGAGTTTTTTTTTATCATACCCCAGTGGTGCCTGGAACGCCAGTGAGACAGAACTGTTCACTTCCCTGGAAAGGGGGCTGAAGCCAGGGAGCCAAATGGTCTAGCTTAGCAGATCCCGGCCCCACAGAGCCCAGCAAGCTAAGATCCACTGGCTTGAAATTCTCGCTGCCAGCACAGCAGTCTGAAGTTGAGCTGGGACACTCCAGCTTGGTGGGAGGAGGGGCGTCCACCATTACTGAGGCTTGAGTAGGTGGTTTTCCCCTCACAGTGTAAACAAAGCTGCTGGAAAGTTCCAACTGGGCGGAGCCCACCACAGTTCAGCAAAGCCTCTGTAGCCAGACTGCCTCTCTAGATTCCTCCTTTCTGGGCAGGGCATCTCTGAAAGAAAGGCAGCAGCTCCAGTCAGGGGCTTATAGATAAAACTCCCATCTCCCTGGGACAGAGCACCTGGGGGAAGGGGCAGCTGTCACACAGCTTCAGCAGACTTAAACGTTCCTGCCTGCCAGCTCTGAAGAGAGCAGTGGATCTTCCAGCACAGCGCTCGGGCTCTGCTAAGAGACAGACTGCCTCCTCAAATGGGTCCCTGACCCCTGTGCCTCCTGACTGGGAGACACCTCCCAGCAGGGGTCAACAGACACCTCATACAGGAGAGCTGCAGCTGGCATCTGGTGGTGCCCCTCTGGGATGAAGCTTCCAGAGAAAGGAACAGGCAGCATTCTTTGCTGTCCTGCAGCCTCCACTGGTGATACCCAGGCAAACAGGGTCTGGAGTGGACCTCCACCAAACTTCAGCAGACTGCAGCTGAGGGGCCTGACTGTTAAAAGGAAAACTAACAAACAGAAAGCAAAAGCATCAACATCAACAAAAAGGATGTCCACAAAGAAACCCCATCTGCAGGTCACCAACATCAAATACCAAAGGTAGATAAATCCACGAAGATGAGGAAAAAACAGCACAAAAAGGCTGAAAATTCCAAAATCCAGAACGTCTCTTTTCCTCCAAAGGATCACAATTCCTCACCAGCAAGGGAACAAAACTGGACGGACAGAGAATGAGTTTGACGAATCGACAGAAGTAGGCTTCAGAAGGTGGGTAATAACAAACTCCTCCGAGCTAAAGGAGCATGTTCCAACAAAATGCAAGGAAGCTAAGAACCTTGAAAAAAGGTTAGACGAATGGCTAACTAGAATAACCAGTTTAGAGAACATAAATGACTTAATGGAGCTGAAAAACACACAAGAGAACTTCGTGAAACATACACAAGTATCAATAGCTGAACTGATCAAGCGGAAGAAAGGATATCAGAGATTGAAGATGAACATAATGAAATAAAGTGTGAATACAAGATTAGAGAAAAAAGAATGAAAAGGAATGAGCAAAGCCTCCAAGAAATATGGGACTACGTGAAAATACCAAACCTACATTTGATTAGTGTACCTGAAAGTGACAGGGAGAATGGAACCAAGTTAGAAAACACTCTTCAAGGTATTATCCAGGAGAACTTGCCCGACCTAGAAAGACAGGCCAACATTCAAATTCAGGAAATACAGAGAACACCACAAAGATACTCCTTGAGAAGAGCAACCCCAAGACACATAATCATCAGATTGAACCAAGGTTGAAATGAAGGAAAAAATGTTAAGGGCAGCCAGAGAGAAAGGTTGGGTTACCCACAAAGGGAAGCCCATCAGACAAACAGCGGATCTCTCTGCAGAAACCCTACAAGCCAGAAGAGAGTGGGGGGCAATATTCAACATTCTTAAGGAAAAACAACCCAGAATTTCATATCCAGCCAAACTAAGCCTCATAAGCAAAGGAGAAATAAAATCCTTTACAGACAAGCACATGCTGAGAGATTTTGTCACTACCAGGCCTGCCTTACAAGAGCTCCTGAAGGAACCACTAAATATGGAAAGGAAAAACCAGTACCAGCCACTTCAAAAACATACCAAATTGTAAAGACCATTGACAGTATGAAGAAACTGCATCAACTAACAGCCAAAATAACCAGCTAGCATCATAATGACAGGATCAAATTCACACATAACAATATTAACCGTAAATGTAAACAGGCTAAATGCCCCAATTAAAAGACATAGACTGGCAAATTGGATGAAGAGTCAAGACCCATCAGTGTGCTGTATTTAGGAGACCCATTTCACGTGCAAAGACACACATAGGCTCAAAATAAAGGGATGGAGGAATATTTACCAAGCAAATTGAAAGGAAAAAAGCAAGGGTTGCAACCTTCGTCTCTGATAAAACAGACTTTAAACCAAAAAAGATTAAAAAAAGATAAAGAAGGGCATTACATGATGGTAAAGGGATCAATGCAACATGAAGAGCTAACTATCCTAACTATATATATATGCACCAAATACAGGAGCACCCAGATTCACAAAGTAAGTTCTTAGAGACCTACAAAGCGAGTTAGACTCCCACACAATAATAGTGGGAGACTTTAACACCCCACTGTCAATACTAGATCAACAAGACAGAAAATTAACAAGAATATTCAGGACTTGAACTCAGCTCTGGACCAAGCAGACGTAATAGACATCTACAGAACTCTCCACCCCAAATCAACAGAATATACATTCTTCTCAGCATTACATCACACTTATCCTAAAATTGAGCACTTAATTAGAAGTAAAACACTCCGCAGCAAATGCAGAAGAATGGAAATCATAACAAACAGTCTCCCAGACCACAGTGCAATAAAATTACAACTCAGGATTAGGAAACTCACTCAAAACCACACAACTACATGGAAACTAAACAACCTGCTCCTGAATGACTACTAGGTAAATAACAAAATTAAGGTAGAAATAAATGAGTTCTTTGAAACCAATGAGAATGATGACACAACGTACCAGAATCCCTGGGACACAGCTAAAGCAGTGTTTAGAGGGAAACTGATAGCACTAAATGCCCACAAGAGAAAGCAGGAAAGATCTAAAATTGACACCCTAACATCACAATTAAAAGAACCAGAGAAGCAAGAGCAAAAAAATTCAAAAGCTAGCAGAAGACAAGAAATAACTAAGATCAGAGCAGAACTGAAGGAGATAGAGACACAAAAAACCCTTCAAAAAAATCAATGAATCCAGGAGCTGGTTTTTTGAAAAGATTAACAAAATAGACCACTAGCCAGCTAATGAAGAAGAAAGGAGAGAAGAATCAAATAGACACAATAAAAAATGATAAAGGGGATATCATCACTGATCCCACAGAAATACAAACTACCATCAGAGAATACTATAAACACTTCTACACAAATAAACTAGAAAATCTAGAAGAAATGGATAAATTCCTGGACACAAATACCCTCCCAAGACTAAACCAGGAAGAAGATGAATCCCTGAATAGACCAATAAAAAGTTCTGAAATGAGGCAGGAATTAATAGCCTACCAACCAAAAAAAGCCCAGGACCAGACAGATTCACAGCTGAATTCTACCAGACGTGCAAAGAGGAGCTGGTACCATTCCTTCTGAAAGTATTCCAAATAATAGAAAAAGAGGGACTCCTCCCTAACTCATTTTATGAGACCAGCATCATCCTGATATCAAAACCTGGCAGAGACACAACAAAAAAAGAAAATTTCAGGCCAATATCCCTGATGAACATCAATGTGAAAATCCTCAATAAAATCTGGCAAACCGAATCCAGCAGCACATCAAAAAGCTTATCCACCACGATCAAGTCAGCTTCATCCCTGGGATGCAGGGCTGGTTCAACATATGTACATCAATAAACATGATCCATCAAATAAACAGAACCAATGACAAAAACCACATAATTATCTCAATAGATGCAGAAAAGGCCTTCAATAAAATTCAATACCCTTTCATGCTAAAAACTCTCAATAAACTATGTATTGAAGGAATGTATCTCAGAACAGTAAGACCTATTTATGACAAACCCACAGCCAATATCATACTGAATGGGCAAAAGCTGGAAGCATTCCCTTTGAAAACTTGCACAAGACAAGGATGCCCTCTCTCACCACTCCTATTCAATACAGTATTGGAAATTCTGGCCAGGGCAATCAGGCAAGAGAAAGAAATAAATGGTATTTAAATAGGAAGAGAGAAAATAAAATTGCTTCTGCTTGCAGATGACCTGATTGTATATTTAGAAAACCCCATCATCTCAGCCCAAAATCTTCTTAAGCTGATAAGCAACTTCAACAAAGTTGCAGGATACAAAATCAATGTGCAAAAATCACAAACATTCCTACACACCAATAATAGGCAAACAGAGAGCCAAATCATGAGTGAACTCCCATTCACAATTGCTGCAAAGAGAATAAAACACCTAGGAACACAACTTACAAGGGATGTGAAGGACTTCTTCAAGGAGAACTACAAACCGCTGCTAAAAGAAATAAGAGAGGACACAAACAAATGGAAAAACATTCCATGCTCATGGATAGGAAGAATCAATATCGTGAAAATAACCATACTGCCCAAGGTAATTTATAGATTCAATGCCATCCCTATCAAGCTACCATTGACTTTCTTCACAGAATTAGAAAAAACTACTTTAAAGTTCATATGAAACCAACAAAAAAAAAGCTCGTATAGCTAAGACAATCTTAAGCAAAAAGAACAAAGCTGTAGGCATCACACTACCTGTCTTCACACTATACTACAAGGCTACAGTAACCAGAACAGCAAGGTACTGGTACCAAAACAGATATAGACCAATGGAACAGAACAGAGGCCTCAGAAATAATGCCACACATCTACAACCATCTGATCCTTGACAAACCTGACGAAAACAAGAAATGGGGAAGGATTCCCTATTTAATAAATGGTGGTGGGAAAACTGGTTAGCCATATGCAGAAAACTGAAACTGGATCCCTTCCTTACACCTTATAAAAAAATTAACTCAAGATGGATTAAAGACTTACACGTAAGATCTAAAACCATAAAAATCCTAGAAGAAAACCTAGGCGATACCATTCAGGACATAGGCATGGGCAAAGACTTCATGACTAAAACACCAAAAGCAATGGCAGCAAAAGCCAAAATAGACAAATGGGATCTAATTAAACTTAAGAGCTTCTGCACAGCAAAAGAAACTATCATCAGAGTAAACAGGCAACCTACAGAATGGGAGAAAAATTTTGCAATCTATCCCTCTGACAAAGGGCTAATATCCAGAATCTACAAGGAACTTAAACAAATGTACAAGAAAAAAACAAACAACCCTATCAAAAAGTGGGCAAAGGATATGAACAGACACTTCTCAAAAGAAGACATTTACGTGGCCAACAAACATGAAAAAAAGGTCATCATCACTAGTGATTAGAGAAATGCAACTCAAAATGACAAGGCCATAGCATCTCATGCCAGTTAGAATGGCAATAATTAAAAAGGAAACAACAGATGCTGGAGAGGATGTGGAGAAATAGGAATGCTTTTACACTGTTGGTGGGAGTGTAAATTAGTTCAACCATTGCAGACAACAACGTGGTGATTCCTTAAGGATCTAGATCCAGAAATACCATTTGACCCAGCAATCCCATTAATGGGTATATACCCAAGAGATTATAAATCGTTCTACTATAAAGACACATGCACCCGTATGTTTATTGCAGCACTGTTCACAATAGCAAAGACTTGGAACCAACCCAAATGCCCATCAATGATAGACTGGATAAAGAAAATTTGGCACATATACACCATGGAATACTATGCAGCCATCAAAAAGGATGAGTTCATGTCCTTTGCAGGGACGTGGGTGAAGCTGGAAACCATCATTCTCAGCAAACTAACACAAGAACAGAAAACCAAACACTGCATGTTCTCACTCATAAGTGGGAGCTGGACGATGAGAACACATGGACACAGGAAGGGGAACATCACACACCAGGGCCTGTTGGGGGGTGGGGGTTAGGGGAGGGATAGCATTAGGAGAAATACCTAATGTAGATGAGGTGTTGATGGGTGCAGCAAACCACCATGGCACACATATCTATGTGAAAAAATCTGCATGTTCTGCACATGTATCCTAGAACTTAAAGTAAAAAAAAAAGAATTAAAGGTCATCAGTGTACAATGAAAAAAAAGATGGTGGAGAAATAGTTTCCACCTCTTAATGGGAGAATAGTAAGCACATGCAGGAATTGAAGGAATTGATGGCAGCCATTTTGCAGGCAAGCTACCACAACTACTATGGACTGGGAGATTTGAGGGAAGTAGCAAGAAACATTATTTTCTAACCACCTAAAAGGTACAAACGACCACTGAGGGTTCACTTTTTGTTCATTCCTCAATGCTTCTTTTCAGGTCCTCTCTACTGCATAGAGACAAATGTAAGTTTTGAAGTCCAAAATAATTGAGTTGCTTAATGCTATAAGAAGTTGCATTTATTCAAAATACAAACACAATTCAGCTTTTGGTGGGATTTTTTATGTTTTATTGTTTGATTATTCACTTTTTACCTACCAAATTGCAAAACTTAAAAATCATATTCAAAATTGAAGAGTGTACTATAAAGGAGATATTTTCATATTTTATAGTTGGAAATGTAAATCTACAATACTGCAATGTGACAGTGAGTGTAAGTGACATTAACTAGGCCAAGCACGGTGGCTCATATCTACAGTCGTAGCACTTTGGGAGGCTGCAGTGGAAGGATTGCTCGAAACCAGAAGTTCAAGACTAACCTAGGCAAAAAGGCAAGACCTTGTCTCTACGAAAATAAAAATTTTTAAATAAAAAATTAGCTGGGCTGGGTGGTGCACACCTGTAGTTCCAGCTATTCAGGCAGCTCAGGCAAAAGGATCCCTTGAGCGCAGGAGTTAGAGACTGCAGTGAGCCATAATGGTGCCTGGACTCCAGAACAAGACTCTATCTCTAAAAAAATAAATAAATAAAAGAAAGATATCAACTAAAAAAAAATAAGTAACTCGTTCGTATATATCAACAGTGCAACTTTGATGCAGTAGCTTAATGCTATTTCATTCCCATCTTTCTCTAAAAGAATGATTAAAGTATGTACTGTTTATACAACATTATCAGTTATTATTAAGTGAAAGGCCATTGACCTTTAATATTATCAGAGCCAAGTGGATTTAGGCCAGCTCTTTGATATCTAGGCCAGCTCCTTGACTCACAGTAGTTTGAGTTTTCTGTTTCAACACTCATGAAGTAAAAAGTAATTTTTAAAATTCTTAAACTTTTTCAGACAGCCAAAATGTTCATCAGTTATTTGAACTTGGACGTAAACAGAATTTCCAGCTATTTGAATCAATTAAACTGTCTGTTAAATCTATTTTATAGGTTACAACCTAAACCTATCCTCCAACCCCTCAGTACGTGTGTGTGCACTGCATGCACACACATATACACTCACATTTTAGCTTAACTTGCTGCCTTAAATAAGGCTATAGTTGGTATGAAACTTTATATCACTAATGCATAGATAAATGCAGGTAGTTAAAATAGATGGCATAAAGAGAAATATTCTTACAGTAATCTGTAAGTGTATCTTTCAGACCTAAATCACCTTAGAAAGAAATTTCACTTCTAAATAGATCATAAAATGTGTTTCCAGTGATATGAGATTCAGCCCTTCTTCTTTATTTTATTTATGTATTTTGAGACAGAGTCTTGCTCTGTCGCCCAGGCTGGAGTGCAATGGCACGATCTCAGCTCACTGCAACCTCAGCCTCCCAGGTTCAAATAATTCTCCTGCCTCAGCCTCCCAAGTAGCTGGGACTACAGGCATGTGCCACCATACCCAGCTAATTTTTGTATTTTTAGTAGAGATGGGGTTTCGCCATGTTGGCCAGGTTGGTCTCAAACTCCTGACCTCAGGTAATCCACCCGCCTTGGGTGTAATCCCTCCCAAAGTGCTGGGATTACAGGCGTGAGCCACCGCACTCGGCCAACCTTTCTTTTTAAACTACCCTTTAAGATAGCACTGGCAACATCTTGCTGGGTTACAGTGAAGAGGCTCTTTTTAGTTCAATGAAAGGATGATAATGATTGTCATGAAAGCTGTTGAACTGGGCATCTATGAAAAGTGGTTGTCTCCCTACTAGGGGATGCTGTGTGAAAATAAACTTTGGTTATTTCATCTTGATTGATAATTTGTTGAATATCTGCTGTGTTCATCTTTGAGTAACAAAATATAATTCAGGGATATTATTTGTTGGTGTAGTGCATAGCTATGTAGTATATTTAAAATAATATAAAATCTTAAGAAATAAGTATCTTTATTATACTTGCTTTACAGATGAGAAACTGAGGCTAGGATTTAAATGATTTATCCCCAAATCACTGATTTAAATTCTGACCATCTGACTCTAGAAACTATCCTTTTAAACAGCATGGGGTAGGTGTGGAGAGGAGGTTGGTATTGAAATGTTATATCTGCACTGGAATCTAGGAAAAGCAGAATTATGAGATCTCAGGGAAAGTGAGGACTGGGACCTGTCTAGGGACAGTCCACTCCCTCAATTCCAACTCCCTGTCTCTAGTTTCTCGTTTTTCTTCTGCCCCATTCTTATCCCTGCCTACTTCTTTCTCACCTTTATGAACCATTCCTATCCCTAAGACTAAATCTTCTGGCTTCTCAGTCCACAACTATCTCCATTTCTCAGATTGTCTATTTCAAAGTATCAAGCAAAGAATCTACCTTGTGCAGCTCATCTTTTAATCTTATACATGACAAAGACAACTGTGCATTACACATCACTTTGGGTCAGGAGTCTACCTCTGACCTAAGAAGCTGTTGTCAGGTAGTATATGCCGGTTGGGAGTAATGAGGAGAAACTAGCACAGTCTAGAGAGTGATGTGAAAGCAAGAAGGCAAACACAAATCACAACCAGTAGTTCCAAAAAAAGACTAATGAGACTGGGCTGGCTACTGATTATTTTCCTTTGAGGGAAAAAAAAAAGAGATTGAGAGAGGAAAAACCTTTCCTCTATCACATAAGCACTAAAATGAGCTGTTGTCTAAAACCCTTGGCCTTTCGTCTCATGTTCTCTCAACCTATCTTTGTTCCAGAGAAAGGGAAAGTCTAAAGAAGGCTGTACTTTTCTTTTAAAACATGAAAACAAAACAAAATCTCTTGCCATAAGACTCCAAATATTGACTTTTTAAGCCCAAGTTTCATTTCTCTATGGGAATTACTGCATAACACATAGCTTACGAGACATTTTCTCACAACTTCCCACTCAAAACAAGCAGTAACACCCTACCACCACCACTACAGAATTGCACTATCCCTAACACATATGATCATTACAAGCACATTTTGGACAGAAGCAGCCATTTTTCCCAGTGACCTATCACTTGTGGACACTTATATGTGCCAAGCACTTGGCCCAGGCAGCACAATTCCTATGTCCTTGGCAAACAGGAAGGAGAAGACGGCAAAAGGCAGTGATTTGGGGTGACAAGTTTTCACTAGAAAATAGGAGCGTCTCTTCTTTATTCCCACTTGACTGAACTTCCAGCATATATTCAATGTAACAAAAACATTATATTGGAAACACAAGGCATCCAGGCCTTTGGCCAAAAATGTAGGGGAAAAAAATAGAAAGCCTAATATTTCATGGGAAATTCTTGGCTTAAATAATATTTTAATAAAGCTTAGCTACATATGCCAATAAAGCATAGAGATGACATACTGATTTATGATTTAAATATCATTATAGTCTCTGTGATGCTGGTATCATTTTGTATCAAACAATATGAAAGAGGAAAAATCACTGGGGAAAAGAAGAGAAGAGCAACATGAAATCAATTGAGATATCAGTAGAATGTTTATTGCATATACCATCTAATTAAAAATTTGCTGTAAGGGTAATAATAGCTAACATACATTGAGCAGATATGATATAAGCCTTACAAGTATAATCTCTTTTGATCTTGAAAAAATTTCCCTGAGGTAGATATTATTATTTCCATTTAATAATTGAGATTCATAAAGGCTAACTTGAGCAAGGTTTAGCAGAACTCAGAGGCAAACTCAAGCAATCCAACTTCAAGGCCACACTCTTAGTCGTGTGCTATACTAGAATAAAGATTAATTTAGTGAAGTCAATTATTTGTTTTGGGAATAAATGATTTATACTGTATGTGTTAATACTGAGTGTCAACTTGACTGGATTGAAGGATGCAAAGTATTATTCCTGGGTATGTCTGAGGGTGTTGCCAAAGGAAATTAACATCTGAGTCAGTGGGTTGGGAAAGGTAGACCCACCCTTAACCTGGGTGGGCACCATCTAATCAGTTGTTAGCACAGCCAGAATATAAAGCAGGCAGAGAAATGTGAAAAGACTGGACTGGATTAGCCTCCCAGCCTACATCTTTCTCCCGTGCTGGATGCTTCCTGCCCTCGAACACTGGACTCCAGTTTCTCCAGCTTTGGGACTTGGACTGGCTCCTTGCTCCTCAGCTTGCACATGGCCTATTGTGGAACCTCACCTTGTGATTGTGTGAGTTAATAGTCCTTAACAAACTCCCCTTTATATATACATCTATCCTAATAGCTCTGTTCTCTAAAGAACCCTGACTAATACAGTATGTGACATATAATAAAGAATAATTATGTGAATCTATGTAGAATACTATTGAAAAGAGAAATGGACCAGGAGACCTGACTTCTAGTCTTGATTCTATCAATTGAATATATGGCCTTGGATTTATCATTTAAAGGCTGGGTCCCCATTTCCTCATTTGCAAAAGGAAAACCAAAAGACATGACAATAACTACCCTGTTGGCCTCACTGAGTTTTTATTAATCTCAAATAAAATGATGGGAAAATAACTTTATAACTTGAAAAGCACATTCCAATACGGAATGTTAGTATGAGAGCCCACTACATTGACCATACCTTAATGAGCACTACATGAGATTTTTAAAATCACAGAATAAGTGTTTTATTTCCTCTAAAAACAAATTGACTATCCAACTTTGCAAAGGTGAGATCGTATATTCAAGATAAGAAATTGAATAAAAATAGCTCCAGAATATTGATACCCTAGAGGTCCTGGAAAGGGAAAATCCAAAATCAGTCTGCTGGGGTACAATCTAGATCCCATAGGGAGGAAAAAAAAACAAGAAAATTAACTCACATTCAAAATTAAAACCACATGAGAAAACACATACCAAGATTGGAACCCAGACACAACCAATAGGAATATTAGCACAATAACTAGAAATCATTATAAAACAATCTATAAGAAGTTTTAAAGTATGTATGTTTGCCAGTAAGCATGTGAAAATGTGTTCAACATCATTCCTCACTGGGAATGCAAATTTAAAAAACTATCCCCTAAAATGGCTGAAATGACAAGGACTGGCAATACCAAGTGGGGTGAGGTTGGAACTCTCATATAACTGCAGAAGGGAGCGTGCATGGCACAACCAGTATGGAATACTGGCAGTTTCTACTAAGGCTAAATAGGTACCTATACCAGGACCCAACAATTTCATGCTAGGGCATATATCCAGGTGAAATGAATGCTTATGCCCACAATAGATCTTGTACAGAAATGTTCCATAGCAGCTTTATTTATAATAGTCAAATTTATAATAGTCAAACAAACATAAATAACCCATATGCCTGTCAATAGGAGAATGGATAAATAAATGGTGTTATATTCACAAAATGAAATACTATTACTGGAATATAAAACAACCTGGCCACATTTCACAGACACTCTGTTGAGTGAAAGAAGCAGGTACTAAAGAGTACCTACTGTGTTATTCCATGCATACAAAGCTCAACAACAAACAAAACAAACTGCTGATGAAATGCCATAAAAAGGTGAGCTCTGCTAGGGAGCAATTACAGTCTAAAAAGGGCAGAAAGAAATCTTCTATGGTGATAGATATGCTTTATATCTTAATATCTGATCCATGTGGTAGTTAATTAGTTGTACATATAGGTTTTTAAAAGGTGGTTAAAAAAAATAGAACTTCTAGGAAAAAAACCTCTAAAATTATTATTAAAATTCAGTGGATATATCAAACCATAATTAAGCTTAGATGATGAGAGAATTATTTCCATTGGAAACAGATCTAGAATGCAGTGCAGAATAAGTAGATAAAAACCATGGAAGAACAACCAGAAGATATGGAGGATAAAATGAAAAGGTCTGAACTAGGGATCTCAGAGGAGAGAAAGAGAAAATGAGGAGGGTTCAAAGAGCCAAAAACTATTCCCAAAAGAAGACATTTATGCAGCCAATAAACATATGAAAAAAAGCTCATCATCACTGGTCATTACAGAAATGAAAATCAAAACCACAATGAGATACCATCTCATGCCAGTTAGAATGGTGATCATTATAAAGTCAGGAAACAACAGATGCTGGAGAGGATGTGGAGAAATAGGAATGCTTTTACACTGTTGGTGGGAGTGTAAATTAGTTCAACCATTGTGGAAGACAGTGTGGTGATTCCTCAAGGATCTAGATCCAGAAATACCATTGACCCAGCAATCCCATTACTGGGTATAGACCCAAAGGATTATAAATCATTCTACTATAAAGACACATGCACACATATGTTTATTGCAGCACTGTTCACAATAGCAAAGACTTGGAACCAACCCAAATGCCCATCAATGATAGACTGGATAGAGAAAATATGGCACATATACACCATGGAATACTATGCAGCCATCAAAAAGGATGAGTTCATGTCCTTTGCAGAGAAATGGATGAAGCTGCAAACCATCATTCTCAGCAAACTAACACACGAACAGAAAACCAAACACCGCATGTTCTCACTCATAAGTGGGAGTTGGACAATGAGAACACATGGACACAGAGAGGGCAACATCACACACTGGGGCCTGTCAGGGGGTGGCGGTTAGGGGAGGGATAGCATTAGGAGAAATACCTAATGTGTAGATGACGGGTTGATGAGTGCAGCAAAACCACCAAGGCATGTGTATGCCTATGTAACAAACCTGCACGTTCTGTACATGTATCCCAGAACTTAAAGTATAATAATAATAATAAAGAAATTCAGACTCAGATGATTTCAAAATTATTCTAAGCTTTCAAGAAGCAGCTAATCCCTACTCTATATACATTATTTCAACCGATGGAGAAAGAATACACACCAATTCTTTTTACAAAGACTCATAACATTTACCCAAAACCAGACAGAGAAAACACAGAAAAAAATAATACAGACCAATCTCATTCACAAATATTTATGCAAAAGTCCTAAGTAAATTGTTTAACAAACATGATCCAGCATTATATTAAAATAACAGTTCACAGTGACCAATTGGAGTTTAACCTCAGGAATGTAAAAATAGTTTAATTTTTTTTAATCTAGTGACTTAATTCACCATATTAACTGGTCAAAGAAGAAAAAAATAGATAAACTTGGTAGATGCTAAAAAGGCATTTTGTGTAATTCTTTATCCATCACTGATTTAAAAAACAGAAAAGTAGTAAAAACATACCACCTTAAAGTGATAAATATATAAATTATATATTCTGGAAGCATTTTATTAAAATCACTAAGAAGAGAAAGCATGCCTGTTATCACCATTTTTGTTTATCAATAATCTAACAATACTAACAAATTCAGGCTAAGAAAAAATAAAATAATAAATAATGAATTACATCCTAATTATTAAGGATGCTGTATCCAAGTTATAATTATTTTTAAAAATATTGTTTTAGGGCCAGGCGAGGTGGCTCATGCCTGTAATCCCAGCACTTTAGGAGGACAAGGCAGGCGGATCAGCCTGGCCAACATGGTGAAACCCCGTCTCTACTAAAAAAAAATACAGAAATTAGCCAGACTTGGTGGCAGGTGCCTATAATTCCAGCTACTTGGGAGGCTGAGGCAGGAGAATTGCTTGAACCTGGGAGGCAGAGGTTGCAGTGAGTTGAGATCGCGCCACTGCACTCCAGCCTGGGCGACAGAGCAAGACTCCATCTCAGAAAACAACAACAACAATAACAACAAAAAATATATATATATATGTAGTTTTAGGTGTCCTGGGCCTGTGCTAAATCCTTTACATACTCAACTCATTTAATCTATACAACTCTGAGAGGTAGATGTTAGTCCATTTCGCAGAAGAGGAGATTGAGGCTCAGAGTCGTTAAGTATGTTATTCAAAGTCATCAACCAAGTAAATGGCAGAACTGGCACCTGATCTCGTCTTTCTGACTGTAAACCTCTGTGAACTTAAATGGAAGGTTATACTATAGCTCATGCATCTCCCATAATTTCTCAATTTTTTAAAGAAAGATTGACTTTCAAATCCATAATAAATTTCAAGAGGAGATCATTTTATTATCCCATCAATTCTAACAAAAAATGAGGTAATTTGACATTTTAAATTAGACACAACTCTCAAACATGTAATTCCAGTGTGAACTTGTTTAGAAAAAATGACCTGGTGAAAGTTTTTCTGGCACAGAACATTTTTACCTTAAAAAAAAATCATTTAACAGCAGAAAAAATATCCTGGCTTCATTGGGCCCAACAAGTCTAAATATCACTTTAAAACTTTCAACCTCTATAATCCTTTCTATAGCTGACAGTTTTGAAAGGTGGCAATAAGGACCTGCTCTACAGAGAGTTCTGGAAAATGTCAGGTTTCTCTTTCCAAGCATTGCGTGAGTCACTAATTTTGGCAAAACATAATGACATGAAAGCATAGCAATGGATCAGGTGATCCTTGGGAATTGCTTTTTCCCTGAGTTTCAGAAATCCTGTGAAGAGTTCCTGTGAAGAATTCCTATGGCAGGACAGATCCCAGGCTCACGCGAACTTACCTTTCTTTGGCATGAGAACATGAAAGCATAATTTCAGGCCCTGAAAAAAATCAACAGTGACAGCCACTATTTCTCATCTTCTCTTGGGAGAGGGCCTACTAGCTTTATTTATAATTAGTATTTTGTAGCCTACCAGTAGAACATAATCAGCATGGGTACTCTTTCTTTGATGGAAGGAACTACTTTTCTCTTGGAAACACTATTACAGTAAAACACATGTGTTGATTTCTGAGTCCTTATTTTATTACCAGTATCTTGGTTGGCTCCTTTTTAGTCCCCAGTGTCTTAATTAAGTTCAAGAGTTGAGGAGACGGTAGTACAAGTATTGGTTAGTTATAATAGCACTCTGAGGGTTGGTAAGATCTCAAAAATATTCAGGTCTATAAAATGATAAAATAAATCTGTGAGCTGTAGCTTTTCCTTCCTACCCCCACAGCCTGCTCTGAGACCTTCTTGACCATCACCAAACTAAAACCAGCCCTAAGATATTAATGAGTTGATATTTATTAAGTACTTATCACAGGCCAGGAACTATCCTAAGCATCTTATATTATCTCATCTTGCCCTAAAAATAATTCTATGAGGTTCTAATACCTGGCTGGGCAAGAGAATCTCCAGGATAACTTTTAAATGTGCTTTATTTTATTAGAAGTGTTTATACCTTTTCATTAAAGATATTTTAATTTCTGGGCCAAAGATCATACTTCTTATTCTATCCTTGCTCAATAGAAGTCTGGTGGGGCATGAAATCATATTACCAGGTGTTTCTCGTGCAGCTGGACCATAGTTGGACAATCATCTCCTTGAGATATTGTCTAGTAAGAAAAGCACAGGATTTGGAATCAGATGTTCTGAGTCTGTCATAGCTTTCTACTTGCTTGGTAAGTGACTTTGGAAAGTCATTTTGCTAAATTCTAATCAATTCGTGTGCAAAATGAGAAAAATAACCTAATTTTCATGCAACTGTCTCAAGGATTAGGGTCAGTGATTTTCATAACCTAGTTACCTGGCAGACTCCCAATCCTTATTCATTGGGTAAATGGAGAGAACAGTGAAGGCACTTCCCAGTTTTCCCAGCTCTTCTTCTGCCTTTCCTCTTATCCATCTGCTATACTGATTTTCTTATTGTTCTTCAAGCACATCAAACTATTTCCTGCCTCAAAGCTTTTACACTTGCTCTTGGGCTGCCTGAAGCACTCTTTCCCAAGTTGATCATACAGTTGATTCTTTATTCAAATGTCACTGTTTTAAAGAGGTCTTTTTTGAACCCTATCTAAAACTGTCATCTCTGGCCCTAGTTACTTTTGATCCTTATCTCAATTTATTTTCTTTATATATTTTACCACTATTAATAATTATGTAATGTATTACTTGTTTGCTAACAGCTTTCTCCCCAAGAATGCCTTGGAGCAGGGATGTTGTTTTGCTCACCTAGATGCAAATCAAAGGGTAGTTATTGTTGTGAGTGCCTCCTTTCCTGACCTTTCTGATTCACACCTGTGAGCTTGCTAAAGTATGAGGAGCTGAGCTTGCAAAGAAGAAATGGGGTGACCTTATTTAAAACAGAGTGATGCTTTTCTGCACATAAATAGATACATATCTCAAAAAGAAATGTTCTCCGAATTCACTGGAACAAATAACTGAGAAGAGTTATACTGTCATTCCCATTCCATGATAACTCCAAAAAAGTAAGTTTATAACATGCTGTTTTGATTACTAGTTTATGTAACAATTTTATTAAGTTGATTCCAAAGCAATATGTTCCAAAGTGGTTTATACGAGGACACTAGTAAAGCAGCATACTAAGCAAATAGACCAACCATTATTTGTTCAGCTAACATGACTCGTTTCCATTGCCATTTTGAAGACCCTCCAAATTTTTAAGTCTAATATGGCTCAGGAAATCCAAGAGTTTGAAGTCTACAAGTCATGTCAAAGGCAAAGTCAACAACTGGAAGAATTTCACCCTTGCTCTCAAGGGTACTTTCAGAAACTTCACTGATTTGCATTTGGTAATCAAAGCAGCAGACAATTAGGAAAAGCATCAACCTAATATTTTCTCTACTTGTCTAAAGGCACTTGACAAGCTTTGTTTCTTAAGAGAATGAGAATGTCAGAAACCCAAAGAAAAATGCTCATAGGGTCTAAAAGGAACCTGGCAGATGCTGACTTACAACTGAACCAAAATCTTTTAATTGCTTTTTAATTGCATAAATTTCTGCAACATGAGTAAATTCTAACAGGATTCCTGCATACTCAAGAAAATTATAATAGTAAATAAAATTAGCTGTGTTCTAAACTTATTACTGATATCCTCTGGTAGTGTGCAAATTAGTCTTCACTCCTGAAAGAACAATTAAGAAAATTATTGAACAGTTAAGAAAATATACCTAACTTTTAGTGGACAACAGCATATAGTGATTGAATAAGCAGATGAATAAAATAAGCCCTAAGTAGTAAATGTGCTCTTGAAAATTAATTGATTTTTTTTTGCCAATTTCTCAGCCAGAGGCAAATTTAAATGTTCACTGTTTGGACCATAATATGAGGGAGAGCTAGAGGTCAGTCAATAATAAATATTTATTGAGCAGTTACTATGTGTCCAGAAAGACTTTTGGGGGATAGAGGTATATGTCAGTTAAGCTTAAAATCAAGTTGTAAAGAGAAACTTAGCTAGCAAATGCCAGACAAGTTTAAGTATTGCTGACTTAGAGCAATTAGGGAAGTTAGGGAAGTTGCTAAAGAAGGGAGAAATGGATAATTTTGCAGGAGTGTCCAATCTTTTGGCTTCCCTGGGCCATATTGGAAGAAGAATTGTCTTGGGTCACACATAATGTACAATAACACTAACGATAGCTGATAAGCTAAAAATCACAAAAAAATCTCATAATTTTAAGAAAGTTTACGAATTTGTGTTGGGCAGCATTCAAAGCTCTCCTGGGTTGCATGCAGCTCGCGGGCCACGTGTTGGACAAGCTTGATTTAAAGGTAGAGCAATATAGTAAAGAGAAAAGTGAGAATAAGAAAATTTTTGTAGACAGCTATAGAAACAGACTTCAAAGTGAATTCCAAAAGTTCACATTTCCTATGTGGGTTCTGAGAAATAGTTGCAAAACCATGAAGGGTAGAGAGAGATGAGAGAGAAAATGCAAGAGAGAGAAATACCATGTTTTGAACACTATTCCTACTTCTTTTCATTTGACAAGTATTTATTGAGTACCTACTCTTGGGATCTCGGAACAATTTGAGACCCTGGGTGTGTGGTGATATTAAACAATGTGCTCTCATGCAGCTTCCACTTAGTGCAGAAAAACTAGTTGAAGGACAAAGACATACACTGCTTAAGGAAACAATGTAGAAAGGGAATACAAAGAAAAATATATATCTGTAATATTCTTATAGCACACATTCTTTACCATTTAAAATGATTACTATTTGTTCTTAGGCCTACTATTGTCAAACATTTACTTATTAATTTCTTCAAATTTGATCTTTATTATGTGCCCTGATTTTGAATCAATCAAGTTAAATTACTGACTAATAAAAATATGACATTCTGTTATGAAAGCAAGTTGAAACGATTTAAAATTGCGTATTTGGAAGAATACATCTCAATGAAAAAAAAGAGTCTGAAATATGTATTATACCAAAAGAACAGAATTTTCAGAGAATTCAGATATGGATTTTTTTGTTGCAAATCTTCTCATAAATTCTCCACAGTACTTCAGCTCTTCTCATTCCAATTTTCTTATTATTTTTCTGTTACTATGATAAACATCACAGTCACCTCTGACTTTTCCCTTTTCCAATATTGACTCTGTATAACATTCCTTTTGTATGTATTTGTATAGTGCCCACTGATGTTACCTATTAGCCCAAGACCTCATTCCTTCTCTAATTAATGTAACAGTTTCCAGCACCCTCTTCTGCCAGTTACAGAATTTTGGAGCCCAGAGGGACTATACTCAAGAAATGCAACCCTTAAAGCCATTATATTCTCTGCTTCTGGATCAATCCTCTTAAAACAGGCTCTTATTGTGTAGTTTTCTGATCAAAATCTTTCCATGGCTTACCACTACATACTGAGGACTCCTCAGCTTCTTTTGTTGAGCATTTAAGGCTGTCTATGCATTTTTTAAGGCCCCAATATGCTTTTTCAACTTTGTATTTTTCATTCATTGATTCAAAAATATTTTTTGAGCCCATTTATAATTTAAATGGTGCTAGGGCCTTGCTACAAAGATGAACAAGTCACAGCCTTGCCCTCTAGCAGTCCCCAGTTTAAGGGAGGGGGTACAGGAGTGGTGGGAATGGGTGTGACGAGTACATGAAAATCTCATTAAGTATTGAGAGTAGGTGGTAACAGCGCCTGCCCAGGGAGCACTGAACTCAAGTGTCCAATCCTGCTGTGTAGCCAACTTGGCTTCATCAATGCTGACGTGGGCTGTCTTTTCTCTGCTTTTCTGTATACCCTAAATATATCTAGGCTTACAAAGCCTAGATCAGATGCCAAATAATCCATGGATTTTTCCTTAGTCTCCTACTCTTAAATATCTCTCATTTGAATTCCCATGACATTTTAAAATTTCCTTTCCTATTCTAATCACATCCCTGCTTGTATTAGAGAATATCTCTCTTACTACAACTGTCTGCCTCTTAAAAGCAACAACTATGACATATATTTATATATCTCTAGACACATAAACCTAAAAAAAGCTTACAAAGGTGTTCAGTAAATGTTCCCCAGGCTAAAATAATGAATAATAATGTGTACAAAGTCAAAGGTAAAATAGAACAATGGCGGGAATTGACTATACAAACTGATTCTTCATAGACTTGTAAAACTATTATACTACATAAATTACTGCAAAAATTAATGACAGTAGAAAGGAGGACTACCACTAACAAACTAGGATCCTGGGCTTACAGGGGTTAAGGAGATCTAACCACAAGGAGAAAAAAAAAGTTCTTAATTTGCCTTCATTAAAGACTAATTTTAGGTCTTTGGCTAATTAAATGAATACATTGTTTATGCTCCATACACTTTCGGCTCGAGTCTTGGAAAATACGTGGAACTTCCAAGAATTAAAGTTTCCATTAACGCAAGTGCCAAAATCAGGAGGCTTGACCTGTGGGAAAAAGCACATTTGTCTTCGCTGGCTCCTTTTCAAAAAGCTATAGATGTTTATTGTATAACCTTTTTTGTGCGCAAATGCTGTTTTATCATTCAGACCCATCTAGACAGAGGAAGAAGCTGCAACATTTCAGAAAGCAACCAATTACTGAGGACCGAATGACCTGGCCTTATCAGCGCTGAAGTGTTAACGGCCGTCCCTGTTTGGGGTAAAATTTCTTCATTGGGAGCCAGTCAGTGGTTTCTTTTTTTCTTTCTTTTCCTTAAGGGGCCGGGGGTGGTGGGGGGCAGTCGCTGTTTTGAGGTGTGTGTGTGTTTAATTCCCTGAGAACTGGCTTTGGCTGGTGAAGAAATACTTTACTATAGTGGGTTTCAGAACATCTTCCACCTGTATCTCTCCTAGCAGGTGGAAATTTAATGTAAATAATTGTGTGTGCCCACAGCTTGAACGCTTTGGAAGAATATTTTCTGACCTCTCTGCTTTTATTCAGTCCGAAGTAGCCCAGTTATCATGAAGTAGCCCAGTTATCTACCTAGATTACAAAATAAAATTAAAATTAAATCTCCTTACGTCAGTGAACTTGGAGTCAGAAAGTTCTCTCCCCTGAGCAGAGAGCCTTTTAAAGACTTGTGTGTCACGCTGGCGGCAGGGGGTCGCGGCTACTGGAAAGGAGCTGGCTCTGCAGGTCCCGCCCTCCCCCGGGTCGTCCCTCCCTCTGGCCTGCTCCCTACCTCCCGGGGACTTGCGCTCGCCCCCTCCCCGCCCGCCCCCTACTCCGCGACAACGTCGGCTTCCGAGGTCTGGCGTGCGTCAAAGCCCTAACTGGGAGGCTGATTTGTGGAGCATCGCCCCCCCGCCCCCGCCCCCCCAGTCCCTCCTCCTTCCACTGAAGTGGCCAAGGGAGTTGAGCTGAGCAGGGGGAGGGGAAGATCTACACCCATCCCCCTTCCTCTAGCCCTCCCTGCGTTTAGATTCAGTTGCACCTTTTATTATTTTAACTCTTCTCCTTAGGACACGCAGCCCCCAATTTGTCCCTCCGGCCTGGGCGGCCCCTGGTCCCGCGCGCCAGCATGGGAGAGCGAGGGACCTGCCCGCGGCCCGCCGGCGTGTGCAAGGAGGTCCAGCCGCCGCGCCCGCTACCCGGAGTCTGTAAGTTTCAAAGCTGCTCCGGGGGAGCGGAGGGGGGAGGCTGTCCGTGTTCCCGTAAATGATTTAAAATGCAAAACACCGCAGAGGCTTGCAGTGATGGATGGACTTTTCGGGGCACACTCCCTACTGCAACCCGCAGGCTGTTGTCTTGGGTTTTTTCCCCCCCGCACCTTGTATATTTGATTCCTTCGTTGTAAAAAAAAAAAAAAAAAAAAGTTTTCAATTTATAATATTATGATTTCCACAGGAACCTTTTTAACTCTTTTTAGATGCAACTCATACTTCTTTCGCATTTAAAATAATTCTTATAACTTATAAATTCTATAGCACACCACTTATTATAATTTTGTCAGATTACACGTTATTTAGACTGCGCAAGGAGTCATGGCCTTTGCTTACTTCTAAAAATAACGGAGGAAGAATTTTCTCTCTTTACTTTTAATATTGCTACATCATCTAAGTACTTTAATAAGTAGATCGTGCACCCAACTGGTCTTAATCTTCATGACTGACGCCACGTGCTGTAGCCTTGCACTAATTTACAGACGCGGTTAATCGCAGAGAATTATCTTTGAGCCTGCTGTTTACCGGAAGGCTCCTGGTTTTGTTTAACTAAGGCTATGTCCATATGTACTCAGAATAAGAAAAATTGAAACAGTTCTTTTTATTAAAACCAAGTAATTTTTCTGAGATCCCAGAACTCAAGCACAAGCTAGATTCATGTTTGGGTTAGTAAAAATCACATTTTTGGTTTTGCATGTCACCTCGCACATGTACAGACATATCCTTGAATACAAGGACCCAAGAGGTGAGGATAGGGTGGGTTTTTAAGTTTTTAATAAATGTTTCCCTCGTGCAGGAGGACGGGTGTCCAGGGACGGAGAGGCAGGTGAGAGGGAGGTGGCTAAGCTGGCTATGGTGACAGGACGATGTTGGCCAGAAAGAGTATCATCCCGGAGGAGTATGTGCTGGCGCGCATCGCCGCAGAGAACCTGCGCAAGCCGCGCATCCGAGACCGCCTCCCCAAAGCCCGCTTCATCGCCAAGAGCGGGGCCTGCAACCTGGCGCATAAGAACATCCGTGAGCAAGGACGCTTTCTACAGGACATCTTCACCACCTTGGTGGACCTGAAATGGCGCCACACGCTGGTCATCTTTACCATGTCCTTCCTCTGCAGCTGGCTGCTCTTCGCTATCATGTGGTGGCTGGTGGCCTTTGCCCATGGGGACATCTATGCTTACATGGAGAAAAGTGGAATGGAGAAAAGTGGTTTGGAGTCCACTGTGTGTGTGACTAATGTCAGGTAAGAATGTAGTGGGATGAGGCAGGGGTTGAAAACAGTAGAGAAAAAATGTCAAAATGCCCTTTCTCTTATCATTCTGTTATTTAATTGAAAGTGAAATAAAGGGTTTGTTTTAGAATCTTCAGAAACAAAAAAGCACAATAAAGAACAACACCTAACACAGTAAGTATTTTTTAAATGCAGCTTTATGGAGAAGAGTCTCTGAAAACCTGAGCTTCAGTCCTTTGGACTAGCCTTGAAAATGTTATACCAGTTATCAAAAAAAAATTGTAATTCAAAGGATTACACAGAGTGCTTTACTCCAAAAGCGCACACATTGAGTTCAGTATGAAAAAGCTGTTGTCCATAGTTTCAGTGCCCACAGGTAAATATCTCTGATCAACAAAAAATATTGTGCTAGTGGACATTTTTCTTGACTCTTCTAACCCATGACATTTTCAGAAATAATAAGAAAAAAATGGGAAGGCCCTAGGGGGAGAGTGTCCTAGATTAAAAATCTACTAAAAAATGAAATAAATATCATCCCTTCTTTATCGAGATTATCATAACATAGCTGATTGCTTGCACTGGATTCAGAAATTAAAAGTTATGCTAAGATTCAGAACTAGAAATTGCTAATTTTTAATGACAATTAGTCCAAAATTTTATGGAAGGGGTTATATAGAAGCAATTTAATTTTGTACTCTTCTTTCAAAGTTTAAATAGAATAGGGACAAGATAGTTCTTAGATTACCTAACTTTGGCTTCTTTCTCATATCATAAGTATCTCAAAGACAGGTAAATTGATTTCAGTGATTCACCTCTCTTGCTTTCACATGGTTTAAGAACATTTAGTTGAGGTGATTTCTTTGTTTTTTTCGGGGGGAGGTGGAAAGAGATAAATTATATCAATTACCAAGATGTTCACTGTGAAGCAAAAGAGTAGTAATAATACTGGAAAATTTTCCAAAACATTTTTAAAAGAACATTTTAAATTCACATAATTCACAAAGCAAAGAAACTTGAAAAAGCATTATGATACCAGGAAACTGTAAAGAATGGGACCTCTAGTGACCCTGAAACCTTATTAAGCTAGCATATCACTGCAGAAAGTGGACCCCAGACTGTGAACTTGTCCACCCTTCCATTTGCTAAGGAACTACAATGCCAGCCTTTCAAGGAGGAAGGCAGCATTAGTGCGCAGAGATCACACACCACAGATTTCAGCTCAAATTCTGAGCAGCAAAAACTGTATTGAATTGATCTATTGCTTTTAATATTGATTAGATATTATTTTCTTTTTTCAAACTTCTCACAAACTGTTGTCTCAAAGAAAATGCAGCTGGAAAACATAGATCATCAGTATACCAGATATAAAGAAAACACAATACTTAAAATATCCGTTAAAACGTTCAATAGATACTCTAAGATCAAATATCATTATCTATAATATATATCTTTAAGAAACTTACTGGCACTGATAATTGGTGAATCATTTTCATATCAAAATAAAGTTTTAATCTAAATTATATGATACTGATAAAAAGAGAAAAAAGAAATGGTAACAGCAAACCTTAAAAATCTTCATTCTCTCCCAATGAGAATGTAAAAGGTGACTAATAATAATTCTAATTCTTTGCATTTTTCCCTTTGTGAATTCAATGTCCAACCATATCACTAAAATTGGAAACAACATTTTTCATTGAATATTCACCAGTATTTCCAAATAATGTTTGACCATTCTTCTCTTAGGGTGACTCATTTTCTCCTCCATGTATTTTCTCCTGCAAGGAGTCTCTTTGACTCCATTTAATATGAGTCAAAAAATAGACCAATATATTTCCTCTTTCTCGATATTATCCAGCCTACCTCTTTCTGTAACAGAACAAAGAAACAGCTAAACACTTTTATCTCTTGAGATTGTTTAGCATAGCAAGTGTCAGTAAAAAGCTGGGTCTTGTACCATATGTAATATTTAGAATTCATAAACAATATACAAAATGTGGCTCATGAATAGTCTCTTAAACCATTAAAACAAACTATTTGGGATATTTATCATTAGACTGCTCTCTGAGGTATGGATACATTATCAGAAATCAGTGTTGTATCCATACCCCTTCTCTGGGGTCCATTTTTATTCTTGCCATGTTTTGGGGCTATACCAGATATCTTTTTGTGGGTAGTTAGTGCAATAGGCAATTACTGTAGTTTTCCATGAATCATTTTAGCAACAAAAGAGAAAGGCAACTTTCGCACTTCACTTAAAAGCTAATCAAAAGAATAATCCATGTATTCTTGCTTATCCCTCATAATTTTCTACCAAAGTGCACTGTACATACCAAGTACTCAAATGTTTAAACATTTTTCTCACCTGCTGTCTGTAGCATTAATAAATAGGTAATACTTTGAGAGATTGCTAATGTGTAGGCTTGTCTTCTATAAAGTTAGAGAAGTTTGAAATTGTGGTTGGGGGCAAAGATAGAACTAATATTGTTTCTATGAAGAAGCCACAGCAGTACTTGTTGTGAAATTAAGTGTTATAAATTGATAGTAACAAATGTGGTGCTTCCCATATGGGAGTAAATCAGAATCCCCTGAGAACTTTTCAAAAGCATCTTACCCAGATCCAACCTCAGCCTACCAAATCAATGTCTATTCACTAAGATAGGGAGTAGATGTGCAATTTGAAAAAGCTTCCCAAGAAAATCCTACAACTTCTTGGTTCCTTCCCTCTGCTTCTTTCACAGGATTAGGCCAAAGTGAGAAAATTCAAGTTAGTATAATATTAATTACAGGTATACCTTAGAGATATTGCAGTTTTGGTTCCAGACCATTGCAATAAAGCAAATATCAAAATAAAGACAGTTACACAAACCTTTTGTTTCCCAGTGCATATAAAACATTTATATTATATTGTAATCTAGTAAGTGTGTAATACCATTATGGCTGAAAAATATACATATCTCAATTCAAAAAATATTTTAATGCTAAAAAATGCTAATGTTCATCTGAGCCTTCTGCAAGATGTGGTCTTTTTGCTGGTGGAGGGGCTAGCCTTGATATTGATGGCTGCTGATTGATCTGGGTAGTGGTTGCTCAAGGTTGGGGTGGCTGTGGCAACTTCTTAAAATATGACAATGAAGAGTTTGCTGCAACAATTGACTTTTCTTTTCACAAAAGATTTATCTGTAATGTGTGATGCTGTTTGATAGCATTTTACCCACAGTAGAACTTCTTTCAAAACTGGAGCTAATCTTCTCAAAACCTGCCACTGCTTTATCAACTAAATTTATGTAATCTTCTGAATTCTTTGTTGTCATTTCAACAGTGTTCACAGCATCTTCACCAAGAGTAGATTCCATCTCAAGAAACCACTTTGGTTGCTTGTCCAGAAGAAGCAACTCCTCATTCATCCAAGTTTTATCATGAGATTGCAGCAATTCAGTCACATCTTCAGAATGCCCTTGTAATTCTAATTCTCTTGCTATTTCTACCACATGTGCAGTGACTCCCTCCACTGAAGTATTGAACCCCTCAAACTCATTCATGAGAATTAGAATGAACTTCTTCCCAACTCCTGTTAATGTTAATATTCTGACCTCCTCCCGTGAATCACAAATGTTCTTAATGGCATCTAGAATGGTGAATCCTTTCCAGATGGTTTTAAATTTACTTTGCCCAGCTCCATCACAGGACTCACTATCTATGTCAGCAATAGCCTTATGAAATGTAAATTTCTTAAGTAATAGGCCTTAAAAGTCGAAATTACTCCCTGACTCATGGCTGTAGAATGGATGTTGTGTTAATAAGCATAAAAACAGCAATCAACTCCTTCTACATCTCCATCAGAGCACTTGAGTGACTAGGAGCATTGTCAATGGGCAATAATATTTTGGAGGAATCTTTTTTTCTGAGCAGTAAGTCTCAGCAGTGGGCTTCAAATATTTAATAAATCATGCTGCAGACAGATATGCTGTCCTCTAGCCTTTATAGTTCTACTTATAGAGCATAGGCAGAGTCAATTTAGCATAATACTTTGGGGCTCTACGATTTTCAGATTGATCAATGACCATTGGCTTCAACTTGATGTTACCAGCTGCATTAGTTCCTAACAAGAGTTAGCCTGAACTTTGATGCTTTGAAGCCAAGCATTGACTTCTATCTAGTTATGAAAGTCCTGGGTAACATCTTCTTCCAATAGAAAGCTGTTTCATTTTCAACACTGAAAATCTGTTGTTTAGTGCAGCCACCTTTACTAATTTTCTTAGCTGGATCTTTTGGATAACTTGCTGCAGCTCCTCCATCAGTACTTGGTGCTTCACCTAGCACTTTTCTGTTTTGAAGGTGGCTTCTTTTCTTAAGCCTCCTGAACCAATCTCTTCTAGCTTTAAACTTTTCTTTTGCAGCTTCCTCACCTCTCATCCTTCATAGAAATGAAGAGAGTTAGGGCCTTGCTCTAATTCAGGCTTTGGCTTAGGGGAATGTTGTGACCTAGTTGGTCTTTTATCCAGACCACTCAAATTTTCTGCATCTCAGCAATGAGGCTATTTTGCTGTCTTATCATTTGTGTCTTCACTGGAGTAGCACTTTGAATTTTTTTCAAAACTTTTTCTTTCCACTGTTCACAACTTGGCTGTTTGGCACAACAGGCCTAAACTTTGGCCTATCGTGGCTTTTGACTTGCCTTCCTCACCAGCTTAATCATTTTTGCTTTTGATTTAAAGTGAGAGACAGCGAATATTTCCTTTACTCGAACACTTAGTGTTCTTTGTAGGGCTATTAACTGACCTAATTTCAATAGTGCTGTGTCTCAGGGAATAGGAAATCCTGATGAAAGGGGAAGAAACAAGGGAACAGCTGGTCAGTGGAGGACTCAGAACACACACATTTATCGATTGTTTGCCATCTTATATGGGCATGGCTCATGGTGCCCCAAACTAGGGGTTCCCAATCCTTGGGCTGCAGACCAGTACTAGTCTGTGGCCTGTTAGAAACCAGGCCACATAGCAGGAGGTGAGCAGTGGGGGAGCAAACATTACCTCCTGAGCTCTGCCTCCTGTCACATCAGTGGGGGCATTAGATTCTCATAGGAGTGTGAACCCTACGGTGAACTGCGAAGGTGAGGGATCTAGGCTGCGGGCTCCTTGTAAGAATCTAATTCCTGATGATCTGAGGTGGAACAGTTTCATCTCGAAACCATTTCCCCCCACACACACCCCCCAGTATTGTCTTCTACAAAACCAGTCCCTGTTGCCAAAAAGGCTGGGGACTGCTGCCCTAAACAATTACAATAATGACATCAAATATCACTAATCACACATCATGGTAACTGATGTAATAATAATGAAAAAGTTTGAAATTTTGTGAGAATTACCAAAATGTGACACACAGACACAAAGTGAGCACGTTTTGAAAAAATTGTGATAATAGACTGGCTGGATGAAGGTTGCCACAGACCTTCAATTTATAAAAATGCAGTATCTGCAAAATACATTACAGCAGAGAAGAATAAAATAAGGCATATCTGTATGTGACCTTGACACAGTCATTTACTAGTTTCTGCCCCTAGTTCTCCCTTTAATCATTTCAGTATTCTCCAGAACACCTAGAGTAGTGCTCCCCAACCTTTTTGGAGCCAGGGACTGGTTTTGCGGAACGCCAATTTTTCCACTGATGGGGGTGGGGGATGGGGATGGTGTGGGGATAAAACTGTCCCACCTCAGATCATGAGGCATTAGATTCTCATAAGGAGGGATAACCTATATCTCCCACATGTGCAATTCACAATAAGGTTCACTATACCATGAGAATCCAGTGCCTCCACTAACCTGACTGGAGGCAGAGCTCTGGCGGTAATGCTGGCTTACCCACTACTCACCTCCTGCTGTGTGGCCTAGTTCCTGACAAGCCATGGACCAGCACTGGTCCCTGGCCTGGAGGTGGGGGGGGGGGGGGTTGGGGACCCCTGACTTAACAAAATTAGATCATCAATAAGACACTTTTCTTTCCAAATGGAAAACAACTCCCTTCTATTAAAAATACTAGTTGTTTGGAATAATGTGTTTTATACTAGTTTTTTTAGCACTGTGCTATTTCTATATGAGACACAAAATAAGTATTAGCTAATGAATATGATTTTAAAGATTATAAATAATAAATTCACTCAGTACTCAGTACCTTCCATATGACTCAAGTCTCCTAAACATAGATACGCAATAAATAATAAACATCTACCTGGTAGAAAGTTTTACAAAGTAAACTGTGCCTTTGTGAAAGTGAAGTATTTCGCAAGGTAAAATATGCATATATATGAAAATATATTAATCTTTTACACAAATTAGGCCCATCACTATGTGACCTATGAAACATTAATAGAATGTTAATAGAATTAGGCCTTAGCTTAAGGGAACTTAATTAATAGAATGTTAATCTCCAGAAGTCTGGAGGTAGATGCATGCAAGAGAGAGAGAGACTGTTCTAAACACAGTTTAGAATTAGGCATTTTACAAGTTTAAGTTGGCTAGTCTTTCTGCAAGCATTTAATAGTCTTTGGTGGAAGAAAATGAAAAGCTCAGCTTGGCATATTTCATTATTCAAAATGTGACCTGATGGTGTTCTTTTCTGATATCATTCCTCACAGGTCTTTCACTTCTGCTTTTCTCTTCTCCATTGAAGTTCAAGTTACCATTGGGTTTGGAGGGAGGATGATGACAGAGGAATGCCCTTTGGCCATCACGGTTTTGATTCTCCAGAATATTGTGGGTTTGATCATCAATGCAGTCATGTTAGGCTGCATTTTCATGAAAACAGCTCAGGCTCACAGAAGGGCAGAAACTTTGATTTTCAGCCGCCATGCTGTGATTGCCGTCCGAAATGGCAAGCTGTGCTTCATGTTCCGAGTGGGTGACCTGAGGAAAAGCATGATCATTAGTGCCTCTGTGCGCATCCAGGTGGTCAAGAAAACAACTACACCTGAAGGGGAGGTGGTTCCTATTCACCAACTGGACATTCCTGTTGATAACCCAATCGAGAGCAATAACATTTTTCTGGTGGCCCCTTTGATCATCTGCCACGTGATTGACAAGCGCAGTCCCCTGTATGACATCTCAGCAACTGACCTGGCCAACCAAGACTTGGAGGTCATAGTTATTCTGGAAGGAGTGGTTGAAACTACTGGCATCACCACACAAGCACGAACCTCCTACATTGCTGAGGAGATCCAATGGGGCCACCGCTTTGTGTCCATTGTGACTGAGGAAGAAGGAGTGTATTCTGTGGATTACTCCAAATTTGGCAACACTGTTAAAGTAGCTGCTCCACGGTGCAGTGCCCGAGAGCTGGATGAGAAACCTTCCATCCTTATTCAGACCCTCCAAAAGAGTGAACTGTCTCATCAAAATTCTCTGAGGAAGCGCAACTCCATGAGAAGAAACAATTCCATGAGGAGGAACAATTCTATCCGAAGGAACAATTCTTCCCTCATGGTACCAAAGGTGCAATTTATGACTCCAGAAGGAAATCAAAACACATCGGAATCATGACAGCAAGATAACCCCAAGACAGTCTTTTATCAAGTTTTGACGGTTTATGCTGGGCACTGCCAGACTGAACCAGAGCTGGAACACAATAATGTGTCCTTCTACATTTTATTACACTAAATGATATTCATATTCAAGCAACAGCACTTTCTGTAGTAATAAAAAGTAACACACCAAGTGGAGGATTCATGGCTTATGCTTGTTTCATACATGTAGAATTCGCAGTGATATACTTAAGTTATGTGCAGGGGTGGGTATGCTCGTTTCTCTCAATTTGAAACACAAGAATTACACTAATAGTAACAGGCCTTGAGCACAAAATTTGGTCAAGAAATGAGTCTGTTTGAAATGCTTAGTTGGTGAAACCCAGATCGCTGTGTTACTAATGATCACTCTGGAAATGCAAATAGAATAGGAGGGGAAAAAACAAAATCATGTTAATGCGTTTTGTACATCAGCCTTCTCCTGTCTCCATGATAACTGCATTTGGTAGGAAGCCTGAGGCAAAAACTGCTTAAGTGGATCTGTTTGTAAGTGGATTCAGTTCATTCGCTTTGTCTGTCGGTGACTCCTGAAGGTTTCCTGGTCCATCTCATTGCGGCCTGTTGGGCAGAGCTGGACAAGGTGTCTTTGAAGGAAAGCTAAGTCTTGTCTCATTTAGGACTGGGTTCCCCACAGTGACAGTCACTTCCTTCAGCATCTCACTTCTTCTTCTAGAATCCCCACAGGGAAATACTGTATTGAATATTTTATTAAAACATTTTCTTTGTACTCACTGTAGTTTTGTGATTCCTCTTTCACAAAATCATCCCAAGTTAAAACTCAAGATGTTTTTAGAGCCATGTAAAAGAGATGTCAAAGTGATAACACTCACTCTGAGATTCCTCTCTCTCAAGTCTGTTTGCTCCAAAACTAGCTTTTTTTTGCTTTGTTTTGATTTTATTTCAGGTTTTAAAATGTCCTCTTGGTTTTTCAATCTAAGCCTGACATACCATAAAAATCCTATAAGCTTTTTTTTTTAATCTTCAATCTCCCATCTTAAAACTATACTTCCTTCCCAGTAGTATCTGAATTTAGGCTTGGCATTTATAGATTTAGCATCATCTCATTTGCTAAAGTGAGATTTTCTATCAAAGCTTCATTTAAGCATATTTAGTGCCTGCTTCTTCAAGGAAGGGATGAGACAGGAGAGAGAAGTACTAGGTTAATAAACTATATATGCTTTTATTCTTACATTTTATAGCTAAACATCAGAAAGCTGAGCTATTGTGAAATCTTTCACACAGATTTGGGGGTTTGTATTTATGAACATTGAAATAGGTAATTATGAAATGTTCTATCTTAAGACTCATGATTCCAACCAGGTGAACAGAAACTGTTTATCACGTCATTGAGTTAATCATTCCTGAAAGGGTTCTAACTGTTCCTCTGAACTCCAGACTCACAGATCAAACAGGCACCTGAGGCTCCACTTGGAGATTGAACAAGCATTTCAAACTTACTAGGTCTAAAACCAAATACTTCATTCTCACTCACAAAAGCTGCCCTCCTCCCAGTCTTTCTTCCAATCACTCAGGCATCAAGCCATGACCTGGAAGTCATTCTTGCTGCCTCTTTCATACCCTACATGCCATCCATTAGCAATTACCTCTCGGCTCTGCCTTCAAAATATATCCAGAATATGACCAATTCTCTTTACTCCACCACTTCCTTCATAGTCCAAGCAAGGATACTGTATATATGCATGCATCTGTACCAATTGTTTGAATATTAAAACATTTCTGTCTAGGTTGCTAAAGACTATCTTAATAAAACTTAACCCAACAGCAACTATGGAGGTGGATATCAGACCTCAAAGCAGTTCTGGAACAGATGCAGGTTCCCACCTTCCCACCCCAGGGCAGCTGAGCAGACCCAGAGGTAGCTGCCACACAATCCAGCAGTAAGAACATGGATAGTGCCTTCCTGCTGCTCAGTAGTAGCCCAACTTTGTAGAGGTGACACAGGCTGTGCAACAGGTGATGTCAGGACATAGTGGAGCTGAGATGCAAAATTTCTGAGTCCAGGGTCTAGAGAATTCCCTGGCACCAGGGGCAAAGCTAGCTATGGAGTACGGGAAGTTCCCCCAGCCACCTTCCAGCTGCAACTAAACGCTGAGTGTCAAGGACCTAATGACTGTCAATATAATGGGCATGTCAACGAAAGGTTATGAGGGGCTCCCTATGTCAAGCTGTGGCTCAGACAGGGACATCATTTAGCTAGAGACAGCCACACCAAACAAAAGGTTCTATCAACAATTTCTAAAAGTCTGAAAATGTTTTAGAGAGTATTAAAATGATTTTCTGACCTATTTTTGCTAAAACATATTTCACTGGGTAAGCAATTTTGAGAACTACATAGTTTTAGAAGATAAGACGGACTCTGTACATATATATGTGTACATGTATGATTTTGACTTACATATTGTGTTTAAATATTATTTTATATTCAGTATTTTGGTTCTCTGCTTCTACCCTTTCTTCCACCTCCATAATTCATACAGCAGCCACAATATTTTTTTAAATCACAAGTCAAACTACATGACACCTCTTCTTAAAGCCCTCTTCTGCCTTTTTCATTTTCTTTTTTTTTTTTCTTTTTTGCAGACAGAGTCTCACTCTGTCGCCCAGGCTGGAGTGCAGTGGCACGATCTCAGCTCACTGCAACCTCTGCTTCCCAGGTTCAACAGATTCTCGTGCCTCAGCCTCCTGAGTAGCTGGGATTACAGGTGCGTGCCACCACGCCTGGCTAATTTTTTGTATTTTTAGTAGAGCCGGGGTCTTACCATGTTGCCCAGGCTGGTCTCAAACTCCTGAGCTCAGATAATCTGCCCACCTCGGCCTCCCAAAGTGCTAGGATTACAGGTGTGAACCACCGTGCCCAGCCCTTTTTATTTTTCTTAAAATGCAAACCAAAATCCTTACCAAGGCCAACAAGCCACTACATCTCATTGTTAGCGCTCTTCCCCTCAGAGACTCCTACACTTTACCACACTGGCCTTTCTGCTCTTTGAGAAAGAGACATATGGCTCCTGCATCATAGATTTGCTTCTACCTGGAGAGTTTTCCCTCAGAAAGCCTCATGAGTCTCCCCTGTCATTATTTAGTCTCTGCTCGAGTGTCACCTCGTGAGGAAGTACAGTGTAATAGTTATAAAAACAGACCCAGAAGCCAGACTCCCTAGGTGTCAATTTCAATGTTAACATTTAGCATCTGTAAGGCCTTGACAAAATTAACTTCTTTGTGCCTCAGTTTCCCCATATATAAAATCAGAATGATTATAGTATTTACCTCACAAATTTGTTGTGAGGATTAAGTGAGTTAACATATATAAAGGGCTTAAAAGAGTATAATTCAGTGGCCCAGGACAAACACTTGAAATAAAGGATTTCCTTTATTTCAAAAAAGGCAAAAGGCAATAAAAGAAAAAAAAGAAGGATTACCTTCAACTAATTTGCTTCTTAGTAAATGACTGAGTCATTGCATTACTCTTCTTTTCTAGGACAGAGATAAAAGCACTTTGCAACATGAATCTGATCTCTTAAAACCTCTGCAGCAGAGGCCCTTATATCTGCCCACTCCCAGTTGCTTTTCCTGATCCTTTGACACCTTTAACAGACACTTGCCTGTCCTCAAACATTGTCATGTGTAAAATACTACAACGTGTAAAAAGGAAACATTTTGCATACAGAGATTTCTGCTTGCACTTGTCTATCATTTATTTATTCATTTAGTAATATATATTGAATGTCTGCCATGTCTGACATTTATCATCTGCCAAAAATAACTAGGTGTGTCTATTTTCTTTAAGGAGGAGCAGAAATTGATAGCCCGGGTACATGCTGATTCTGGTAGTAAGTAATCAGAGATGAAAAGTATCAGGTAAGAAAAACTGGAATACATGCCAGAATTTGAAAAGAGACACTTTCATCTCAAAATCAAAATCAAAACATACTGCTAGTTACTGAGTAGGCATGGGAAGACAACGGAAGACCTAGAACTGTCGCACATACAGCTTTGCTGAGAGCTGGATGAGAAAATAGAACATTGTCCTTAGAACTATCATTTTTCCTGCTTTATCCCCATACCATAGTTTTATTTCGACAATTCCTTATTGTTTGCATCTCAGCTCAAGACTCTCTCTAAAGAAAATCATTGTTGCCCTTGCTCACAGACATTTCTAAATATCCCTGGCCAAAATGTTCTGACACATAAGTGTGTCTCAGAACCGACAGTTTCCCAGCAGCTGAAGGAAATGACCTTAGTTCCCAAAGAAAGTCTAACTTGCAGAAAAGTTACTCGCTTAATGAACATAGGGCAGCATTTTCTCCCCTCCAATATTTGGATTCATTTTGTTGTTGTTGTTTAGCGACTTGGCATTCATGGAGCCAGTTTTCCCTTTGATAATAAATCAATTGTAGATAAAGAAGAAAGAATGAAAAGATATCTACATCTCCTGGGGCTCCCACTCCCAACTTTTGTTATTTTCAGCATGGAAGGTAGAGGCAGAACTGTAGTTAGTGTCTCCAAGGACCAGTGCATTAAAGTAACCATAACAAATCCTACAGGCTGTTTAAGAGGAAACCCAAGGGCCATGTTCTTCCCATGATCTTTATGCACAATTCTCATCAATGGTGATGGGAATTTCCCCACAGACCTAGAAAGGATGTGACTCTTAATTACACCCCTTGATAATCACACTGATTCAAGTTTAAGTTCAAGAAAATCTTAATCAGTCTTTAGCTTCAGATCAAAATATTACGTTGGAGCCCACTTTCATTTTAGGTTATTTACATCTTCATGAATACTCTTTTCAAGAAGTGTTCCCGTTCTCATGAAGATTTTCTTGGCTGTACCATATGGCACTCCTTCCTCCACTCCAATACTCCCTGGGGTAGTTGGAATGAAACTATTGCCTTACATTGAGTTTATCTTAATTATTTGAAGGAACAAAAATATTAAAGCTAGATTTCCACATACTAGTGGATTGCTTCAGTGGGTATGGAAAAGTGGAGGCTAAAACAGTTGTCTGTAAAACTGAAGTTTATAGTACTTCAAAAGGCTTCACTTATTTGCCATTGATTGTTGAAGAAAGTTCACATTCTTTACACATGATAGTCAAGACTCTTTGTGGTTTGATTCCAACACACCTTTCCTGCCTGGTTTTCTAACCCTACCCACAACACCTTATGAAGCTTCAAGTTTACTGAATGCTTCACTCACATTCTGCAAGTTGCTGAGATTGAAATTCTGTGCTTTCTCTATCACCACAAACTACTATTTTTACAAAACCTTCTCAAATTCTCCACCTAAATCACTCCTTTTTTTAATCCCTACAACGTTTACCTCTATTTATTGGTTATTTCATAATAACTGGTATTATATAGCTTTTGAATATCCTAGACATCTCTCTCCACTAGATTGTAAGTCCTTTCCCCAATTACTTATCACTGTGCTTGCCTAAATAGATGGCGATAGTAGCCTGATAGTTACCACCCCAAAATCCATTATTCATTTTCCTTCATAGAAACAGAGTTTAAGCTGGACATATGAATATCCAGCGAGAGATTACACATTCCCAGTAGCTGTGTCAGTTACTTACGGTCATGTGCCAAATCTGGGGCTCAATGTCCTATGAACAGAAGCTAGTGGACCACTTTCAATTCTTGATTTTAAAAACTCTGAGTTTGTATGTCTTGACCTTTTGCACGTTCCGTGGAGTGAGCACATGTGTGATGGAAATCCAGCTTTGACCAGGCTGATGAAGATAAAACCTGTGGAGTAAATAAGACGGAAGTAACCTGGCACAGCAAATCACTTTGTGCAACAGGGCCTTGCAAGCCTGGGCTTCCTAATTTTAGCCAGTTACACAGATGAGAATAAACATCTATTTTATTTTGGTAGGTTTTTGGCTTTTTCTTTTTTTTGACTGCTTGTTTGCATGTTTTCTTACTACACTACAGTTTGGCCTCTATTCTGAATAATAAAAATGCTAAATTATCAAATGCAAAGGTAACCCACAGAATGGCAGAAGATATCTTCAATTTCATATTCTACAAAAATTCATCTCTAGAATGTATAAAAAACTCTTAGAAATCAGTAAAATAAACTTGGGCACCCAAATAGAAATAATTGACAAACAATAGGAAAAAATTACATCACAAAAAAGAGAATCCAGAAAGCCAACACACATATCCAAAGGTACTTGATCTCAGTAGTAATCTAATGCAAGTGAAAAGCACAATGTAATGCCATTACACACTACCAGAATGGTTAAACTGAAAAAGATAAGGGCAAGTGTTGAAAAGGATGAGGAGCAACTGGAACTTAAACATACTACAAGCGGGAGAGTGTATTGTCATAACTGCTCTGAAAAACTGTTTGGCAGAGTCTTGTAAAATAAAATACAACAAATGCTATGACTTAGCAGTTCCACTTTAGGTACATCTACAGATACTTATATAAAAAATTTTTATAGTATCACTGTTACTATAGGTCCAAACTGGGAACAACCCAAATGTCCATTTACAATAAAATGGATATGTAAGTATCAATATGTTTATACAATGGACTACTACAGAACTACTACAGGACTACTACTACACAATGCTCTGTACCAGGCATTGTGATAAAACCTGGGGATACAAATTATAAACCAAGTCACCACAAGGTGCCTATAGACTATAGCCTAACAAAGACATTTACCAAAAAGTGCCTGCAAAGATATATTACAAGACAGTGGTTACACGCAGGAACTTTGGAGTCAGGCAGCCCTGGCTTCTCTGCCACTTACAGTAGTGGGACCCTGAACAAGTTCCCCTGAGCCTCAATTTACTTAATATATTGAGTAAATTAGTATTATAGTACTTAGTTTATATTATTATATATACTATATGGTATGCTATATATTATATATAATATACATATACTTATTATACTATATGTATATATATAGTTATTTTGAAGTATTGATGAGAATGTGTTCAGCACAGTGTCTGGAATATAGTAAGTGCTCAATAAATCTTAACTATTATGATTACTATTAATATTATTTTAGCAGGAGCAGCAGGAGAAGTATGGTGGTGCTCCTAAGGTAGTGTCAATTAAAGGGCAGGAAATAAAGAGACTCTAACAGACAGGGCAATAAAGAACGAATGAAAAGGAAAGAACCAGTGAATTTATTCTATATGGTCCTAAAATAACCATCGTGACTACACGGGAAAACAATAAGGGATGGGCCCCATCTTCTACCAAAAATGTTAACTCCTACCCAGCCTTCAACTCATAAGGTACCACTTCCTCAAGTCATGTGTCTAATTTCATAAACAACATGAATATCTTAGAGCTCAGTATTTTAAGCCAGGAAAAGAGATAACAAGAGTGGCTATCAAACCCCTTTCTCTGATTCTCTGATATTCCTCTGCTTTATAGCAGAGGCTACGAAGGTACACTCAGAGGTTAAGTAATTTAGAACCAGAGAATCATTAGAAAACAGAGTGAGCCTGAGAAGGATTTTTAGCCCAAAATGGTAAGCTATCCCTTCAGCTGATCCCCTTATCTTTGAAATAACCCCCAAAAAAAAAAAATTAAAATCACACTTAATCTACTGCAGCCTGGGTAAACAAGAAAGGCTTATCAGTGGAAAAGAAATTTTTAGAAATTCCTGGAAAAGATAAAGAGGATAGAATGGAGTTGCTGGGAAAACCAATCACAGCTGAGACCTATTACCCAGATTCACTCAAAAGAAGGTATAGAGTCGCTAAACAGGGGTTTTGCAACAAAAGTCAGGAACTATCCAAAGTTCAGAGGTGGTAGCTAGTGGCTGGGAACAGAAGCCAGAGCAGACAGCAATTTCGGGACATTGCAGAGCTGTAGTAGATCTGTACTGGTCTGCAGACAGACAATAATTTGCACTGTAAGTAACTGGGGAACTAGTGCCTGAGACTTCTAGGAATGCCAATGGTACTTTGGGCCCTCAGATAACTTGGGCTACCACAAGTGATAGACAAAGAAGACGGATGGAGTTGAGCATTTGAATTAAAGTTTTATTCAACATGCTTTGAAGTTTCTTAACATTTGGTTGCAATTTACGTTTATAATTATATGAATATATTTCTTTGACAGGTCACAATTTTGGCACTCTCTAAAGGGCCTAATTTGACATGCACCATAAATCTTTTTTAAAAAATCACCCAGACACATAATTCAACTTACAGTATTTCCATTTTAGGTGGAACTACTCGTAAGCAGAAAGGATTTCTAGCATGACTTTTGTCTTTGTAGCTCAATAGTATTACCCTGGATTTGGGAGAGAAGGTGAACTCATTTCAAGAACGGGGAACTAGGTTTTTCAGAACATTGCAGTAGCTGTAGAAATGTGTGTTGTAATGGAGACAAGCTACAGGGAAACATAGAAAGCTTAATCCGGAATGCTGGAATGGTGAATATGGTAAATATAACTAAGAAACAAGAGGGAACTTATCAAATTTAAATGAAATTTTTGACATTTGAATAAAAGATTTCCTGTGTGGTTATTCAAAGTAAAATTATTCTGCCCCAGAATTCCTTTTGCAAATTACCCTTTAAACCAATTGTGTTTTATTGAGGAAAAATGTGATTCTTTTCTCTTTTTAGCCTTTTGTTACAGAAAATTTCAAACATATACAAAAGTGGAGAGCTTAGTATAATGAACTGCACATAGTAATCACCCCCTCAATAATGACCACATTAGGGCCAATCCTTTTTCAATTTATCAGCTGTTGACTCAACTACACTTTTCTTCTCGTAGTAATGGAAGCGATAATGGAAGTTTAAAAATAACGAAGCAGAACCTGGCAAGGGCCGTACCAGGTGTTGTGCAAACAAAGGACTATGTGAACATTTTTAATGTGAGAATAGCTTTTAGAGATTAAGTCCAAAGAATGAAAAGACTTTGAGATGGGTCTTGAATGATGGACACTATTTCAACAGGCAGAGATGGGCAAGGAGGGTAACCGAAGCATAAGATTACAAGTTCCATGAGGCCAGGAACATTTTCTATCTTGCTTACTATTGTGTTTCCAATATTTAACAGTTCCAATCCTTGCTTGATAAATATATGAATTAATTAATCAATGCCATTTATTCTGCTTTGGTTACCTGGCCCTTGCCAGGTTCTGCTTTGTTATTTTTAACCTTCCCTTATCGCTTAGACTACAATTTTCTCTAGCAATGGGCTTCTTTACATTCATCTTATATTTCATTACTGTGACAAGAAAAGTGTAGTTGAGTCAACAGCTGATACACTGAATTAAAAGGCAAGAAATATCACAAGAATTAATGCTAAGATTTTACAAAGGAATTCACAGTTCTGTTGGATTTAGGGTTTAAAGGATGTCTCTATGGAGCTAATCATTGATATAAGAATTTATTTTGTGATAGTCAATGGTACCAATTAGTAGTTGAAAAGGCAGATAAATCACATAATTCTAAGAGAAAAATCAGTGACAAAGATTTTTTTTCTTTTTGTTTTTTGAGTAAAATAAATGGTTCCATGTATATGGGCATCTAATAGGTCTAAGGGAACCATACTATGAATTTGACTTGAATTTTAAAAGTAGATGTAAATAAATAGCTTGACTATTCTACCTAAAATTGACCAAATACCAAAACTATATTTAACTTTAATTCGCTAGAATCCCTATAGTGCACATTTCAAGAGGTGTCTCTCTTTTGTTGTTGGCACAATTCAACTTAATTATGTGATTTTCCACCCCCTGTTTTATGTATTTGTTTTATTTTTACCTTTCTTGCCTTTAACTGGATTTATTGACTAGTTTTTACCTCCATATACATAGGAAATGCTTGGAGAAAAATCAATGTGTTTTATGTATACAATCCACCAAATTTAAACTCTTCAATTAATAAGCCACATATGAGTGCAGCCAAAAAGAAGATTAAGGCTCTGAAATCAGGATTTTGAATCATCTTAAAACATAATATGAAACTGAACACAATGTCTTAGTGTTCTTTACCACTTAATACTACTGATCACTCTCATCCTTTGGGAAGTTCTTATCTTTTAGGGCTTCAGTGATCTACTTTGCAGGGTGTTCTCCTGACCTTTCTGACCCTCTCACAGGCCATCTATTTCTGTGGTTTCATCTGAGTTGTCTATTTAGATGCCACTCCACACACATACATTTATTCCTCTAACTCAATACCTACTGTAAACATTCTGCTGGAGAGCATGCTCAACATAGCAAAAAACAAATTCTGTGTATTTTCTAGGAGTCACCCCCTCATCTGTAATCTTTTGATGGTGAGAACCAGTGTTGAATTATAGTTGCTTTTTCTTATCCCCTAAATTATCCCTGGCCTTCTTAATAAATCAGTCTCCAAATATCACAGATTTCCTCTAGCACAATGTCCCGTGCATCTGTCTCTTTTTACACTATCTTTATTCTTGTCCAGGCCCTCATTACCTGCTGCCTGGGCTATTGCAATGAACTCTGATCTGATCTTCAACCCTTTTTTCCCACTCATTCAACATACTAGCAATGAAATTTTCATAGAAGTGAAACTACGATCATATTTTTTCTTCAAAAAACTCCAAGGTGTTCTCTTTCCTTCTTAAATTCAGATTCCTCACTTTGACATTCACTAATCTCCCTTCTGAATCCATCAGTCTCCCTCCTCCTGTCATTTATTTCCTTTATACAGGCTAAATCTTACCCCTCTTGCTGTTCTCTAGAAAGACCTTTTCTTTTTCCACCTTGCCATGATTCAAAATCCTGATTTGACTCAGGTATATATAATTCAAGAAACCTTCTAGACAGGCTTCCTCAGAGTCTATGTACAGGTATGGACAAACTGCTGTCAAACATTTGAGAATTTCCATGTTATATTAATTGGCTGTGTTGGAAGACAAAGGCAGTTCTTGGTGCATCTCAAATGTTGAAGCATTTTGTCACAGCTCAGAGTCTAAAGCCTCTTCCCAAAGCATCTTGTGGTTTTCAGAGCCTTAAACTTCTTTTTGGCTGCACTCATATGTGACTTGTTAATTGAAGAGTTTAAATTTGGTGGATTATATATATAAAACACATTGATTTTTCTCCAAGCATTTCCTATGTATATGCTATGTCAAATTTCTTCCCAGGTTGGGCAGAAAAATCTCTGGACTTCCAAAAACTTTGTCTACTTAAAAATTCCAATAATATATCAGATGGAAAACTTTTACTCCCCTATCACTGGAAAGGCTGTGGCCCAAAAGATTTGAAGTGAATGGGTGGGGTGGGAGTAGTCTGCTCTTTTTATCCCTCTCCCCTTCTCTCACCTTGGAGGAACAGCCTATTGCTAGAACATCGCTTTCCTCTTCCTTTTTGACACCCTGGGTGTTAAGGAGAGGAGGGAATAAAAGAGCTGGTAGAAAATATATTATGTAACTGGTATCCAATATGTTTCCATCTGTTTCTAGTGGCGTCTGCCAATGTCGTGCTCTCTACCCACAAGATGTGTATGTATTTTTCTTGGGATGACTTAGCACTGTTATTACATTACTAAGCACCCCATCAGCAAGGGGCTTTCTACTCTCTATTTTTTGCCAGTGGCCATGCCTTCACTGTCTCTGTACTAGTTATCTATTGCTCTATAACAAATTACCACAATGCAATGGTTTAAAACAGGAAACATTTATTATCTTGCAGTTTCTGAGGTTCAGAAATTTAGGCATGGTGCAACTGGATCCTCTGATGCAGGCTCTCTCATCAGGCTCAAACAAGGTGTCAGCCAGGTTCTCTCATGAGGCTTAATTAAGCAAGTCTCATCTAAACACTTGGCTAGGAAAGGATTTGCTTCTAAGCTCATGTGGTTGTGGGCAAAATTCAAGTTCTTGGCACCTATTGGACTGAGGACCAGTTTCTAGCTGATTGTTGGCCAGAGGCCACCTGCAATTCCTTGCTGCAAGAGCCTCCCAACAGGGATGCTTGCTTCATCAAAGCATGCAAGCCAAGAAAGCAATGGAGAGAGTTTGCTAGCAAGGTGCAAATTATGATCTTGATAATGAAATACTGGAGGTGACATTCCATCATCTTTACTATATTCTGTTGGATAGAAGAGAGTAACAGGTTGTAAATACAGGGAAGCTGAGGTCACTAGGGGCCATCTTAGACTCCAATCTGTAACAGTCTCCTTTGGGTAAGCCTGGACCACTCCCATCCTCCTACCTTATTCTCTATCTTCCTTCACTTCGTTCTTCATGTGGAGCTTCAAAAGAATTGAAGTTCTCTTCTGCATCTTGCAATGGCCACAAAAAACCTGTCTGGGGTGAGGGGTCATTCCCACTTTCCCAGGGGCACTATACCACTGTTTCTTCTCTCTGTTGTCACAATCAATTCCAGCAAGCCTTATACCTTCTCCAAATGACAAGCTGACGCTAGAGTTTATATTCATGTACTCCTTGCAGATTCTAGGGAACACAAGTAAAGGCTTGTCAAAAAGTGGCCCACCCTCTCCATCTGAGAGGACCTGTAAGTTCTGCAAGTTAGGAAACATCCTTCAGAGCATGTGATGGCAGTCTTCATATTTTACAGACACCCCTAAGCTTCATGAATGATTCTGTTAAACTGGTCTCATAGAGAGTAGGAGGAAAAACCACAGAACTTCCCACCAATCTGATGCTACTTGACTTTAACCACTATCCCTCATCTCACAGTCTTCTTGTACAAGCACAGAAAGTGCAGGAAGGTTTGAGGGCTGTGACCAGAGGCAGGTTTTGTCATCTATTATAAGTGCTAAGGGGTTCAGGGTAAAGAGGATATAAGTTTTCCCTCGCTTAATAGGACATAGTGGTATGTAATACTCTTTGACCCCAGGAGTAGAGCCCTAGTTGCCAATTCTGAGAAAAATCTCCCTAAGCATCCTCTTATATGTGCAAGTCTAAGAAGAACTCTAGGTGTTAGGCTACCAGAGCCTCCTCTACACCATTAACCTGTAATCCTGGATCCTTGTAGCCAATCTAAGTACTGGTCCCATAGTCTCACTTTATCTACTTCCTGCCATATCTTATATTTAGTTGACATTTTTTAAAAAGTGGTCACTTTGTCCATTGTCCTAGTGATATTTAGGTTTTGCACTCTTAGTTATTGCCTCTCTATCCTGTGTCTTTTCATTCTCCCAAAACAAGACAATCTCATTCACTCCAAAGCTTCAATTATTCAGTAACTGTGAAATCTGAGCCTCAAGCCCCAATCACATCTTCATTTGTGCATCCCTATATTTAAATGCACGTTAGTAGAGCATGCGTAGAAGAGCTGAGGTTCCTTAGAAATGCTAAGTCATTTCTCACCTTGTAGAAAAGAATGAAAAACTATAGACTCTTTGACTGTTACAATTAAAAGGAAACTCTGAGATTGTCAGCCCTCTTCATTTATCAGATTAGGATCCTAAAGGAAAAGTTGTTTAGGAGAAGTTCAAATTAGTTTGCTTTACTCAAAGTACACTGCTTTTTCTACTGTATAATACAGTTGTTTGGAAAAAAATATTAAGATCATACCGTATTTACCAAAATTGCATATATTACAGGTATTATACAATTAAAACCACATACTATATATATGGTGGGATTTTAACTGAGAGTTGCTACATTGTTAAAAAAAAAAAAAAAAAAACTTGTTTGGAAGTCTGTCCTAAGCTTGCATATTATAAATGAATTGTGCTTCTTTGTTTTATGAGAGTTGAAATCAGACCTCTTAAACAATGCTTACAGAAAGTACTGCTTCTCTTGCTACAACTGGTAGTGACCCATGTTGGGGGTGACAGTACAATTGAGTCTACCAGAATGTGAGAAAAGGAGTTTTTATATTGCATCTACCAAAAAGGAAACTCCATTTTAGTTAGAAAGAAGCTTGCATTAATTCAACATTTGGATGAGGTCCAAAGTCAGTTGCAGTAAATCTTGATAACTACTGCTTGTTTCAAGCTAGAGCCAAGCCGTTTGTTTATTTTAAACGCTTGCTCGATGGGTTACTCCCCTGGGAAAATGACCTTGTTTTCATCTCAGGCCCAAGGGAAGCTTCTTATGCTGTGGAATCTTATTCCAGAATGTGTCTGGAATGAAGAAAGTTGCAGCCTATACTCAGCTAGCATGATCATCTCATTCACTTCATCGACAAAGCTTTTGACTTTCTAAAATAAAAGTAGGAAGACTTGGAAATTTTAACGCTTCCCTTCATCCTCCAACACCCTCATCCCCATCATCCAAAATCACAGCTGAGAACTGCTCAGTGCTACCTAAGTTACTTAGTTCTCTTTTACTTTTGGTGCCCCAAAGGTGATAGAAGTAACAACCCCCATACAGTCAGAGGAAACCCAGATGATTCTACGGATGCTCTGTGGGTATGAAGCAACTTGACAAATAGGCCAACTGCAAATAACATGGGCATCTGGAAGGAGCAGAAAGCAGGTTTGGGTTGACATGTAAATGTGGAGCCTGTGGTCACTCTAGAGTAACACCCTTTCCTTCTTTATCTCCCACCCCAACACACAGTTAGGAAGGCATCTGCAATGCAGACATTGGTTAGGTACCAGGCCTCTCCTGTACACACTTCTAACTTGTAAATATTCCTCAAGGTGATAGTACCTTTTGATATCTCAATCATTAACTTGTTAATTTGATGATTGTTTTTCTTTTATTATTATACTTTAAGTTCTAGGGTACATGTGCACAATGTGCAGGTTTGTTATACAGGTATACATGTGCTGTCTTGGTTTGCCACACCCATTAACTCATCATTTACATTAGGTATTTCTAATGCTATCCCTCCCCCATTTCCCCACCAACTGACAGGCCCCAGTGTGTGATGTTCCCCTCCTTGTGTCCAAGTGTTCTCATTGTTCAATTCCCACCTGTGAGTGAGAACATGTGGGGTTTGGTTTTCTGTCCTTGTGATAGTTTGTTGAGAATGATGGTTTCTAGCTTCATCCATGTCCCTGCAAAGGACATGAACTCAACTTTTTTATGGCTGCATAGTATTCCATGGTGTATATGTACCACATTTTTTTAATCCAGTCTATCAATGATGGACATTTGGGTTGGTTCCAAGTCTTGCTATTGTGAATAGTGCCACAATAAACATACATGTGCATGTGTCTTTATAGCAGCATGATTTATAATCCTTTGGGTATATACCCAGTAATGGGATGGCTGGGTCAAATGGTATTTCTAGTTCTAGATCCTTGAGGAATTGCCACACTGTCTTGCACAATGGTTGCACTAATTTACACTCCCATCAACAGTGTAAAAACATTCCCATTTCTCCACATCCTCTCCAGCATATGTTCTTTCCTGACTTTCTAATGATTGCCATTCTAACAGGCATGAGATGGTATCTTACTGTGGTTTTGATTTGCATTTCTCTGATGACCAGTGATGATGAGCATGTTTTCATGTGTCTGTTGGCTGCATAAATGTCTTCTTTTGAGAAGTGTCTGTTCATATCCTTTGCCCACTTTTTGATGGGATTGTTTGGTTTTTTCTTGTAAATTTGTTTAAGTTCTCTGTAGATTCTAGATATTAGCCCTTTGTCAGAGGGATAGATTGCAAAATTTTTCTCCCATTCCGTAGGTTGCCTGTTCACTCTGATGGTAGTTTCTTTTGCCACACGGAAGCTCTTTAGTTTAATTAGATCCCATTTGTCAATTTTGGCTTTTGCTGCCATTGCTTTTGGTGTTTTAGTCATGAAGTCCTTGCCCATGCTTATGTCCTGAATGGTATTCTCTAGGTTTTCCTCTAGGGTTTTTATGGTTTTAAGTCTAAAGTCTTTAATCCATCTTGAATTAATTTTTGTATAAGGTATAAGGAAGGGATCCAGTTTCAGCTTTCTACATATGGATAGCCAGTTTTCCCAGCACCATTTATTAAATAGGGAATCCTTTCCCCATTTCTTGTTTTTGTCAGGTTTGTCAAAGATCAGATGGTTGTAGATGTGTGGTGTTATTTCTGAAGCCTCTGTTCTGTTCCATTGGTCTATATATCTGTTTTGGTACCAGTACCATGCTCTTTTGGTTACTGTAGCCTTGTAGTATAGCTTGAAGTCAGGTAGTGTGATGCCTCCAGCGTTGTTCTTTTTGCTTAGGATTGTCTTGGCAATGCAGGCCCTTTTTTGGTTCCATATGAACTTTAGTTTTTTCCAATTCTGTGAAGAAAGTCATTGGTAGCTTGATGGGGATGGCATTGAATCTATAAATTACCTTGGGCAGTATGGCCATTTTCATGATATTGATTCTTCCTACCCATGAGCATGGAATGTTCTTCCATTTGTTTGTGTCCTCTTTTATTTCATTGAGCAGTGGTTTGTAGTTCTCCTTGAAGAGGTCCTTCACATCCCTTGTATGTTGGATTCCTAGGTACTTTATTCTCTTTGTAACCATTGTGAATGGGAGTACACTCATGATTTGGTTCTCTGTTGTCTATTATTGGTGTATAGGAATGCTTGTGATTTTTGCACAATGATTTTGTATCCTGAGACTTTGCTGAAGTTGCTTATCAGCTTAAGGAGATTTTGGGCTGAGACTGTGGGGTTTTCTAAATATACAATTATGTCATCTGCAAACAGGGACAATTTGACTTCCTCTTTTCCTCATTGAAAACCCTTAATTTCTTTCTCTTGCCTGATTGCCCTGGCCAGAACTTCCAACACTCTGTTGAATAGGAGTGGTGAGAGAGGGCATCCTTGTCTTGTGCCGGTTTTCAAAGGGAATGATTCCAGTTTTTGCCCATTCAGTATGATATTGGCTGTGGGTTTGTCATAAGTAGCTCTTTATTATTTTGAGATACGTTCCATCAAAACCTAGTTTATTGAGAGTTTTTAGCATGAAAGGCTGTTGAATTTTGTCAAAGGCATTTTCTGCACCTATTGAGATAATCATGTGGTTTTTGTCATTGGTTCTGTTTATGTGATGGATTACGTTTATTGATTTGCGTATGTTGAACCAGCCTTGCATCCCAGGGATGAAGCCAACTTGATCATGATGAGCAAACTTTTTGATGTGCTGCTGGATTCGGTTTGCCAGTATTTTATTGAGTATTTTTGCATTGATGTTCATCAGGGATATTGGTCTAAAATTCTCTTTTTTGTTGTTGTTGTGTCTCTGACAGGCTTTGGTATCAGGATGATGCTGGCCTCATAAAAGGAGTTAGGGAGGATTCCCTCTTTTTCTGTTGATTAGAATAGTTTCAGAAGGAATGGTACCAGCTCCTCTCTGTACTTCTGGTAGAATTCAGCTGTGAATCCGTTCTGTCCTGAACTTTTTTTGGTTGGTAGGCTATTAATTATTGCTCAATTTCAGAGCCTGTTATTGGTCTATCAGAGATTCAGCTTCTTCCTGGTTTAGTCTTGGGAGGGCGTATGTGTGTCTAGGAACTTATCCATTTCTTCTAGATTTTCTAGTTTATTTGCATAGAGGTGTTTATAGTACTATCTGATGGTAGTTTGTATTTCTGTAGTGATATCCCCTTTATCATTTTTTATTGCATCGATTTGATTCTTCTCTCTTTTCTTCTTTATTAGTCTTGCTGGTGGTCTATCAATTTTGTTCATCTCTTCAAAAAACCAGCTCCTGGATTCATTGATTTTTTGAAGGGTTTTTTGTGTCTCTGTCTCCTTCAGGTTTGCTCTGATCTCAGTTATTTCTTGACTTCTGCTACCTTTTGAATTTGTTTGCTCTTGCTTCTCTAGTTCTTTTAATTGTGATGTTAGGGTGTCGATTTTAGATTTTTCCTGCTTTCTCTTGTGGGCATTTAGTGCTACAAATTTCCCTCTACACACTGCTTTAAATGTGTCCCAGAGATTCTGTTACATTGTGACTTTGTTCTCATTGGTTTCAAAGAACATCTTTACTTCTGCCTTCGTTTCCTTATTTATCCAGTAGTCATTCAGGAGCAGGTTGTTCAGTTTCCATGTAGTTGTGCCATTCTTAGTGAGTTTCCTAATCCTGAGTTCCAATTTGATTGCACTGTGGTCTGAGAGACAGTTTGTTGTGATTTCTGTTCTTTTACATTTGCTGAGGAGTGCTTTACTTCCAATTATGTGGTCAATTTTAGAATAAGTGCGATGTGGTGCTGAGAAAAATTTACATTCTATTGATCTGGGGTGGAGAATTCTGTAGATATCTATTACGTCTACTTGTTGCAGAGCTGAGTTCAAGTCCTGGATATACTTGTTAACCTTCTGTTGATCTGTCCAATATTGACAGTGGAGTGTTACAGTCTCCCATTATTATTGTGTGGGAGTCTAAGTCTCTCTGGAGGCCTCTAACGACTTGCTTTATGAATCTGGGTGCTCCTGTATTGGGTGCATATATATTTAGGATAGTTAGCTCTTCTTGTTGAATTGGTCCCTTTAACATTATGTAATGGCCTTCTTTGTCTCTTTTGATCTGTGTTGGTTTAAAGTCTGTTTTATCAGAGACTAAGATTGCAAACCCTGCTTTTTTTTTGCTTTCCATTTGCTTGGGATATTCCTCCATCCCTTTATTTTGAGCCTATGTGTGTCTCTGCATGTGAGATGGGCCTCCTGAATACAGCACACTGATGGATCTTGACTCTTTATCCAATTTGCCAGTCTGTGTCTTTTAATGGGGGACATTTAGCCCATTTACATTTAAGGTAAACATTGTTATGTGTGAATTTAATCCTGTCATTATGATGTTAGCTGGTTGTTCCTTTCCATGTTTAGTGCTTCCTTCAGGAGCTCTTGTAAGGCAGGCCTGGTGGTGACAAAATCTCTCAGCATTTGCTTGTCTGTAAAGGCTTTTATTTCTCATTTACTTATGAAGCTTAGTTTGGCTGGATATGAAATTCTGGGTTGAAAATTCTTTTCTTTAAGAATGTTGAATATCGGCCCCCACTCTCTTCTGGCTTGTAGGGTTTCTGCCAAGAGATCCACTGTTAGTCTGATGGGCTTCCCTTTGTGGGTAACCCGACCTTTCTCTCTGGCTGCCCTTAACATTTTTTCCTTCACTTCAACCTTGGTGAATCTGACAATTATGTGTCTTGGGGTTGCTCTTCTCAAGGAGTATCTTTGTGGTGTTCTCTGAAAAGCTGAAAATTCTAAAAACCAGAGTGCCTCTTCTCCTCCAAAGGATCATAGCTCCTTGCCAGCAACAGAACAAAGCTGGATGGAGAATGACTTTGACGAGTTGACAGAAGTAGGCTTCAGAAGGTCAGTAATAACAAACTTCTCCGAGCTAAAGGAGCATGTTCTAACCAATCGCAAGGAAGTTAAAAACCTTGAAAAAAGGTTAGGTGAATGGCTAACTAGAATAAACAGTGTAGAGAAGCCCTTAAATGCCTTGATGGAGCTGAAAACTATGGCATGAGAACTTCGTGATGCATTGTGCAACCTTCAATAGGTGATTCGATCAAGTGGAAGAAACGATATCAGTGATTCAAGATCAAATTTATGAAATAAAATGAGAAGACAAGTTTAGAGAAAAAAGAGTAAAAAGAAACGAACACAGCCTCCAAGAAATATGAGACTATGTGAAAAGACCACATCTACGTTTGATTGGTGTACCTGAAAGTGACGCGGAGAATGGAACCAAGTGGGAAAACACTCTTCAAGATACTACCCAGGAGAACTTCCCCAACCCAGCAAGGCAGGCCAACATTCAAATTCAGGAAATATGGAGACCCCCACAATGATGATTGTTTTTCTTAGCTAAAGAAAGAAAACTGCAGAAGAAGAGCTTTGTGACTGGGAGGAAGATACCACAGGGACAATTTTGGTGCAGCTGGTTTTAGCCCTTGAAAAAGCTTAGAAGGAGGGTTATTTGAACATGGCTGTAAACCATGATCTTACTATCCCTGGAAATCTTTGTGTCTGGAGAGCAGAGGAGAGAAAAAGAAAGATAAGGTAAGAAAATAAAAAGAGACAAAAGTGAGTAATAAAACAATACAGACAAAATTAGGCTGGGGCACACCTGGTAGGCCATCCAGTTGACACATTATAAATAGTCAATTTCTAGGAGCCAGACTTCCACTGCTAGTTTCTGCAAATACAGTCTTGTCTTCCATTTGACGTCATGTAAAAATTGCTTTGACCAGGAGGCTTACTGAAGATACATTAAGATAGCAACAGCTTGTCTGGAAACAGTATAAGAATAGGCTCCTTAGTGAAGATCTCAAGATGATTCTATTTTTGTGCCAGGTGAAGCAGCCGAGGCTAGAAACGGTAATCTGTGCAAAACAGAATCTGTCAGATACATCAGACCAGCACTGCTGCTTCTGCTATTGTTAGTTATAGGGCAGAAGTTGCAAAAGCGAAACGAGGAATGAGAGGCAACATAAACTCAATGCTCAGATTCATAGACTAATCTCCCGAATAATTTTTCAGCTATCTCAGACACAATCTCTAAAAAAAGAATGAAACAAACAAAAACCCCAAATCTGAATGGAAAAATAATCTGCTAGTGTTCCACTCTCTTGGAAAGTTTACTTGAGGCATTCTGACTGAAATGACAATTCAATGGGGGAAGGAATAAGTGCAAGTCCCGTCTTCTCATAACCAAAAACGAAAAGTTGCTTACCCACACAAAAACTGTAGCACCTCCCCAACTATATTGGAGCAGGCCAAGAGGGAGGTGGTGTTTTCTTGGCAGTTCAGATTTTCAAAAATGAAAATTGTCCTATCTCATGTTCTATACTCACAGCACTCAGTGTTTATTAGTGGTAAGGTATTAATAAAAGCAGCATACTAGAAAATAGCTTCCTTAGAGAGGTACTCAAATTTTTATCAGGGTCTGTGGAAACCATTTAGTGCCCTGCAATTCACCAACTAATAGCTGAGATACAAAATAAGTTTTGGCAAGAATCTAAGAACCAGGAATCTCTTGTTTAGGCCATGATTGAATCTGCTTATAAAGTAATAGTAAAACACAGGTGACTTGTTCATTCACAATGCTTGGATCATAAAATTCAATTCTTGGATTCGAAAAGCCCAATAAGAAATATGTTGGCATTTAAGAAATTGGTTAAAAACATATTTTGCAGCTATAGCTTTAATGAAAATAATGTTTTCCCAAACAGGTAGAATGAATAGCTTGACACAGAAGACATTGGCTGGCAACTTCACTTACAGTTTGTAATATGTAAAGGGAAGAGACAAATGTACTGGGAAGGTAGTGTGTTAAAACACTACTAGTAATACAAGCATAGGTTCTCCAAGAAAGGTGAAGAGCAAGAAGTAGTGAGAATCTTATGGTAGTGTATTCAATTTTAAGAAAAAATCACTTAAAACAATAGAGATTTACAAAACACATAAATTTGAGGTAGTCATTTACTTTATAGAATACAGTTTCATAGAGTGATGTCAACAAAATGACAGACTAGGAATCTTTACGCTCTCTTTCCCTGACAGAGACACTGAGTTAACAACAAGGTTTCGTTGGAAACATAAGAATAGACCGTGTATCTACATTCTAGCTTGTTTGGGGGCTACACAAAAGACTAGTTTCTGTCTCTCCTAACTCCAGGTGCTGACAGGACCAGCGGCATAATATGGAAGCCACTGAAAACAGACGATAACACTGCAGCATATTAGAGCTATAGTTCTCTGAGCAGATGCCAGCAGGAGCAAGAGATAAGAAAAGTTTTGAGAGGTCCTAGGACCTCTGAGTTTATTAGTGAAGTTTATTATTCCCTGCACAAGGCTAGCATGCAAAGTCTCAGAAAGGTGGTCATGTATTTCAAATGCCCAAATCTCAACAAAAAAATTACAACAATGACGTCTTCTGTGGAACCCCTCTAGTGAATTTTTCAGTCCTGTTACTGTATTTTTCAGCTCCAGAAATTTGTTTTTTTTTTTATAATTTACAAAAAAATTGCTTTACAATTTACAAAAGATTACAATGCATATGAAGAAACAGGAAAACATGGTACAAAGGCCTAAAATTAAACTCCAGAAACCTACCCTAAAGAAATACGTATCTATGCACTGAAATAAATAATTTAAAATAAATATTATAAAGATGTTTATAAAACTGAAAAAGAACCCAGATATACAACTAAGTAAAATCAGAAAAATAACAAATGAACAAAATGAGAATATTAACAAAGGGTTAGAAATTGATTTTTAAATACCAAACAAATTTTTGGAGCAGAAAAACACAATAATTAGATAGAAAAAATCACTAGAGGGATTCAACAGAAGACTTGATCAGGCAGAAGACAGAATCCGTGACTTTGAAGGTAGATCATTTGAAATAATTGATTCAAATGAGGAAAAAGGAAAGAAGGAAAGTAAAGAAACCCTAAGGGATGTATGAAACACTATATGCTTGATCTGTACAGGCCAATCTATACATTATGGGAACGTCAGAAGGAGAAAATAGAAAAAAAGGGGCACATAGATTATTTGAAAAAATAATGGTTGAAAAACTTGCTACATCTGAGCAGAAAATGGGCAGACAAATTCAAGAAACTCAAAGAAATACAACCAGGATAAACCCAAGATAACCATCCCAAGACACAAGACACAACATAATCAAACTGTCTAAAATCAAAGAAAAATAAATAATTTTGAAAGAAGCAAAAGAAAAGTGACTTATTGCAAGCTAGGAAATTTTAATAAGAATATCAGTGGATTTCTCAGCAGAAGCCTTGCAGGTCTGAGGGAGTGTGATGATATATTCAATATGCTAAAAGAAAAAAAATTGTTAAGGAAGAATATTGTTTTCAGCAAAACTATACTTCAGATATAAAGATAAAGGAGAAATAAAGACTTTTCCAGATTAAAAAAAAAGCTGAAGGAGTTTATTACCACTAGACATGCTCTGTAAGAAATGCCAAAAGGAATCCTTCAAGTTGAAACAAAGGGACAGTAGATAGCAATATTAAGCCATACAAAAATATAAGGCTCTCTAGTAATCTAAATACATGGACTAATACAGTAACCTGTATTATAGTAATTCTGGTGCATGAAATTTAAAAACATTAAAAATAATTGTAAATCTATGTTAATGGGTGTATAATATGTAAAAATGTATTTTGTAACATTAATGATAGAAAGTCAGGGATGGAGCTGTAAAGCAGCAGTTTTTTGATGTGATTGAAAGTAACTTGTTTCAATTTAAAATAGAATGCCATACCTTTCAGATGTTGTATGTAATTGAAATAGTACCCACAAAAATACCTATAGAATACACACGAAAGGAAATAAAAAAGGAGTCAAAACTTGTTGCTACAAAAAATTAATGAAACACAAAGGAAGCCAGTAAGAGACGAAAGGAAGGACAAAAAGGTATAAAATAGGGGTACCTAATTTTTTGGCTACCTTGGGCTACACTGGAAGAAGAAAAATTGTCTTGGACCACACATAAAATACACTAACACAATAGCTAATGAGCTTTAAAAAAAAAAATCACAAAAAACAACCTCATAATGTTTTCAAAAAGATTACGAATTTGTCTTGGGCCACATCCAAACCCATCCTGGGCTACACTCAGCCTGCAAGCTGCAGGTTGGACAAGCTTGGTATAAGATACAGAAAACAAAATGACAATATCAAGTCTTCCCTTATCAGTAATTACTTTAAATGTAAATGAATTAAACTCTCCAATCAGAAGACATAGATTGGCTGAATGGATTAAAAAAAAAAAAACATGATCCAACTACATGCTCTCTAAAAGAGATTCACTTTTTAGATGTACAAATACACATAGGCTGAAACTGAAAGGATGGAAAAAGATACTGCATGCAAATAGTAACCAAAAGGAAGCAGAGGTTGCTATACTAATATCAGACAAAATAAGCTTTAAGTCAAAAATGTTACAAAAAGTAAAAGGGGACATTATATATTAATGAAAGGCTTAATTTATGAAGAAGATATAATATTTATAAATATTTATGCACCAAGCCTCAAAACTCCTAAATATGTAAATAAAATTTTGACAGAATTGAGGAAACAAATATCAACACTGTAGTTGTAGGAAACTTTCATTTCTTCATTTTCAGTAATAGATAGAATAACCAGACTGAAGATCAATAAGAAAATAAAGAACTCAGACACTACGATAGACTAATTGGATCTATCAGACATATACAGAGCACTTCACCCAACAATAGCAGAATATATATTTTTCTCAAGTGTACATGGAAGATCTTTCAAGATACAACAAGTTAGGCCATAAAACAAGTCTAACAAATTCTAGAAGATTAAAGCTATACAAAGTATCTTTTCTAGTCACAATGGAATAAAATTAGAAATCAATAGCAAAATGAAAAAATGCACAAATAAATGTAAATTAAACAACAAATTCTTATATAACAAACAGGTCACAGAAGAAGTCACAAGGAAAATTAGAAAATATATTGGGACAAATGGAAATGAAAACACAACAAACCAAAACTTATGAGATGCAATGAAAGCAGTGCTAAAAGGAAGATTTATACATGTAAATTTGTACACTAAAAAAAAGGAAAGATCTTAAATCAACAACCTAACTCAAGAAACTAGAAAAAGAAGAACAAACTAAACCCAAAGTTCTAACAAAACTTAGAGCAGAGATAAATGAAATCAGAAACAGAAAAACAACAGAAAGAAATCAACTAAACCAAGAATTGGTTTTTTTGAAGAGATAAGGAGAATTGACAAATCCTTAGCTAGATTAGCTAAGAAAAAAAGAGATGATTCAAATAAATTGAAAATAAAAGACTGTACATTACAACCAATGTCACAAAAATAAGAATAATAACAGAATATTATGAGCAATTTTATGTCAACAAATTGTATAACTTAGGAGAAATGGATGAATTCCTAGCAACACACAACTTATCAAGACTGAATCATGAAGAAACAGAATATCTAAACAGACCAATAATTAGAAAGGAGATCGAATCAAAAATCAAAAACCTCCCAACAAAGAAAAGTATATGACCAGATGGTTTTACTGGAAAATTCTATGAAATATTACAAGAATCAACACAAATCCTGTTGAAACTCTTCTAAAAAATTAAAGAGAAGTGAACACATTCAAATTCATTCTATAAGATCAGCATTACTCTGATACCAAGGCCAGACAAAGCTCAAGAAAACTACAGACCAATATCTCTGATTAATGTTGATGAGAAAATCCTCAACAAAATACTAGAAAACTGAATTCAACAGCACATTAAAAGAATTTTACACCATGACCAAGTGGAATTTATTCATGGAATGCAAGAATGTTTTGACATGTAAAAATCAATCAAATTAATATACTGCATTAACAGAATGAAGACCAAAAGTCACATGATCATTGATATAGTAAAAGTATGTGACAGCATTTAATACCCTTTCAATAAAGTATTCAACAAACTAGAAATAGAAGGAAACTACCTCAACATAATAGAGGCCTTATATGAAACATCCACAGCTAACATCACATTCAATAGTGGAAAACTGAAAACTTTTTCTTTAAGATTGAAAGCAGGGTAAGGATCCCAGCACTTGTCACTTCTATTTAATAGAATATTGAAAGTCCTAGTCAGATCAATCAGGCAAAAAAATAAAATAAAATAAAAGGTATCCAAATTGGAAAGGAAGAAATAAAATTATTTCTATTCACAGATGACATAATCTTATATGTAGAAAACCTAAACATTCTGCAAAAATAAAAACTATTAAAACTAATAAATGAATTGAGCAAATTTACTGGGTATAAAATCAACACACAAAATGAGTTGTATTTCTGTATATTAACAATGAGCAAACCAAAACAAAATTAAAACAATTCCATTTGTAATGGCATCAAAAAGAAGAAAACACTTTGGAATAAGCCTAACCAAGAGGAGAAAGACATGTCAAAAACTACAAAACATTGCTGAAAACAATAAAACATTGCTGAAAAAAGTTAAAGAGGACACAAATAAATTGAACAATATTCTGTGTTCATGGATTGGAAGGCAATATTGTTAAAATGTCTATATTACCAAAAGTGATATACAGGTTCAATGGAATCCCTATTATTAATAAAATCCCAGTGGCATTTTATTGCAGAAATAGAAAAATTTGTACTAAAATTTATTTTAGAATTAGGAAAATTCATACTAAAGTTTCAAAGGACAGCAAATAATCAGAACAATTTTGAAAAAGAACAAAGTTGTAGAACTCACACTTACCAATTTCAAAACATATAAAGCCACAATAATCAAAGTGTGGTATTAACATAACAACAAATATAAACCAGTGGAATAGAAGAGATGACCCAGAAATAAACCCTCATTTGTATCATCAAACAATGTTCAACAAGGATGTCAAAACCACTCAATGAGGAAAAACACCACCATTCAACAAATAGTGCTGGAAAACTAGATATTCGCTTGCAAAAGAATGGTGCACTGTGTCTTCTACTATATACAAAAATTAACTCAAAATGAATAAAAAGTCAAAATGTAAGACCCCCAAACTCTAAAGCTCCTAGAAGAAACTACATGGAAAAACCTTTATGACATTGGAATTCGCAATGTTTTCTCTCAGGTATGAAAACTAAAGAACAGGCAACAAAAGCAAAAATAAACAAATGAGACTACATCAAACTTTAACCCTTTTGTACATCAAAGGACACAATCAACAGAGTGAAAGGGCACCCTACAGCATGGGAGACAATATTTTCAAATCATACATCTGATAAGGAGTTGATATCCAGAATACATAAAAACTCTTACAACACAACAACAAAATCAAATAACCCAATTTTTAAAATTGGCAAAGATTTCGAATAGACATTCAAATATCTATTTATCTCCAAAGATGATATACAAATGGCCAACAAGCATTTGAGAAGATGGCCAACATCACTAATCACTAGGGAAATGCAAATCAAAATCACAATGAGATACTAACTCATACCCATTAGAGTGGCTACTATCAGAACAACAGAAAACAACATGCATTGGTGAGAATGTCGATAAATTGAAACCTTGTGCACTGTTGGTGGGATTGTAAAATAGTCCAACTGCTATGGAAAACAATATGGAGGTCCCTCAAAAATTAAAAGTAGAGCTACCATATTATCCAGCAATTCAACTTCTAACCATATATCTAAAAAAATTGAAAGCAGAGTCCTGAAGAGATATTTGCACACCCATGTTCACACAGCATTATCCACAAAGCTGAGAGGCAGAAGAAATGTAAATGTTCATCAAATGACAAATGGATAAATGAAATGTGGTACATACATACAGTGGAATATTAATCAACCTTAAAAGGAAATTCTGATACACACACTACAACATTGATAAATCTTGAGAAAATTATGCTAAGTGAAATAATCCAGTCATAAAAACACAAATACTATATGATACCCCTAGTCAAATTCATAGAAACAGTAGAATAATTGTTACTAGGGTTGGGAGGAGGGGGAAAGGAGTAGTTGTTGTTTGATAGGTACAGAGTTTCAGTTTTACAAGATAAAAAAGTTCTGAAGATCTGTTTCACAACAATGTAAATATACTTAACGCTACTAAACTGTATATTTAAGAATGGTAAGCTAGTAAATTTTTTTGTTTTTCACCGTGAAAAAAAGACAATTTCATAAAGTATACTCAGTAGAATTTTAAAAATATTTCATATACGTTTTTCTCTTTGTAGATTCTCCAGACCTTTCTCTCAGTATCTACACATTTTAACAATAGTTCTAATTATTATTCAGAATACTAGTAGTAATTAATAGAACCAAAATAGATATGAAGCCAGATCTGTATAACTCCAAATCTGTGCACATTTTACCATACAAACGTAACTTTTTCTTTGCAGCTTAGTTTTACGTTGTTTTTCTAACACATGAACTAAAGGAAAAGGAGAATGTTCATCTGAGAAAATCTTCAAAAGATTTGTATTTTTACTTAAGGAAAAGGAAGGAAAGTAATTAATCTTCTCTTCCATAGAAGACCAGGAAGACGTTCTGTGAGGAAGACATAGGTGGAAATACGGAAAGCAGAAAAGACAACTTCGGGGTGGCCGGGAGATAACAGAAGGTAATCAGAAAATGAGAAATTATAAGAATAGTTCTGACTCTCAACTCCTTACAAACAGCCCACAACTCATTATTCTCTGGCTCCCTAACGAGTCTCACCTTTCTATTACCTCCATCTAAGACACTGTCTCTGCCAGGCTACTGGAGCTGCCACCATGACTTATTTCTGAAGAAATCCCTATTTCTCTGTCTGGCAGTTGGGAAGTCTGGGAGAGTTATTCAGACCTCAGTAGAGACAGAAAAGTATTCCAAGTATAATATCTAAATGCATATTCTCAAACAAACACTATCATTCTTAGAAATTAAATTCCATAGTATTAAAAATACTGCCTTATACATTAGATGGCTTATGGGATTGCTGTTGATGCCCTGCCTAGGTCCCCTTTACTATGAGGGGGCACCAACCTACCGTGAGCTGGCTGCAAAAAGGATACAGCTCCACTTTTCTCCTAGTACTGTTGTGAGCTGACAGGAATTGCCTTGTATAAAAATGCCTGAACAGCATGGCCAACATGGCGAAACCCCGTCTCTACTAAAATACAAAAATTAGCCGGGCATGGTGGTGGGTACCTGTAATCCCGGATACTTGGGAGGCTGAGGCAGGAGAATCGCTTGAACCCAGGAGGGGGAGGTTGCCGTGAGCTGAGATTGAGCCACTGCACTCCAGCCTGGGCGACACAGCGAGACTCCGTTGAGGAAGGGAGGAAGGGAGGGAGGAAGGAAAAGAGGGAGGGAGGAAGAGAGGAAGGGAGGAAGGGAGGGAGGGAGGTAGGGAGGGAGGGAGGGAGGGAGGGAGGGAGGGAGGAAGGAAGGGACGAAGGAAGGAAGGGACGAAGGAAGGAAGGGACGAAGGAAGGAAGGGACGAAGGAAGAGAAGGAAGCCTGAGAAGTTATAAGCATAGCTTGCGGTTGATGACTCAATAATTCAGGGCTACAAAAGCTCAACCCCTTTGCCTCAATTTGGGATAATACTGTGGTATTATTTTATGCTCTAGAGCTTCTCATGTGATGGGTGAAGCCAGACTTTATCCGAAGCCTATTTTCGTTTGGCCTTCCCCTCTGCCCTATCCTGCTGTCGGTAGTTTTTCACAGCTTTTTCCCATGTCAGCACTCCCTCAATAAACAACTTGCAAAAAATACCCTGGTATCAGACTCTCTTCCAGGGAACCAAACCTAAGACATGGAGAAAATAGATTTCTAAATCTAATTGCCTTGGAATCTAATTGGTATATAGGTTTTGTTATTTTTTGTGTGTGTGTGATGGACTCTTGCTCTTTTGCCCAGGCTGGAGTGCAGTGGCGTGATCTCGGCTCACTGCAAACTCCACCTCCCGGGTTCACGCCATTCTCCTGCCTCAGCCTCCCAAGTAGTTGGGACTACAGGCGCCCGCCACCACGCTCGTTTTTTTTGTTCTGTTTGTTTGTTTGTTTTTGTATTTTCAGTAGAGACGGGGTTTCACCGTGTTAGCCAGGATGGTCTCAATCTCCTGACCTCGTGATCCGCCCACCTTGGCCTCCCGAAGTGCTGGGATTACAGGCGTGAGCCACCGTGCTCGGCCAGTATATAGGTGTTTTTATAGAAAAATGCATTTCAAATTCTAACAACCAATCTATTAAAACATTTTTGAAAATAAGCCTGTGTATGCATCTAAAACTAAGAAACATTTTTTTTCAGGTTTTATTATTAAATAGCCCAGGTAAACACATATGCAGAGAAATAACTAAAGTCTCCTTCTTCCAGGTAATAGCAGACTAAATAACTCAGAACTATCCTCCTGCTGAAGGCAATAGGAAGTCTGGCAAAGTATTTTTTAATTCTGCTTAAAAATGTCAGAGAACTAATAAAATAGTAAAGAATTATGAGACAAGATCCATGGAAAGATGGAGGCTTAAGGAGGTGAGCTAGAATTTGGAGGGACTTTTCTCCTGGGAGAAATTCACCAACTCTATCCAGGGGCTCCCAAATTAAGTGCACTTTTAATAGCCTCTGGGAGATAAGGGTTCAGATAATTAACTCCAGAGCCTGCTGAAAAGAAAAGGATTTATGTGAACATTTTGGGAGTAAGGATGAACCAAAAATAGGCCCTCCTAGAGATGGTAGCTTAGCTACCAATATTTTCTCGTTTTTTGTTGACTTTTATATGAAGTTCAGAGGTACACATGCAGGTTTGTTACGAAGGTAAAATTGTGTCATGGAGGTTTGTTGTACAGATTATTTTATCACCCAGGCATTAAGCCTAGTACCCCTTAGTTATTTTTCCTGATCCTCTCCCTCCTCCCATCTCCCACCCTCAAAAGGGCCCTAGTGTGTGTTGTTCACCTCTATGTATCCACGTGTTCTCATCAGTTAGCTCCATTTATAAGTGAAAACATGCAGTATTTGGTTTTCTGTTCCTGTGTCAGTTTGCTAAGAATAATGGCCTCCAGCTCCATCCATGTCCTTGCAAAGGAAATGATCTCATTCTTTTTTATGGCTGCATAGTATTCCATGGTGTATATGTACAACATTTTCATTATCAAGTCTGTCGTTGATGGGCATCTAGGCTGATTCCATGTCTTTGCTATTGCGAATAATGCTGCAATGAACAAAAATGGGCATATGTCTTAGTAATCGAATGATTTACATTCCTTTGGGTATATACCCAGTAATGAGATTGCTGGGTCAAATGGTATTTCTGTTTTTAGGTCTTTAAGGAATTGCCACACTGTCTCCACCATGGTTGAACTAATTTACACTCACATCAACAGTGTATAAGCATTCGTTTTTCTCCACAACTTGGCCAGCATCTGTTATTTTTTTTTTTACTTTTTAATAGCCATTTTAACTGGTGTGAGATGGTTTCTCATTGTGGTTTTCATTTGCATTTCTCTAATAATCGGTGATGTTGAGCTTTTTTTCATATGATTGTTGGTCACACGTATGTCTTCTTTTGAGAAGCATCTGTTCATGTCCTTTGCCCACTTTTTAATGGGGTTGTCTGTTTTTTCTCAAATTTGTTAAGTTCCTTATACATGCTGGATATTAGACTCTCATCAGATGTATAGTTTGCAATTTTTTTCCATTCTGTAGGTTTTCTGTTCACTTGCTTGATAGTTTCTTTTGCTATGCAGAAACTCTGTAGTTTAATTAGATTCCATTTGTCAATTTTTTCTTTTGCTGCAATTGCTTTGGGGGTCTTTGACATGAAATCCTTGCCTGTTCCTGTGTCCTGAATGGTATCCTATGTTGTCTTCCAGGGATTTTATAGTTTGGGGTTTTACGTATAAGTCTTTTATCCATCTTGAGTTAATTTTTTTATATGGTGTAAGAAAGGGGTCTGGTTTCAAGTCTTCTGCATATGACTAGCCAGTTATCCCAGCACCATTTATTGAATAGGGAATCCTTTCCCTGCTTCTCATTTTTCTTAGGTTTGTCGAAGATCAGATAGTTGTGGGCATGTGGCTTTATTTCTGGGTTCTCTATTCTGTTCCATTGGTCTGTGTGTCTATTTTTGTACCAAACAGATTCACAGCTGAATTCTACTAGATATACAAAGAGGAGCTGGTCCCTACCATTTGTATTGAAACTATTCCAAAAAATTGAGGAGGAGGGACTCCTGCCTAACTCATTCTATGAGGCCAGCATCATCTTGACACCAAAATCTCACAGATGCAACAAAAAATGCAAACTTCAGGCCAATATCCTTGATGAATCAATGCAAAAATCCTCAACAAAATACTGGCAAACTGAATCCAGCAGTACATCAAAAAGCTTATCCACCACAATAAAGTAGGCTTTGTCCTTGAGATGCAAGTTGGGTCAACATACACAAATCAATAAATGTGATTCATCACATAAACAGAACTAAAGACAAAAATCACATGATTATCTCAATAGATACAGAGAAGGCTTTTGCTAAAATCCAACACCCCTTCATGTTAAAACTCTCAATAAACTAGGTGTTGAAGGAACACACCTCAAAATAATAAGAGCCATCTCTATGACAAACCAACAGCCAACATCATACTGAATGGGCAAAAGCTGGAAGCATTTTCCTTGAAAACCAGCATAAGACAAAGATGCCCTCTCTCATCACTCCCATTCAACATAGCATTGGAAGTCCTGGCCAGAGCAATCAGGCAAGAAAAAGAAATAAAGGGCATCCAAATAGGAAGAGAGAAAGTCAAACTATTCCTGTATCTAGCAAACCTCATAGTCTCAGCCCAAAAGCTTCTTAAGCTGATAAGCGACTTCAGCAAAGTCTCAGGATACAAAATCAGTGTGCAAAAATCACTAGCAGTCCTATACACCAACAAGAGACAGGCTGAGATCCAAATCAGACACATAATCCCATTCACAACTGCCACAAAAAGAATAAAATGCCTAGGAATACAGCTAACTAAAGAGGTGAAGTATCTCTATAAGGACAACTATAAAACACTGCTCAACGAAATCAGAGATGACACAAACTGAAAAACATTCTGTGTTCATGAATAGAGAGAATCAATATCATAAAAATGGCCATATTGTCCAAAACAATTTATAGATTCAATGCTATGCCTATTAAACTACCATTTGGGTTCTTTACAAAACTAGAAGAAAACTATTTTAAAATTCACATGAAACAAAAAATGATCTTGAATGGTCAAGATAATCCTAAGCAAAAAGAACAAAACTGGAGGCATCATGCTACCTGACTTCAAACTATACTACAGAATTACAGTAACCAAAACAGCATGGTACTGGTACAATACTTTCAATATTTCAAATTGAACTAATATAATCCTACATTGCTAGTAACCCTAGTCATCTACCAGAAATAAAAGTAAGTCCTTCCTGGAGTAAAATAATTTCATCCTAGGCCTCCAGTTATTTCTATAAGTAATTTACAAGGTATCTCAGTCAGTTTGGGCTCCATTCTTATGACCTAATTACCTCCCAAAGGCCCACCTTTTATTATCATCCATTATGGATTACAGTTTCAACACATGAATTTTGGGAAAAAATATGCAGTTTATAATGCAAAGTCTGACATACAATATAGTAATCAGACCCAGCAGTAGATAAAATGACATGAACAAATCAGCAGGAACAACAGACAGTAGAGATGAACCCACAAAAACTCCACACAGCGGAGTTAGTAGAGAGGCACTTTAAAATAACAATAGTCATTATGTTCAAGAAAATGACAAAAATTTCAGCAACATATTGGAAATGGAAATATATAATCACAGATTAGAACTCAATGGATAACATGATGAAAGGGTATAGCAGCAGGTAAAAAGTGGTGAGGAGAGAATTACTGAATTGAAGGAGAGATCAGAAGAAAAAAATCCATAATGAAACCACAAAAAAATGGGGGGAAAACCTAGAAGAGAAGGTAGAAGACACAGAGGATAGAGTAAGAATCTAATAAGTAACAAGACATGGAGTCTCACAGAGACAGGAAAGAGAGAAAATGGTCAAAAGCAATATTTAAAGAGATAATAACTAAGAATATCTCAATGTGAATAAAACCACAGATTCTAAAATCTCTTATAAAAACCCAGAGTTAACTAATCAATTTCAGCTTTCTAAGGATAAAATTTTTTAAATTTAAGCATACTTTTAGAAATGTTATCTATAGAACAGAAATAATAGTCATACCACCAGGATTACTGTAAGATCATATACGGTAGCATATTTGGACACTATATAGAAATTAATTGTGATCTCAAGTGTTTTGTGTTTTAATATAATTCTAAATTAATTAATTTACTAAGAGTTAAACATCATGTAAAAGTCTTGACACAATAATAAGTCTTAAAAATGTTAGGTAAAAATACTCCACAAAATTAGTGGGTTTAACTCATATAATAAACACTCATCACAATATATTAGTTATAATTTATTAATTGTTCTCCCTCTTAGTCTTTATAGTCTTTGTCTGTGATATTTATTAATCTTAAGAAGCTGTTGGAATACTCTGGAATAACTGGAGCCAAGTAGGATTTTTCTGGCATCAAGGAAGGAACATGGAAGAAAATCAGCAGACTAAATTTACAACCAAAATTCAATAGTCCCTAGATGATTGTGATATGAGATCAATATTCATTTATATGCACGTGAAGATAAATATCATGAAAGTTCCAGTATTTATATGATGCCCAAATAAGTCTTTTTTTAAAAAACCCATATCCGATTTTCAAAAACTGCCATTAGATAATTATAGAAAGTTATAGTGCCAGAAAGTTAGGAAAGCAGAAAACTTGAAACTAGCTCATAAACATTTCAAGAACCTAATGAGGGTTATTTTCACCTACAGATATTGATCAAACTCCAGAAGAGGACAGAGTAGTCAGCCAAATTTACTATCCTCACATGACCTTTCTTGGTTGTTTATCTTTTTTGTACTCTGCTGAATTTCAAATCAAGTGTCTCATGTTAAAGCAGAAGAAAATTTTACTAAGTGAATTAAAGGAACTGGCTTCCAGAGCCAAGTGAGCAAGGAAGCACCAAAATGATTTTTCCCCCCCGACACATTAACTTTCAAAATTTTAACTGTAGGTAGTTGGAATTAGGGATTCTTCAACCGATAAAAAATAGTCTACCTGTACTCCACTATCATAGTAGCTTCCACTCAGTACAATACTAGATGATTTTCTTTTCACGTTAAATTTCATTACAATGTTTTCAGCAGGAGCCAAGTTTCCAAGAATGAAACACAATCATAGGTAAACAATTATAACCATATAAAATTAACAATAGATTTAAATTCGTGTCAATAAATTTTGAGTTAATTTGCTTACTAAATATGTATTTAGTGATCACTTACAGAAAGACAAGCACAGAGATAGAAAGATGAAAAGATACAAATCTAACTTGAAGGAGGTTATACTTTAGGACATTTATGCAATCCACAATTACAGAATTGTTCCATAACTGCTGAGATGCACAACACTTATATAAGATATTTTGGAACTACATGCAGTTGTTTCTAAGTATTGTTGGGAAAATTGGGGAAAACTTCAGAGAGGTGCGTCAAAGAGCTACGAGAGAGAGAAGCATCAAAAGGACCAGGCATTCTAGTCTACAAGAATAACTTATGCAATTGACTTACAACACGCAAAAAAAAAAAAGTGGATACTAGAAATTACAATATTCATGTTGCTGAAGCATGAAAAAAAGGAAAAGTAGAAAATTAGGTTATTTAGATTGGTATGGACCAGATAATAAACGAACCAAGATTTCATTCAATAGGCTGATTGTTTTCAAAAGAACCCAATGGATTTTCAAGCACCCCTGCAGAATCCAAAGAGAGACAAATAGATGAAGATCCAGGCCGTTTCTCTTCCAGTAGACTGACATCATTTTATCCATTTATTTTGGGGATTCAGGCAATATTTTATTGAAAATCACTGTTATAAGCAATGAGAGCCACCAGGGAATGCTAGCGAGGTTTTCCCAAGAGCTGAATTCATCAGAATGTGTTTCACAGCATTAGTTTCAAACATTTTCAATATATTTCCATTTTCAAAGCCATATTGTCTATTTTTAAAAGACAAGGAGATATGAAAGTAACATAGAGGTAGGCATACAAAAGATGACTGAGGGCACCAATTGGGTTCTAATAAACAGTATTTTTTGCTGTTTTGGATCATCTTTAAGCAGATGACAACATACTATATATAGCATGCATAATCCTGTTCCTCTTGAAGTTACCAGGTCTTGTTTGACAGTCTCAGATCTGTCTTTTAATGAACAATATTGTTACATCTTATAGCCCTTCTTAAATATACTTCAACATATATGAATAATAAATAAATTACTGGTAGCAGAGCTCCCCACCTTAGGAAATATGAATCCATAATTCTGAATTCTAACATTACACAAAACTAATTTGTGTGACCTTTAATGAAAACTGAATTCTTGTTTACATAATGGAGAATTCATTATGTAGGAGTAGTCCAGGAATTAATAATTAAGCAGAGCCAAAAAGGCGAGAAATAGCAAATGCTTATCTTCAGATCTCTACACCATAAAATCTCTATTTGGTAAAATCTAATTGGTATGAAAATGACTCTTTAAACCTTCCAAAGTAATTAGAGCATTTTCAAAAATGTTTTCTTATAAAATATGGTTCCCAAAATAGTTCATACTGGTTATTTTGAGAAGGTGCGATTTTTTAAAAATCTACATATAAAACTCAGAATTCATTCTGCCATTATTGATGAAAACATGGAAACAAGAACAATTGCACCATATGGAAGACTGTCTAGACAAGAATGTTAGGGGTTATGACTGAAATAATTTATTGTTTGCTGAGAGCCAACAGTATGCTTAGCATTAGACAACACATCAAAAGAATAGGACTGTAGCCATTGAACTCACAATTTAAGCCAGACACACAAACATTGAAATAATAAATCATAACAGCTAAGAAAATTGTGTGAATTTCACAGGAATGAATTTGGGTGTTGATTTACTTTATTAGCAATAAAAAATTAAGAGATGCCAGAAATAATCATCATAAAGATTGTCAATGCGTGTTATTAATCTAGCCCCAGAATTAGCTACCTGACTGAATTTTAAAAAGCAAATTTGTGACATTTAACAATCATGAGAATGAGTATTTTTTGCAGCAGCATTTATAAAACATTTTATCACATGCTGATGTTATGAAAAGCAAATTACGCTTAATGTTCATACCTTCTTTGTGTGCATACATTTACTATCACCCATTTTTTCATTCTTTCTTGCCTTCATGATCACTGGTCTTTCAATAAATAAAAAGAGTAAGCCAGTTAGATTAATTTTCTGTTTTTTATTTAAGGGCACATTTTTATATGCAATCATATGGATGTAAATGTCACCCATGCTCAAGAAACTTCAAATATTTTTATTGTTGTCACCCTTCCAAAGAGTGCTAAAAGTATTAAACAATAGTCAGCTTTGAGATTAGAAACCTATGCTAGGGTTTAATTCATAAATATTCTGTGTTACACTGCTGTGGAAATTAGGTGGTTTTAGATGGTGGTTTTTAGGCTTTGACTAACGTAACATCTCCGGACCTTTGTTCCTTTACCTAAAATATGGGTAATACACAGAGTTTTATAAGAATTAAATATGGGAAATCTATAAAACAGGTGGCCTTGGTAAAAATAACAGTGAGCAAGTATCTATTATTTAAATAACATAATAATGTTTCTGCATGTATGAGTTTATCATGCTAGAAAAATATAACAAAAACCAGAGCTAACAGAAACAGAATTATTTACAGTAAAACCCCAAGGAAAGGAAAGTATTTGCTTTACGTTTTTGGAGAAATAAAAGGTTAAGAATTAGGGGAGAAATCTCCAAGAGACACAATTGTTTCATTTAAGAACAATTCTATATAAAGTTCATAGCTGTTTAACAGGAGTGAATGCAAGTTTAAGGTTAGTGCTTTGAAAGGGAATTGTTGAAACCCATGAGCGTGAAGTAACATTTATGTAGATAACGGCAGGATGTCCAACCAAGAAGACCCACGTGTGTGCCCAGAGAATGTAATACAGATACCTACATATAGTTAGAATAAGATCCTATAAGATCACATTCTATAAAATGTGCTGCTTAGCTGGTTTTACTTACCAATGGCCTTAGTATCAAGACTAAGGTCAAAAGTAGGGTACACATTGTCCAGACACACAGAATAATCCCTGCACAGGTTGTTTAATACTGGAGTTAATGTAGATTACAAGGGGATTTGTCTAGATTCTATTTATTTCATTCCACAAATACTTCTTGAAAACTTGTTATGTGCCAGGGATTCATAGGCACCGGGAATACAAAAGAAACAGAGTAGGTGAAACAATAAAAACAAATAAGACAAACAAAGACTTTTATTATGCTTACCTTCTATTCAGAGAACACAGAAAATACACATACAAGTGAGTAAGTCTCCTAATATACTCAAAGGTGGTGTGAGGTATGGAATACAAAGTAGGGAAGGGGGAGGGAATGAGCTGGAGAAATGAAGGATGCAACTCTAAAGATCTAGACCAGAAAAGACCTCACTGTGAATATGATATTGAAATCAAATATCTGAAGAAGCAGAATCTTAAACTAGCAATCCATGCATATGTCCATGGAACAAACATGCCAAGAAGAGGGAAGAGCAAGTTCAAATTGACTAGAACAGTGCCTGGCATAGAGCAAGTATCTCCAATATTTCTTCAATGAAAAGGAAAATTGTGTTGGGCTAAGCAAGATGAGTTTTGGGGAATGACAAGAGGAGGAGAGTCATTCTTTTCTTCTTTTGGTGATGGGACACTCAACAAACAACAGAGGAGCAGATGCATCTTCCAGAGAGGTGATCTGGTTCTGCAATGCCAGATGCCACCATGACCACTGAAAGCCACTGTGGCATTTACTTGGGATGGGGCATCTGATCCCTTGGTCCTGTCCTGCCCACTCAACGTAACTTTGACTTTGTTCTCTTCAGTTACTAAATCCATGGCTCAGCAATGAACTTCCTACTCCCAGCAACTCTAAGAGGCTGCTCCTGAGGTGTCTCCCAGCCCATGAGCTCTGATGCAGTGCATTCCTGCCAGGAACTTCATTTCAGCCTCAGGTGCAGGTGCAGGTACCACAACTTACATCTCTTTACATGACCAGCTCTACAGAGTCCACAGTAATGGCACTGTCATTTTATAATGACAATTGGCACAAATCAGTTAGTCTACACTGGACAAATATAAGGAAAAATATAGCACTTATTTTTCCTATTTTTCATATTATCAAGCAACAGTCATAAAGCAGTCAATTAAGTTAATTGAATTGGAATAAGGAGAAAATTGTTTATAATTACCTAGAAACTCACCTTCTATATTTCACAAGGAAGAGAACGCAATTCAGAGAGTCTCAACAGTTTATGGCATGCATGTTACAAAAGTGTATCTCTTCTATGTACATTTCATGAGTTATAGTTCATTTACATTGGCTCACATAAACATTCAAGTCTCTAAAATTGAGTAGTGTGAACAGTGCCCAGGTTAAAAGTAAGACTGGAAAGAATTTGCTAATATATACAACTATAATAATTTGCGAGGCTGTAATGAGCTGTGGGTTAGCCCGTCATTTATTCCTGCATCTCACCATGATCCTTTCCTGCAGCTGTTCTGCAAACATCCATTCCTTCCCTTCCCTGGGACAGATCTCAGCGACGAAAACTCTAAGTCTCTAATTTATTGAATGTTCACTCTATGCTAGGCCCTGAAGGAAGGGTGCCACACACAGTGCCTCTTTTAAAATCACCAATAACCTGGGAAAGAAGGTAATCTTATTATCCCTGTTTTATGAAAATTAAAGCTCAGATATGTCAAATAATTTGTTCAGAGTTACATAGCTTAAGTTCCCAAAGCAGGATTAAACTGTGGGGCTTAAACTGTAGGATACAGAATTAAACTGTAGGATACGAGAACTTGAGATTTTTGTTATATTCTCCACATGCCTAAGTATTAATCCTGATAGGAGAGCAGGATCAGGCAGGGGCTGGTAGTGTCAGCCTGACAATATTAAACAGCTTCCCAAGGGGCCCCCTGAGGCAGAAAATCTTATATGTCTCCCCTCTCTCGGGAAAAAAAAAAAAAGTCTGATTTTATTTGAGATAGGAATGTACCTAGCTAAATATTTTTCTTATCATCCCTTCCAGCTAGAGTTGGCTATGTGACACATGACTAATAATATTTAAATAAAAGGCTGAAAGAAATTCTGGGAAAGGCTATGTTTACCTAATAAATGGGGACGAGTTGGACCAGAATATTCCCTCCTTTATTCCTTTCTCAAATGTAGACAAGAAGCTGGTAGAACTGCAGGCGCCATCTTAAAGCCATAAGGCAAATCACAGAGATCTTGGCAGTGAATTTGAACTGCTGAACCCACAGCAGACCGCCTACCCTCAGACATCTTATCACAGAAAGAAAATATAGGCATACCTTGGAGTTATCACACGTTCCCTTCCAAACCACTGCAATAGACTGAGTATTGCAATACAGCCAGTTACACATTTTTTGGATTCCTAGTACCTATAAAAGTTACATTTACAGTATACTGTAGTCTACTAAGTGTGCAATAGCATTACGTCTAAATAAATAGTGTATATACCTTAATTTTAAATACTTTATTGCTAATGATCATCTAAGCTTACAGCAAGTCATAATCTTTTTGCTTGTTGAGGGTCTTACCTTGATGTTGACAGCTGCTGACTGATCAAGGTGGTGGTTGCTGAAGGTTGGGGTGGCTGTGGCAACGTCACAAAATAAGACAGCAATGAAGTTTGCCATATTGATTGACTCTTCATGAAAGATTTCTCTATAGCATGGGGTGCTGTTTGATTTAATAGCAACAGGGTCTCACTATGTTGCCCAAGCTAATCTCCAATGCCTGGCCTCAAGCGATCATCCTGCCCCAGCCTCCCAAAGTGCTCGGATTAGACATGAATCACTGAAACCAGCCTAGAACTTCTTTCAAAATTAGAGTCAATCCTCTCAAACCCCACCGCTTTTTCAACTCAGTTTATTTAATCTTCTAAATCGTTTGTTGTCATTTCAACAATGTTCACGTTGTCTTCATCAAGAGTAGATGCTATCTCAAGAAACCACTCTTTGCTCATCCATATGAAATAACTCCTCGTCTGTTCAAGTTTTATCATGAGATTGTAGCAATTTAGTCACATCTTCAGGCTCCACTGCTAATTCTAGTTATTTTGCTATTTCCTCCTAAGTCACCTACAGTGACTTCCTCCACTGAAGTCTTGAACCTCTCGAAGTCATCCATTAGGGTTGGAATCAACTTCTTCCAAACTCATATTAATGTTGATATTTTCACTTGTTCCCATGAAGCATGAATGTTCTTAATGACATCTACAATTGTGAATATTTTTCAGAAGATTTTTCATTAACTTTGCCCAGCTCCATCAGAGAAATCAGTATTTATGGCAATGATAACCTTACAAAGTGCATTTCTTAAGTAATACAACTAGAAACCAGCAAGCCAGATTGATTCCTGGATCCATGGACTTCAGAATGGATGTTGTGTTAGCAGGAATGAAAACAACATTCATCTCTTTGTACATCTTCATCAGAGCTCTTGGGTGATCAGGTGTGTTGTCAATGAGCAGCAATATTTTTCTCAGAGCAGTATGTCTCAACAGTGGGCTTGAAATATTCAGTAAACCATGCTATAAACAGATGGGCTGTCATTCAGGTTTTGTTCTTTTTATAGAGCACAAGCTGAGTCCATTTAGCATAAATCTTTTTTTTTTTTTTTTTTTTTTTTTGAGATGGAGTCTCACTCTGTCCCCCAGGCTGGAGTGCAGTGGCACAATCTCGGCTCACTGCAACCTCCGCCTCCCAGGTTCAAGCAATTCTCGTGCATCAGCCTCCCAAGCAGCTGGTATTACAGGCACCTGCCACCACACCCGGCTAATTTTTGCATTTTTAGTAGAGACGAGGTTTCACCATGTTGGTCAGGCTGGTCTCAAACTCCTGACCCCAGGTGAGGCCACCCGCCTCAGGCTCCCAAAGTGCTAGGATTACAGGCATCAGCCACCACGTCCAGCCCATTTAGCATAATTCTTAAAGAATTTTCAGAATAGCCAATGAGCATTGACTTTAAATTAAAGTCAACAGCTGCACTAGCCCCTAACAAGAGTCACTGTCTTTCATAGGTGAAGTTCGTGACACTCCCAGACAATTACAATAGTGACATCAAAATATCACTGATCACAGACCACCATAACAAATATACTAATGAAAAAGTTTGAAATATTGTGAGAATTGGCCAGGAGTGGTGGCTTACGCCTGTAATCCCAGCACTTTGGGAGGCCAAGGTGGGCGGATCACGAGGTCAGGAGTTCAAGACCAGCCTGGCCAACATGGTGAAACCCCATCTCTACTAAAAATACAAAAATTAGCCAGGTGTGGTGGCACATGCCTGTAATCCCAGCTACCAGGGAGGCTGAGGCAGGAGAATCGCTTGAACCCAGGAGGTGGAGGTTGCAGTGAGCCGAAACTGCGCCACTGCACTCCAGCCTGGCAACAGAGCGACACCGTCTCAAAAAAAAAAAAAAAAAAAAGAAAAGAAATATTGTGAGAATTGCCAAAATGTGGCCCAGAGACAAAGAGAGAACCTGCTTTCAGGAAAATGGCACCAATTGACTTGCTTGATGCAGGGTGGTCACAAACTTCAATTTGAAAAAAAAAAAAAAAAAAGTCTGTGAAGCTCAATAAAGCAGAGTGCAGTAAAATGGGGTTTGCCTAGAAGTCTTTACTTATTTAAGCTATTTTTGACTGGATATTCTGTTACTTGTAGATAGTCTTACTAGTAGCTGACACAGGAGAACTCACCTTATCTTGGGGTCCATTCTCCTCCATCTGTTCAACTCTTACATCCCAAACACCATCAACCAAAGACTTAAATATTGCACAAAATAAAGAATTAATGTTGAGCTTGGCACTCTGATGCCAGCTGTTGCCATACTTCACCAAAAATGCAATGTTTTCCCTTTCTGCCCTTTGTTCACTCTCTTTTGTATATTTGTTTCTTCCACTAATTTTTTTATGCTTTCCAGAAGAAGAAAGTACTCTGCATATGCTAGGAATGTTTAAGTACTTCCTAAATAAAATACAATAAATCCAAGAGTAACCTGAACACTGAGAGACATTTTTGGTAGCTTTTGCTAGCTATTTAATGTTCAACACTTGCTTTCAAGATGTTTTTCTAAATAGTAAAATAAAGAGTTATATCAAGTATTAGTCAGTACTATCAAGTGGCAGACTAATATTAAAAATCATGTAATGATCTCCAGATTATCACTATCTTCCCTTGATTCTCATAAAACTAATTAAATCAAGGAATATGTTATGATTTGGTTTTATGTAAGTCCTAATCAAAAAAGGGCCATGTCCTGATGAAACATTTTCAAAATGGCCAGGGTAGAGGATAAAATTCAGTCTTGTGAAAAGAAACGTTCTTTCTCAAAGTTACTGGAGTTTTCTGCACCTGCTCTTGTGACATCAATAGAGGAATTAAATCACCTGATAATTAAAGTGGTCATCAGAGATGTGTTGTGTTGTAACTTACAGCCATGGTTCTCAAAGTGTGGTACCCAGACTTACAACATCAGTGTCATCTGAGAACTTAACAATAAAAATTCTCAGCCCCTGGAAATCTGTTTTAACAAATCCTCTAGGTGATCGTGATAATGCTAACATTTGAGAACAACTAAACTTTCCGAAGTAAACATATTTGCTAAAGTACTTTTTACTAGATTAACAATGATAGAAGGAAATAATGGAAGTTTCTGGGGGAAAATCTGGAAGGAGAGAGAAGAAAGGAAGAGGACAAGGGGAGAGGAAGGAGAAGCACGATGGCTGCTTGATGAGGAACACTTTTTTATGATTAATTCCCAACATAACCTTTACAAAGTTTTCTATATATCTATAAAAGACATGACAAACTTGTTACAAATAGCTTTTTAAAGAAATATATGTGATTGAATTTTTTTGTGTGTAGAAATTTCCTTAACTGAACACTTTTGTCAATTTCACTCCTTCCTCTCAGGTCTTGATGTAACATCCTGATATTGTTTTTTCTCCCTTTATACCCATCAGATTCAATGTTCTTCCTGGAAGTGGATTTCCTGTTATCTTTAGGGAATCTTTGCAGGAAAATACTCTTTTGAAAGCAGTTACTGAAATCCTTCTTCAAAACTTTTGTCATTTGTTTGGAAGTTTAACCTTTCACTTACATAAAATTTTCACTCTTGCATGTGCTTGTGACTCTTGCCACGTAACATGTGAGCTCCTTTATTCTAGGGACTTGGTGCCATTAATTGTTGTCCTCTCAATGACAAGTAATAGAACTTGACAAATAATAAATACTCAGTATATGTTTGATAAATCAACAGTGTTATCAAGAGATATTAATCTTTTCAAGACCTCCACTTCTCCACCTCTGCTCCTCTACTGGATATCTTCTCTCTGCTCCCCCTTCTTGGCCCCAGTCTACCTCCTTGTACTGACTTCTTCTTAGGTTTGGCCAATGGAGAGCTATTATAGGAGACTGGAGGGAGACAGAAGAGTGAGTTCAGAGTGTACATTCCCCTGCTGCCTCCCTCCCTGTGTGGTCACCTTGAATTGGCTGTGTCCCTTGGCCTAAGGTCACTAATTCTTTCAAGGTGGCTGTGTGCAGGCAGCTCTTCTTTTCCACTCTAGTAACCAATTCTTCCCCTCGTTCTTTTGGGAGAAAGGATGATAACAGCTCTGCTGACACTAGCCACATGACTACACCATCCTCTGTGGTTCCTATACACCCTGCCCATACCCATGTAAATAGATCCATTATTAAACCATCTTGAAATTATCCTAATCTAGATGTGTCATTTGTTTACTGTGAGAACACTAACTTTTATAACTGCCAGATTTTAAGAGTATAAGTAAAACTTTACATATTTTACAATATTCATCAACAACTGAGTTCTCAGTACATGTGATTTTTTACATAAATATGCTATTTTTAATATTCAGCAAGTCTAATATCTTACATTTGGGGATTTTAAAACTCACCCCCTCCCTACTCTACTGTGGAGGTGGTGCAGAAGGACTCTAAGTCAATCTGTGTCTGTCTGTAAAATGCTCTGTTAAAGGCAGGATTCCTGCAAATAACTTCACACATGCAAATGACTTCAGAGAAGGCACAAATATACATCTAAAACGCATTCCATTTGGGGTTTTTTTGTTTTTGTTGTTGTTGTTGTTTGTTTGTTTTTTTGAGATGGAGTCTCACTCTGTTGTCCAGGCGAGAGTGCATTGACACAATCTTGGCTCACTTTAACCTCCGCCTCCTGGGTTCAAACGATTCTCCTGTCTCAGCCTCCCAAGTAACTGGGACTACAGGCATGCACCACCATGCCTGGCTAATTTTTGTATTTTTAGTTGAAATGGACTATTGCCATGTCAGTCAGGCTGTTCTTGAACTCCTGACCTCAGGTGATCCACCCGCCTCGCCTCCCAAAGTGCTGGGATTACAGGCGTGAGCCACCGTGCCCAGCCTCCATTTGCTTTTTGCAAGCATAATAAAATTTTTCCTGTGGGTATAATATCCTTGATTTATTACTCACACTTTTTGTCTGTTAGGTTTACGTTTTAAACCATTTTTTTTCAGCAACAAAAACACTTGCAGACCTTTAAAAATATACTTTTAAGTCTGTATTTTTTAAAAAGCCCTTCCAATGGTTCCAATTAGGAGCCAGGGTGAAGCCCAGTGTGTATCCTAGTGGCATAGGATTAACATTAAGTATTTTTACCTATTTAATTTTTTTATGTTTCATCTATCATGCAGCACACATAATAGATTAGAAAAAGTTCCCACCATTAGATGAGCAGGAATCTAGAGGGAAAATCCACCTTCAGTGAAGAAGACCTCAGCTTTCCATCTTAAGTATAGCTTTTTGAAAAAGAAATGGGATAAGCAGATTATATGTCAAATAAAGTGAGCAAACTGATTCAGCAAGGTGCCTGTGCTCTTCTAGTCATGGTGAATCCTACAAGGCCTATATTTAGTGATGAGGAATAAGCACTTGTTGAGTGACTATTAAGTACTAGGCATTTTATCCACATTATTTCATTTAGTCTTTATAGTTAACTCCAAAAAGACTAATATCTCAAAGTGTTAAGGTAACTTGCCAAATATCCCACCATTAATACATAAGTTAAAAAGAATAGGACTTGAAATGCTGCAAAAAATAAACAGATGTAAGTTCTTCATTCTTTAAACAAGCAAATATTTAACTTAAATTTTTTCTTCCATCATGACTCTTTAATACAAGATTTTTAAAAGGTTATATGCTGTAATTAAAGTGAAGACCATCTTGCTGAGTTTGTCTTCTTTCAAAGCCATGTTAGAAACTCCTACTAACTCTTCATTAGATTTAGAGGGAAATAAGCCCTTCCTGCTCTTGGTCTTTTATACACTCAGCAGAACAAGACCTTCACAAGCAAGCATTACCCCTTTCTGATGACGACAATGCATTAATCCACCAAGAATATGCTAGTATTGATATATACCAAGTAATTTTGTAAATATAAGGCCTTTTCATTTAGGAAAAAATTTTAAAAAGGCATTAAATCATCCTTTTCCCTAGGAAGATATCCTTCTCAGGCTGAATTTGTCAAAGACCACCCCGAAAATAAGCTATATAAATTCCTGTGAAGGCCTGTTTAATTTATGGCCCAGGGAAATGTGTAAGTATTAGAGAGTCACGCCAAGAGACTGCTTAACTGGGTTAACTGACCTGAAATTTTCTGGGCCTTTACAAGACTTGAAATTTTCAAACAGCATTTATATATGCTTATTATATAATAGCCAGAAAAATAAAAGTGAAAGGAACTAAATAGACCTTTGGAGTGAAGGCCTCTTTCTCATGTAGACAGTTTAATAGCTTTTTGTAAAATAATACCATTGCTATTAAAGATACTTCTGGAGGACTTTTTTCATCCATAAAGCAGTGATTTCCTGTGAGCACTGCAGTATGTTGCCATTGGCTCATCACCACTGAAAGGCTGCTTCTGGAATCCAACACAACTGGATCTCTGTGATTACTCTTCAGCAAATTCACATTTAGCAAATTATAAAAAGGGACAATAGGTCATTATCTCATTTTAAAAATACCATTTCCGTAGACAGGTCTCTGTCATAGTGATATTCATGTCTTAACTTTGAGCACTTATGAAGCAATTCATCTTTTCCATTTTTTCAACTTCCTGCCAGACACTTTATCAGAGGAAATTAAATAAGTTCCCTTGAAATCTTTATGTCCTGAGTAAACAAAGTGTAAGAAAAACTTTCAGAAATCATCAAATACCGAATTTTTTAAATATTAAGAATGTTTATATTTTTTCACACACTACTTTTAGTGCTCTTAATGGTATTACTAACTTGCAAAACTGTAAATGGCCTCAATTAAAGTGGCTATAAATAAATAGTGACAGCAACAATTCATTGAACACACACACACACTATGAGCCACTTACTAATTTATACGGTTGGCACATATATGCTCTCAACAGCTCCAACAAGAGATTCAGAGAAGTTAGATTAAAAGCAATACAATTAAAATTCAGAACCATGTCTGACTCACTCTACATTGTGATTTTAATCATGCAACAGTACAGCCTTCCCAGAATGAATCTAGAAGGTGAGCAATAACCAATTTCCCCTCTCCTTTCTCCAAAGATATTATTTATAATCCTCTCACAAGGCAAGAGAAGACAAGGAGCTTGATATGGTCATATTTTGTCATACAATGGTTTTAAGGGAAGAGCAATGAACCTGACTTCAGACTGACAAACTGTTACACACCAGGCACATCACTTGTTGTCTTGTGATTTTTTTGTATAAATTATATATAACATAAAAATTATATACAAATATATGAAAAAGTATATAAAAATTATGTAACAAAGGAACATTATATAAACATTTGTGGGGAAGGTACAAAAATGTTTTCATTGGAAGAATTTACATTTATTAAGGGCACTGTGGACATTCACATTCTGTCAGTATTTGAAAGGTATATATTTTGATCTCTTTTTTAAAATAAAGAGACTAAAGATAAAGTTAAGTACCTGGAGCAAGGCCACATGGCTATTAAAGTTATCATCTAAACTAAAGCACCCCCTCAAATTCTCAAATTGTGAACTTTCTTATCGTAATAACCTCGCCATTTCCGGTTGATTTCCAACAGCTGTTTTTGTTATTGTTCTCGATGTTTTCATTTCCTGCACCCCATTTACAGAGAGTTGGTTTCAGAATAAATCTTTCCTTCAGCAAATTAATTTGTCCTGCTTTAATTCTCACCAAACGGTTCATCAAAATGTATAAGGTGGACTCTGTGGCAGTGGTTCCCAAACTTTGCTGATGTTGAAATCATCTAGGGATCTTACACTATTCGAATCCTGCTTCTACCTCCCCAGAAATTCTGATTTAGTTGGTATGGGCTGTGAACTGGAATGCCAGGTGTTTTAAAGCTCCTCAGATTATTCTAATGTACAGCAAAATTTGGTTACCACTGTCCTAGTAATTGTTTAGACTTCTCTTGGACTGAATCTCCAAAACTCCCCAGCTCCTGCTATCAGACTATATTACTCACCATCCCTGCTTATTCCAGTCATCTGAGGACCTCCAAGACCTTCCTCCTATTCTTTGAAGATGTTAGCAGTGGTAACTCCAGAGCGATTACTGCCATAATTCTTGGCGATTTCCATGTCCAGGCACATAATCCTTTCAACATTTTATCCTTTCAGATTCTTGACTCCTCTTTTGAACTGTGGTTATCTTTCACTCTACCAAAGTCACCTCTCAAAACATATCTCTGTATGTTTTACCAATAACTGCATTATTCCCAACCTCAAGTTCAATCAGGCCTCTCTCCAGCCACCACATCATATCTTTCTAGATCATTTATCTTGTCCCTTACTCAAAAAATTACTTGACTTTGGACCTCCTCCTATTATTCTATCACCTTTTTACTGTGCCTTACCCAAGTCATATTCTCACCTGCTTCTTATCCAGATTAGATTCTAGAAGTCACCAGTGTAAACACTCCCTTACATACACTCTTGACTCTTAGCCCATTTTCCCCTCCATCGTAGTCCTCTGGAAAAACTCTAAACCTAGCTAGATAGCATTCTCTATGTAGTTCTCACATGCACCAATGGAGGAGCACAGAGCTGAAAAAAGAAATGCACTCAACCATGCTCACTGGGCTCATTTTTATGACCATTAACCTCAAGTGGGCCCTCAGTGCTGCTAGGCAATTTGATTCATTTTCCTAATTCGTTCACTCACCCACTTTCAGAGTGGTGATTCTTCACTCTGAGTTGATGACCTAGATTATTATTCTGCTGAAAACTACGAATCAGTTGGGAGAGAACATTCATATGGGTCTACCCCAAACCTATTATGCCATCTTCATCTGAGCTTACATACTCCATTTTCCCTCATGCTCTGTGGATAAATCCTCTGTGTTCTTATTTAACACCACTTCTTCCACTGCACACTGGATTCTACCCCTCTCACTTACTTAAGGTAATATTTATCTCCTTCTCCAGACATCTTTTCCATTAGTATACAAATATACTCTAACAGTGCCTATTTAAAGAAAAAAGTCCTTCTTTGACCCCATATCTTCCCCTAGCTACTGCCTCATTTCCCTGATTGTCTTTACTGAAAAAGTTCTCATAGGAGTTATCTATCCTTAGTCTTTCAATTTGCTCCACAGTTATATTATTTCCCTGAATATCCTATTTTTGTTGAACCCACTCTGTAACAACTATGAAACTCTTCCATTGTAGTGCAAAAGCAATCATAGATAATATACAAAAAACTTGCAAGGCTGTGTTCTAATAAACTATATGCACACCAATAGGCATGGGCCACATTTGGTCTGTGAGCTGTAGTTTGTAGCAACTTGCATTATACAGCTCCTGTTTCTTTCCTGAACCTAGTCTGTTTAGAATGTAAACACTTGATGGCAAAGATTTTTATTAATAGTAGATCATCAATTAACAGGCATAGTATATAGTGAATTAACATTTTTAAATAAATATTGAATGTTACATAAATCTATTTCTCTTTTAGTCTTATTTTTGTAATTGTTACTTTTTTCTGTGATATTCTGAATGGGTTGAGCAGTACCAAATGATATTTTTTGTTGTTCAAGAAGTAATTGTGTATGTTTTAGTTGAAGAAAGAAAAATCCAGCTAGTGGACTTTTTTAGATTCTCTTTATGAAAAAATAAAATCAATCCTCTGCATGTTTTATGATTAGGCACATTATTATTATTGTTTGGTACCTTTGAATTGCATTTTCTTAAAAATTAAAAATGGAATTGAATCTGAATCAAATTGGATAATAACTGTGTTAGTCCATTTTGTGTTGCCATAACAGAATATATGAGGCTGGCTAATTTACAAAGGTAAGAGGTTTACTTAGTTCATGGTTCTGCAGGCTGGGTAGTATGATAAGCATGGAGCCAGCATCTGTTTAGCTTCTGGTGAAGGCCATGAGTGAGGTCAAAACGTGGCAGGGAAAGTCAAAGGGGAAACAGACAGGCATGAAGAGGAACCAAACAGAAGGAGGAAGCTCGCTTTGTAACAACCCACTCTCAAAGCAACTATTCCATTCTCAAAAGAGTGAGAACTCACTACCAGCAGAGCAGGAGGGTGACACCAAGAAATCTGTAAGAGATCCACCCCCATGACCCAAACACCTCTTATTAGGCCCAGCATCACCAAATTGGACCACATTTCAACATGAGTTATTGTTGGGACAAAGCATACTCAAGCCATGCAATAATCAAATCTATGTTCAATGTTTTAAAATAAAGTAAAATTAAATATTGACGATCACAATCCATTTTTCTGAGGGAAGTTGTTTTACTGCTACACAAGGAAAATGGTCATTTCACAAACCATGGAAGATGCACATGTGCTCAGGCTCCCGAATATACATCATGCTGGGAAACCCACATGAATCCTTGTATAGTTGTTTCCAGTGGAAGATTGCCCCAATACCATCAAATCCCACTGCCATGAAACTCTACATTTGTTAACTCAAAAATAGATGAAAAATGTCTGACTCTCAGCAGCCCATCTTACTGGCAATTGTCTATATCTACTCTGATTGCTTCCAGGATATGTTCAGGCTGAAGTATCAGTGTCTATAATTTACTTATTTATTTTTCCAGCCATATAAAAATTTTCAATTTTACGATTTATATTGAAGTTAAAGAAAGTATTGTCTTCCTGAAGTTTTTTGATCTCCTCTGTTGTGTTCCCAAATTACATCTTAAAAGCATCATCCTAGTGCTCCTGAAAGAAGTCATTATGGGAAAATAGCAAGGCCTCTCCTTTTCCTAGTGTCACAGAAAATGCAGGAAATGTTCAAAGACTGCAATGAGTTCCCCAAACACAAAATGTTTCTGCACTCAACACTTTACTAGCATTTGCAGCCACATACATTTAGACATTTGTGATTCATTACTAGACCACTATTCTCATAAGAACATAAAATAAGAATTAAGAAAATGATCATCATTCTTAACAACAGAAAATCTGCTCTTCAAAATTGCTGACAGAAAGCCAAATTAATAAATAGTATTAGTCAAACTAATTGAATTTATTTATTATCTAAAGATGCTCTTCCACACAGACAGTCTTGGAAAATAAGGCTACACTTCTTGTATTTACTCTGAAAGTAAAAATCTTGTCTGTATAGACCTTGAATTATCACTTTGTACTTTTCTAAAAACAAAAGTGCACTCAATTTACAATATGTGTTTCTAAATGAAAATAAACGACTTTCATTCAGATGTTTGTGAAACCAAACACAGACACTGTCATTTGAGAAGCAGAATTTATGGGAAAAGAAAGAGAGAAAAGATGGTTCTGGGATAGTTCAAATCCCAAAGGAAGAGAAGGACACATATCACTTAGCAAGAATTCCCATCAGAAACAGGACACATGCATTTCAGACAACAAAAAAACTGAACGGGACCCAAAAACAATAGACAGATAAGGAGGTTTAAATGAGTGAAAACTACTTTTTGTTGTTTATGTAGTAGTCTTACAAATAGATTTTAGAACAATTTTCCAGCGATAAATTTTTTAATTTTACTCAAATAAGAAAGTTGTTTAAGATATTTACTTTAATATTTTAATAAACATGGCTTTTAAAGGGCCATCCGTGTGCTAAAAAGTATCAGAATTAAAATATTTGCTTGAGGTTTACTAATGACAAAAATCTCGTGTCAGTATTTTAAAGAAAGGTAACAGATTAATAATACAGAAGCTGTGAGAGCTACTTTGGAAAGTCTCTTCTTAAAATGTCCTTTTAGAAGTAAGTTACCATCAGTTGAACACCCTACCTTTTACACCATTAGACTAGTGCATAGCCTGGAAGTTAGTTATCTTCCAGCATGGGAGGAGTGTTAGTCCAATTGAGAAGAATATACTAAATGCTATCAACTATTTTTGTTATTGCATCTCAAAGAATATTAAGGTTTAGTGCAATTCTATGCAGAATCCCAAGCAGACATGTTTAACTTGGCAAATAACTCTAAACTTCTGTAAGATAAAATGAGCAAGACAAACAAGTAGATTTTTGTGAGGAACAAAATCATAACATGAGGAATTTGTCTTACTAGATGTTAAAATTTACTATAAAGGTACAACAATCAAAACTGTGAAACTTAAACAGGAATGAATAGATCAAAGGAGTATAATCAAGACCCCAAGAATGCTCACATACAAAAAACTAGTATATGCTACATGTATGATCAGTAAGAAAATACATAATCAGCAAAAAAAAATGCATAATACATAAGAAAATAGCTGATAAGCAGAAAAAGAACTATTCCATAATGATCCTGGAAAATGTATCAATTATTTGAGAGTAAAAAAACAAATAATTCCAAGTGTATCATAAAGTTAAAAATTAAAAATTTGGGGGATTCCTCTTTCAGTTTTGGAGCCCCCCCTCTCTGTCTCTGCACGGGGGAGCTTCTTCCTCCTGCCTTCTCCCTTGTTTTTTGTCTACTAAACTCTCTACTCCTTAAAACCAAAATAAATAAATAAATAAATAAAAATTCAAAGCAGAAAAATAAAAACCAGGAGAAAATATAAACAAACATTTTCAAAGCTTTATATGGAAAAGTTAAGCTTTAAGAAATGGAAAACTCACAAAGAAAACAATTACTAGATTTAATTATTTGTAAATACTATCAAGAACTGCCAGTATCAAAATTAAAGGTAAACTCTAAAATGGAAAAATACTTCCAATAAATATGGATTCAGATAATGTCTTTAAGACATAATTAATTCTTATGAACCTGAGAGCAACATATCACACAACAAATTAAATTGAGAAGAATCACAAATGAGCAGTTCACCAAAGAAAAAATTTAAATGTTTATTAAACATATTAAATTGGTCATCTCCCTAAGAAACAAAGAATGTAATTAAAAATAAGACAACTTTTGCCTATAAATGGAATGAAAAGAGCGCTGTGATCTATTGGGGGAATTATAAATTGGTAAAAGTTTCCTGGGAGAAAGATACACAGATATTTGCCAAAACATTTTTAATAATAAAGTCAAAACTGAAACAACTTAAATATCTAACAATAGGGGAATAGTTAAATAAATTACGGTTAGTAAGATTATGCACTTGGATAATATTCATAATCGGTTACTTTAAAAAAAAAATCCAGTAACAAAACTGTATATTGAATAATCCAAGTTTGATATCACACTCTCACACAAATCCACATACACATTTTTGTAGAAAAAAAAACAGAAAATAGGCAAATACATTGTTTGCAATCTTTTGATCATTCAGATTTGCCTTATTGTCTTGGGATTTCTTAGAATAACTGCAAGGGGTATGTATTGTTATTTTTAGAAATTATTATTTAAAATAACATGTGCATGCAGTAACCATGCATATGTCTGATCTTCAGGAGAATTGCAGGAGATAGTCCCCATCTTCAAGAAGCTTATAGTTCCACTCACAAATGTGCATACACATGAAAGACAAATCACATGTAGATGACAAGGTATATTCAAATATCAGCCCATGGAATAATTTGTATTTTGGAAATCTGAGGCATTGTGGATTAGAGTAGTCAAGGGGGCTGAGTCTTGAAGGAAGTTAGTCTGATAAGAACAGGTAAGTGATCAAGACTTGAGAGCAGATAGGACAGGACATGACACATCCTGAAGACAATGACAAAGCATGTCTGGCAATATATCACATGTTTGTACGCTTTTGATGGGTATTTTAAAGTTAAAAGGTATCTGGAAAACCAACATAAAGGTACTACTGTACTAACACATCAGAGTATTTACAACTGTCATTTTCTTGCAGAGATTCTATAATAGCTTGCCTCTCTGAGAAAAGAGGTAAAACTCATTTTTAACAGTGACCAATGAGTTAATTAAGTGTATGAGCATTCTAAACTTTATCACAATTGTAGATAGGCAACATTTTGTCATTGTGACTACATCTCAACTCCTTAGGGACAAATAGAACTGTCCACTAACAGTGGCTGTGGTGAGCAGGGCTCATATATGTGCTATGCAGGAAAGACAGAACTTTCCCATGACCTAAAGAGACTCTGCAAAGTGACCACAGATGGTTTATACCAGAAAAGCTGGAAAAATTATATGAAGTCCTGTGAAAAACCTTAGTTTGGAAAAAAAAATAAGAGGAAGCAAATAAATAGGAGGTCACCAGCAAGCTCCAAATTAAAGGAGGTCTCTCTGAATCACCCTTTCTGAGATTTTAGCATATGGACTTCCTAAGTCACAAAGGCCTGGAGAGAAGATGAGAACCACAGTAAATTCCAAATCCCGGAGTTTTATTATCCCATTGTTACACACTAGAGAGATTTATGGAGCCGCTCCCAAAAATGTTGTAAGTGTGCTACAGAAATGGCTTGTTCTCCCTGAGCCTTTTAATAAAGAAGTAAGGCAGTGTGCCAGGAAGAGTACAGAGTGAAGAGTAGGTGACTAGAACTTCAGCTATCCTGATAATTCTCTGAGGGAAATGGCACATCATACTTAACCTCACAGGGTTTTCACTTTCATTATCTGCAATATGAAGACAGTGTTCAAAATCAAAGAGGCACAACCAGTCCTGAGCAAGCTGAGAAGATTGCTGCTCAGGAGGACTATCCAGAATGTTCAAAAATAGAAGATGCCAGCTGATTCCATACAAATTCCAAATAGTGTCAGGTACACTATAGGCCGCAGGGGAAAAGTCTAGTGTCTCTGGGCTCAGAGTTTCTAGACCAGGAGAGCTCTTGGCCTGCCACTCTCACTTTACAGAAATAATACCTGACATTTGAATGCAAGCTAGCCTAAGAGTTGAAGTAAACAATACTTTATTTATAAGATAAATAATAATTGCAGGTAAATAATATATCTAGGAGAAACATAATATTTTACAGATGCAAAAACTGGAAGCATAGAGAAATTAAGCCACTTGGCAGAGACGAGACAGCTGTCATGGCAAAGTCCTCAAGACAGGGTCACCCATTCCAGCAGCACCCTCTTAAGCATTTGGCTCTGTCTTCCTTCAATAGAAAAGAGCTGGGACTTGCCTGAGATTAAAAATAGTTAAGCATTTTGCAAATAAGTGCTTAGAAAGATCTATTTAATATCATAAAAAATAGAAAATAAGCACATTGGCTTGCCTATCAGAAAGACGTGTGGAAATTGAGACATGACCAAAAACAACTTACTAGAAAACAGCTATACTTTAACACTGTTTTTAAATTTCATTGAGATGTTTTGAATAATCAAAGATGTAACCTCCAGATATCAATGTTTGTTACTTTTAGGCTAAGAGTTTGTGGGAAATCAATCCTACAACTTTTTCTCTCACCATTAATCAAAAAATAATGATAGTTTCCTGTAGAGGAAAGTTTTGAGAGGTAGTGATTAAGAGAGTCAACCCTGGAGGTAGCTGGCTTGGGTTAAATCCTGGTCCCAACACTTAATGGCTATGGCACGTTGTCTTAGTCACTGCTGCATCCTGAATGCCAACCAAAGGGTCTGACACTTAAGAAACTGGTAATAAAAGTGTAATGAATTTTTAACACTTAATTTGTTTTTGAAGAAAATGGGGACTTGGCTCTCTCTCTCTCTCTCCCAGCCCCCCACAACCACCACACAATCAAGACATGTTTTGAAAGGATGGTATAGCATACCATTTCTGTTTTTTTCTTTCTCTTTATCACTTGTGAGAATAGCTGCTTCTCCTAGGAAAGTGACATTTGTAGAACAGCAGCATGAATGTTATGTTATGAATATATTAACCATGGATTAAAATAGTTCTAACAGGCACAAATAAGACATTTACATTTGGAGCCTAAAATAGCCAGTTTGTCTACTTTGGTCACATTAGAGGAAAGCTGTCACTCCACTTGCCCTCCCATGGACCTATCTGATTGGAGCCTTTGGCTAGCATTTATTTTTTTTGAAAGAAGCAAAAAAAAGTTGAGGAAGGGTTCAGATGGTATCTCAAACTACCTAAGAAACACAAAGCCCTTTAGCTAGGCTTTGAAGTTTGTTCCTCTGAGCTTGTGGGCAAACAAAAAGCATTAGCAGCATTCAATGAAAAATAAAAAATCATGCAAGAAGAAACTAAATATTTTAAAGCACCCGTAACCATTAAAATAAATAGCTAATGTAATGCCATGTGTAATCTGGAAAACAAGAAATGAGTAATTAGGGGGAAAGTTCATTTCAGTGGACGACGAATTGCCCTTAAGGTTTCTGACTGCCTACTTTAAATTACTATAATATTTACATTGTAAATTCAGTTATAATTAGACTACCCAATTCCTCTCAAACAATACAGACTAAGAGGCTTTGGTTAACATCCTAGCTTTATTACTAGCAAGTTGGACAATTAAAACAAATAATTTGACCTTCTTCAACTTTAGTTTCCACAAGTTTAACTAAGACAATTGAAACAGATCATTTCCAAAGTTCTTTTTTAGTTCCAAAACACTATGAATTATCAGGCTAATAACAAAAATGCGATGTAGAAGATGAACTGCATTATAAATGTCTATTTAATGTTTTAATTCAGTAATTCAATAATAATGGTCAACATGTATAGAGCCAGGCATTTTTTGACACTTTACATGTATAAATACATTTAATCCATCTAAAATTTCCATGAAATAAGTCCTAATATTACCCCAGTTTTGTAACTGAGAAGACAAAGAAAAAGTACACTGATTATAAAGCTAGTGGTCAAGCAATGTAGCTGGGATTCAAACTCCACGCAATCTGGCTCAGAATCCCTGTGTTCAATTCATCACTCTGCAATTCTGCTAGTGCAAATTTCAAAATGCAGATCCAGAGGAGAAAAGACCCTGCCCCTGGCTATTATAGCAGTTGGTAATGATTCCATTCATGCAAAATGTCATGTCTTCCTAGATGTGCTTTTTCAGGTAGAAAAAAGAATTTTGAAGACTAAAATTTATTTTTTTCCCACAGAACTATTAATTACATATCCCCAGGCCCTCCCATCTTTTAAATATTTTCCCTAGTTATAAAATTACTTCATCTGATTGCTGGGATTTAAAAGTAATGCTGATTGGCCAGGCGCAGGCGCAGTGGCTCACGCCTGTAATCCCAGCACTCTGGGAGGCCGAGGTGGGTGGATCACCTGAGGTCGGGAGTTTGAGACCAGCCTGGCCAACATGGAGACACCCTGTCTCTACTAAAAAATACAAAATTAGCCAGGCATGGTGGTGCATGCCTGTAATCCCAGCTACTCGGGAGGCTGAGGCAGGAGAATCGCTTGAACCTGGGAGGCAGAGGTTGTGGTGAGCCGAGATCGTGCCATTGCACTCCAGCCTGGGCAAAAAGAGCAAAACTCCATCTTAAAAAAAAAAAAAAAAAAAAAAAGTAATGCTGATTTATTAATATTTTATTACTTTTGTCAAAACATGTAGAAGTGAATACTGCATAAATACCTCGATCCTATAAAGATATGATTAGCAGACGCCTTTGTTAAATATGAGTACTGGTTTCTTAAAATATAATTACTATTTGTTCTGGCCAAGACTATCATAAAATATGGAATAGATGAAGGATAAAACTTACACAAATGGTAACTTACCTATGCCTGTAAGTCTTATGTGAATGTGTATGTGTGTATGAGTTACTAAATACAAAGGAAGTCAGGTAAAATTACAGCCTATTATCAGCAATTCCTGAAGAAAAAAATACAGCAGTAAAGTTTTAGGTATTATGTGTTGCTAAATTTGCATAGACTTACTAAGTTGAGTTCATATGGTCTAATTCAGATTAATTCAAGAGCATGTGATGAACTGGAACTTATTTATTTCATAACAGCAAACATAGGCTTCTGCCATTCTGACACAAAACAAAAGTAATGGAAAGAACAGGTATGGTAGCACTTCTCTGGAGAAAACTCCACATGGAAATTAAAAAGCTGCCTAATCTCTCTTTTCCACCTCCATTGTGGGAAATGCGGCAGCTGCTGATGCACGGAGGCCACATATGATGGGAATACGGGAGCTTCAGGTGATGAGGGAATGGATTCCTCTACCCTACACTTCCCAAAAGGGGAAAAATACATTTTTTACTGGAAAAAAACCTGTAAAAAGCACACAATAAACCAAATAAATTATGAAACATAATTATGCCATGGTCATGTTGCACAATAAAAATCACTATTAAAGAAATGAAGATTAAAAAGAAAGCCTTGGCAATATTAAGCCCCATAATCTGCTTCCTCTTTCGATATTTCAGTAGCACAACACTTATCACTATCTTAATGGATGTGCACAATATGTAGGGTATGCACTTAATAACTATAAATACATATGTAAAATAAAATACTATCAATGGCAATTTATCTTAATGCTTTCATTCTCCTGGGTTATTTCCTTCTGACCAACATTCTAAGAGGGGTAAGAGAAAATACCAGTGGGCTTGAGACCATAAACTGCATGATTTCATTTATATTACATAGAAAAAAGCAAAGTTAATCAACGTTATTCAAAGTTAAAATAGATTTGGAAGGATAGGTAATGAATGAAAGGGAGCATAGAAGAGGTTTTTACGTGGCCGGGCACGGTGGCTCACGCCTGTAATCCCACCACTTTGGGAGGTCAAGGTGGGTGGATCACGAGGTCAGGAGATGGAGACCATCCTGGCCAACACAGTGAAACCCCGTCTCTACTAAAACTACAAAAAAATTAGCCGGGCGTGGTGGCAGGCTCCTGTAGTCCCAGCTACTCGGGAGGCTGAGGCAGCAGAATGGCGTGAACCGGGAAGGCGGAGCTTGCAGTGAGCCGAGATCGCGCCACTGCACTCCAGCCTGGGTGATAGAGCAAGACTCCGTCTCAAAAAAAAAAAAAAAAGAGGATTTTTAGGGTTCTTGTGATGATCTGTCTTTTGATCTGGTTACTAGCTACAAGGATGTGTTTAATTCATCAAGGTGTCATAATAAATATGCTTTCAGTATATATATTTTAATTTTTAACACTTGTAAAAAATACTCTTATTTTATGTTTTTAAATTATATTCTTATGCACTAACAAACAACTATCAGAAAATGTAATTTTAAAAAATAAACTATTCAAATCTATTAGAATGACTGTTGAAAAAAGTTGACCACACCAAGTGCTGGTGAGGATATAGAGTAGCCAGAACTCTAATGCATGTTGCTGGGAAAGCAAGATGGTACAGTTTGGCGGTTTCTCATAAAGTCATGCACATGTGATGAGATCCAGAAATCTCACTCCTAAGTATTTTCACTAGAGAAATAAAAACTTATGTTTAGACAAAAACATGCACAAAAATGTTTGTAGCAGCATTACTCAAAATTACTCAAAACTGGAATCAACCAAAATCTCTCTCAAGGAGTGAATGCATAAGCAAACTGGTACATCCATATAATGGAATACTCCTCCCCAATAAAAGGAACAAACTATTGATACACAAAACAACATAGATAAATCCCAAATGCATTACGCTAGGTGAAAGAAGTCAGTCTCAGATTGCATACTAAGATTACATCCATTTGAAATTCTGGTAAAGAGAAAACTACAGAGATGAAGAACAGATCAGTTCAGAGTTAGGAGTAGTGGGGACAATTTTACCTCAAAGGGGTAGTGTCTTAGTCCATTTAGTGTTGCTATAAAGACCCTGGGTAATTTACAAAGAAGAGTTTTACTTGGCTCACAATTCTGTGGGTTGTACAAGACGCATGGCACCAGCATCTGCTTGTGGTGAGGGCTTCAGGCTGCTTCCACTCGTGGTGGAAGGTAAAGGGCAGCTGGTGTGTGCAGAGATCACATGGCAAGAGAGGAAGCAAGATGCAGGGAGGGAAGTTCCAGGCTCTTTTTAACAACCAGCTCTCAGAGGAAGAGACACAGAAAGACAAACATCACATATTCTGACTTATATGTAGGAGCTATAAAAGTAGATCTCATGGAGATAAATAGTAGAATAATCCCAGAGGCTGGGAAGAGTGTGTGCAGGGGTTGAGGGGATCAACGAAGAAAAGTTGGTTAATGGGTACAGACAGATAAAAGGAATGAATCGTAATGTTTGATAACAAAGTAGAGTGACTACAGTTAACAACAATATATTGTATATTTCAAAATAACCTAGAAGAGACAGCTTGGAATGTTTCCTACATGTAGAAATGATAAATACTTGAGGTGATGGATATCCCAAATACCCTGACTTGATTATTAGACTTTATATGCATGTAACAAAGTATCACATGTACCTCATAATTATGTACAGATATTACGTATTAACTTAAAAATGAACTTCAATACATATTTTGCACCATGTAAAAAATTAACTCAAAATGGATCACAGAGCTAAATGCGAAACCTAAAACTTCTATGAAAAAAATAGGAGAAAAATATTTGTAACTTTGGATTAGTTAATAATTTATTTGATATGATATCAAGTGTACAATACACAAAAGAACAAATTGATAAATTGGACTTCATCAAAATTAAAAACTTCTGTTCTTTGAAATATCGTTTCATAGAGAGGATACTTTTTATTATCACTGCTAACCTGCGGAGGTAGCAGTGAGCCGAGATTGCGCCACTATACTCTAGCCTGGGCTACAGAGCAAGACTCTGTCTCAAAAAAAAGAAAGAAAGAAAATCACATAATCTTTATTTAGTATATATTTAAAAATTATCAAAACCCAGTAATAAAAATATAAATAACCCAATTTAAAATATGGGCAAAATATACTTGTAGAAAAATGAAATTGGATCCCTATCTCTCACCATATACAAAAATTAACTCAAGATGGATTAACGACTTAAATCTAAGACCTGAAACCATAACAATTCTAGAAGAACACCTAGGGAAAATTCTTCTGGACATTGGCCTAGGCAAAGAATTTATGACTAAGACCCCAAAAGCAAATGCAACAAAAACAAAAATAAATAAATACCTAATTAAACTAAAAAGCTTCTACACAGCAAAAACAATCAAGAGTAAACAGATAGCCTACAGAATGTGAGAAAATACTTGCAAACTATACTTCTGATAGAGGACTAATATCCAGAATCTACAGGAAACTCAAACAAATCAGCAAGAAAAAAATAATAATAATCTTTTTTTTGAGAGAGAGTCACGCTCTGTCGCCCTGGTTGGAGTGCAGTGGCACGATCTGGGCTCACTGCAAGCTCCACCTCCCAGGTTCACGCCATTCTCCTGCCTCAGCCTCCCGAGTAGCTGGGACTACAGGTGCCCCCCACCATGCCCAGCTAATTTTTTGTGTTTTTAGTAGAGACGGGGTTTCACCATGTTAGCCAGGATGGTCTCGATATCCTGACCTCGTGATCCACCTGCCTTGGCCTCCTAAAGTGCTGGGATTACAGGCCTGAGCCACCACACCCAGCCAAATAACCTTATTTTTAAATGAGCAAATGGCATGAGCAGACATTTATCAAAAAAAGATATACAAATGGCCAACAAACATATGAAAAAAATGTTCAACATCACTAATTATCAGGGAAATGCAAAATAAAACCATAAGAAGATACCACCATACTCCAGCCAGAATGGCCATTTTAAAAACTTGAAAACCAATAGGTGTTTGCATAGATATGAGAAAAAGGGAACACTTGTACACTACTGGTGGGAATGTAAATTAGTACAGCCACTATAGAAAACAGTATAGAGAGTTGTAAAGAACTAAAGGTAGATCTGCCATTCAATTCAGCAATCTCACTACTGGGTATCTACCCACAGGAAAAAAAGTCATTATATTAAAAAAAAAAAAAAACCCCACCTATGTGTATATGTTTATCATAGCACAAATCACAATTGCAAAGATATAAAATCAACCTAACTGTCCACCAGCCAATGAGTGGGTAATAAAAATGTGGTTTATATATGCCATGGAATTCTACTCAGCCGTAAAAAACAAAGAATGTCTTTTGCAGCAACTTGGATGGAACTGGAGGCCATTATTCTAAGTGAAGGAACTCAAGAGTAGAAAACCAATTACTGCATGTTCTCACTCATAAGCTAAGATGGCTACTCAAAGGCATACAGAGTGGTATAATGGACATTGGAGACTCAGAGGTGGAAGGGTAGGAGGTGGGTGAGGGATGAAAAATTACCTAGTATGTAAAATGTACACTGTTAGGGTGATGGATACACTAAAAGCCCAGACTTCACCACTATACAGTTCATCCACATAACCAAAAAAATGGCTGGACCCCTAAAAGCTGTTGAAATAATTTTGTTTTAATGGGCAAAATATGTGAAGAGATACGTCACCAAAAAGAAGATATACATATGTCAAATAAACACATAAAATAGTGATCAATATTACTACCCATTAGGGTCATAGAGATTAAAGTCATGCTGGGATAACATTACACACCTATTAAAATACCTAAAATTTAAAAAAACTAATCATGTCAAGTGTTGGCAAGGAAGTGGAGCATCTGGAACTCTCATTAACTTTTGCTGACAATATGAAGCTGTAAAACCACTTTGAAAAAAAATTTAGGCACTTAAAAAATTGAAATACACATCTATCATATGATGAAGACATTGCATTTCTAGGTCTTTACCCAAGAGAATTGAAAGTACATGTCTAAAAAATGTATACACAAATGTTTGTAGCATCTTTATTTGTTATCACTGAGAACTGGAAACAACACAAATGTGCATCAACAGTTGAATGAATTAATAAAGTTTGGTAAATAGAGACAATTGAATACTAATCGGCTATAAAAAGGAATGAACTACTGGTATACATAATAACACAGATAAGTGTCAAAATACTATTCTTTAAGAGAAAAGCCAAACAAATACATACTGTATGATTCCATTTATAAAAAAGACTAGAAAATACAAACTAATTTACAGTGAAGGAAATCAGATCAATACTTTCCTGGAAATATGGTAGGTTGAGGTGGGACTGGAATGAGGGACTATAAAAGAACATGAAGAAATCTAAGGGAGTAATAAGTATGTTTATTATCTGAATTTTGTTTATGGTTTTCTATACATATGCATATATCAAAACTTATCAAATTGCACCCTGTATTAGTTTTTTATTACTGCATAACAAATTATTGCAAACCTAGTGACTTAAAACTAACCTATCATCTTACCATTTCTGTGGGCCAGAAATACAAGCATGAGCTAACTGGATCCTGTACTTGGGATCTCACTAGACTGAAATCAAGGTGTCAGCCAGGGCTGTGATCACATCTGAGACTTAGGGGTCTCAGAATTCAATGACTTGTGGTTGTAGGACTAAGATCCCCATTATCTTGCTGGCTGCTGGCTAGGGATTCTCCAGTTCCTAGAGCTTGCCCCCAGGTTCTTGTCACGTAGCCATCTCACAACATGGAAATTGACTTCATCAAAAACCCACCTTACAGGCGTGCAGTGGCTCACGCCTGTAATCCCAGTACTTTGGGAGGCTGGGGCATGCAGATCACCTGAGGTCGGGAGTTCGAGACTAGCCTGACCAACATGGAGAAACCCCGTCTCTACTAAAAATACAAAAAAATCAGCCAGGTGTGGTGCTGCATGCCTGTAATCCCAGCTACTCGGGAGGCTGAGGCAGGAGAATCGCTTAACCCAGGAGGCGGAGGTTGTGGTGAGCCGAGATCGTGGCATTGCATAAAGGCCCTACCCTCATAACCTAATCTAATCCTAATTATCTCCCAGAGGCTCTGTCTCCAAATATTATCACATTGGGGGTTAGGGCTTCAATGTTTGAATTGGAACAGGAGGGCCACAAACATTCGGTCCATAACAGAGAGGATTATACAGGGTGTACACTCTCAGGAGTAGAAATTTGGGGGACTATCGTAGAATGCTGCCTACCACATACCTTTTAAACATGTGCAGTTTATGTCCACACAAAACATCAATGTACAAAAAAGACAAAATGACATAAGGGAAAGAAAATTATATTATCATCAGACTTCTGGACAGCAATGTATTATCCCAGAAAAAAGTAGAATAAACTTGAAGATACATACATATGTATGTATGCCGTGGATTTTATGTCCAACAAAATTTACCTTCAAGTATAAAGGGCACACATGAATTTTTATCAGCATGCAAAAACTGAAGGAATGTTGTTTCTATTTTCCTCCTTAGGAATCTACTATGGTAGGTACTTTAGACAACCAAAATGAATAGAAAATTATCGGTATGAGGACTGAAGAGGAGTATTAAACATATAGTTACTTGTAGAGCCAGATGAAGTGAAGATTAAAGGAAGAGAGTATAATATATAATGGTTTTATATTTAAGCAAAGTAGTGAAGTTATAAAAAATTGACATAATGTGTAGAATATGCAAAATATATTTGAACAATTCTCAGTAATTTTTCATGGTGGAGATTTTGGTATGGTTATTTTAAGACTATTCTGTTTATAACATGGGATAAAGTAATAATTACGGGAAATTCTAATTTTATTATCTCCTGCATTCATGGGAACCAAGATTCTTGATACAGAAGAAAGTAGTTGTAGTTAAAGTAAAAACAATCCCTGACACACACATCTCTTTCCCTAATTTTAATTGGAAATATATCAGTAAGATCTGATAAACTATTTTGTATGTACATACAGATATGCCTATGGTATATGTATATGTGTGTCTACATTCATATCTATCAATATTTTCTCTCTTGCGCATCTCTTCCCACAGGAGTCTCTGGCTACATGCTCCCGACAAGACAATCACAAATGTCAATTGCACGTAACTCCTTGCGAAGGACAAATGTTAAGGTTCTTTTCCACTAAGCCCAGTCCATCTCATTTCTCTGGCTTCCCTCATAAAATGATGAACAGTCTTTGCATCCGTCAGTGATAACAGAGTCTCAGCTTCCCATCTCCTGTGAATAAATTCTTGGGGGAGGGAAGCATCTACACACCTATCTAAAACAAAGAGGCCTTAGGCTACATAAATCAAAATATGGGGTAGGGAGGATTTCTAACTTTGCAGAAACAAAGTTCAGCCAATAGATACAATTACTATTACTAAATAGTACACTTAATGCTTCAGTCTGAAGGTACAGTCAATCCTCCATAGCCATGGGTTCCAATGTCTCAGATTCAACCAACCTCAGATTGAAAATATTGTGGACAAAAATATAAAAAATAACAATACAATAATAAAATAATACAAATTTTTAAAACAACATAGTATAACAACTATGTATACATCATTTACATGATATTAAGTATTATAAGTAATCTAGAGATGATTTAAAATATACAAGAGGATGTGCACAGTTGTATGCAAATACTATGCCATTTTGTATAAGGGACTTGAGCATCCACAGATTTTGTTATCCACAAGGGGTGGAGGGTACTGGAACCAACCCCCTTTAGCTACTAGGGAAGAACTGTACTGCATTTTGGTTCCTTCACTGGATTTCAGAGCTTCTCATCCAACATTAGCATTGGGAAACTCCTGGATGAAAGGGAACATCTCCCATAAAAACAAATTCCTGTACCACCATTGCAAGATAGAAAGTGATTACTACTCCCCACATGAAAAATTCTCCAACTTCACCACATCAAAGTCAGGAAGCTATTGAGCATTCAACATTCTAGAATAAGGCAACCCAAAGCTTTCATTGAACAAATATGGTTTGATTGCACAGGTTTGTCAAAGTGCCATGTGGTTTTTGAGTTCCTAAACACCACAATGTCCCCAAGCAAATTTTTAAAACACAAGTTATTCCTTCAGGATGCCAAGATTCCATAGGAACATTATCCTCTATTTCAAAAATAAAGTATAAAGCTATTTGAAAATAAAATATCAATCAGTCAATGCCGAAACTGTAGGAAAGACTGAATGTTGCCTGCCTTTGGAAATCTGTGTCATTCCAGAACATAAAGGCCAATTACCATATCTGCTCAGAAATATATATCAGAAATATATATCAGAGTTGGAAGCTCTTTAGTGGAGATGGATCTTAGAGGCCCCTTTAAGACATAGGCTTTTAGAAACCTTCTATATTAAAGCATGCTCTTACATCCTTCCAATCCTATAACAGAATAAACGTTTCAAAGCACCGACCTGTTAATTACCTTATTTAATCTTCACTATGTTGCATTCATTTGTAATGTTGTTTCTTATTCAATTAAGTAAAGAAGCTTAACTTCTAGATGCATATTATGTGTTTTAAAAGGCTGCAAAAAGCATAAGAATAAAAAATTATTTTCCCCATTAGCTTATCATCAGGAAAATTCCAGACCAAAGAAAGGCATGGAAGTGGATGGTTATGGAGTAAACTTCTGGAAGAAACAAATGTGGAAGACACAGCTTTTCCTCTTTGTAACTTAAGCCAGAATCAACCTACTTTTATCCAGGGGGTAAACTGAGAGAGAAAGAAAACTCTCTATTGACTATTGCGTGCATGCCAAAAGATCATAGACTTTATCTCAATGAACCCCATATAGGCGTTATTATCCCCATTTTATAGATCATGATAAAAACATGCCCACAGCCATATGTGTGGTCTTTGAAAGTACACCATCAAACCCAGACCTATTGATTATAATTATAAGGCCTCTTTTCCTTTCCATGGTATCTCACTGACAAAACCTGTGTTGCCTGGTCTGTGACCACGTCTTGGTTAACTGAAGGAGAACAGAAAATTGTCCTTTTCAGCTGAAACTAAAACCAGATCAACTGACGACTCCAAGATGTTAAAAAATGGTCCAGATAATCCTGACTAAAAATACAATGGACAAACAACTTTATCAATTTCAGACTATTTTTCCCGGTCTCTTGAATTTTGCATGTGAATGTTTCATTTAAAAACAGCCTCATCAAGCAAAGTTTAAAGAAGTGTGTCCAAAAAAATTATAGGTTTTTCCCCCAATCTTTAGAAGATTTTCATTGCTATTGCTACGAAATACAAAAAGTTAAACAAAAAATTTTGTTTTCCAAGCTGAAACATGTATTTGTAAATCCAGGATAGTTAAACAAGAAAACTATTCTTGCAGAAAATATCTGAAAAATGAAATAAGCAATATTAAGACAAACTGAGTAAGGAAGTGGTGATTAAGTGGAGTAAAGACCGAGGTCATGTACATCTGTGCTGTGTAAGGGCCCACTTCATTTTTTGATAACTTCACTTTTTCACCCTTAACAGGGTTAACCCTAGAATGTGACAAGGGTAGCCTATGACAGGCGACATTTTGAAGTCACATTTATACAACCTCTACCCCAAACCCAAAGACCTCTCTCTCTCTGACACAAACACACACGGAAATTTATATACTTTTAATATACACAACCCAAGGTAGTCTTTTACAATTTACCAGAGTCATTTATTACTTAGTGGCATTCCAGCTCTCACACAAAATCACGATATTTCCTGTGCTTCCCTCCATGCACGTTTTGTTCACTTCTTTGCACAAGGGAACTGTGACTCTAGCATGCTGACTTGTCGTAGAAAATAAAGTGGGAATTTTTGGCCATCACTTTTAATTTAGAGCTACTGGTTCATTTCTAGAATAACATTAAACAAGAGAACGATTAAAAAAAAAAAAAAAAGAGAAAGAAATGAATGAATAGGTTATCACTGCCATCTGGTGGTGAAAATGCAAGAAAACAGGATATACATTCTGATAGCTCAAAATAGAATTAGTTTGGGAAAAGCATTGTTTTATAAAATGTCAAAAAATGTTCAGAAGTTTAATTAAGAAATGATTATCAAATGTTTGTGTTACTGATATGACTCAGAGTAGTCGCAATACGGAATATATGATCTCTTCTGATTCACATTTTTTTTTTCTCAATTTCCAGGAACATAGAGGTGTTCCTACTTTTCAGGCCCAAGAACCATAGAAAAAGTTAAATGATCATTGCATCCGTTTCACCTCCCCATGGCACTCCTCCTTCACAGTTGTTATTTCAAGAGAACTAAGTATTTACAATCATGCTATGTGGTGGGCACAGCATACAAAACGGACATCTCATCACCTGCTTGCCTCTATCAGGCTCTGAAGGTGTCTTTCCTAGGAAGTTGTCAACATAATTAAATCAGACAAACTTCAAGATACCATTGCTTTTGACAGTGTGGAGTTTCAACATGACAGACTTTGACTCTGCAGGGGGATTCCACAGCAGCTCCCATCATATCTAAGCTTCTATTACACCCAAGCTTCTATCACACACTAAGCAATGTGATCTCACATTACACAGCATACTAAACTCTCTATATAGGAAATCAAACTTTCTTACGTTGCACACACACACACACCATTTGTTTGTTTCTGCTTTCAAGTCTTTATGCTTTCTTTTATTTTCACTTGTATTGCCTATCATATTATCCTCTTCAACTACCCAGGTCCTTGCCAAACGTAAAAATTCACTGACTTGAAAATGCCTCAAAGGTTATCTATATATTACTTTTTAGGGTTTGCTTTCTATATGTCAGACACTGTTTCAATCATTTTATGCACATATTAGTATTTCCAAATTCTCAAAAAAACTTTGGAGAATTATTATTCCTATTTAAGCGTGGAGAAAACTTGGCTCAGAGCAATGAATAACTCATCTAAGTCTGCACTGGGAGTGAGTGGAGAAACCAAGTTTTGAAGCAAGGTCAGTCTAATTTAAAGGTTAAACTCATTCCTTCCTTGCTCATCATTCTAACAGGGCTTTAGTACACACACATATATGATGTAAGAACAATACATATATGTTCTTACATCCCTTTCCTGTGCAATATGATCCATTCCTCTCAAGAAAGTATGAATGACATTTCCTTTAGCAACTCCAGAGAACCCTCATTAGCTAATGAAGTGGTCTCTTGGTTAACAGTGTGGATTTCAAAATCAGAAAGCATTCTACCACTAGCAACTTTACAGTATTGCAAAAGTACTAGGCTTCAGATCTTCAGTTTTGCCCCTTTGAAATACTAATAAACCTTTTTGAAAATTAGGTGAGATAATCCATGAAAAGAGCTTAACTAGCATCATGCCTGTGACATGTTAAGCACTCAATAAAAGTTGGCGTTTATTATTTCAGTCTCTTTTATATACTGGATATTCAATGCAGATTGATGATTAACTGTTTTCAGCGATATGAAAAGGCCTTTATGAAAGGAAAAGAGCTCTTCAGAATATTGGATGACTCTGAATGGTGACTCTAGAATAACAGGGCAAGACTCTATATGGGCTGTAGAATCAATCATATGAGAGATCTGGGTAGAACATCTTCACATATTGGAAAATGTAGGGGACACCACGCTCCTGGGGTTTCTAGGCTGGCAGTGAACACATGGAAAATTCTAAATGTGAAAATGACAGCTTTGTCAGTTTGCTCCTCGAGGCCTGCCAAAGACTGCCACAGTCCCTGTCCATCTCTAGTAAATCACAGTAACTAATTCAGCTCCTACACCAAATTTGGCTTCTTCTATGACTTTTCCTAACATAAAAACACACAAAAAAGAATAGCAGCACAAAAACCACATAAGTCCCAGAAATCATTTCCAGATGAAATTTTATATGTTCTGCTTTCTAGTTTTGGCAAGTCATTGAAAAGTAAAATAGCAACCACTGTGAGAGAATTCTTATATTTCTGGAAAATGATGTTCCAATGTTATTTTTAAGGAAAGGAATGTTTATCCTTCGTTCCGAGGAATGATAAAAATGTTCCCAAATTACCCTTTAAAAAGGCAGTGATTTTACAAAATATATATATATACACACACACACACATTAATTCCTCACTTTATATCTTAAATAGGTTCTTTGAACCTATTGCTTGTTAAACAAAAGTTTAAACAAAACGACATATAACAAAACCAATTTTACCACCAGCTACTTGATATAAATAAGATTCAGTTCCTACAACAAATTTCTGGTCACAAAAACATCACCAGACTTCTAAATAAAGAGCCAAAGCACTTCTAATATTAAACATAGAAAAATATTTGAACTATATATACATTTTTTAACTATTAATATACTCAAGCAGGATAATTATCTACCCATTTATTCCAGCTCGGGGTTGTAGGTGGGTGAGTCTGTCTCAGCAGTTCAGGGCACCAGTCAGAAACCCACCCTGGATAGGCCGCCATCCCATCACAGGGCACACTCAGGCACACACACTCACACTCACTCAGACAGGGGCCATTTAGACATGCTAATTCACTGAATGTGCGTATCTTTGGGATGTGGGAGGAAATTTGAGTACCCAGAGAAAACCCATGCAGACATGGGGAGAATACTCAAGGTTCACACGACAGTGGCCGTAGGAAGAAGCGATATTTTTTCTCATCAATGCGATGAGAAAACAAGGTTGAATGAAACATTATTCACTTACCTGGTGCTTGAGTGTGTGGTATGTGTGTGTATGTGTCTATCTCCAAAGATAATATTATTTATTAAACCACTGTCCCACTCCCGTGAGCACTGATGTCCTAAGAATCCCACCCCTGCTATTGATACGGAAGTGGGGAAGGGAAGTGCTGGGAAGGGAAGTGCTGGTGTGGGCCCTTTAAATGATACGGAAATAGGGAAGGGCGTGGTCCCTGACTAGGACTCCACCACCTGCCTTGTGACCAGGGACCTAGGTGAGGACAGGCATTTTTGTTTTCCTGCCCAAATGTTGCATTTTTCAAGACCACCCTGGCGTGCCACTCCCCCATCCTATGCCTATGAAAACCCCCAACACCCTAACAGGCAGACACACAAACGGCTGGACATCGAGAGGAGCACATCACTGGAGGAACACGCAGGTGGCTGGACATTGAGAGGAACGCACCGACAAGCACCAGCAGGCCAACAAGCCACCAACCGACTGGCAGACTGACACGGAGTTTGGCTGGGGCAGTCGGAGGAGAGCGCCCAGGCCATCCAGCAGCCCAACTCCAGAGGAAAACCATCTTCCTTCTGGCTCCCTCATCTGCTGAGAGCTACTTCCACTCAGTAAAACCTTGCACTCATTCTTCAAGCCCACGTGTGAACCGATTCTTCAGGCACACCAAGGCAAGAACCCGGGATACAGAAAGGCCTCTGTCCTTGCCACGAGGCAGAGTGTCTAATTGAGCTGATTAACACAAGCTGCCTATAGACAGCAAAACTAAGAGCCCCCAGTAGCACACACTCACTGGGGCTTCAGGAGCTGTAAAAATTCACCCCTAGACACTGCCATGGGGTCGAAGCCCCACATCCTGCCCATCTGTATGCTCCCCCAGAGATGTGAGCAGCGAAACACTGAAGAAGCTAGCCACTCCCTCTCTCGCATGCCCTGCGAAGGGGACAAGGGAACTTTTCCAGTTTCACTATGACCATGGCAAAAGCTACATACCTCAAGACTGCCCATTGAGATTAGAAAACAATACAAAATCCTGACCCTTAATCCAGCTGTCTTACTTCTAGGAATCAACCCAAAGATACATTAGTAAAAACAGAAATATACCTGCTTAATACTGGTTTTTTTTTCTTTGCAACTTTTATTTTAGGTTCGGGGGGGTACGTGTGCAGGTTTGTTACATGGCTAAATTGTGTGTCATGGGATTTCTTAGTCACCCAGATAATAAGCATAGGACTTGATAGGTAGTTTTTTGGTCCTCACCCTCCTCCTACCCTCCACCACCAAGTAGGTCTTGGTGTCTATGGTTCTCTTCTTTGCGTCCATGTGTACTCAGTGTTTATCTCCCAGGTGAGAGAATATGCAGTATTTACTTTTCTGCTCCTGCATTAATTTGCTTAGGATAATGGCCTCCAACTCCATCGTGTTACTGTAAAGGGCATGATTTCCTTCTTTTTATGGCTACATAGTATTCCATGGTATATACATACCACATTTTCTCTATCCAGTCCATCATTGATGGGCATTTAGGCTGGTTTCACATCTTTGCTATTGTAAATAGTGCTACGATGAACACATGCGTGTATGTGTCTTTATGGTAGTTTGGGTATATACCTAGTAACGGGATTGCTGGGTTGAATGGTAGTTCTGTTTTAAGTCCTGTGAAAAATCTCCAAACTGACTTCCACAGAGGATGAACTAATTTACATTCCTACCAGCGGTGTGTAAGTGCTCCCTTTTCTCCACAACCTCACATGCATCGGTTATTTTTTGACCTTTTAATAATAGCCATTCCGATTGGTGTGAGATAGTATCTCATTATGGTTTTGGTTTGCGTTTTTCTAACGATTAGTAATGTTGAGCTTCTTTTCATGTGTTTGTTGGCTACATGTATGTCTTCTTTTGAGAAGTGTCTTCATATCCTTTGTCCATTTTTTAATGGGGTTGTTTGGTTTTTGCTTGTTAATTTGTCTAAGTTCCTTATAGATTATGTATATTAGACCTTTGTTGGGTGCATAGTTTGCAAATATTTTCCCCCATTATGTATGTAGGTTTTCTGTTTACTCTGTTAATAGTTTCTTTCAACTATGCAGAAGCTCTTTAGTTTAATTAGGTACCATTTGTCGAGTTTTATTGTTGCTGCAATTGCTTTTGAAGTCTTCATCATGAAATCTTTGCCAGGGCCTATGTCCAGAATGGGATTTCCTAGGGTTTCTTCTAAAATTTTTATAGTTTTGGGTTTTACATGGAAGTCTTTAATTCATCTTGAGTTGATTTTTGTATATGGTGAAAGTAAGGGGTCCAGTTTAAATCTTCTGCATATGGCAAGCCAGTTATCCCAGCCCCATTTATTAAATAAGGAGTTCTTTCCCCATTGCTTGTTTTTTGTCAATTTTGTTGAAGATCAGATAGTTGTACATGTGTGGTTTTACTTCTGGGTTCTCTAACCTGTTCCCTTAGTCGATGTGTCTGTTTTTGTACCAGCACTATGCTGTTTTGGCTACAATAGCCTTGTAGTATAGTTTGAAATTGGGTATTAAAGTGCCTCTAGCTTTGCTTTTTTGCTTAGGGTTGCCATGGCTATTCAGGCTTTTTTTTTTTTTTTTTTGGTTCTACATGAATTTTAGAATACTTTTTTCTAATTCTGTGAAAAAATATCATTGAGGTAGTTTGATAAGAATAGCATTGAATCTGCACATTGCTTTGGGCAGCGTGGCCAATCTAACAATACTAATTCTTCCTATCCATGAACATGGAATATTTTTCCATTTGTTAGTGTCACCCCTAATTTCTTCCAGCAGTGTTTTTTAATTCTCATTGTAGAGATTGTTCACCTTCCTGGTTAGCTGTATTTCTATATATGTTATTATTTTTTTGGCTACTGTGAATAGGAATAAGTTTTTTTATTTGGCTCTCAGCTTGGATGTTCCTGGCGTATAGGAGTGCTAGCGATTTTCGTGCATTGATTTTGTATCCTGAAACTTTGCTGAAGTTGTTTATCAGATCTGGGAGTTTTGGGGAAGAGACTATGGGATTTTCTAGGTATAGAATCATATCATCTGCAAAGATAGTTTGACCTCCTTTCTTCCTATTTGGATGCCTTTTATTTCTTTCTCTTCCCTGGTTGCTCTGGTTCTCAAGGGGAATACTTCCAGCTTTTGCCCATTCAGTATGATGTTGACTGTGAGTTTGTCATAGATGGCTCTTACTGTTTTGAGGTACATTCCTTCAACGCCTAGTTTGTTGTGCATTTTTAACATGAAGAGATGTTGAATTTTATTGAAAGCCTTTTTGTGTCTATTGAGATGATTGTGTAGTTTTTGCTTTTAGTTATTTTCATATAATGAATCATACTTATTGATTTGTGTGTGTTGAACCAATCTTTCACATCAATAAAGCCTAGTTAATCATGGTGGATTAGCTTTCTGATATGCTGCTGGATTTGCTTTTCTAGTATTTTGTTGAGGGTTGTTGCACCTATGGTAATCAGAGATATTGGCCTGAAGTTTTACTTTGTGGTTGTTGGGTGTTTGGCAGGTTTTGCTATCAGAATGATACCAGCCTCATAGAATGAGTTAGAGAGGAGTTTGTCATCCTCAATTTTTAAAAACAGTTTCAGTAGGATTGGTACCAGCTCTTCTTTATACACCTGGTAGAATACAGCTGTGAGTCCATCTACTTCAGGACTTTTTCTTAGTAGGCTTTTATTACTGATTCAATTTTGGAACTCATTTTTGTTTTGTTCAAAGTTTCAATTTCTTCCTCGTCCAATCTTTACCAGGTTGTATATTTCCAGGAATGTATTCATTTCTTCTAGGTTTCCTAGTTGGTTTGCACAGAGGTGTTCATAATAGTCTCTGAATGATACTGTGTTCCATTTCTGTGGGGTCAATGATAATCATTTTTGATTGTGTTTATTTGGATTGTCTCTTTTTTCTTTATTAGTCTAACTAGTGGTTTATCAATCTTAATTATTCTTTCAAAGAACCAATTTTTTGTTTCATTGATTTTTTTTTTTTGAGACAGATCTCAGTCTGTCACCCAGGCTAGAGTGCAGTGGCATGATCTTGGCTCACTGCATCCTCCACCTACTGGCCTCAAGCGATCCTCCCATCTCACCCTCCTGAGTAGCTGGGACTATGGACATGTGCCACCACACTCAGCTAATTTTTATATTTTTAGTAGAAACAGAGTTTCTCCATGTTGCCCAGACAGGTCTTAAACTTCTGGGCTCAAGTTATCCACCCACCTCTGCCTCACAAAGTGCAGGGGTTACAGATGTGAACCACTATGCCTGGCCTTGTATGGCTTTTTGCATCTCAGTTTGATTCAGTTCAGCTCAGATTTTGGGTATTTGTTTTTTTCTGCTAGCTTTGAGGTTGGTTTGCTCTTGTTTTTCTAGTTCTTCTTGGTGTGATGTTAGGTTGTCAGTTTGAGATCTTTCTAACTTTTTGATGTGGTGATTTAGCACTGTAAACTTCCCTTTTTGCACTGTTTTAGCTGTGTTCCAGATATTCTGGTATGTTGTATGTTTGTTTTCATTCGTTTTAAAGAATCTGATTTCTGCCTTAATTTCACTGTTTAAAAGAATTTCTTGATTTCTGCCTTAATTTCATTGTTTATCCAAGTCATTCAGGAGTAGGTTGTTTAATCTCCACATAATTGTATAGTTCTGAGAGACCCTCTTAATATTGATTCTTATTTTTATTGTGCTGTGGTTCAAGAGTGTGGTTGATATGTTTTTGGTTTCTTTGAATTTGTCAAGAATTGTTTTATGGCTAAGCATATACTTAATTTTAGAGCATGTGCCATGTGCAGATGAGAAGAATGTATATTCAGTTGTTGCTGGGTGGAATGTTCTATAAATGCCCATTAGGCCCATCTGGTAAAGTATCGTGTTTAGGTCCTGAATATCTTTGTCAGTTTTCTGCTTTGATGATCTGTCTAACACTGTCAGTGGGGTGTTGAAGTCTCCCGCTATTATTGTGTTGTTATCTAAGTCTCTTTGTAGGTCTTGAAGAACTTGTTTTATCAATCTGGGTGCTCCTGCGTTGGTGCATATATATTTAGAATAGTTAAGTCTTTTGTTAAATTGAACCTTTATCATTATGCAATGTCCCTCTTTGGTTCTTTTTTGATTATTGGTCTGAAGTCTGTTTTGTCTGAAATTAGAAAAGCAACCCCTGATCTTTTTCATTTTCCATTTGCTTGGTAAATTTTTTTACATCTCTTTACTTTGAGCCTATGGGTGTCATTGCATGTAAGATGGATCTCTTGAAGACAGTGTACAGATGAGTCTTGCTTCTTTACCCAACTTGCCATTCTGTGTTTTTGTAAGTGGAGTGTTTATTTTCCATTCAAGGTTAATATTGTTATGAGCAGATTTGATCATATCATACTGTTGTTAGCTAGTTGTTATGCAGGCTTGTGTGGTTGCTTTATAGGGTCAATGGTCTATGTACTTAAGTGTGTTTTTGTGGTGGCCAGTAACAGTCTTTTGTTTCCATGTTTAGCATTCCTTTAAGGACCTCTTGTAAGGCAAGTCTGGTGGTAATTAATTCCCTTAGCATTTGCTTTTCTGAAGAGGATTTTGTTTCTTTCACTTACGAAGCTTAGTTTGACTGGATATAAAATTCTTGGTTGGAATTTCTTTTCTTTAAGAATGCTGCATATAGGCCTCCAATCTCTTCTGGCTTGTGGGTTTCTGCTAAAAGGTCCACTGTTAGCTGGATGGGGTTGCCTTTGCAGGTGACCTGCCCCTTATCTCTAGCTGCCTTTAATATTTTTTCCTTTGCATTGACCTTGGAGAATCTAATGAGTATGTATGTGTCTTGGGGATGGTCATCTTGTATATAGTGTCTCACAGGGGTTCTCTGAATTTCCTGAAATTGAATGTCAACCTCTCTAGTGAGGTTAGGGACATTTTGTGGAAATGTTGTGGACAATATGTTCAAATATGTTTTCCAAGTTGTTTGCTCTCTTTCCCTCTCTTTCAAGGACACCAATGAGTCATAGCCTTGGTCTGTTCACATAATCCCATATTTCTTGGAGGTTTTATTGTTTTTTGTTCTTTTTTATTTATTTTTGCCTAAGTTGATTAGAAGAACCAGTCTTCATGGTTCATGCCTGTAATCCCAGCACTTTGGGAGGCAGAGGCGGGCAGATCACAAGGTCAGGAGATCGAGAACATCCTGGCTAACACGGTGAAACCCCGTCTGTACTAAAAAAAAATACAAAAAATTAGCTGGGTGTTGTGGTGGGTGCCTGTAGTCCCAGCTACAAGGGAGGCTGAGGCAGAAGAATGGCGTGAACTGTGGAGGTGGAGATTGCAGTGAGCGGAGATGCGCCACTGCACTCCAGCCTGGGTAACAAAGCGAGACTCTGTCAAAAAAAAAAAAAAAAAGATTGTTTTCCTTAGCTTGGTCTATTCTGTTGTTAATACTTATGATTGTATTATGACATTCTTACAGTGTGTTTTTCAGCTCTAGCAGATCAGTTTCTTTCTTAAAATAGCTATTGCATCTTTCAATTCTTGTGTTATTTTATTGGATTCCTTAGATTTCTTGGGTTGGGTTTCAACTTTTTCCTGAATCTAGATGATCTTCATTACTATCCAGATTATGAATTCTATCTCTGTCATTTCAGCCATGGCAGTCTGGTTAAGAACCATTGCTGGGAAGCCAGTGTAATCATTTGGAGATAAGAAGACACTCTGGCTTTCTGAGTTGCTAGAGTTCTTGTGCTGGTTCTTTCTCATCTATGCAGGCTGATGTTCCTTTAACCTTTAAAGTTGGTAAACTTTGGATGGAGCTTTTTGCTTTTATATTTTCTGAAGACCTTGAAGTTTTGACTGCGGTATAAGTTGAGTTCAGTCAGCCGGCTTCATTTCTGAATGATTTCAGATGGCCAACGCTCAGCTCAGCAACTGTGGGCTGCATGCTAACCCTGGGGGGCTGGTAGCAGGCCCACAGCTTTGTTCTCTGTCCACTTGAGGTTAAGCACCTGCTATGCAGGACGGGCTGAAGTGCTCTGGTCTGCTGACAACACTCTGATGGGGGGTGCCAGCAAAAGCACATCATCAGGGTGGTGGCAGCAGAGTATGCATGCACTGCCAGCAGCATCAGCATGATGGGGTATACATGTGCTCACAAGGGTGGGGAGATAGCATCCTTTCATGAGTGCTCACAAAGGTGGCTGCAATGAGGCAGTGTCCACACATGCCAGAGGGAGCGGGGCAGCAGCAGGAGGTCCACACACACATGCCAGTGACAACTGAGCAGTGAAGTCTGTGCATGTGCACACTGCCAAAGGGGTGAGGGAAGGTTGTAGGTGGGTGTGCACCAGCAAGGCCCATCTGCTGAAGCTCCCTGATTGTTAGGTGGGGTCTGCCGGTGAAGTAGCTATGGCAGCTGCCACCAGGAAGCACCCTAGTTGGGCATCCAAGGCTGTGCTGCAAATGGGCACGGCCAGGCAGGCATGCTGGGAGAGACTGGGAGGCAAGGGAGTGCACAGATCATACTAGCCCCATCCCATGGGCAAAACCGTGCCACTCTGTCCAGGTATGACAGGAAACAAAGGCCAAAGCCACCTAGGGGAGTGTAGTGAGCCTTGGGGATGAATGCCCCTGGCCGTGCTCCACTGCCTCTATTCCTATGCCAACCCCCCTTGGCTCTGCACAGGCTGGAATACTGTCCCTGCCACCTCTCCAAGTAGCTCTCCTATCAGCTCAAGTTTCTGTGGGGGTCATAAGAGTCTCCTGAAGCTAGGAGTCTGGAGGTCCATGGCAAGAGTCGGCCACTGCTTACCTATTTAACTTATCTCTTCCCCCAGGAACTGCAGAGGGCCAGGAGCAAGCCTTGGTGTTTCACTGCCCTGGGCAAGGTTTCCAGCTTCCTCCCGCTTCAGCCCAGGGTCTGCGTCTTCCTTCCTTCCTTCCACTCTCTTAATGTCTTCCCTTCAAATATCTGCTCAGAGTGTGCTGGTAGTCCCTCTATGGGAGATGCTCTTCCTGGCTGCATCTAGTCAACTATCTTAGGTCTTCTCCAAGATTCTTCAATGAATCATTATTTATAATATTAAAATACTAGAAAGAGTCAAATGTCCATCAAGAGGGGACTGGACTGATTAAATAATGTATCCTTACACAATGGAATACTCTGAAGATGTGAAAAAGGCATAAGCCATATCTCTATAAATCTATTAATTACGTAGGATATATTATGGAGTAAAAACAAAGTAATGAAAAACTTGTACACTATGCTACCATTATCTGAAAACAGAGTATGTGTTTGTGTCTAGATATATTTTTAAAAAATCAATGGAATGCTAAATTACAAAGTTTTTTTTTTTTTTTTTTTTGAGACAGAGCCTTGCTCTGTCACCAAGCTGGAGTGCAGTGGCGCGATCTCGGCTCACTGCAACTTCCGCCTCCCAAGTTCAGGCAATTCTCCTGCCTCAGCCTCCTGAGTAGCTGGGACTACAGGCACGTGCCACCATGCCCAGCTAATTTTTGTATTTTTAGTAGAGACAGGGTTTCACCATGTTGGCCAGGATGGTCTTGATCTCTTGACCTCGTGATCCACCCCACTCAGCCTCCCAAAGTGCTGGGATTACAGCTGTGAGCCACCGCACCTGGCCAGTGAATGCTTTAAATGTTTTATACATACATAAATATTATATATTAGTTATATGAATAGGTACAAGTAATTTTCGAACACAGTAATCTTTTCTGAACATCCTTAATGACAAATAGTCTAAAGACAAATAAAACCTGAAAAAACACATTAACTATTCTCTGTAATTCTTATTGTTGATGGTAGTGGTGATATTGTCATTCTGAGACCATTGAGTGTGTCATATAGGATAAAGCAAATATATTTGTGTCATTAACAAATAGGAATTTCAACATGAGAAAAAGTAGCTACAAACATAAGGTTAATTAAGTAAAATTAAAGTTCTGTCTTCCTGAATATTAATTGAAAATACTGGTGTGAACCTATGATGAATTTTACCCTAAAACACAAATTATTTCAAGGGTTCCTTAACTCTGTCCTCAGCAAAGGCCTAGAACTAATGAGTAGTACTAGAACTACTACTAACCTAGTAGTAATGAGTACTTTAGTGCCCATGTTGTGGTCTCTAAAGATGATTTTCCACTATATGGAAAGTGGGGTTCCTGGAGAAAGGACTGATTCCAAAGCTAGAGCAAGAAATTTACAAAATAAACTTGAACTATCTTGTTGAATCAGAAAAGAAGGAATGCCAAGATCATGCCAAAGGACTCACTGGCCAACCTGAAGAGATTCCCACTGCCCTGAAATTAGACAATTAGAGCATCAATAGAACAATAAATACAATCACATCACATGTATTAAACCTATGGTTTATAATAATATTCAAACAAACAAGCAAACTCATTGGCCAACTTTGGAGGATAATATGCAACAAAGTCATTATTTTGAAAACGAGTACGTAAAGGGAAAAAAATCAAATTTTATCCTGCTTTTTCTATATAAATTATACTTTAAGGTAACTAAATGACTAATGAGGATAGGTTTCTCTGTATAGAAATACAGAAATATTCCAGCTAATAAAACAGAAAGGAATGATAGAATTTTTTTGTAAACTATAATGAATTAATGGATTTAGGTAATGATTAATAAGGGCTTCTAAAATCACAAATAAGAAAACTAACCAGGCAAGATATACCTTTCTATGGAAGTGCAAAAAATCTATCAAGTATGCTTGACAAAATAATAATAATAAACTTATTATTATTATTCCAAATCGACTCTAAATCTAACTACCAATTTACTGAAATTACAGAAATATATAAAATGACACCATAGAGATGCAATCAGCAAAATTCAGTTTCTACAACAAATAAATTGCAAGAGTGGGAAAAAAGTAATGGAGAGAAGCCCTATAGATTAAAAAATATTTGAGAAACATAGTAACCAGTGGCAATGTTGTATGAAGCTTATTTCTAATGTGATGCAAAACAAAAACACACTGAAAATAAATTACGAGACAACTGGGAAAATTTGAACACTGACAATACTTGATGATATTTAAAAATTATTGTTAATATTTTAACAATATTAATGCTAAGTGTAATAATGAAATTGTAGTTATATTAAGAATTCCTAGTCAGGCGCGGTGGCTCACACCTGTAATCCCAGCACTTTGGGAGTCTGAGGCAGGCAGACAGCTTGAGCTCAGGAGTTCAAGACCAGCCTGGGCAACATGGTGAAACCCTATCTCTGCTGAAAATACAAAAATTAACCGGGTGTGGTGGTATATGCCTGTAATCCCAGCTACTTGGGAGCTGAGGCAGGAGACTCGTTTGAACCCAAGAGGTGGGGTTTACAGTGAGCCGCAAGATGGTTCCACTGCACTCCAGCCTGGGCACTGGGAAACAGAGTGAGACTCCGTCAAAAAAAAAAGAATTCCTATCTTTCAATGATACTAACATATTTACAAATAAAACTATGTCTTTATTTTGCTATTAAATGACCTAGTATGTTGGAGGAAAGTAAATAAAGGCAGAAAGGAAAAAGGTAACTGGAACTGGTGATGTATATATTGGAAGTAGTTACATAACTCTATTTTGGTGTACATTTGAAAATTTCCATAATAAAAAGGACAAATAACATTGAAATCTTTACTATTAGCCTACAAGGACCTGTATAACCTGGTCCATGCCCACCCTCCTCATCTCATCACTCTTCCCTTGCTCATTCTGTACCAGTGACTTTGACAGCCTTTCTGTTCTATGAATATGCCAAGCTCTTTGTCTAGAGAAATATGTAAAGAAATAATAACAGAATTTTCCAAAAATTTTGAAAGACATCAAACAAAGATACAAGAAGTGAAAGGAGGCAGTAATTATTTGCCACTTTTCAATTAATTCTAATATCCTTAGCTTGTTAAGGCACTCCATTCTGTGAAGACCTTCCACTCCAAACCCAACCTAAATCTGCAGTTGACCACCTGGGTGGACTTCAATGGAGAATAATCTCCTCAATCCCATCCTGACTGACTGGGTTTTGCATCATCTGTGTGACCCCAGAGACCAGCATTAGCAAGCCTCAAGTTAGAAGTTTTTAGCAAATGTAGGTTCTGTGATGCCTTTGAGCTAAGGTGCACTAGATGATAGGGGAGTAATAGTTGTTTCTTATTTAATTTGATGTGGAAATAAGAATGGAATGAAATGGCTATCAATACAATTTCAGAAGTCTTCTAAAGGCACTGTCTTCCTTGATGGTTCTTATTGCAAGGCAACTGATCTGAAGTAGACTGAAGAGGGAGGCTGGCTTTAGAAACAGAGACTAAAAAGTGGGGACACTGGGCCAGGTGCAGTGGCTTATGCCTGTAATCCCAGCACTTTGGGAGGCCAAGGCAGGCTGATCATGAAGTCAGGAGTTCAAAACCAGCCTGGCCAGCATGGTGAAACCCCATCTCTACTAAAAATACAAAAAATTAGGCTGGCATTGTGGTACACGCCTGTAGTCCCAGCTAGTTGGGAGGCTAAGGCAGGAGAATTGCTTGAACCCAGCAGGCAGTGGTTGCAGTGAGCCAAGATTGTGCCACTGCACTCCAGCCTGGGTGACAGAGCATCTCAAAAAAAAAAAAAAAAAAAAAAAAAAAAGTGGGGACATCTGAGTTACTTAAGAGTGAAGAATCAAGAGAACTTAAGTGAAGTACAAAAGAACAACAAAACAAAACAAAAATAAGAATAGGAAACAGAGAAGAAAATGACTGCAAACTAGATTCTTTAATCCCCAAAGATTCATTTATAGGAACACAAAACAAATTTTACTTTTGTGTTCAGGGCCAGCCATAAAGATCCGTCCTTAAAGAGAGTGAGACGAAGGGCACATTGCAACAGAAAGGTGGATGCATACAGAGTTATATAATTTTGCAGCCATTCCACACACCTTGGCAAGGGCCGATGGTTTCAAAATCCAAGAATAGCTCCACATGTGATCTCTGACTGATTGGGAAGAGGAATATGCCTGGCATGGCAAGAGAAGAGCACTCCCAAAAATGATGAGCAAGAAAATCATTTTCTCTGCTAGAAATAGGTCAGAGAACTTTCCAGTGATGAGATCTGGAGATTCAGAAATCAATGGTGGTCACTATTTTGCTGCTTTTTAAAAGGCAGAGGGCTGTTAATACCATTCATCTCATTTATTCAAACAAACACATTATTTGAAAATACATTGTTTTCCAAGCCCTGTACTAGACACAGAGAATACACTACTGGGCAAAAGAGGAATGGATTCTGAGGACAGGTAGAGTATCCCTTCTTTCTCTATCAGTAAGTCAGTTCTCCAGACCTATTTACTGAGAGGCCAGACAAAGGATTTTTCTAGGCTCACCTTTCTTAGCTGCCTCTTCTAACAATCCCTGTGAAGTAGAGTTTAAAGTTGACTGAGTCCATAAGAGATTAATGTACAGTAATTAAGGATGTAAAACAATGTTCTCCAATGGCCAGAATTCTTTACTCTGCAGAATTTATGATATATGGCAATGAAAATAACTAAAACCTTCAAAAATTTAGTACTCAAAACAGGACAAAAGAGCTAGATGAAACTTGTCTGCTTTACCACCACTACTATAGTCACTTTAATCCCAAGATAGGTAACTCAAGATTGGCTTCAGCTGTTTTGTCTAGGCTGAAGGGCAATTTATATTATGAAAAAAAAATGACAGTATCAAAGAATAAGTTCAGTTGTCTGCTTTATTCCATAAATATAAATTAAGCCATTAAAAGTAAGTTAGCTCCTAGAAAATGAGCAGCTTTTTGTCTGTGAAAACTGGTATCAAAATTAAAGAAACAGGAAAAAACAGCCCCACTTAACAAAAAAAGATACAATATCCAAGAACCATTAAATGCTCAGATTATGAGTAGATACTTTTCATCCAGAATTGATGACCAAGCATGGGTCAGGCTAGTCAAATACTCCTGAGGTTCCCAGAACATATCTGGGAGCAGAATATCCCAGGTAAGTGTGAAAGCAATGTGCCAACAAAGACTTTCGTTCCTCAAATGCCCCAGCACTTTAATGTTGAATTGTGATTTTTTTCTACTCTCAGCTTTGGCCTTGTTTTTGTGCCTGTACCTGCTTCAGACAGATCTTCACAAATAGTGCCTTTGGTCAGTTAACCATAGGTGGTATGAGGTCTAGATTGCGCAAAACTAACAAGAACTTGAAGACAACTATCTTATAAAACTGAAATCAAAGGGCTTAAAGGACATTCAGTTTGTTGATAAAGTAGATATCACCTTGTAGAAACTCAAAAGGCCATATATAAGGAACATGAATAAACATTTTTATTTATTTATTATTTTTGTTTTTTGAGATAAAGTCTCACTTACTCTGTCACCCAGGCTGGAGTACAGTGGCTCAACTCACTACAACCTCCGCCTCCCCAATTCAAGCGATTCTCCTGTCTCAGCCTCCCAGGTAGCTGGGATTACAGGCACCCGCCACCACACCTGGCTAATTTTTTTTTTTTTTTTTTGAGACGGGGTTTCACTCTGTCGTCCGGACTGGAGTGCAGTGGTATGATCTCGGCTCACTGAAACCTCTGCCTCCCAGGTTCAAGCAATTCTCCTGCCTCAGGCCTCCCAAGTAGCAGGGACTAAAGACGTATGCCACTATGCCCAGCTAATTTTTGTATTTTTAGTAGAGAAGGGGTTTCACCATGGTGGCCAGGTTGATCTTAAACCCCTGACTTCAAGTGATTTGCCCACCTTGGCCTCCCAAAGTGCTGGGATTTAGGTGTGAACCACCGACCATGCCTGGCCTGATTTGTTTGTTTTTTGTCATTGAGATTGGGAGGAGGGATAGGAGTTGGTGTTTAAAGATATCACCTAATCATTTCCTTGCATACACAGGAAACATAAAACACAATTTTCCCTCATGTTGGAAGTTGAGTGCTCTCAGGGCATAGAGTGAAGGAAAGTCCTCATTTTGCCCTAAGCAAATGTTTCCTGGGTATGTGGCTCCAAGGGAAGATGCCAATGCTAAGTTCTCTAAGAGTACTAGCAAAATGCTTCTTGCACATCATAACTGCTTCATAGCTATCTCTTCAGTACTTTTTCCCTGGTGATCCCTAACCAAGGCTCCCACAATGGGAGCATCAGAGCTTGCACATTGGCCTTGCAGAAGCTATACCACCACCACCACCACACAAAAGACTTGGATTAAGATCCCAAATGCCTCCCCCAATAAGAGCCGTTTCAAATCTCCAAACTATTGTCTTTATTATCATAGTTTCCATAAACAACCGTAATTAAATGCATACTAGGTACTAGTGTTTTACATTTAGTAACGCTAATCTTCAGAATTTTCCAGTTTATAAAAGAGTTAACTGAGGCTTAGAAGGTTTAAGCAATTTACCTAAAACTACAAAGTTAGCAAGTAGTGGAGTCTTGGTTGAACTATATGTCTCAGTCTTAAACTTATCTTCTTAGTAACTCGACGTCTAATGAGAAGATAAGCAAAACAACAATTTTAAGCTTATGAAAATCAATAAAAAATCATAAATTAACAGAAAAATACAAATTTTCAGCACTGCTGCTACATTTTCCAGTTCCCTTTGTCTCTAGCTGTGAATGATTTCACGGAAAGAATAGAGATGAATACGTTCGGACTGAAATAGAAAATGTTGGAAGCACTCATTTAACATTGTGCACAGTATTTCTAGAGAACTTCCAGCAGGTGGCAGTATTTAAGAACATTACTGGTAGTCACAACTTTGGCAGCTATTGCTGCAAAGAGAGATTGGGTGTCAAAAGTCTTTTTTTTTTTTTTTTTGAGACGGAGTCTCGCTCTGTGGCCCAGGCGGGAGTGCAGTGGCGCAATCTCAGCTCACTGCAAGCTCCGCCTCCCGGGTTCACGCCATTCTCCTGCCTCAGCCTCCCGACTAGCTAGGACTACAGGCGCCCACCATCACGCCCGGCTAATTTTTTTGTATTTTTTTTAGTAGAGACGGGGTTTCACCGTGTTAGCCAGGATGGTCTCGATCTCCTGACCTCGTGATCCGCCCGCCTCGCCTCCCAAAGTGCTGGGATTACAAGCGTGAGCCACCGCGCCCGGCCCAAACAAAAGTCTTTAAACTTCGGCCCAAACTTGAATTTCCAGTTATTTTATTCATTGTCCTTGGAAAGTTTCAAGAGCTAAAACATTACCTTTTTCTTATAATTGTTTAATTTGAGGTTCACTTTAACTTGCAGATATGGAACAGTGGTTTCAATAAATTACAGTAAATTTAGTTAATCTTACTTTGGAAATTGTGTAAGGTCTTTGATGTTGTTCCAAATATCAGTTCCTTCCCTGGAATTTTGTGGCCTAAGCCTCAGAGCAGTATTCAAATGGCTGTTATTTTGTATTGTTTCTTAAATATCTAGAAAATATGTGAAATACAGGGTCAGGCTCTGTTGACAATGCACAGGAATCGTTCAAAAGGCTTACATTATATGCTTGGCCTAGAAACAAACAGAACAGTTTGCCACATTTTCCTAACAGTTAAAACCTCTTGCAAACTATTCCACATTCAGCATTTCTCTCTGCTCTGCAACACTCATCCCTCAGTCCTGTTTAGCAAACCATATACCTTCTGTGATCATCACTGTTGTTCCCACTTCCATCCATTACACTCATTCTCCCATTTAAAAAAATTTCTTGCTTTACTCTTTTTCAATCCATGTACACACCTTGCTTCAAAATACTTTTTACGAAACATTCCCTAGGCATCATTCCTTGACTGCTTCTGTGTTCTTCTTTTGCAACTGTGTATTTTCTTGGAATGTATAAAATCAATTTTCCCATAATGTACATGTTGTATATGTTTATCTTGCAATTTTCAGTTGAACATGTGTCATAAGTATAGGTAAGCAAGAAGGAAGATTTTACCAAAGAAGAGAAAGTTGTCAGTTCATTAAGACAAAGTCCATTATGTTTTCTTTTCTGTATGGTATCTCTCAGAATTAAACTCATCCATTGTATTATTTTCTTCCTGTCAGTTTCATTGCCAGAGTCATAATAAACTTGAAATGCTCTGACATAATTAACTAGCTGGGGAAAGGAAGAACATAACTGTCAGTTAATTTAGGAAATGACTATGCTTATCATTGCTCAGATAATGTGTTTGTGTCTCACACACATTCTCATTTCCCTTTCCTTGTAGGTACATCGTGACAGGCAGAAAAAATCAATCTTCTGTTAGAAATAGTTCTGTAACTTATTTTTCAAACAAACTAAAAGGACTTTAAAAAAACAGCATTGAAAGAAACTAAGTGTGGTTTAGGAAGAAAGGAAATACATTTCTAACCCAATTTATGCAGTATAGTTTTCCCCCAAGATTACCTACTTACTTTCAAATACATGCTAACAGGCTGTGTTTATACAGCCCACACATAGATGAGGAAAGCTTACACAGTAAACTCCCCAGCTTCTGGGAGGACTTTGTGGCTCAGTAAAAATGACAGAAGGATTCCATGGAATGATATAGCTCTATATCCTAAACACCTTTAATCCAAGGGTTTATATGAATTTGTACAATAGCTACTAGGTATAAAAATAGTGTAGTCTATGCGTCCTGGAATAATCAACCAATATGAAGCCACCAGAAATGTATTCAGCTGGTAAATGTATTACCCTTCAGATGGGTAAAGTGTTTCTCATGCATTGGCAGTGGAATGCTCAATGTTTGGGAATGGCTGGAATAAATAAGAGGTTTTTTTAATCCTTCCAGAGTTATCTGTATTTTAAAAGTTTATAACTAATGAAGTGTCCATGTCTTGAGTTTGTGTGCACACGCACATGTGTGTGTGTGAGAGAGAGAAAGAAAGCAAGAAAGAGAGAGAGGGAAAGAGAAAGAAAGAAAGAGAGAGAGAGAGATCCTTTTTGGGAAACCACTGATGAGGCTATCTGGACTCTCACCCTGGGAAAATGTCCACATGCATATACGCACAATTTTATATAAAATTCAGAGGTTTTATGGGTTTACTCAAAGGTTAGAAAGACTTACATCAATTGACATGACTTTAGGCAGTGCAAAAGTTAAACTAAAACTCTTCAGGAAATAAAAATATTAGGCACATAAGACATTCCCTGGTTTAAACACATAACACACACACCCACCACACACACACAGCCAGAGTTCTTGAATTCAGTTAGGAAGATGACGCATCTAAAGTCATCATTAGCTACCTCACACAAGCTCTGACAACTCCAAATTGCTCCTCTCCCTAGTTTACAGTTCGGCATTCCAGATCTCAGTGTTTTTGCTCCTGCTCACCTCCTCTCTCTCCTAATTCAGCTCCACCTTAAGAGCACAGACCCTGTCTTTCAGAAAGCCTCACCTGGCTGCCTAAACCCTTTCTGTTCACAGCAAGGCCAGATGCCCCAGATATCGCCTGCACAATAACACATCATTTCATGTTGAAACCGGAAAAGTTCCCTTGTCCCCCATGCAGGGCATGAGATGGGGGTGTGGCTCACTTTTTCAGGTGCTCTTTTATTTTAGCCATCTGTAGGCAGCCTGCGTTAGCTCAATTAGACTCCCTGCCTTATCTCAAGGACAGAAGGCTTTCTGTACCCTGGGGTTTCTTGCCTTGGTGTACCCGAAGAATTGGATCTCACGTGGGCTTGGAGAATGAATGCAAGGTTTTATTGAGTGGAAGTAGCTCTCAGCAGATGGGGGAGCCAGAAGGGAGACAGAGTAGGAAGATGGTTTTCCTGTTGGAGTCAGGTCACTCAGCAGCCGGGCTCTCCTCTGACCACCCCGTCCAAACCCCACGTTGTTCCACCTGTCGATGGCCTGCTGGTGCCTGTCGATGTGCTCTCGACGTCCAGCTGCTTGTGTGTTCCTCCGCCAGTGTGCTCCTCTTGACGTCCAGCTGCTTGTGTCTCTGCCTGGTAGGGTCTCAGGGGGTTTTATAGGCACAGGATGGGGACGTGGCCGGCCAGGGTGGTCTTGGGAAATGCAACATTTGGGCAGGAAAACATAAATGCCTGTCCTCACCTAGGTCTGTGGGCGCAGGCCTGGGGATGGAACCCTAGCCGGGAACGGAACCCTAGCCGGGGACCATAGCCCTCCTCTACCTAGCACTTCCCTGCTGGCCTTCCGTATCAATAGGGCCTCTAAACTGTGAGCGATTTGAGTACAGGAACTCTGAGTTATTTAATTCTGTGTCCTCAGATCTTAACTCAGTGCCTGGCACTGAGAAATGTTTTTGAATGAATAACAGTGCACATATGCGTGTGATACATGCACTCAGTATTTAAATTCAGGTGGCTTAAAGTTCACAACCCTTGACTTTGTGTTCAAGAGAACTTGAAACAATACCACAGCCTTTGAACAAGCTTGTTTAAAAGGAGCAAGTACTCATGAATAAATTATCTTCTGTCTCACTTTCAGCAAAGTATACTTTGAAAGGAAATGGGCCAGTTCCCTTATAGGTGAGTTCTCAAGTGGTCAGTTTTTGGTATGTGAATTTTTATGATAAATATTTCCCTTTCCTTTTCATTACACTATTATCGTTGTATAAAGAAGTGTACCTGTCTGTGGCATAAAATTTAAAAGATATCAAAAGATAAACAACACAAAGTAACCTTTCTTCCTCCCCAGAAGCAACCATTTGTAGTATTCATTAACCTTTCACACAGAGTCTAGGCATATTAAAAAATAAATGACATCTTTTGTTACATTTTAAGACATACATTCAGAGAAATATTTCTCAATATTTGACAGCTGCCATAAGGAAGAAATAGCATGTAGAGGTGCTTCTTCAGAGACAGGCTGAGTCTAAGGTGCCTGTAAGGATTCCAGGCAAATGTATCCAGAAGATAGCTAAAATAGAGGTCTGAGACTCAGGAGAAAAGGTCAGGTGGTAGCCATCAAGGGTAACAAACTGTTGATGCCACTGGAATGGTGTAATAGCTCAAGCACCATAGACTGTGGGTGAGATGCTGGCATCACACTAAATCCTAGGAACCACCAATATTTAGGACAGATGCAAGAAGAGCTAATAACCAAACCCAGGAAGTCTAAGTTAGGGTCACCCTAACGGCAGATTTAATAGCAGTAGATTTTCAAAATCAAAGGAAGAGAAAATTTTACACTCTACTCTTTAAATTACACTGATATGCACTAAAAAGGCCAGTATTGTGAATACTGAAAAGAGAAAGTATCAGTAGTTCAGTGAGATGAAAAAAAAAAGTATCCATCAAATACCTATTGACGATTACTGTGTGCTAGGAATGTGGGAATATAATAGGGAATGGTACTGTCCTTTTACAGGTTCGAATTTCTGTGAAATTGTAAGTCTGCAGGCATGCCCTAAGATGATCTTTCTTCCACATGGCTGGTGGAACATTCAAAGTGGAGAGATCAGTCTCAGGTTGCCCTGATGTGAATCATCCACTTACACTTAGGAAGATTTTGAAAGCCTTGTAAACATGTATTTTCTAACCTGTTCAAACTTGGGTCTAGGAAGAGAGGTCAGGAATGCATCAAGGTAAACATGCAAAACATATCAAAGAATAGGAGGAAGAGAAGGAGGAGGGGGAGAAGGAGCATTGCCAACGGGTCTGAGGCTTCCATGTTCTCATATCATCTTCATTCATTGGTCTGTTTAACAAAAAAGGAAGCCATTGTAAAGATATAGAAAAACCGAAACATTTTTCCTACTCTCTACTGTCCACAACACAATCCACATGGAACACTTCTGTGACCTCTGGTCTGGTCTCCAAAATGTGTGAGGATTTCTCTTAACCAGCAATGAAGCAATTCTGACACCAGGTATGTGTAGATTTTCCCCACGCCACAAGCAAACAAGCAACTCTGCAGCAGAAACCAGCTGAGTGTCCTTTAATTCTATTCAATTCTGAGACTATTTGCCTAGAGATAGCATCAGATCCCACAGAATGAGGGCTCAGTCCCACAAGACTGCCCTCCCACTTCCGATGCCAACCAAAAGCCCCAGGTTATTTTACCCGTGCTTCTGAGCAACTGGCTATAAATCAGGATTCCCACGCTCCCTCCTCAGGTTTGATTAATTCGTTAGAGCAGCTCACAGAACTCAGGTTTATTTACCAGTTTGTTATTAAGGATATTACAAAGGATATGGATGAAGAGATACATAAAACAAGCCATGTGGGAAGGAGAGTGGAGCTTCTATGTCCTCCACAGTCATGCCACCCTCCAAGAACCTGGAAAGTCTCAGAACCCAGTCCTTTTTTGTTTTTATGGAGCCTTCATTACAGAGTCATGACTGATGAAACCATTGGTGATCAACTAAACCTTCAGCCCCTGTCCCCTCCCTGGAGGTGGCAGGGTGTGGGGAGAAGGCTGAAAAATTCCAGCCCTCTAATCCTGCCTTGGTCCTGAAACTACCTAGGACCACCAGCCACCAATCAACTCATTAGCAAACAAAAGGACACATCACTTTGGAGATTCCATGGATTTTAGGGGTTGTATACCAGGAAACAGGGAAGAAGACCAAATACACACTTCACAATATCACAACCATTAAATTATTTCCTATAATATGTCTTGAACTCTTTCACACACTGAAGATACAGAGATGACAGATGAGCCTCTAGAAGTTTGCAGTGTACAAGTAAATTAGCAGACTATACCTGCTGATATTGAGAGGTGACAGCGCACTGGCAGCCCTCACAGCCCTCACTCGCTCTTGGTGCCTCCTCGGCCTTGGCGCGCCCACCCTGGCCTCGCTTGAGGAGCCCTTCAGCCCACCACTGCACTGTGGGAGCCCCTTTCTGGCCTGGCCAAGGCTGGAGCCGGCTCCCTCACCTTGCAGGGAGGTGTGGAGCGAGAGGCGCGAGCAGAACTGGGGCTGCGCAGAGTGCTTGCGGGCCAACGCGAGTTCCGGGTGGGCATGGATTGGGCTGGCCTGCACTCCGAGCGGCTGGCCGGCCGTGCCGGCCCCGGGCAGTGAGGGACTTAGCACCCGGGCCAGCGGCTGCGGAGGGTGTGCTGGGTCCCCCAGCAGTGCCGGCCCACTGGCGCTGCGCTCGGTTTCTCCCCGGGCCTTAGCTGCCTCCCCAAGGGGCAGGGGCAGGGGCAGGGCTTAGGACCTGCAGCCCGCCATGCCTGAGCCGCCTCCCCCACCCCCACCCCCACCCCCACCCCCACCCCCCAGCTCTGTGGGCTCCTGTGCAGCCCGAGCCTCCCCGATGAGCACCGCCCCCTGCTCCACTGCGCCCAGTCCCATCGACCACCCAAGGGCTGAGGCGTGCGGGCACACGGGGCGGGACTGGCAGGCAGTTCCACCTGCTGCCCAGGTGCGGGATCCACTGGGTGAAGCCAGCTGGGCTCCTCAGTCTGGTGGGGACTTGGAGAACCTTTATGTCTAGCTAGGGGATTGTAAATACACCAATCGGCACTCTGTATCTAGCTCAAGGTTTGTAAACACACCAATCAGCACCCTGTGTCTAGCTCAGGGTTTGTGAATGCACCAATCCACACTCTCTATCTAGCTACTCTGGTGGGGACTTGGAGAACCTTTGTGTGGACACTCTGTATCTAGCTAATCTAGTGGGGACTTGGAGAACTTTGGGTCTAGCTCACCGATTGTAAACGCACCAATCAGCACCATGTCAAAACAGACCACTGGGCTCTCTGTAAAATGGACCAATCAGCAGGATGTGGGTGGGGCCAGATAAGAGAATAAAAGCAGGCTGCCCAAGCCAGCAGTGGCAATCCGCTCTGGTCCCCTTCCACACTGTGGAAGCTTTGTTCTTTCGCTCTTTGCAATAAATCTTGCTGCTGCTCGGTCTTTGGGTCCACATTGCCTTCATGAGCTGTAACACTCACTGCGAAGGTCCGCAGCTTCACTCCTGAGCCATCGAGACCACAAACCCACCAGAAGGAAGAAACTCTGAACACATCCAAACATCAGAAGGAACAAACTCTGGACACGCCACCTTTAAGAACTGTAACACTCACCGTGAGGGTTCGCGGCTTCATTCTTAAAGTCAGTCAGACCAAGAACCCACCAATTCCGGACACAGTATGAGTAGGTATAGTGTGTCCCACCGCTCCCAGGGGCCCCTTTTACATGCACAAGTGCACAGGCCATGGCCCAGACAGATATATGTAGAGGCAATAAAGGTCACCCTTCCCCGTTTTGGGGTAAAGAAATGATACAGGGAATTTTACACTAGGAACTATTAGTCCTTTCTTGGTTGCAGTTATAGGGCATATCCTGCCACTTTATCTAATCTGAGCTCTACAACAATCCATTGCTATGTGTAGAGATGAGGAAGGTTAAGAAAGATGGCACCATCTATTCACTGTGACATAGCTAATCATGGGAAAGCCTGAATTTGACTCCAGACACTCTAACAGAGAACATATACTTGTGATCATCACCCTTGCTGCTTCCTATAGTTGCCTATCACCTTGACCAAAGCATTTGGGATTAAACAATATGATTCTTATTTATGGGGTGGAGTGAAGGCAGTGAGGGTAGAGAGCCAAAGATAAGGTTTGAGACTCTTTAGAAACTTAGAACAGTTTTCCACAAAATGTGTACTTTGGAAACCTGTATCAGAATCACTTGGATATTTATTAAACACACAGTCTCTTGAACTCCACCCCATACCCACTGATTCAGAATCTTTATAGGGTATTTAAGAAATATTAGTTTGAACTGTGATACAATAGTATTTAAAATTCCACTACTATAATTACAAAATATTGAATGTAGTACAGTTTAAAGGAAAATTCAGAATTTCTGAAAATGCTTCTAAATATGCAAGACCATGCAGTCAGGCTGCATCTTCACCATCTAAAGCACCTATTTTATATAGGGAATTGAGAATTATTCACAAGGCTTGATTATGTAAAAAGGCTCTGGGGCCACCATAGAAACAATTCTGGGCTTGCCAATGTAAACAACTAGAAAACTGAACAAGACGGGAGAAACAGGTTTTTAGACATTATAAAATAGGCACAAGAATGTGATCCTTGAAAACTAGGAAAGAAGATGATCACTATAATTGCCTTGACTTTCTTCCTGAAGGGATTTTTTGGACCACATTGGAGGTATAAGTCCAAGCAGAACACTGCAGTGTCATTGAGTTGAAAAGACAGGGACTAGAGTTCAGAAAAGCTCAGGCAGCTGGAATGTGTGGGGTGCACATAAGACAGGAGGGCAGCAAAGAACCATTGAGAGGAGCTGTAAACGAAATGTTTCTAGAACCCAAAGGGAATCCAGAGATATTCAAACTCGGGTCAGCCATTAGTGTACAGATCCTGTTGAAGACCCAGGGTTTCAGTACATCGCCCAGAAGTGTAAACCTTGGTAATACATATAAGCCAGTCATAGAGCAAGACCACTCTAGACCTGCTCTAACAGTTTAAAAACAAGCCTCCACAGCATCAAGCTGATCCACAAGTAATTTAAATGTCTGTCAAACAAACTTCCACACTCTTTATAAAATACAGTAAAATCTAGATACTTAACTTTCAGAAAATGGATGAGAAGGATATACTTTCCAACTCGTCTTCAAAGGCCAGCATTAGCCTTGTAACAAAATCATCAAGAAGTTACCAGAAAACTACAGATTAATTCTAGAGATCTAAGATGTAAAAATTCTCAGCAAAATATTAACAAGTGAAATCCAACAAAATACTAAAATACTACCACCACGTGGCCCCACAAGTAGGGTTTATTCCAAGAATGCAAGGTTGTTTAATATTTGAAAATAAGTCAGTGTAATCAAAGATAAATACTAAATCATCATATTAATAGATACATATAAGATGTTTGCTAAATTCAGCACCTATTCTTAATAAACAAAAATAAAAACAAAAACAAAAGCACCCCCACTGAATTTAGTATCATACTTAATACTGACTTAAGGGCTTTCTCCTTAGATTGGGAACAAGAGATAGATGTCTACTCTCCTAACTGCTACTCAATAAAAGTGCCAGTGCAATAAAGGAACAACAAAAAAATTAAAAGGCATCTAAACAAGTCTGGATTGTTGAAGTTACACATGGAGTCACATAAGACCAAACAATGGCATGCTTGAGGAATGCACTGTTGCATCTCAGTGGTCTGGGGATTCCTAAGAGCAAGTCCATACCCCTATAAGTGTGGGGATGAGGTGAGGGCTCTCTGTCAACGAATGAGACTTTATCCCCACCTGCAATTACTCCCTAAATAATCGGGGCAGGAAATGGGGATTTTAGGGGCTCAGCTTAGACAGTGTAGAAGAGGAAACACCTTCCTTTCTCTGGAGTTTGTGAATCAGTGGCCTGGCTGTGTTCAAGGCTACTCCTTTTTGGAGGGAAGCAGTACCCTACAATTTGTAGTTGGGTCCAGAGCTAAGAGTGACATCTGCAGGGGAGCTTGCATCTGTGGACTCCGGTGTGGCTATCTATAGGTTCCAGTTTTAGGCTTTCTGTGTTATAATTCCCTTCTGTTCTTCTTAAACTATCTGATAAATTTTAATAAACATTATAGCCTAATGTCTGCTCCCACTGGAGAGAATGATCTGTTATCATGCTTGAGGTGAAACAGGCCAAGGAAAAGCAAGTGGCACTTGGGAGAAGCTGGTCTCAAAATGGAAGAGGGGACCTGCAGGAGAATGAAGCAATAGACTGAAGCCCTACCACTGATGGAGACAGGGAGCGATAACAAGGACTGATTTGAGAAACACTGTGCACATTACCCAGGAGTTCCCAAACACAGCTGGAAAGCAGAAAAGTGGAAAAATGACTAAAATGTCTTTGGTCTTATGGGATAGAGGCTCTAACTGTTGAAACTAGACATTAAATGGAAATGTGACGTAATAAGCTAATGAAGGCTAAAACTCTTGGGCCATGAGATATAATTCTGGAGATTCCATGCATAGATACCACTAAGAGACACAAAAGGGCTTGTTTTTACTTTGTTTTTGCTTTGCCAAAGGCCAAAAGGAGAGGAAAGAAAACCATAAAAGTTATGGTTAAAGGGAGCCTATAATAATTCTGAAAGAAACAATCCCACATACCATAATTCCAAATGTTGAAATCTTAAAAAAGATCAAAATCTTGAAAATATAATTCTGGTAAAGATAATTTAAAATTATTTAAATAACATTTATTTATATTTTAAAAGGATATTTGAGAAAAAAAAGAATATTTCATAGACCACTTTACATAATAAAGTAAAATATTTTTATTATGTAAAGGTCTATTGTAATTATTTTATTGTGCAAAGATCTATTGTCATAGACCACTTTACACAATAAGATATGTAAAATATACATATTTTTGCAAGCATAAACACTCAGCTATAGAGTCTCACGGGTACAACAGTTATGAGCAGAAAAACCATATTCATAAAGAAACAGGTCAAAAAGCAAAATGTATAAATGCATGTCACCATGGTTGGTAATTGTGTGCACTTAGTTTTGTAACTACAGTCATCTGAAGTACCGTGAAGGACAACATAAGTCTTTTGACAAGACGAATCAAAGATTGTGATGGGTTGCCACCGCATTTGCAGTCTCCCAAAGAGCCGAGACCTTGTGAAATTTTATCTTTCACAAATGCATATGTACAAAAAGGACATCTTTTCATTTATAGAGGAAGCTTCAATGTTTTTATGTTGAGAACCAGGGAAGCAAAGGTACCTCTCAGTCTGAGAGCGTCAGGACCTGGGGGACCACTGATGTAAGTTCTGGAGTCCAAGAGCCAGCAAGTTAGGGGTTCTGATGTCCAAGGCAGAAAAAGAAAAGTCTCTACTCTCAAAGATACCAATTTGCCTTCTCTATCTATTCTCTCCAAGTCCCTAGCTGATTGGATGGAGCCGCCAACATTGAGGGCAGATCTTCCCCACCTACACCACACAGGCTCACACAGCAATCTCCTCTCAAAACATACTTGCAGATACTCCCCCAGAAAATTCTTTACCAGGTTTTTTTGGTATTCCTTAATTTGGTCAAGTTGACTCCCAAAATTGAGTCCACAAGTTCACCCCTTGTCAACTTGGCACCCACATGCATCTCCTTAATCACCCACACTTAATTTTTTTTTTTGAGACAGAGTCTCACTCTGTCACTCAGACTAGAGTGCAGTGGTACGATCTCAGCTCACTGCAAACTCCACCTCCTGGGTTCAAGCGATTCTCCTGCCTCAGCCTCCCGAGTAGCTGGGATTACAAGGCACCAGCCACCACACCCAGCTGATTTTTGTATCTTTAGTAGAGATGAGGTTTCACCACGTTGGCCAGGCTGGCCTCAAACTCCTGACCTTGTGATCCACCCGCCTCAGCCTCCCAAAGTGCTGGGATTACAGGCATGAGCCACCACGCCCGGCCACTGAATTTTCAAATAAGAAAATAACAAGATAATAGTTCCACCAAACATGATGTCGTTATAATGTGATCGTGATTTTGGGGGGATTTTAGACTTCAGGGATTTGGACTTTAGGGATTTTGATTTTTCGGGATTTCAACATTCAGGATTATGGTATTCAAGTCTTTCAGGATTATGATCCAAACTCATGAGAAAACATCAAATTTATTAGTTCAGAACAACAATAATACAGGCACACTTGGTTTCTCAAGTCACCTGCTTGGTCCTCCTTCCAAGTGTGCTTTTCTTCCTTTCTTTCTTTCCTTTTCTTACTGTTCTAAAGGTTTCTAATAAAGTTCCACTCCTGCTCTAAAACTTGCTTTGGTCTCTTTCTTTGCCTTGTGACCCTCAGTCAAATTCTTTCTAAAACCCCCCACAAAAAAACAAACAATATATTTTTTCATAGAAAGTAGAAAATCTCCTTGTCTGGTAGCAAAACTGTGATTTCTAGGTTATTACCAGCTGTGTGTGTGTGTGTATTGACCATGCTCTTTCACTAGCTCATTATCTTCAGTACTGCATAGTGGTTAAGAGTTCTGGTTCTGGGATCTTGGAACTTGACTTTTGGGTTTGAATTTTAGCATCACCACTTAGTAGCTTTGTGGTCTTAGCCAATTTATTTGACCTCTCGGTGCCTAAAATTTACCAACTGTCCAATAGGGAGAGTTTTAGCACCTAGTTTAAAAGGTTCTCATGAAGATTAAACACGTTATCATATGCTAATTTAGGCAAAGCACCTAGCACACAGTAATAAACTTTAGTAACTTTTAAACTCAGTAAATTTTAACAATTTTTATTAAATTCTAAACCAGTAAGAAAAATATACATACAATGCTATATTATTCCTCACATGATCTAAGAGACCCAATATTTGAAATTAGGAAATATAATTTGCCAAAAGTAAAGCTATCATTATGAACAGTAAGTTATTTACATCTGAAAAGGATTGGTTAGAATCTTATTGTTTACTAACAAAATTTCAACTATATCTTTTATTTTTAGGTTGTGGGAGACAGAAAGGACGCATATTAATATGTTAAAGACAATTACCCCTAGGCAGAGGAATCGGGGTATGGGGAAAGTAAGGACTTTTGCTTTCTTACACCTTCCCGTATTTTTTCAATTCTTTATAAAAGATCATGAATTATTTGGAGAATAAAATTAAGATAATTAAAGTGAGAGGATCTGACAGTATAGTATCACTTAATTAGCCAGAAGTTGGATTGTACCTTCTGCCTCTGGCTTTACAATGCTTCTTTTGCCCCGTTACACTGTAATCCCTATTCATTAAATACTATTAGACATTTGTCTCAAGGTCAACATCATGAGTACACTTTTGACTACACCACCAAGATTAAACAGAGCCATTCAAAGCACCTAGTATGACATCTAGCCATAGTAGATGTCAATAAATATTAGCTCCCTTATGTTCTACTCCCCAGTGGCACCTATTTTTTATTTAACAAATTTCATTCAAGTAATATCAGGGCTGGGAGTGATGGCTCATGCCTGTTATCCCAGAACTTTGGAAGACCAAGCCAGGAAAATGGCTTGAGGCCAGGAGTTTGAGATCAGCTTGGACAACATAGAGAGACCCCCATCCCTAAAACAAAAAACAGGAAACAAAAAAATCAACTACAACATCAGAACTCTGGATTTTAGGGGCTACTTTTGGTTCACCTGTTTTCAAATTGTTTTTTGTTTGTTATCACTTTTTATTTTCTTTTTTGCCATAGGCCAAAATCAGAGAAAACAAAAAGAGACACTAAACTTTTATATTTATATACACAAGGCTTTTATATTTAAATACAGATGAGTGAAGTGTTCCTTGTCATATTTCTGCTTAGGAAGCCCCAATGAGCATTTGGAGAGAAGGGTAAACACAGCTGCCTGGAAATGGCTTTTAGAAACCCATTAAGCTGACTGATTTCAACCACTGGTGATGGATGAGGGTAGGAACAAATTCCTTCGTGGTACACGAGAACACTGCAAGAAGTTACATTTTAACCTGTCTGAAATAATGAGTAAGACATAATAATTAACGTAAATGCTCAATCCACTCTCAGAATGCCTGAGGCAAATGTTCTCTCCAACGTTTTCTACTCTAAAAGTAAAATAAACTCCTGAGTCCACTGATATTGCCTAAAAACCTAGGTAGTGCCTGATATATTTTTAAGTATTTTTAATATTTACTTTCTAGTTAGAAAAACAATCTATCCACAATGCACAAATTGCTTAACATGAATAAATGTGTATTTTTAAAAAAATACTCATATTAATATTAAAATTGCTAAAATTTGAATAAGGTCCCTAGTTTAGCTTACAGTAGTGTACCAGTGTTCATTTTCTGATATTAACAAGCTCAATGATAAAGTAAGTTGTTATTATGGGAGGAAGCTGAGTGATGGATACATGGGAACTCACCAAACAGTTTTGGCAACTTATTCTGAGTTTAAAATTAACACAAAATAAAACGTTTTTTAAAATCACCCTTACTTTTAGTATTTTGATATTATTAAAGCAAACTAAATATGGCCCGAGAAAGACTCCATACTTCTATATTTGAGTCCTTGTGGATGAACTGTAACCTAGCTTAGTAGTCAGACAAAATTGAAAACGTAACTTCAGAGTATGCATCTGTAACTATAGCTAAGTCTTGGCCATTCCAGAGGCCATACTTCAACCATTCATACACTGATGAGTGTTAAAACTGTGTTCAAATAAGGCAAACACCGAGCTGTAACCAATCCAGCCATTCTGTACCTCACTTCCAATTTCTGTACGTCATTTCCCTTTTTTTTTGTCTGTAAGTCTTCTTCCACCACATGGCTGCGCTGGAGCCTCTGTGAATCTGCTGAGATTTGGGGGGGCTGCCCGATTCGCAAAACATTCATTGCTCAATTCAACTCCTTTAAATTTAATTTGGCTGAGTTTTTCTTTTATCAGTATTGAAATAACAATGACATTGTAATTTCAAACTGGTCAAAATAATACATCAGTTAGGACCTCTTTTATCGTCAGTGAAGTTTGCTTACCTAAACTAGCCTAGGGACGAGGCTGCATTATGTTGCCTTTTTTTTTTTTTTTTTTTTTTTTTTTTGAGAGAGAGTTTTGCTCTGTCACCCAGGCTGGAGTGCTGGAGTGCTGGAGTGCAGTGGTGTGATCTCGGCTCACTGCAACCTCCGCCTCCCAGGTTCAAGCGATTCTCCTGCCTCAGCCTCCCGAGTAGCTGGGACTACAGGTGCCCACCACCACCCACCATGCCTGGCTAATTTTTATATTTTTAGTAGAGACAGGGTTTCACCATATTGGTCAGGCTGGTCTTGAACTGACCTTGTGATCTGCCCGCCTCGGCCTCCCAAACTGCTGGGATTACAGGCCTGAGCCACTGCGCCCGGCTTACGTTGCTCTTGATGCAGAAACTCGAATGCCATCACTGGCTTCTCTTTTGCTGTCTCTCGTCTTATTCCCCTTGTTTGGCTCCAGTTTTAGATAGGTTTTTCCTTTGGGAAGCTTTGATGTATTTAAGGAGAGGAAGAGATGAGAGGATAGAAAACCCCGAGGCTGTTTTCAGAAGTAAAGTGAATAGTTGCTAAGTAGAGAAACAAAACAAGAAGAATGCTCACTTTGGTAGAGGAGCAGATAATGGAAAGTTTAAAAAATGTGAAAGTATACACAACCAATAATCATAGTTATACAAATTTATAACAAAACATCACTTTTTTTCCTACTGCCTCTATAATTGCAGAAGAGAACCAAATACCCTTTTCATCTGACAAACTGGACAAATAAAATTTAGTAATATGCAATATGATGACAGTATAGTAAGACATATGCAGATGGGGTTTGGAATCAAAGGGTACAGCCCTTCCAAAAAACTGTTCTACTCTTTTACCCAGGAATTTCACTTTCAGAGACCTACCCAAGCAATGACAAATACAGATGACTACAATGTACAATGATATCTATACAACATTATTTATCATAGTAAAAAGCATAATGTCTCAAAATATGGGAACAGTTAAATACATCATGGTGTTTCTGAATGATTGAATATTTAGTAACCATTTTTTAAAAGGAAACAAATCTGTATAAATCTGTATGTTAAGAATGATCCGGCGGGGTGCAGTGGCTCACACCTGTAATGCCAGCACTTTGGGAGGCTGAGGCGGGAGGATCATCTGAGGTCAGGAGTTTGAGGTCAGGAGTTTGAGACCAGCCTGGTCAACATGGTGAAACCCTGTCTCTACTATAAATACAAAAATTAGCTGGGCATGGTGGTGGGTACCTGTAATCCCAGCTACTCAGAAGGCTAAGGCAGGAGAATCGCTTGAACCCAGGAGACGGAGGTTGCAGTGAGCACAGATTGCACCACAGCACTCCAGCCTGGGTGAGAGCGCAAGACCCTGTCTCAGGAAAAAAAAAAACAAAAATTTAAACACAGAGAGAGAGAGAGAGAGAGAGGGAGAGAGAGAGTCTGCTTACTAGTTGTGTGATCTTGGTCAGGTTATTGACCTTCTGTGATTCAGTTTCCCCATATCCTTAAAATAAGAAAAATAAAAGTACCCACCACATAGGGTTGAAATGAGGATTACGTAAGTTAATATAAGTAAAGTAAGCATTACTTATACTTGGTTCATGTGAGCACATTATTACATGCAGTTAATGCATTGCATGCCTGGCACATAGTACTATTTTCAATAAATGAAAGCTTTACACAAATCATATAATACAAATTCCTGGATGTGTATTGCTTTGCAGGACTCTAACAAAACTTTAGTCAAGTGAACTCTAGGGTTTTCTAGCAAAAAAATCTCAGTAATAACACTTTCCACCTCACAAATTAATGTATATTTAAAGGACTAGATACTCATGCATATTTTAAATGAGCACAGGGAGAGAAAGGAATCAGCAGCTGGACTTTCGGACTACAACTCAAGAAGTCAGAAAGAATGAGTAGTTGCTCTGAGGATCAGGACTGGGGATGAGAGAGAGGCGGCGGACTGTTTTTTTTTTTCCTTTATTTATTTTTTTTGATACAGAGTCTCACTCTGTCACCCATGCTGGAATGCAGTGGCGTGATCTCAGCTCACTGCAACCTCCACCTCCTGAGTTCAAGCGATTCTCCTGCCTCAGCCTCCTGAGTAGCTAGGACTACAGGCAAATGCCACCACACCCAGCTAATTTTTTTTTTTTTTTTTTTTTTTGAGACAAAGTCTTGCTCTGTTGCCCAGGCTAGAGTGCAGTGGCATGATCTCGGCTCACGGCAACCTCTGCCTAGGGAGTTCAAGTGATTCTCCTGCCTCAGCCTCCCGAGTAGCTGGAATTACAGGCGCCCACCACCGTGCTTGGCTAATTTTTGTATTTTTAGTAGAGATGCGGTTTCACCAGCTTGGCCAGGCTGGTCTCAAACTCCTGACGTCGTGATCCACCTGCCTCGGCCTCCCAAAGTTCTGGGATTACAGGCATGAACCGCCGCACCCCGCCCATGCCCGGCTAATTTTTTGTATTTTTAGTAAAGACGGGGTTTCACCATGTTAGCCAGGATGGTCTCGATCTCCTGACCTCGTGATCCACCTGCCTTGGCCTCCCAAAGTGCTGTGATTACAAGCTGGCCGGGACTGTTTGTTTTATTACCAGCATTTGCATTCTGATTAACCTTTTATTTTCTAAAACATAAACTAAACAAATAAAAAAAAATCTGTGTTTTGAAATGTGTACAGCTAGAACATAGAAAAGCTACTATCTCCTTCAGGATCTCTGATATAAGAAAGTAAGTATTTGCAACTGCAGTCCTTGGCACCAGAAAGGATAATAGTTCATGGTTCCAGGAAGGGGAAATATAGATGCCATCAGACGACTTCACACAATGCCCAGAGAATGTAGACTAGGTGCTTCTGTTCCCAGAAGCAGCACCCAGACAATGAGAAGAACACCATGTGGAAAGAAGTGGGGCAGTTCTGGTTTCTAATGGGCTCTGCTGATCTTTCAGCTCCTCTGCCTGAAAGCTCACTTTCAGACAAAAACTATGAACTTCAAACTGTGTATAATTCACTATACATGCATATTTTATTCTCTGTATAACTCTAGCAAGGCTGAACCCCTAGCAAGTCAAAGGCTTACCTGAGGTGCCCTTCCCAGATTTATCATGTCCCCCGGGTAGTGCGTCCGGAATTGGTAGGTTCTTGGTCTGACTGACTTCAAGAATGAAGCCGCCGACCGTCGCGGTGAGTGTTACAGTTCTTAAAAGCCGTCGCGGTGAGTATTACAGTTCTTAAAGGCGGCGTGTTCGGAGTTTGTTCCTTCTGGTTGGTTCGTGGTCACACTAGCTCAGGAGAGACGCTGCGGACCTTCGCGGTGAGTGTTACAGCTCTTAAGGCCGCGCGTCTGGAGTTGTTTGTTCATTCTTCTTGGTGGGTTAGTGGTTTCACTGGCTTAAGGAGTGAAGCTGCAAACCTTCGCGGTGAATGTTACAGCTCATAAAGACAGTGTGGACCCAAAGAGTGAGCAGCAGCAAGATTTATTGCAAAGAGGGAAAGAACAAAGCCCCCACACCGTGGAAGGGGACCACAGCCACTTGCTACTACTGGCTCGGGCAGCCTGCTTTTATTCTCTTGTCCGGCCCCACCCACATCCTGCTGATTGGTAGAGCCCAGTGGTCTGTTTTGTCAGGGCACTGATTGGTGCATTTACAATCCCTGAGCTAGACACAAATGTTCTCCACATCCCCACCTGAGTAGCTAGATACAGAGTGTGGATTGGTGCATTCACAAACCCTGAGCTAGACACAGGGTGCTGATTGGTGTGTTTACAAACCTTGAGCTAGATACAGAGTGCCGATTGGTGTATTTACAATCCCTTAGCTAGACATAAAGGTTCTCCCAAGTCCCCACCAGAGTCAGGAGCCCAGCTGGCTTCACTCAGTGGATCCCGCCGGTACCGGGCCGCGGGTGGAGCTGTTTGCCAGTCCTGCGCCGTGGGCCCGCACTCCCCAGCCCTTGGGTGGTAGATGGGACTGGGCGCAGTGGAGCAGGGGGCGGCGCTCGTCCGGGAGGCTTGAGCCGCACAGGAGCCCAGGGAGCGAGGGAGGCCCAGGCATGGCGGGCTGCAGGTCCCGAGCCCTGCCCCGCAGGGAGGCAGCTAAGGTCCGGCGAGAAATGGAGCGCAGCGCCAGTGGGCCGGCGCTGCTGGGGGACCTAGTACACCCTCCGCAGCCGCTGGCCCGGGTGCTAAGCCCCTCATTGCCTGGGGCCGACAGGGCCGGCCGGCTGCTCCGAGTGCGGGGCCTGCCAAGCCCACTCCCACCCGGAACTCTAGCTGGCCCGCAAGCGCTGCGCGCAGCCCCGGTTCCCGCTCGCGCCTCTCCCTCCACACCCCCTGGAAGCTGAGTGAGCCACCTCTGGCCTTGGCCAGCCCAGAAAGGGGCTCCCACAGTGCAGCGGTGGGCTGAAGGGCTCCTCAAGTGCCCCCAAAGGGGGAGCCCAGGCAGAAGAGGCGCCGAGAGCCAGGGAGGGCTGTGAGGACTGCCAGCACGCTGTCACCTTTCAGTAGGAGACAGCAAGAAAGCATCTTTCCATAAGTAGAATAAATATAGTCAAAGTTTTTCCATGACGTTTTTCAGATACCCAGAGAAAACAGCTTGCAAGAGCAAGAGATAAAAATGTATCCATATTCATAGCTTTGAGCCTAGGTATTTTTTACCGATAAACTACTTCTAAACATCTGTCATTCAAGCACATTAGGGACGTACTGCTTAGCACAAACTAGTCTATATCCAAGTAGACACCACAATGAGTCAATTCACAGTTATTAGTATGATTTAGAATTTAACTACCTGTCTTCTAAAAAGAACAGCTAACATGTAAACGGAAAAAGGTACTCTATGTTACAACTATCTAATGAAGGGCTAGACAATTAGAATCGAATTATTTTGCTTTTTGAGACATTAAACCCTCAGTTCTCCTTTTTCCCCACTAGTATTATTTTCTCTCCCTGGAACCTTTTTCTTCTTCTTGTTAGAGATACCCACCAAGGCCAGTTGCTGTCCATTTACAAGCATATATTGCTATTATAGTAATACCTCACCTACCTGAAGCTCAGCTTCAAGGAACTTCAGCTCCTCAAACTATTCCGAAGAACTAGGAAATAAGGAAAATGATGTAAAAGAATCTATGTATCAATGAATGTCTTTCAAATCCTAACTCAGGGTTCATTTACTCATACTGTGCCTCAAGTTTAATAGGTATCTGCTGGGAGATATAAATGTATCTTGTCAGAAATACTATGCTACTTGGAGATATAAAAGTGAATAAAGTACCCTCAAAGAACTTACAGTCCTAATAACATTAGCTAATCTGGTTTTGTGGCTACCGAAGAATAAAGACAGCAAAATAGAATTTACAAAGAATCCCACAGAAAGGCACACAGATAGCTGCAAGACCAAAATTATTTTTGGTTCTATTCTTAAATCACAGACTAATTTGAGGCCAGTCACTCAAACTCTAGGCATTCATTTGGATTAGATTATTTTAAAGTTCCTATTTTGTTCTCCAATTCTATGAATACAGTTTTAAAACAGTTCACAATCTGACAACAGGAGACTTTTTTTTTAAGGCATGAGAAGTCAAAAAACACAGCAGTATGGAGTCATTTACTATAGGAGTGAATTACTCCATCTTCTGCAACATCATAAATATTGTTGACAACAGCCCACAGGCTGGAAAAGCCCAGACGGGCAACTTGTATGTTGTTATGTTTACATCCTTTATCTAATCATTTTAAAATTCATTGACTTGTTTATTATCTATGATCCTCCACCAGAATATATGTTCCTCATGAGCAGGCATTTTATCTGTCTTGATCACTGAAACAGTGCCTGTCACAGAGGAAGTCCTCAATATTTTTTGAAAGAAAAATATTCTCCTTTTGACAAATATTGTTTTGACAATTTTGGACATTAACATTCAATTTTATAACTACGTTTCTGGGAATTATTTGTCCTTATCTCTAAATTAATTGGTTTAGCCATCATTGCCTGTATTTTTATGCCATAATTCCCCCCTTTCTTGGATTCCTAATTTTGCTTATTTTTCAATATGTTGGCATATAGTTTCCCAATGATTTTTTTCAAAATAGAATGGTATGGGGCATATATTTTCTGGATCATTGTATATATAAAATTGTGTTTTACACATAAAAGATAACTTGCCAGGGTATACAATTCTCAACTATTTGAGAGGGGTAGTATGCTCTCCTGGCATTTAGAGTTACATACTAGAGCATTCACTTTGTTCAATCAGATTAGAACACCTTGTGGCGAGGAATGGAAATGAGGGTAGAGGAGGGAAATAGATACCTCTTTTCATTTTTTCCTACCTCATCTCCAAAGTTACACAGTAATGGGGATGGCAAGAAGAGGAATAAGTGGAAAGATATTTAGAAGTAAAGTCTAAATATCTGACTTGCAAAGTAAGTGAAAAAGAAATCTAGGGTACCTTCTAGATAACTTGCTAGGCTGACTTGGCTATTCTTGCTTCAAACTTGGATTTAGGGTTAATGTAATACTTTTGAGATTATCCTCCAAGCTCTTTTCCTCACCATCACATTTTAATTTGTAATTGGACTGTATCTTCAGTCAAAGTCCCCACTAGCTGAATGATTTATGCTAGGAGAGTTTGAGGCTTATGAATTCTTCTCAACAAACCCTTCTCTTAGTGATTCTTTACTCTGAATTTTTATTGTACTTTAACCAAATTTCTATTGCCACTTATTGTAATTGAAATAGGTTGCCTACTTGTCTGTCTCCAATGGACTAGGAACACCTCAAAGGGCATAATCTTATATTTATGTTTTTTACCAATGCTTGGCACTGAGAATAAACTGAAGCAATAATTATAGAATTAGTGGTCATATACAAGAAATATGCATTTACAAAAAAAAACACTTCACATACAGGAAGTTTGTGAGATGGCTATATTTGAAAGCATTTTAATTATAAGAAAACAGAACTGAAGCCAGACTCTTCAGAATTCCTCCAATTTATCATTCATTCATTTATTCATCAATGCTATATTTAGGTACCAAGCACTGGCTGAGTGTTGAAGACAGAATGAATGACAACATCCAGCTTTGGAGTCGATTAGGGACTAAAAAAGAAAGTGCATCTCACTTAGTGGTCCCACATTTCCCCTAGAGGGCAAAGCCTGACCTTGAGACCAGGTGGAATTGTAGGGGAACTTCAGATGGCAGGGACAAAGCCTCATTGGTCTTGTCAGGCAACGAGTAAGCAATCATTGCGTGTTTGTTGAAACAGGTTGAAAAAAATAGTCATTTTCATCAAATGAACTTTAAAACGGAGATGATCTAAATTCAGATGTATTTTTTTAAGTCCTTTAAAGTTTAACTGAAATGCAACATAGAAATTTATTTCTGGCCGGGCGCGGTGGCTCAGGCCTGTAATCCCAGCACTTTGGGAGGCCGAGGCGGGCGGATCACGAGGTCAGGAGATCGAGACCATCCTGGCTAACACGGTGAAACCCCCCTCTCTACTAAAAATACAAAAAATTAGCCGGGCGAGGTGGCGGGCGCCTGTAGTCCCAGCTACTCGGGAGGCTGAGGCAGGAGAATGTCGTGAGCCCGGGAGGCGGAGCTTGCAGTGAGCCGAGATCGCGCCACTGCACTCCAGCCTGGGCGACAGAGTGAGACTCCGTCTCAAAATAAAAAAAAGAAGGAAAGAAATTTATTTCTATTTGTACTAAATCTAATAGAACAAGAGCGTTAAAGTCCAGAAGAGTCGGGGATGGGCAAGTTTTATAAATAACTTGGCCTCCGCATTGAAGAGCCTGCGAGATGTGAGACCAGCTGAGAGCGGAAGCCTCTGGAAGGAGACCTCCTCATCTGGAGGGTGGGGGAGGGAGTGTGCATACTTGAGCCCTTGTCCTTGAAGGGGATTGAGCGAGCCGAGGGGAGGGGTAGGCGGTACTCGGATTTCCAATCACAATGGAGAAACCTAAGAGGCTGCGGTGGTTGTGGGGCCCCGCCCCCTCCTCCCTCCTTGCAGAGCCGGCGCCGGAGGAGACGCACGCAGCTGACTTTGTCTTCTCCGCACGACTGTTACAGAGGTCTCCAGAGCCTTCTCTCTCCTGGTAGGTTTCGGCTCAGGACCCTGAATCCTGGCCCACAGGCAAGCCTGATGGGACGTGCGGGGTAGTACTTGTATGGGGAGACGCGGGAAGGAGGAAGAAGCACATCTGTCCTCCGCGGCCTTTAGCTCTGAGCATCCGGCCGCGGGCCCTGACTTTGCCGCTCAGTTTGGGGCGCAGGGGGGGCCGTGCCCTGGCGGAGGAGCAGAAGGCAGAGGGTAGCAGCTGCGGCTCAGCGGAGAGACTTGTTGCATTTGCAGCTAAAACCAGGCCCTACTTGTCCTTGGTGGGTTCATGGCGGCCACATCACCCCCACGGCCTGCTGGCGGGAGTCGGGACACGTGCCCGAGTAGCTGGGGGAGGGGGACGGAACCAGGTGGCCTATGAAGGCTGGACGATCTTTACCTCGAATATTTGAATATATTGCCACGGTAATAGAGAAATGCCCTTGCACTCGCTGGGATGAGGAGAAAGGCACCTAGATGACCAGCACGTTTGGCGCTGCACTTATTTTTACCCGGCTCTGACGGTCTTTCCAGGAGCCATGCGCCAGTTCTTTCCTGCAGGGCCTCTTTTCTGGATGCTTAGGGGCTTCGTTTACTTTACCAGCCTTGGGTGCTCCGAGTAAGGAAGTCCTAGACTTGTCCCCACAGACCTTACTCGGGGAGATCTCTAGCTTCTGCATGCCCTCGTGATCTGCTGTTCTTTGCTGCCGGTGCCCTGAGGAAAAGATGGTTTGTGCGCACCGCGAGCAGTACAAGCTGCAGTAAGGGCCTGGGGAATGGGGGGAGGGGAGGAATTCAAAAGCAAAACCTGAATTTTTAAAAGATTACGGTGAGAAAGATTCTGCAAAGAAGATCTTTGTTCCTGAAATTAAGGCGCTCCTTTATTTCTAATGATTTATATCCACAGCAGTGAGGAGACATAAGGGACCAAGACTCAGAGATTTTTACCGTTTGTCGTTCTTGTTCCTTACAGCCTGCACTCTGATGTTGGCACAGGCCTGTATATCATGCAGACCATTTTCTTCTCATTTCTTAAAACTCTTTTTAAGGAAAAATTGAAGAAAAGCACTTTCTCCAGAAATATCTGAAAGAAAATCTGGTTCGAGCCTTTAAATTGTACTTCCTGAAGTTTTCTAAATTAAAAGGTCTATCAGAACAACGAATCTGTATTTATATAGCCACTGTTTCTTCATTTTCATTTTCCACTGCTTCCTGGGCCCCCTGTATACCAAAACGGTCGTAAACAGACCATCTAACAACAATAAACTTAAGTGCAGAACAACTATTCATGTGTGTCGTCCTTCAAAAAGAGATGCAGCATTCTTTCTTCTGAGCCTGTTTAAAATGCAGGCCATGTCTGAATTTATTTCATTTTAAGGTCATCTATTTGTGGAGGCACTTGCACAACATTGCATCTTCTCTCTTTAACGTCCACTAGGAAACTGTAAATGTGATCTGTAAAGGCGAAAGAATCTCCTTTTAATTTATCCTTACAGATGGGAGGAAATATTTTTTGGAAAAAAAACTATAAGATAAAATAGTTGTTACACAGTTGTCTCCAAATTCAGATGCTTTATTCCAACTTTGAGTCCTGCTAACTCTTACTTTACGTATACAGTTAATAGACTAGACTTATTGCTTAGTCCATTGCAGATTAGAATTAAAAACTAGACTGGGAAGCTCTGGTACAGTTTGAGACAGGTATGGTGACCTCAGATGCGACATAAAAAGTAAAAAACAAGTGAAAATCATGGACATTACAATGGGCTACTACAATTATAAGTAATAATTGTGAAGAAAAGGCTTATTTGCCATCTGTATTCTCTGTTCAAGAAGACAGGGTGGTATATATTTAGTGTACTATAAATTGCCATGGAATTGATGTTTATTTCGATAAGTTTTGCTCTTTTTTTCAGTTATCTAGAAAACACATCTGGTTATCTGATGGCACAAGTACATTTGGTGTTACTGTACAGATCGTTCATTTTCCAACAGGTTTCGGTTTTGTTTTTTTTTTTACATTTTAGGGGTCTTTAGTTTGGATGGTTAGACAGAAACTGTTTCAGAGACTGATAGTCTCCTAATGTGATCCCCTGAAACGACAATGTATTAAGTGTCTATCTACTTTCCAAGAAGCTTCTTAGGTGCCCTAAAAGGAATTCAGGTTGATATTTTTGCAGACTTTGAATAAAAATTATTCATTGCCATTATATTGTCACTATGTATTAAGTATGCATTCTATGTCCAGTACACTGTAACACATTTTATGTGAGACAGAGTAGAAGAATCAGTCCCTATCTTCCAAGAATGATAACCATTAGTAGTAGAAATTATGTTCATAATTGGCCATTTATTCTTTTTATCCAAGCTTAAGTATGAGTCAATACTAGACCCAAACTTAGTTTACATAGTTACATATACATTCTTAATAGAGGAAACAAACAAATTAGCTAATTTAAACAAATGTTCACAGGTTTTTAGCCAGAAATATTAACAACCTACTAAATACTCACATGGAATCATAGGCTGAAGGAAGAAATCCAATTCTAATGGGCTTCATGAAAGTTTTTACCTTAATGAATTCTTCCATTAAATGGGTCTCATGGTTCTTTTTTTTCTTTTTTTCCTTTTGAGACGGAATCGCTCTGTTGCCAGGCTGGGGTGCAGTGGTGAGATCTAAGCTCACTGCAACCTCCACTTCCTGGGTTCAAGTGATTCTCCTTCCTTAGCCTCCTGAGTAGTTAGGACTACAGGCTTGCACCACCATGCCCAGCTAATTTTCTTTTTTTTAGTAGAGACGGGGTTTCACCATGTTGGCCAGGATGGTCTCAATCTCTTGACCTCGTGATCCACCAGCCTCTGCCTCCCAAAGTGTTGGGATTACAGGCATGAGCCACCATGCCCAGCCGGGTCTCATGGTTCTTTAAAATATATTCTGCTTTCTAGAATATCATTAGGCTCATTTTAAGTTGTACTTCAGTTCGAAATTGCAACAGTAACATTTTAAGGATGATTTCTATTTGGATTTCATATGCAGATATACGTGTAATGTTTTGATTCTTTCCTTGCAGTGCAAAATGGCAACTCTTAAGGAAAAACTCATTGCACCAGTTGCGGAAGAAGAGGCAACAGTTCCAAACAATAAGATCACTGTAGTGGGTGTTGGACAAGTTGGTATGGCGTGTGCTATCAGCATTCTGGGAAAGGTACATTTCAAGAACACCATAGATGATAGAGAAGTTCAGCATGTATACACAGTTTCTTTGGGCACCTTGGAATTTTATTATATCTTTAAAAGATTTCTTTTTTTCCTGAGCAATTTGAAGTTGTAGATGTAATCCCACTTCACTTTCAAATATTTAAGCATGTATCTCCTAAAAGAATTATATTCTCCCTATGTGACCATAAATAGTTACTACACTTAGAGAATTTAACACTGATGCAATACTATCATCCAGTATACACTATTAACATTTAAAATTCTCCATGTTGTCAAAATCATGCCGTTTATAGCTATTTTCACCTCAGTCCAAGATCATGTGTCTCATATACTTACGTCTCTTCATTCTTTAAGCTGGAACTGTTACTCAACCTTTCTTTGTTTCTTGTGTCATTGACATTTTTCTAGCATCCAGGTGAGTTCTGCAGAATGTCCCTCAATTTGTCTGTCTGATGTTTTCTTGTAATTCAGCTCGGGTTGAATTTTTTGGGTGGGATTGGAACTAGGTGATGTCATGTCCTTCTTTGTGCAGACCATCAGGAGACACATGATGTTCAACTTGTCTCATTACTGCTGAACTTAATCCCCTGGTTCAAGTGGTCACAGCAAGCCTTCTCCACTGCAAAGATCCCTTTCCCTCTTTTAATTAATAAGTAATCTGTGCCATGCATGGCTTTGTGAGGTTGTGGGAATATTCTGTTATGCCCCTGAAACTTTTACCTAATGGTTTTATTTTGAAATGATTTCAGATTTACAGAAAATTTTTAAGAATGGCAAGAAAATAAAACTTTCATAAATAATTCACCTACATTTACCAATTCTTAACATGTTGTTATTTATACTCTCTCACCATATATACATACATATATGTGTATATATATATATGTGTATGTTCATAGGTAGATTTATAGATACAGAGATCTATAGAAATACATAGATGTCCATGACGTATTTGTCTATATCTATCTATAGATGGCTGGAACCATTTGAGAATAAATTGCAGATATTATGCCCTTTACTTACATGTCCTTTAGAGCAGCAGTCCCCAACCTTTCTGGCACTAGGGAACCAGTTTTGTGGGAGACAATTTTTCCACAGATGTGTGAGGGGATAGTTTTGGGATGAAATTGTTCCAGTTCAGATCATCAGGCATTGGCTAGATTCTCTAGATTCAGTACTGGCTCGTGACCTGGGTGTTGGGGACCCCTGTTTTAGAGTACGTTTCCTAAGAATAGGACATATTCTGAGATCATCAGTGCAATTATCAACATCAGGAGATTTAACACTAATACCATTCTATTATCACCTTCCACTTCAATTTTTCTTACATACCTCCATAGGCTTTTTGCCTTACCTCATATGTATCCTTTGTAGTTCAAACCACAGTTAAGCTTTCTTTAGTTCTCGAAGACTTGAGGAAAGAAGCCCTTTTCTTATTTATTTCACTGAATGGATTCCTTATTTCTTCTGATGGCTGCCTTAAATGTAGAAACAACAACAAAAATGCTGCCTTGCCTTCAGGAGAACACACTGTCCCTTTGTATCATATGTAAAGGCTGCCTGAATAACCCCTAACCAAGCCATGTCTTTTTTCAAAATTTAAATTCTAAAGCAGCAAACTGAGTCTTTACTAAGAAACAGTTATCAAAAAAATAAACTAAAAAACGTAGTGCACACCCATGAACATTTTATCCTTTTGCATTTGCTTCTAGCTAGTTTCAATTGACTAGGTAACTGTCATTTAGGATAGCAGCTCCCTATCCTTTTGCATTTCCTTCTAGCTAGTTTCAATTGACTAGGTCACTGTCATTTAGGATAGCAGCTCCCTATCCTTTTGCATTTCTTTCTAGCTAGTTTCAATTGACTAGGTAACTATCATTTAGGATAGCAGCTCCCTATCCTTTTGCATTTCCTTCTAGCTAGTTTCAATAGACTAGGTAACTACCATTTAAGATGGCAGCTCCCTAGATTACAGGGAATTGAAGTAACCACAATTTCACGCTCACTGTTCGTGCCAATAAAAACAAAAACTATTTCAGCTTACATCATTTTGAAAAAGACATTGAGTATGTGCCATGTTCAAAGATAAAATACTTTATTTTAAACAACCTTAGGAGATAGGAACTGTTCATATACTTGCTGTTGGATGAGATGGCTGATGCTTAAAGAGCCTGTCCACAGTCTCACATGTGGCAGTGGTGGAGCTGTATTTTGAACCCAGGGCTCTGAACTCTTCACCATAGTGACTTTTCAATTTTCTTTTTATTCAATGCTACTATTTAAGCATTTAGAAAAAAATAAATGTATTAATTAAATACTAGCTAGAGATTTTTCTTACCTTCTGTTAATCTCAAAATTTGAGCCTTTCAGGAAACTATATCTGAGCTATCATGATTCTATAAGAAGTACCTCTATGATGTAATCATAAATTTTAAATCTTCTTCAGTAAGTAGTTTAATTGAGACTGTGCCTGGAGTTATATAACACTTTGGCTCAACTCAAGGGCTTGAGAGAATAGCCCCTGCTGCTACCACAGTTGGACTCTTCAGATTCAGAGACTATGATTTCTGTTTTTCAATCTAGCGTTCTTTTCCCTTTATCTTTTGCAAAATGGAGTACATTTTCTTAGAAATTATGTGGAGACTATCTAATGAATATTTTTGAAAAAATAAATGCAGGAAAGAATGACTGACTTGTTGAAAGATGATTTTACCAATTAAGAATGTCTAAATATTATTTTAACGGTTAAAGATAAAAGTGGTTCCAAATTATGTTAATACATGGTAAAGATTAGAAATCCCACTAGCTTAATAGAGAAAGGAATATAACTGCATGTTGGTGTTTGTATATTACTTCATTTATTCCTTTCTGTAACATGTCAGAGGATATTGTCATCTATATCATATGGCTGAAATCAACAAAAACCAAACACCTAAGATCACACAGATAGTAAGTGCCAGATCTGGCCTTTTTGAGCTCATAGATGGTGTACCTTGCCCCCAGAAGTTAAATAAAAGCATAGCATTGGAGAGGTTGAGGAGGGACATGCATTAGCCAGATTCGCGAAGCCCACTAAGGCCCCTTTGTACAGTGTCCCACCATATGAAGACTTGATTATTTTTGGCTTCTACTTTTGCCCACTCTCTGCAGCCCATTGCTTATATAATAACCATAGAGAGCTTTTGTAAAACTAGTGGCTCCGCTACTTAAAACTCTCCAGTCATTTTACAGTGCACATATGCTACACACATACATAAAATCCCATGAGGCCTCACAAATCCTCCCTGCCTGTTTCTCAGAGCAGAGCAATGGAGCACACAACTGCAGGGGCACCATACACACCAAGGCAGCAGACCTGCCAGTGCAACATGATGGTACCATCTCTGACTTCATCTCTTCTATTTGCTTTCTGCCTCCCAAATGCCAATCTCATTTTTGCTTAAACTCTTTTGCTTGCATTTCCCTTCACCTGGAATGTTCTTCTCTAGGCCACAGGGTTGACCCCTTCTTATCATTCAGATCTTACTGCAAATGCATGCCTTTTCAGGCAGGCCTTCCCTGCCTTCCGATATAAAATAAACTTCCTTCCCAGTAGCTTCAACATCTCCTTGTCTTATGCCCTTCAGAGCACTTCTACCTTCAGAGATTAGCCTGATTTGTTGTTTGTTTAATTCCTATTTCCTTCCTGATATGTTCCATGGCAGCAGAGACTTTATCGTAACTGTATACCTGAGTAGGAGGATAATGCCAGGCACTTACATGATAAATAAATGAATACTCCTGCTATTACTTGTAAGCTTCACTCATGTTTTGTCAAACTTGGTCATGGCTTCTGATTTTTTTACATCTTCTACTACCAGACTTTACTTTTATCCCATTATCCATCTCAGACTCTGCATTTTAACTACCAAGAGGAGGATCTGAATGTCGAACTCATCATGTTGTAAGGGTCATGAAGAGCTTTGAGGCAAGATTATCATAAATCCTTAGCTTCTAAGTCTGTCTTTGGTTTGAGTGTTTATCTTTGCTTCAGTCAACTGTAGCCATGTTCTTGTGGACAAACACAGTATATAACAAAGCTCTTAGGAGGAGCAAGGTAGGTACAACGACAAATTGCAAAGTAGTTTTTGCAGTGCAAGACTGGGCTTAAAAGTAAAACATAATGAAAATTTGGTATTTGTACAAGCCACCTTTGGTATTTCAGCCAGAAACATGCTCAAATAGTATTTAATAATAATGTAGAAGTAGCATTTCAGAGGGGAAGAAACACAAACTATTGAATAGATGGCACATATCCATTTAGTTAATTATTTGAGAAAGGTTATACCTTTTCCTCCCGCAAAATTTTATGCATACTAAACACTTGGAGAGAGAGACGTGTGTGTGTGTGTGTGTGTGTGTGTGTGTGTGTGTGTGTGTGTGTATTTTTTTTCTCTTGAGAGAGAGAGTCTTACTGTCACCCAGGCTGGAGCACAGTGGCAGAATCTTTGCTCACTGCAACCTCTGCCTCTCGGATTCAAGTGATTCTCCTGCCTCAGCCTCCTGAGTAGCTGGGATTACAGGTGCATGCCACCATGCCCGGCTAATTTTTGTATTTTTAGTAGAGACAGGGTTTCACTATGTTGGCCAGGCTGTTCTCAAACTCCTGACCTCAGGTGATCTGCCTGCCTCAGCCCCCCAAAATGCTGGGATTACACGCATGAGCCACCACCCCTGGCCAACACTTGGATATAAAAATGAAACCATCAAATATTAAGGCACTGGTGGTAGTAATTTATTACTTAGGAGGAGGAAGAGGCAGAATATATGGCTGTGTCTGGTCCACACAGGACTTTAGATTAAAAGCCTTTTTTTAAGTCTGTCACAGGAGTAGAGTAAAAATAAATAGGTTTTTTTAAAGCCATTTTAGTGATACATTAAGCAAGCTTTCAACAGTGGTATTCTTGGTATCTAAGTGACCTTGATCCATAATAAGAATACTGCTTTTGCAGTTAATCTAAACCTTGCTGTTTCAAACATTTTAAACATGCTTACAGCTTAAGTGAAATATATATATGGAAAATTCATTGTATAAAATATGTGAATACAGAGGGAGATTTATTTAAGCCAAACAATAGCACCAGTACTTAGTCACACATCACGCCTCTCCATTTGGGGGATATTCAGTGCTGCGGATGCAGCTAAATTCAGTGTTACAATTATTATTATTTAAGTGTTGGATCTCTTCCTTCCTTTTCAGCCGAATATGCACTTCTCAGGCAATTCTCTACACCCACTGAAACAGAGACAGGATCTGACATCCTGTGACATCCTTTTCTACTTAAGCACTAAATTGTTTTGCCCTGTGGATTTCAGCAGCACACATGTGATGTTACTAAAATAAGAGTGATATTCCCAGTGCTCAGTACCTTAATAGAACCATTATAGCTATTATTAAGTTATGTTGCATTAATTTAGGACTTAAAAAATACAAATGAGAATTTTGTGTGTTCTTGTCAGAGATTGCAAAGAACAAAAGCAGCCTTAAAGGTGTCAAAACGTGTTTAAGGAAAAATGGATAAAAATTAACGCCAGTATTTGATACACATGGAAATGAGGAAATGTTTTGTACGTGATCCCCAACTCACAGAATGATCATTTCAAAAATCTGCAAGTAATTTGGTTGCTCAGAGCTAAGGACACATTCAGTCATCGGGAAGCTTCAGTCTTAGAGAAACCCTCACAAGCAAGCCCACTGTAACTCACTTCATGAGACCAGGCAGCCACTTAGATTTTAGCAACAGAGGACAGTGTTTATTCATTGTATTCCAGGGAGGAGACTTGCTTTATCTAACAAGCTGAGTAGGTCAACTTTTCTTATTGACTGTCTCCCAGCTCTTTGCTGCATCTCCGTCTGGTGGCCCCTGCTGCCTGGGCTACTCCACCTTATTCCACCTTATTCTTCAAAGTGCTTCCTGAACTCCAGTTACCTACCTACCTGGCCCCTCCCCCCCATTAATACCCTTCACCTGTGTAGCTGATCACACTACTATTCTTAGAAGAGGTTGACCCTTGAACAACATGGGCTGGTTCACTTACAGGCAGATTTTTTTTTTCAACCAAAAGTATATTGAAAATACAGTATTCAGGGGATGCGAAACCCACATATATGGAGAGTCTTTTGCATCCGGTGAATACTGTCCTTTCTGTATACTTGATTATGCCCAGATTTTGGTACACTCAGAGGTCCTAGAACCAATCCCTTGAGTATCGTATATTGAGGAATGACTGTATTGGCATTTTTAACTGGGCCCCAGTATTGATGTATTCTACTTAGCTGATATTTTTGCTAACAGCCATAAAAACAGTAAGAGCAAGGACTCTGGTGATGTTTCAATAGGAGGGATAACCACTTTATAAACAGTTTATAAATTATGACTTCCATAAGATAATGGAATTTCATAGCTGAAAGGTTGCTTAGATGCATGTAGACCAACCACCTTTTTTTTTTCCTTTCTTTCACTTTTATGTAGATATTGAGAAAATTTAAAAAATTATGATTCCAGGCCCAGCACTGCCTATTCCAGCATTTTGGGAGGCCGGGGCGGGTGGATCAACTGAGGTCAGGATTTCGATACCAGCCTTGGCAACATGGCAAAACCCCATCTCTACTAAAAATACAAAAATTAGCTGGGTGTGGTGGCACGTACCTGTAATCCCAGCTACTCAGGAGGCTGAGGCTGGAAAATCACTTGAACCCGGGAGGTGGAGATTGCAGTGGGCGGAGGCTGCAGTGAGCCGAGATTGCACCACTACACTCCAGCCTCGGCAACGGAGCGAGACTCCGTCTCAAAAAAAAATATGACTCCAGATCAAGATTAAATAGTATATTCATTACTTTAGATTGTATTTTGAATGGGGGACAGAGAATGACAATTGGAATAGAAAACAAAAGAAATCTGAGACTGGGCAAGTCTCAGGCACAGATTTGGAGTGATCACATGAAAAAACCTCCCAATCCTAGATTCCTCTGTCCATAAAACTCATCTTCCTTTCCCCACCAAGACATTTGAGTGGATCAGAGCCACCCTGAAGATTCCAAGCTTCAACCTGGGTTTCAAATCCTACTCTAAAGTAAACTCACACTCCTGGTGATTTAAGCCAAATCTACCATCTCAGAAAGCCTCCAAATTGGGGTGACCTCAAGGATGGACACATTGCCCAAGGTTGTTTCTGGGCCTGAGTGTATTTTTGTTTTCACCATTCCCTCTCCATTAATATAGACTTGTATTCACTAGGCCTACTCTTGAACTAAGCTGGTTTCCTAATGAATCTTTAAGTCTACATGTTCTTAAAGTATAGTTTGTATCATGTGAACTGAATCCTCATTGAGTATCTAACTCCATGGTAAAATTCTCAAGATGTTTAGATCTTTGGTGCTTAGCCATGTTAAAGATCTTTCTTTGGGTTAGATTGTGAGCTGACGCATCCTAGAGTGGCTTAGGGTTCTAATGCCTGTTTTTGCGTTTACAGTCTCTGGCTGATGAACTTGCTCTTGTGGATGTTTTGGAAGATAAGCTTAAAGGAGAAATGATGGATCTGCAGCATGGGAGCTTATTTCTTCAGACACCTAAAATTGTGGCAGATAAAGGTAATTTCACTTAATGCCCAAAGTGATCTAATATTTTTTTCATGGCCCCAAAACACATTTGGAATGCATCTTACAGCATAATAGATTTATTTGTAAGTAGGAAAGGTTGAAGTTTTGGAACAGTTATTTCAATAACTGTTAATAAGATATTTATAATGTAGTTTAGCAAATTCAGATTATTGCAAAATTGTTATATAATTATAAAATGTTTCCCTCTTTTTCCTCATTTTATAAAAAGCTCTTACTTCTCTACTGTATTCTACTTTTTATTTCTCAAATATTTTATATTCACTTATTAATGGACAGCTACCTAAAATGAGTTTGCTAGCCGTAAGTGATCACTGATATGTCACTAACAGGAAATAACAAATTGGATTTATCGCATTGTTTGGCTTATTTTACCACGTTTCTTCTATAGGCCAATTTTCTTTCATCCGTTTCTAGAAACTCATTGCTACTGCTAAAATGTACACATAGCAAATTGACATTTTCCCATTGGAAGTGTATGTAGAAAATGGTTATGTATTCCACACTCCACACTGCCACACTAGTTATCTTTATCCTAAAACAGATGCTTTCCCTAAAATGAAAGTTTGAATGCATTCTTTTCTTTAAAGATTTCTTATCTTTTTATAAACCTTTGTCTGTATTCTAAAACCTCTGGCAGGGCCTGCACAGCTCTCAATTTAGATATAACCTGCATTTCCTCATGGCTCATCATTCTCCTCTCCTCCCTCAGTCTGTTATAAAATTAGTCTTCCCATCCTGGTGAATCTGGTGTTGGCAGTTTCTTTTCATCTGGGTCCAGTTTATCCTTAAGGTTAAACTCAAGTATCACTTACATTAACCCTCTCCCACAGACCTTCTACACATTTGATATGTAACATTTTGGGCTATTGTATTATAATGCCTTGTTTATATGTATCTGAGAACTAGCATGTTTTAGACCCCAAAAGTATTGGTACAATGAAGGGGTGGCCTGCCTCTCCACCCTTGTGGGCATTTCTCGTCGGGTGGAACGAGAGACTGGAGAAAAGAGACACGGAGACAAAGTATAGAGAAAGAAAAAGTGGGCCGAGGGAACCGGCACTCAGCATACGGAGGACCCACGCCGGCACCAGTCTCTGAGTTCCCTTAGTATTTATTGATCATTATCGGGCGTATCTCGGAGAGGGGGATGTGGCTGGACAATAGGGTAATAGTGGAGAGAAGGTCAGCAGGAAAATATGTGAACAAATGTCTCTGCATCATAAACAAGGTAAAGAAAAAAGTGCTGTGCTTTTGATGTGCATATACATAAACATCTCAATGCCTTAAAGGGCAGTATTGCTGCCAGCATGTCCCACCTCCAGCCCTAAGGCAGTGTTCTCCTATCTCAGTAGATGGAATATACAATCGGGTTTTACACTGAGACATTCCATTGCCCAGGGACGAGCAGGAGACAGATGCCTTCCTCTTACCTCAACTGCAAAGAGGCCTTCCTCTTTTACTAATCCTCCTCGGCACAGACCCTTTACCAGTGTCGGGCTGGGGGACAGTCAGGTCTTTCCCTTCCCACAGTCAGGTCTTTCCCTTCCCACGAGGCCATATTTCAGACTATCACGTGGGGAGAAACCTTGGACAATACCTGGCTTTCCTAGGCAGAGGTCCCTGCGGCCTTCCATAGTGTACTGTGTCTCTGGGTACTTGAGATTAGGGAGTGGTGATGACTCTTAACAAGCATGTGCCTTCAAGCATTTGTTTAACAAAGCACATCCTGCACAGCCCTTAATCCATTTAACCCTGAGTTGACACAGCACATGTTTCAGGGAGCGCAGGGGTGGGGGTAGGGTTACAGATTAACAGCATCTCAAGGCAGAAGAATTTTTCTTAGTACAGAACAAAATGGAGTCTCTTAATGTCTACTTCTTTCTACACAGACACAGTAACAGTCTGATCTCTCTTTCTTTTCCCCACAGTACAAAGTAATTTCAATGCCTTGAAGAAACTAAATAATAGCTATTATGTATAAATTTTTAACATTCTGGGTACTGTGTGAAACATTTTGCACATATTATTTCATCTGACTTCATCTTTGCAACAACCTTATGAAATGTAGGGACTATAATTACTGCCATTTTATGGGAGAGGAACCTTACAAAGTATTACCAATCATCAAAAGCCGCACTGTAACCCAGTTTAATTATGTGAATCATCCATAGCTGTTGAGTCAAATGATCACATCAAATCGCAATATCCATATATTTCGAAAAAGGACACACTTCCTTAAGAAAAAAATCAAATCTCCAGGGAAACTTGCAGCGCTAAAAAGCAAATAAGCTTCCTAAAAATATTGAGTATTAGAAATCCAAGTTTTAGTTTCCAGACAAAACCAAACACTTCACTGCCTTCCTTCCCTTCCTAAATTTTAACTTTTTAAGATAAAAGTAACTTAAAATTGGTTTTTGTTTTTGTTTTTTTTTTTTTTTTTTTTTGATGTCTACCTATTGGAGTCACTGTTTACACTTCATTTTATTCCTGACAATTCATTGAATTCATAGCCAAAAACATACTTTCGGGTCATCTTTATTTTCTGAGGCAGTTTGATGTTTGGATTATTGCAGTGTAGCTCAAGGGAGAAAAAAGAAGCCACAGGAACATTAAACTTCAAGCCCTTACAATACAGAAAACTTAATTCACATATATGTTCTAGAAGCTTATGTATGGTTAGGCTTTTAGAGCATGTCATATAGGTTATGTTATAATGAAGAGTTGCATTTAAAGTACCTGTTTTTGCTTTTCTTTTTAAAGATTATTCTGTGACTGCCAATTCTAAGATTGTAGTGGTAACTGCAGGAGTCCGTCAGCAAGAAGGGGAGAGTCGGCTCAATCTGGTGCAGAGAAATGTTAATGTCTTCAAATTCATTATTCCTCAGATCGTCAAGTACAGTCCTGATTGCATCATAATTGTGGTTTCCAACCCAGGTATTATTGTATACTTTAAGTCTCTGTTCTGTTAAGTTCAGTGTTTTGGTGTTTCTGTTGTTATTGTTTTGGACTAAAATCAGTCCCAGTATTCATTTACAGAAGCAGTTTACATGTCTTCTTTCATTGGCCCTAAATAGTGGTGTTTGCAAAACAAATGCCTCTGTCCCAGGCCAGATGTTCAAAAAATGTGACAAGAGTTTTAGCTAAAGCAATTTCATGTTTTTGCTTCATCTGGCTTGGTTATAGATTCTGAAGGCTTTTAAAACTTTTTTATAAAGATTATCCTGGGATGGAGAATGAAGCATTCGAACATAGTTTCAATTTGTAAGAAACATTTTGACATATTTGACCTTTTATTTTCTGGAAAATCCCATTATACAGAATTGAAACAGATCAACTTTGAAAAGAAGCATATAAGAAAGCCATTAAACAATTCTGTTTTAAAGATAGAAATAGACTGAATTGATGGACAAATATATGCTAACACCAAATGCTCTGACTTAAAAATTGCTTTCCTTGCTAACTTGACATCTACAGGATGAACATTAAACCTTCTGACTAGAAAGAATGCACTTTTTTAGCCTTAACAGCTAAAATATGCTCTATTTGATATACTGCTTTTATCTATAGTTTGCCACCAAAATTACTGCATGTTGGTGAGCATAGCAGGTACATTGAGAAAATAGTAAAGAAACTGGACTGATTATCTCTCACACTTCCCATAGAGAAACACTGTGAATAAGAGCTAGGGGAATCCCCACAGTATCTTGAGTATTGAGAGTTGAGAGCCAGCAAGGACAGAGGTTATTTCCATATTTTTACTTCTGCAAACCAAGATTGGAGTTTATTAAATGGTTCAGTCTTATATATAAAACTTCTCATAAATATATATGTGCCAGGTAGATGTAGAATAGGAATGACAAGTAGCTAGCACATAGTAAGTTACTGCATCCTGTGCCTCAGGCAGGCGTCACTAAATGATTATGCAACTTTCTACATATAGCTTCACAGCTGGATTTTCCAGGGAGTCACTTCCATGGAATCAAAGTTGGCAAGGAAAAGTTATCCAGTCCCAAATGTCCTTGAATTATCTTAGCCATTGTCTACAGATTAGTGTGGGGGTGGAGGCTGCAGGATTAACTTTCAGCTCTTCACCTTCCTTGTGTGCACATTTTTTACTTTTTACAGCTTAGCCTGCAAGTGCTGTGATCCTATCTGGATCAGCAAAAGTTTTATGTCTGTGGTTTTAAGGCTATGCCACGCTGGAGCAAAGGTTCTGACATAGATGTTCTTTTATTAAATAGAAATTTTTAATACTACGTATTATCACAGTTGTTTACTGAAGAATACCTCATGCCCAGAAAAATTTGTGGTAGCAAGATTTGGTAGTTTAGTAATCAAAGGCTTCTTGGTTTATGATGACAATCATTATAATTATGGAATGTTACAACTGGGGGAAACTTAACTGACAACCTGGTTCAACCTGTTTTGTTTTTTTCAACTTTAAGTTAATTAATCTGCAAGGTTCTTAAATATTCTTGTTTCACATAATAATGCAAATGTAAAAGCACAGTATTGCATTTTTCATGTCTTGCAATCTTCATATAAGGCTTAAAAGTTTGTTTTTGTCACTGTCATTCCTGGTATCTCTAACAATGAAAAGTTAAAGTATTTACTTTAATCTTTCTGGCCACATCTCATTTGGGGAGTGGGGAAGTGGGAAAAGGGAAGCCAGGGCACCCCAAGCTGCCTAACAGTTGAAGTTGGTTTTGGTTTACTTACATATATTATTTCCAAAATTTTTAGTGGACATTCTTACGTATGTTACCTGGAAACTAAGTGGATTACCCAAACACCGCGTGATTGGAAGTGGATGTAATCTGGATTCTGCTAGATTTCGCTACCTTATGGCTGAAAAACTTGGCATTCATCCCAGCAGCTGCCATGGATGGATTTTGGGGGAACATGGCGACTCAAGTGGTAAAGAAAAAAAAAAGAAATAATTACTTGTGATGTTGGTTTTGCCATTTTGAATTTTTCATTTTATTTCAAATTTTATTTTTATAGACTTTGATGTACTTAAGAACAGTTGCAAAAATAGTAGTTACTTTTCTATTCTATTCCATTTTGCTTTATCATTTACTCTCTCATCTCTCTATCTACCTATCATCTATCTTTACCTTGATCAATTAAGCATAAATCAATTCCCTCACCTTTTTCTCCTTAAGTTCTTTACTGTGTATTTCCTCAAAACAAAGATTTTCTTTTTCATAACCACAGTACACTTCCCAAAATCAGGAAATGTAACCCTGAAACAATATTATCTAATCCAGAGTCCATTATTCACAAGTTATCAACTGTCTCAATAGTGTCCTCTAAAGCTTTTTTCCTAATTCAGAATCCATTCTAGGCTCACACATTACATCTACTATATATCCTTAGCCTCCTTCATTCTGGAACAGTTTCTCAGTCTATCTCTGTTTCTCATGATCTTGACATTTTTGAAAAGTCAGGTGAGTTATTTTGTGGAATGCCCATCATTTTAGACTTGTCTGATTGTTTCTTTATCATTAGGTTGAGCTATGAACTTTTGGTGCAAATACCACAGAAATGACCCTATAGTTTTCTCATGGCATCACATCCAAAGGCATGTAATGTCAGTGTGGCCAACAATTGGTGACACTAACTGTGATAACTCAGTTAAGGTTGTATTTTGCCAGGTTACTCTGTGTGAAGTTACTGCTTTTCCTTTGTAATTTATGAGTAATTTGTGGGAAGATGTTTTGATGCTGACTAGGAAAATGTCTGACTCCTCATCAATTTTTCTCTGCTAAATTTAGCATCTATTAATGATTTGTGGTTGAATAAATTACCATGATAGTTGTCAAACATGATCTACTAATTCCATCATTTATTCTGTATTAGTTGCATTCCACTGTAAGACAGAAATTTTTCATCTTCCCTCTTTATTTATTTGTTGATATCAATGTGGCCTCGGATTTTTATCTCATGCCCAAAATATTGTGTCACTATCATTTGTAATGCTCAAGTTGTCCCAGGCTTTTCAAACTGACTCTTACGTCTTTTTTTTTTTAACATGTCCCATCATTTTTGAGCACTGTCTTGCACAATAAATTGCACCAGCCTCATTTTGAACTTTCCCCTTCCCAGCACTAGAATCAGCTGTTTCCCTAATGAGCCCTGTTTCCTTTTAGTGAGGAATGGTAGTTAGAAACCAGGATCAGGGCATAGGTGTGCTTGTGCTACTGGTATATCTTTGCTTCTAGGCCCTTTGAGTAGACAGAGCTATTACATCCATTGTATTTGCTGAAGGAGGAATGAGTTAGGTAACAAAAGCTTATAAATAACTTGTATCTACTCTTCTATAATGTAAAATAAACCTTACCTCAAATGAAATCTTATTTTTAATAAACTATTAATTATAACTATCAATTATTTAAGTAGTAAGAGACTGTATGATAAAACTAAATAGTTTCTTTAGGAACTTAAATTGAAGTAAAGAATTGTACATAAATTAGTAATTCAAAAAGAGCAACATTAAAATCACATTACACTTTTTTTTAGTGCTTCGTGTTCAGACAATTTAAAACTATATTATAAATGTTTTATTTTAAATTAATATTTTTCTCATTTAAATTAATTATTCTTTGAACAATTTTATGTAAAACTGTTTTTGAACAATTTTGATTCTGTTTCATAGATCTAAATCTGTTTATTAAACCACAATATATTGAATAAGCTCATGGCAAAAAAAAATAATAAAATAATCCAATATTGAAACTAATAATTTAAAATATTTTATTAATAATAATGATGATAAATAATATTTTTATTTTACTAAATTCATTTCTGCCACCTGTGTAAAGGACTATTTTCTCCCAATAAGCTCAGAGTATAAATCTTCCTTTGAATTCAGTGGGAGTTTGAAATGCAATTTTAGTAAAGGGTTTATCTTGGTGCTATAAGAATTTGTTCTTGAAGTTGTAGCATAATTTATTTCTGATTTTTTATATAAGAATGCTGACTTTTTTCTGACACATATCACTTTATTCAAGAATTGTTTACCTCCAGGGACTCATCTGAATTTTTGTCTGGTTAATTGTAATGGTCCTATGTGTCTCTCTTGATCAGATTAATTTGAGCATGGAAAGTTTTTAGCAAGTCAACTCCATAACTTTAAGCTTGGCTCTCCCTTCTTAACAAGATAATGTGACTAGCAAGTTCTTAACTTCTCTGAACCTGTTTCCTCATCTATAAAATAAAGATAATTATGCCACCTATGTACTATGTAAAAAGTACTTAGTACAATGTCAGGTGTACAGTAAAAGTTCAGTAAATGCTAGGTGTAGTTATACATTGCTAGGTGATAGAAGTGATATTACATGTCCTCTAGTTCAGGACTTTAATTTTAGTGAGAAAAAGTGATATTACATGTCCTCTAGTTCAGGACTTTAATTTTAGTGAGAAAAAAAATAAGGCAAAGTAGGTGAAGTAGCTATTGAAGAACTTTTAGTTAGTTAATGCCATAGCTACCACTAGAATTATGTCTTCTGATTCCCGTCCAATGTTCTATTACATTATGGCTGTTATTTTTCCCAGAACATCTTTTTAAAATTTTTCATGTTGATCTATATTGTGTACGTAAAATGAAAGAGAATTAAACCATGCTCACTAGACATGATTATGCAGATTTCATAATTTTCATCAAAATTGTAAAAATATCCAATTACCCTAACTTGCCAGAAGTTGTGGACTAATAGGGGATCTTATTTGGCTTTAAATAGCTTTTCCCTTCATATCTGTTTCAGTCATAGTAGATTCTACCCCACACTTTTGCTCCTATTTCCAGAGTCTACAATGTACTCCTCCAAAGGTCTCCAAGAAACATATAACTTAGGTTTTAAGGTCCAATTCAAAGGCCCATTTTGTGTAGTTCTTTCTGATACTCTTCTCCTTTAAATTAAGTAGACCCTTATTTATAATTTTTACCCCACTTTCATAATTATGCTTTATTTGGGTCTTATTCTAGGATTTTTTTTCTTTACTGTAGAATAAAGGAGCATATATTAGAAAAATATGGAGGAGAAAAGTTAAACATTCCTCAAACCAAAAGTTTAGCATAGTCCCCAACTAGAATCCCTGTGATTTCACACACCTAGAGAGAAGCAAAGAATTTTATTTTCTCTGTAACTATGACACAGCAATTCTGCTTTGCACTAAAATTCTTGAAAGTTAAAAGGTCAGACATGTTGCTATTTGAAGGCAAACGTCAGCCTTTTTGGGGAACTATACTGGAATCTACTGGAGAGTCACTTATTGGAGCAGTTCCAGTTGGTATTCAGTAATTTGCATCATAGGTGAAATTGCACTAAAAGAAGAAAATATTTTTTAAAATAATGTAAGAAATAACTGCAATGTCTTTTTTTTTTTTTTTAAACAGTGGCTGTGTGGAGTGGTGTGAATGTGGCAGGTGTTTCTCTCCAGGAATTGAATCCAGAAATGGGAACTGACAATGATAGTGAAAATTGGAAGGAAGTGCATAAGATGGTGGTTGAAAGGTAAGTGAAAGGGAACTTGATTTTAGATGATTAATTTCAACTCTACTTAAATAAAATTATAAACATTTTCCATGGCTGTCTGCTCAGATAAACTCTTAATGTAGTAATTATGCAGCTGTTATCTTTTGAAACTGATAAGACTTTTACACTGGTCAAACTTGCTATGCCAGTCTCCCTAGGGAAAGTAAATATTTTCTCTAGAGAAACTCTATTGTAGAGGTAACAGGAGCAAAATGTGGAATTAACAAGTGAGAAGAGTCTTCAAATTGCCACCTCTCAACAAATAAGGTTGATTTATTTAGAAAAGTAAACTTAGAAACTATTGGTTTCATAATTGCCCCAAATAAATAAACTTGCTTGCTGATTGCTAACAGTGTTTAAGTTTTAATAACAGGACTAACTGATGTCTCAAATATAGAATCATTTTGTTCAATTTTAGTAATTTTTTTTTCAGGAATTTGAACTATATGTGGAGAAAAGGAACCTTAAAAAAGTTGAAAGAGTCTTTATAATTTCAATTAACATATACCTTTATTTTACAAGTGAGAAAACTATGGCTCACCCAGATAGTGTAACTGGTCCAAGGTCTTCTAATGATTGGGTGTCAATTGCATTAAATCCTAATTTTCCAATACTCAGCTAGAGTTATTCCTGCTGCTTCTCAAGTGCCAGGGCCTTTATGGGTTTTAAGAGCTACAATTTGTGCTGAAAAAACTGTCAGGCAAGATACTCTTATCCCTTTTATTAGTTAGTTGATTATGTTAGGTGACAGTGGCAAGTGGGACCTCACAATTGAGATATATTTTGTTCTTTCACTTTTATTGTTTCCTGATTTTATGTGTTTGGAAATATGTTTACAGATTTGTTACAATGATTGGAAAATGTATATTTTTGCCACAGTGACTTTATAAATCTTAACTTATACAATAAACTAAAGTTATCAAGCATTTATATAGTGTTTACTGTGTAGTGCTTACAGTTTTAAGCATTTTACATATATATTAATTCATTTAACACTCAAAAAGGGAACACTAAGGCAATAAAGGGTAAATAATTTGCCCAAGATTATAGTTAGAGACAGAGCAGTAGTCAAAGTCAGGTCTGGTTTCAATAATGATTGAGTCTTATTTCAGTGATGTCTTTTATAATTTTTTTAAGTGCCTATGAAGTCATCAAGCTAAAAGGATATACCAACTGGGCTATTGGATTAAGTGTGGCTGATCTTATTGAATCCATGTTGAAAAATCTATCCAGGATTCATCCCGTGTCAACAATGGTAAAGGTAAGACAAACTACCACAAAATGTAATATGATTTCTCGCATTGTATTCTACAAAAAGATTCATTTAAAGAGGCTCAGACCAGATAAAATCATAGTTCAAGGTTATTTCTGTCTCTCAAAGTTTTATGTAAACTATTCTCATTTTCCAACAGAAGTCTTGGACAGCAAGGGCAGAAAACTTAGAGAATCTAAGACATTCAATAGATTGTTGTCATTCTTTATATAATTTTGCAAATTAAATATTAACTCTGAATCTTAGCACATTCTTAAAGTATTGATCATTTGAATAAGTGTAATAGAGTTTCATTTAAAGTTGATGTACTAAACTCTAGATTGCCTTTCATATAGCACTTGATACCTTAGCAAATACAGTTTAATTCAAAAGCTATGGAGCAAATGCACAAAACAGGTAGAAATTAATGATTTTTTAAACAAAACTAAAATTATATTAAAATATTTTGTAAGACAACTGACTCATTTTCCACAAGTCAGTGTAAATCAAGTGTGTCAATAATTGGGTAATTACTGAGTCTTTGGGTACATACATAGGAATTTGTTTATTCTATCTACTTTTGTGTATGTACAAAATTTTTGAAATTAAAAGTTTAAAAACTGACATTAAGGTATGTTTAATATAATTAGTTATATAGTTAAATTGACCCTGTGAATAAATTACCCACACGAACTGGTAAAGTGTTTTGGAAATTGTATTTTTTTTTTTTTTTTTAGCAATTCTTGGGTATTCCAAGCATCTTGCCTTTTAATGGTCTCTAACTATTACCCAGGACCTCATAAGTTGGCTACCACCTGAAATTTCTTCCTAACTAAAAGTCTTTAAGCAACTTAAAATTTCATAGAAAGTAATCCATTAAGAACCACAATTAAAAGCAATTTAATTTGAAGACTCATATATCAAAATTTATTAAAGTGTATTTAAATAGAGCAGTGTTCAATAAAATACGTATATAATAAAATTAAATAAGTACTTGTTACTTACAAATATCTAATTTTCTCATAGTGTATGTTTGCATATTCTATGTATAAAACCTAATTCAAAACATAAGTATTGGGGAAATGTGGACCTGTAAGTGATGAAAATTAGATTAGGGAATGAGTTCAGGCCTATCAAGTTTTCTACAATTCTTTCTGTTGGAACATCGGACCTTTGATTATTCTCTTTTTTCCCCCCTTTAGAGATTAGTTCTTGCTCTGTCACCCAGGCTGGAGAGTAGTACCGCTGTCATAGCTCACTGAAGCTTCAAACTCCTGGGCTCAAACAGTCCTCCCACCTCAGCCTCCTGTCTTTGATCATTTTTACTTACAGTTTCATGTCTTAATCTCGATGCTTTGTTGTTCTGGCAGGGGATGTATGGCATTGAGAATGAAGTCTTCCTGAGCCTTCCATGTATCCTCAATGCCCGGGGATTAACCAGCGTTATCAACCAGAAGCTAAAGGATGATGAGGTTGCTCAGCTCAAGAAAAGTGCAGATACCCTGTGGGACATCCAGAAGGACCTAAAAGACCTGTGACTAGTGAGCTCTAGGCTGTAGAAATTTAAAAACTACAATGTGATTAACTCGAGCCTTTAGTTTTCATCCATGTACATGGATCACAGTTTGCTTTGATCTTCTTCAATATGTGAATTTGGGCTCACAGAATCAAAGCCTATGCTTGGTTTAATGCTTGCAATCTGAGCTCTTGAACAAATAAAATTAACTATTGTAGTGTGCTTCTGTTTCTGGGATTCCTTCCTTAATGATTCCTGAAAGATTTCAGTCAGTCTGCCAAGTCATTCTTACCACACGTCATAAATGTCCCTAAATTCCAACATCATCTACACTCCTCCCTCTGGATGAGACAAAAATTCTTTTTTGCAACAGGTGCCACGGTTTGTTGTTGTTGTCCTGAGAATATGATTATCTTTTTAAGGTTATAACTGAAGAAGTTGTAACGGATGTCAATGTATATGACATTTACAAAGGAAGCCCGTTTTAAAAGGAAGAACCCCTAAAATGGAAACTTTGTTAGAATTCTATTTAATAATGAAGGAAAATGAAAGTTTGGTCTGGATTATTCAGATTGAGTCTACTTGGAGATAGCATAACATGTGAATTTACAGGGAAACTTAGGTAGACTTCCTTTAACAAAGAGTTCCAAATTTACATGTCATATGTAGGGGTCAATTTAGGTAGTGTTTAAAACATGAGTTTTGGTGTCATATAAACCTGGACTTGAGTGCTGGCCTTATCGTTGATTAACTGTGATCTTAGTCAAGTTAACTACTTAATCACTCCTAATTCTCATTTTCCTCACCTATAAAACAGTGATGATAACAACACCTCTTCAATATGGGTTGTTTAAATGAGAAAATTATGTAAAACTCTTAGCACATAGCTTGGTCATCATGGTAGCTAACATTTAAGTAGTGCTTACTGTTCCAAGTGCTTCATAGATGTTAACTTAGCTAAATCATCCCAACTATCCTATAAGGTAGTGTTTCTTCACCTCAACACTATTGACCTTTTGGGTTGAATGTTTCTATGTAGTGGGGGCTGAACTGCGCATTGTAGGCTGTTTAGCAGCATCTACCCAACCAATGCCAGTCACACACCGCTGCCGACAAGGTGTAGCCAAACATGTCTGCAGACCTTGCCAAATATCCCCTGGGAAGGGGTGAGGAGAATCACCCTTGATTGAGAACCACTGCTCTAAAGTATGTATCCTCATTTTACAGATGAGGAAACTGAGACATAAAGAGGCACACAGGTAATAGCCACCAAATAACAGAATCAGGATTCAACCTAGGCAATTAGCTTTAAAATCCTTTCTCTTTGCTGGGCGCAGTGGCTCATGCCTGTAATCCCAGCACTTTGGGAGGCAGAGGTGGGTGGATCAAGAGGTCAAGAGATCGAGACCATCCTGGCCAACATGTGAAACCCCATCTCTAATAGAATTACAAAAATGAGCTGGGCGTGGGGGCATGCCCCTGTAGTCCCAGCTACTCGGGAGGCTAAGGAGAATCTCTCGAACCCAGGAGACAAAGGTTGCAGTGAGCTGAGATTGCACCATTGCACTCCAGCCTGGCAACAGAGCGAGACCCCGTCTTGGGGGGAAAAAAATCCTTTCTCTTAAGCACAGTGTACTATAATGCAGAAAAACTTACTGTCAAATTTTTGTATCTTCTTAGAATAATATTGAAATTTTTTAATGCTCCAGCATATTATGAGGGTGCTATTATTTCTATATTACAGAATGGGAGATGGATACAGTTATTAAATTCCTTTTTTATATCATATTTCCAAAGTTACTGTCTAGATGTAAGGAGGAGGGTTAATTTAATATATGCTTCTATTTCATTGTTTCAGTTTCTACGTGAATGTTGAATTTGCAATAAGCCAATAGTTTCCAACCTTGAATTTCATGGATCAGTTTAGAATTATTTAAACTGTTTAAAAGGGGGAATAGACGTGTGTAGGTTAAGAAGCACAAACACAACTTTGCCAACTTTTCATTTTGCCAAATAAGCACATGGAGAAAAAACTACCATTTTCTACTATCATACAAAAGAAAAGACATTTTAATGCCAAAATAATGGGAAGACCACAGTCTCAAATGTATCAGCTATCTTGGACCATGGACAGAAATGCAGAACCTTGGGATGGCAGAGCCAAGAGCTGGAAGAAGGCTGGGCTTTCAGTTTGCATGCAGCTGCCTGTACCAGCTATTGACTGCCTGCCTCCTAATTGCTTTTTATATTAGGAGGAAATAAACTGCTATCACTGTTATTTTAGGTATCTGTCTCAGCTAACCAATTAATTCTAAATGATATACTCCCAACTATATGGCACAGTACCTGTTAGATAACTTTTTATCTAATTGAGGGCATGTACTTGAACGATAAATAACAAAATAAGATGCTATAAAATCAAGAAAAAAAAGACTTGAATCCTCACACATTCAGTTGGAACACTTGTATTTTCTTACCGTCTGGGGAAACGTGAAAAATGGAATTAATAACATTCCTTAGGAATAGAGCAGACGCCTAGTAACACCTGGCTAGTCAATACATGGATCCAGATATTCCATGGGTCAATATCCAAAATGCAAAAACGATGTACTGAATGAGACAGACACTGATAGTTTATCCATGAAGGTACTTTGATCTCATATGATTTTAGAAGCGGAAGTGACTTTTGTCCAAGTTATTTTACAGAAGAGAAATTGATACCCAAGTACTTTTGTGGATCTATTGCTGAGTATTCCTGCAAAGTGGCTAAAACAAAGAAAGGTGGAATTTAGTGGTGCAACTAGCTGAAAAGCTTAGGAATGGAACTGACATTAACCAACACCGTATTCAAGGATAAAACAATCGATGTCATCAGAAGTATGCAGTTTTTCTCCAACTCTAACTTTTTTCCTCTGTACATTTATTTAATTCTCAGGTTCTATATAGTAGCAACTTGTCTATAGCAATTCCAGAATTGTATCTTCTCTTGTTCAGATCTAATAGAATACTGTCCTCTGCTTTCCTAGAAACTCCAGAAAATATCTCACTGCATCTTACTGGCTCTGACTGAATAAGATGTACATCATTGAACCTATGTCAATGGCCTGAGCAATGCATTGCTCTCATTGATAGATGACTTGTTTTTTCTGGAGCCAATGCCCATGAATTGAGAGTGGTGGAAGGGATGAAACCCACAAGAAAGTAAAGGCATTTCCAGACATTGAAGGGGAAATAGAAGTGGGTGATTTTTAAAGACAGATAGATAGATAGATAGATAGATAGATAGATAGATAGATAGATGTCATCTCTCATGGCTGAGCTGGAACTGGAATTCTCAAATCCTGACACCAAATCAGTAGTCTTTTCTACGACCTGTTTTACTCCCTGGCATCAGTGTCTTCCAACAGCTATATAATAAACGCCTCCAGTTGTATCTGAGTTCTGACACAGTGAAGTGTTTTTAGGTGTAATGTGGACCTTTCAAGGGAAAATCTCTATCTTTTCCATTCTAGTATCTGGCTCAACCTGATTCCTGTTATTATTGGAGCTCCCACATAGAAATACTAGTCATTGCATTAGAAAACTGAGAGATGAATAGAAAGCAGGAATTCTTATCCCATTTTGGAACAAAGAGGTCTCTATGAGTAAAATTAAGCAGACAATTATTAGAGGAAGCCATAACACATTAAATTAGCCAGTAAACAAATGCTTATTGAATATCTGTTTGGTATAAGTAACTCTTCTAGTTGTTATGGTGGGAAGACAGCAGACATAGTCCAGGTCTTCACAGCAACAAAACATATTAATGTCACTATAATTTGGATATTCATCTCCACCCAAATCTAATGCTGAAATATAATCTCTAATGTTAGAGGTGGGGCCTGCTGGGAGGTGATTGGATCACAGGGTCAGATCCCTTATGAATAGCTTGGGCCATCCCCTTGGTGATAAGTGAGCTTTCACTCTGAGTTCATATGAGATCTGGCGATTTGAAAGTGTGTGGCACTTCCCCCTGCCAGTCTCTGTCTTGCTCCTTCTCTGGCCATGTGACATGCCTCCTTCCTCATTGCCTTCCAACACGATTATAAGCTTCCTGAGGCCTCCCCAGAAGCTGAGCAGATGCCAACACCATGCTTCCTGTAAAGCCTGCAGAACTGTGAGCCAATTAAACCTCTTTTCTTTATACATTACCTTTATAATGTATATAAAGGTATTTCTTTACAGCAATGCAAGAATGACCTACTACACATGTGTACCAACATGGCATTTATACGTCTAGTATAGGAGGCAGAGTGCTATACTTGTGTTCAAATGTTACATTTCTAATGTCATAGCTCTTTTTCTCCAAATCCAAGTGATCAGAGTGTCAGATTCTTTACTTTAAAATGTAATAAGTAAGGATATAAATGAGATAATATGTAGAAAATGTCTTTATAAGTTGTCAAGCCCTACACACATACGTTATCATCATAAAAACAATATGGTAGTAAAATTCAAAGTGCCTAAGTTTTCTGAAAAGTCAGTCTTTGTGAACTGACAGATATTTCATGGAGACAATTTAGAAGACAGGATTTAAGTGAAAATGATTATAAATAACCCAAATTCATGACTAGAAAAAAATGTAATATACACATCCATACCCTAAACCAGGACAAATCTAAATAGATCAAGGATTTACATGCAGAAAAAAACCTGTATAAATTCTAAAAGAAAATATGTACATTTTTGTCATTACCTCGATGTTATGAGGAGCTTTTTTCTCCATATCTAGAGCCATTAAAGAAAGGATTGGTTCAATTTAACCACTGAAAAAGAGAACTTCTTACCTGAAAACATAACACAAGCAAAGTCAACGGATGACAACAACTTGGAGAAAAAACATCAACTTATATTTCAGGCTAAGGTGAGCCTCCCTGTTGTATAAAGAATTCTTAAATTCTTAAATTTATCATTATTATTATTTAATCTGAAGAGAGTTTCACTCTGTCACCCAGGCTGGAGTGCAGTGGCTCGATTCATAACGCACTGAAGCCTCAACTTCAGGGCTCAAGTTATTCTCCCACTTTACCCTCCCAAGTTGCTGGGACCACAGGTGTGTGCCACTATGCCCAGCTAATTTTACTTTTGTAGAGATAAGGTCTTGTTATGTTGCCCAGGCTGCTCTCAAACTCCTGGGTTCAAGCCATCCTCCCTCCTCAGTCTCCCAAAGTGCTGGGATTATAGGCATGAGCCACTGTGACTGGCCTTGATTTATTTATTTATTTGAGACAGAGTCTCACTCTGTCACCCAGGTTAGAGTGCCATGAATGTCATGATCTCAGCTCACTGCAACCTCTGTCTCCCAGGTTCAAGCAATTCTCCTGTCTCAGCCTCCCGAGTAGCTGGGCTTACAAGCTGTACCAACACACCCAGCTAATATCTGTATTTTTAGTAGACATGGGGTTTCACCATGTTGGCCAGGTGGGTCTCAAACTCCTGGCCTCAAGTGATCTGCCCACCTCGGCCTCCCAAAGTGCTGGGATTATAGGCATCAGCCACCGCACCTGGCCCCAGCCTTGATTTTTTAAATGTCACAGAAAAAAAAAAAAATCAGAGAGATAAATAGACATTCATTGAATATGAAGCAAATTGTTATTAAATATATAAAAGATTCTTAAATGTGAAAAATCCTTAACTCCATTTATAAGAAGTGAAAATTAAAAGGATATACTGATATACCATTTTTCACCAAAGAGAATAGGAAAAATATATATATGTTTGATAATGCACTCCATTGTGGGGTAATAGAACTCATATATTTCTGGAAAGAGCATAAATTGGTCTAACCCTCATGGATGGGAATTTTGCCACGTCTATCAAAATGAAAAGGTACGTGCCTTTTGACTCAGAAATTCCATTTTTGAGAATTAATCCTACCACTAGCACAAGAACAACTTGATGTATGTTCTACTTTAGTCAGACCACATTGCTTACAACAGCAAAAGACAGTAAACAATGGAAATGTCTATCCACAGAAGACTGTTAAAAAGTATACTTATTCATTTAATAGCATGCTACTCCATTGTATAAAAGAATGAGCATGCTCTCCACATATCATTACAGAAAGATGTATTGGCCCATGAAAAGAGCAGCATGCAGAAAAATGGAGGGAGAAAAATTATATACTTTATATTTTATTGTATAAACAACAAGAAACGATAAGACAGCAAAAAAGTCTGGGGACTTTTTTAGAGTTAAGGGGGTGGTGGTTGGTGGGAGGAAGCATGGTAAAACCTAAGCAGATGCAAGAGAACATTTTAGGATATACTTTTTATAATTTATGGCTTTTGGATCCGCTGAACAAATTGTTCATTAAACTTTTTATAAAAATAAATGTCAGAAATTCCATTCAAAGTCAAAAATTGTAGCAAGGACCTTGAAATCTTCAGAAATTCTGGTAGATTAATTTTGTCACCTTGTTTCTTTGTTTTTTTCATCTTTCTACACTGTGGAAAAATAACAACCACAACTTTATTCTTTTATGAAATGTCCTTTACAAGCACTCTTAATGTTCTGGTGATGATTTTTTTCCCCCAAAGTTCCTGACTAGATCACAAAGTAAAGAAACCCATGCTGATCAGGTCATTAGATTATAAGATCTATTTACTGTTGTTTGTACAAGTTAGAGTTCACAAAGCTTCTTCAAGATCAAGTAATTTTCCCTTTGGAAAGTTTGAGATTCTATTAAATGTTACACTATATAAGACATTTTCATTGTGTAACACATAATAAGTGTTAGTTGTAGTAAATAATTCTGTTTCCCATTAAAAGCCCTTGGAACAGGCTCTTTCTGACTAGATATTGTGTTTCAGGATAATTTGAGTCTAGCATTGAGACATAGGTTTCTTGATTTCTAAACTATATACTTGAAACCCATAGAAGTTAGTGATGGAAGGGCCATCATTCTCTTTAAATGATCTATATTAATTTATCTATGCCCGTAGAATAAAAGACAGATTTCACAATGTCAAAACCAATAAATTTAGCTGAGTAATATGGAGGAAAAACAAAATCTTGCATCCCTAGAAGATAGATTTAATTAAATCTATTTTTAAATAGCCAATAAATTTTATTACTAGGGATCAGAGAAGAACAAACATAAAGGTGATAAGATTATTCTGAGATGAATATAGTTTGGGGTAAAAGCAACATTCTAATAAATGTAGAAAAGCCTAAGGTGTAGAAGGGTTGCATAATACAGAAATTTTTTCTCCTGAAAGAAAAAATAAACAATCAGAAGGTGATGAAAATTCATTTCCCAAGCTATGTCTTGTTTGTTCTATTGACATTGTATTTGGCTGCTCGCATCTCAAAACATTGATGGTTGCTGGGCATACCCTTGTAGCAGTGAGAAACTCCATGGCCACCTGGAAATTGTGACTCTCACCTGACACTAGGCAGCTGGTGCTTTCAAGTCATGCTGAAAACTTAATGGTCATTTCTAATCAGCTACGTAATTCTTAGAACAGTGCCCAGGATATTTTTAACAGTGACAAAAATAACACATATAGATTAGCCAAGGGCTTTGCAAGGAGATATTGCCAGCTGCTTACTTAAAATTTAAAAATTTATTACACTTTGTTTCTATCCCTAATATTAGTATGTGGTGGGGATGGGAGAGAAGGTTGCTAGCACCGTGCTTGACGCAAGCAGACTTTTAATAAATTGTATATTAACAGAACATATTTTGATATTAAAAAGTCAATATTAAACCTAAGTATTATATTTAGGTAATATCCATATAGACATATAAGAAGACTTTTTTACTGTATGTTAATTTTGAGTATGTTGTAAGCTCAATTGTGTATTTCTGGTTCCAAGATGGCCAAATAGGAACAGCTCCGGTCTGCAGCTCCCAGGGGGATCTACACAGAAGACGGGTGATTTCTGCATTTCCAATTGAGGTACCTGGTTCATCTCACTGGGACTGGTTGGACAGTGAGTGCGGCCAAAGAAGGGCGAGCCAAAGCAGGGCGGGGTGTCACCTCACCCGGGAAGTGCAAGGGGTCAGGGGATTTCCCTTCCCTAGCCTAGGTAAGCCGTGATAGACTGTACCAGGAAAATTGGGACACAGCCCCCTAAACACTGTGCTTTTCCAATGGTCTTAGCAAATGGCACACCAGGAGATTATATCCCATGCCTGGCTCAGCGGGTCCCATGCTCACAGAGCCTTGCTCACTGTTAGTTCAAGATCCAACGGCGAGGCAGCAAGCCTCCTGGGGGAGGGGCATCCGCCATTGCTGAGGCTTGGGTAGGTAAACAAAGCAGCCAGGAAGCTCGAACTGGGTGAAGCCCACCGCAGCTCAAGGAGGCTTGCCTGCCTCTGTAGACTCCACCACTGGGGTCAGGGCATAGCTGAACAAAAGGCAGCAGAAACTTCTGCAGACTTAAACATCCCTGTCTGACAGCTCTGAAGAGAGCAGTGGTTCTCCCAGTATGGTGTTTGAGCTCTGAGAACGGACAGACTGCCTCCTCAAGTGAGTCCCTGACCCCTGTGTAGCATAACTGGGAGACACCTCCCAGTAGGGGCCAACTGACACCTCATACAGCTAGATGCCCCTCTGAGATGAAGTTTTCAGAGGAAGGATCAGTCAGTAATATTTGCTGTTCTGCAGTATTTGCTGTTCTACAGCCCCCCCTGGTGATACCCAGACAAACAGGGTCTGGAGTGGATCTCCAGCAAACTCCAACAGACCTGCAACTGAGGGACCTGACTGTTAGAAGGAAAACTAACAAACAGAAAGGAATAGCATCAACAAAAAGGACATCCACACCAAAACCCCATCTGTAGGTCACCATCATCAAAGACCAAAGGTAGATAAAACCACAAAGATGGGGAGAAACCAGAGCAGAAAAGCTGAAAATTCTAAAAACCAGAGCACCCCTTCTCCTCCAAAGGCTCACAGCTCCTCGCCAGCAAAGGAACAAAGCTGGACAGAGAATGACATTGATGAGTTGACAGAAGTAGGCTTCAGAAAGTCAGTAATAACAAACTTCTCTGAGCTAAAGGAGAATGTTTGAACCCATCACAAGGAAGCTAAAAACCTTGAAAAAAGATTAGACGAAAGGCTACCTGGAATGAACAGTGTAGAGAAGCCCTTAAATGACTTGATGGAGCTGAAAACCATGGCAAGAGAACTACGTGACGCATGCACAAGCTTTGGTAACAGATTTGATCAAGTGGAAGAAAGGGTATCAGTGATTGAAGATCAAATTAATGAAATGAAGTGAGAAGAGCAGTTTAGAGAAAAAAGAGTAAAAAGAAACAAACAAAGCCTCCAAGAAATGTGGGACTATGTGACAAGACCAAATCTATGTTTGATTGGTGTACCTGAAAGTGACGGGGAGAGTGGAACCAAGCTGGAAAACACTCTTTAGGATATTATCCAGGAGAACTTCCCAACATAGCAAGGCAGGCCGACATTCAAATTCAGGAAATACAGAGAGCACCACAAAGATACTCCTCGAGAGGAGCATCCCCAAGACACATAATTATCAGATTCACCAAAGTTGAAATGAAGGAAAAAATGTTAAGGGTAACCAGAGAGAAAGTTCGGGTTACCCACAAAGGGAAACCCATCAGACTAACAGCGGATCTCTCGGCAGAAACTCTACAAGCCAGAAGAGAGCGGGGGCCCATATTCAACATTCTTAAAGAAAAGAATTTTCAATCCAGAATTTCATATCCAGCCAAACTAAGCTTCATAAGTGAAGGAGAAATAAAATACTTTACAGGCAAACAAATGCTGAGAGATTTTGTCACCACCAGGCCTGCCTTACAACAGCTCCTGAAGGAATCATTAAACATGGAAAGGAACAACCAATACCAGCCACTGCAAAAACATGCCAAATTGTAAAGACCATCAATGCTAGGAAGAAACTGCATCAACTAATGGGCAAAATAACCAGCTAACATCATAATGACAAGATCAAATTCACACATAACAATATTAACCTTAAATGTAAATGGGCTAAATGCTCCAATTAGAAGACACAGACTGGCAAATTGGATAAAGAGTCAAGACGCATCAGTGTGTGGTATTCAGGAGACCCATCTCACACGCAGAGACACACATAGGCTCAAAATAAAGGGATGGAGGAAGATGTACCAAGCAAATGGAAAGCAAAAAAAAGCAGAGGTTGCAATCCTAGTCTCTGATAAAACAGACTTTAAACCAATAAAGATCAAAAGAGACAAAGAAGGCCATTACATAATGGTAAAGGGATCAATTCAACAAGAAGACTAACTATCCTAAATATGTATGCACCCAATACAGGAGCATCCAGATTCATAAAGCAAGTCCTTAGAGACCTAAAAAGAGACTTAGATTCCCACACAATAATAATGGGAGACCTTAACATCCCACTGTCAATATTAGACAGATCAACGAGACAGAAGGTTAACAAAGATATCCAGGACTTGAACTCAGCTCTGCACCAAGCAGACCTAATAGACATCTACAGAACTCTCCACCCCAAATCAACAGAATATACATTCTTCTTAGCACCACATCACACTTATTCCAAAATTGACCACATATTTGGAAGTAAAGCTCTCCTCAGCAAATGTAAATGAACAGAAATTGTAACAAACTGTCTCTCAGACCACAGTGCAACCAAATTAGAACTCAGGATTAAGAAACTCACTCAAAACCACACAACTACATGGAAACTGAACAACCTGCTCCTGAATGACTACTGGGTAAATAATGAAATGAAGGCAGAAATAAAGATGTTCTTTGAAACCAATGAGAACAAAGACACAACGTACCAGAATCTCTGGGACACATTTAAAGCAGTGTGTAGAGGGAAATTTATAGCACTAAATGCCCACAAGAGAAAGCAGGAAAGATCTAAAATTGACACCCTAACATCACAATTGAAAGAACTAGAGAAGCAAGAGCAAACACATTCAAAAGCTAGCAGAAGGCAAGAAATAACTAAGATCAGAGCAGAACTGAAAGATACAGAGACATAAAAACCCTTGAAAAAATCAATGAATCCAGGAGCTGGTTTTTTGAAAAAATGAACAAAATTGATAGACTGCTAGCAAGACTAATAAAGAAGAAAAGAGAGAAGACTCAAATAGACGCAATAAAAAATGATACAGGGGATATCACCACCGATCCCACAGAAATACACACTACCATCAGAGAATACTATAAACACCTCTATGCATATAAACTCGAAAATCCAGAAGAAATGAATAAATTCCTGGACACATACAGCCTCCCAAGACTAAACCAGGAAGAAGTTGAATCGCTGAATAGAACAATAACAGGCTCTGAAATTGAGGCAATAATTAACAGCCTACCAACCAAAAAAAGTCCAGGACCAGACGGATTCACAGCCGAATTCTGCCAGAGGTACAAGGAGGAGCTGGTACCATTCCTTCTGAAACTATTCCAATCAATAGAAAAAGAGGGAATCCTCTCTAATTCATTTTATGAGGCCAGCATCATCCTGATACCAAAGCCTGGCAGCGACACAACAAAAAAAAGAGAGAGAGTGTTTTAGACCAACATCCCTGATGAACATCGATGCAAAAATCCTCAATAAAATACTGGCAAACTGAATCCAGCAGCATATCAAAAAGCTTATCCATCAAGATCAAGTTGGCTTCATCCCTGGGATGCGAGGCTAGTTCAACATACACAAATCAATAAACGTAGTCCATCACATAAACAGAACCAAAGACAAAAACCACATGATTGAATAGATGCAGAAAAGGCCTTCACCAAAATTCAACAGCCCTTCATACTAAAAACTCAATAAACCAGGTAGTGACAGAATGTATCTCAAAATAATAAGAGCTATTTGTGACAAACCCACAGCCAGTATCATACTGAATGGGCAAAAACTGGAAGCATTCCTTTGAAAACTGGCACAAGACAGGGATGCCCTCTCTCACCACTATTCAACATAGTGTTGGAAGTTCTGGCCGGGGCAATCAGGGAAGAGAAAGAAATAAAGTGTATTCAATCAGGAAAAGAGGAAGTCAAATTGTTCCTGTTTGCAGATGACAGGATTGTATATTTAGAAAACTCCATTGTCTCAGCCCCAAATCTCCTTAAGCTGATAAGCAACTTCAGCAAAGTCTCAGGATACAAAATCAATGTGCAAAAATCACAAGCATTCTTATACACCAATAACAGACAAACAGAGAGCCAAATCATGAGTGAACTCCCATTCACAATTGCTACAAAGAGAATAAAATACCTAGGAATCCAACTTACAAGGATGTGAAGGACCTCTTCAAGGAGAACTACAAACCACTGCTCAATGAAATAAAAGAGGACACAAACAATGGAAGAACATTCCATGCTCATGGGTAGGAAGAATCAATATCATGAAAATGGCCATACTGCCCAAGGTAATTTATAGATTCAATGCCATCCCCATCAAGCTACCAATGATTTTCTGCACAGAATTGGAAAAAACTGCTTTAAAGTTCATACGGAACCAAAAAAGGGCCTGCATTGCCAAGACAATCCTAAGCAAAAAGAACAAAGCTGGAGGCATCACGCTACCTGCCTTCAAACTATACTACAAGTCTGCAGTAACCAAACAGCATGGGACTGGTACCAGAACAGAGATATAGACCAATGGAACAAAACAGAGGCCTCAGAAATAACACCACACATCTACAACTATCTGATCTTTGACAAACCTGACAAAAACAAGAAACGGGGAAAGGATTCCCTATTTAATAAATGGTGCTGGGGGCCGGGCGCGGTGGCTCACGCCTGTAATCCCAGCACTTTGGGAGGCCGAGGCGGGCGGATCACGAGGTCAGGAGATCGAGACCATCCCGGCTAAAACGGTGAAACCCCGTCTCTACTAAAAATACAAAAAATTAGCCGGGCGTAGTGGCGGGCGCCTGTAGTCCCAGCTACTTGGGAGGCTGAGGCAGGAGAATGGCGTGAACCCGGGAGGCGGAGCTTGCAGTGAGCCGAGATCCCGCCACTGCACTCCAGCCTGGGTGACAGAGCGAGACTCCGTCTCAAAAAAAAAAAAAAAAAAAAAAAAAAAATGGTGCTGGGAAAACTGGCTAGCCATATGCAGAAAGCTGAAACGGGATCCCTTCCTTACATCTTAGACAAAAATTAATTCAAGATGGATTAAAGACTTACATGTTAGACCTAAAACCATAAAAACCCTAGAAGAAAACCTAGGCAATACCATTCAGGACATAGGCATGGGCAAGGACTTCATGAGTAAAACACCAAAAGCAATGGCAACAAAAGCCAAAATAGACAAATGGGATCTAATTAAACTAAAGAACTTCTGCCCAGCAAAAGAAACTACCATAAGAGTGAACAGGCAACCTACAGAATGGGAGAAAATTTTTGCAATCTACCCATCTGACAAAGGGCTAATATCCAGAATCTACAAAGAACTTAAACAAATTTACAAAAAAACAAACAAACAAACAAAAAACAAAAAAACAACTCTGTCAAAAGTGGGCAAAGGGTATGAACAGACACTTCTCAAAAGAAGACAATTATGCAGCCAACAGACGCATGAAAAAATGATCATCATCACTGGTCATCAGAGAAATGCAAAACCACAATGAGATATCATCTCACACCAGTTAGAATGGCAATCATTAAAAAGTCAGGAAACAACAGGTGCTGGAGAGGATGTGGAGAAATAGGAACACTCTTACACTGTTGTTGGGAGTGCAAACTAGTTCAACCATTGTGGAAGACAGTGTGGCAATTCCTCAAGGATCTAGAACTAGAAATACCATTTGATCCAGCGATCCCTTTACTGGGTATATACCCAAAGGATTATAAATCATGCTACTATAAAGACACATGCATATGTATGTTTATTGCGGCACTGCTCACAATAGCAAAGACTTAGAACTAACCCAAATGTCCATCAGTGATAGACTGGATTAAGAAAATGTGGCACATATACATTATGGACTACTCTGCAGCCATAAAAAAGGATGAGTTCATGTCCTTTGTAGCGACATGGATAAGCTGGAAACCATCATTCGGAGCAAAATATTGCAAGGACGGAAAACCAAACACCACATATTCTCACTTATAGGTGGGAATTGAACAATGACAACACTTGGACACAGGGTGGGGAACATCACACGCTGGGGCCTGTCATGGGGTTGAGGGATGGGGGAGGTATAGCATTAGGAGAAATACCTAATGTAAATGATGAGTTAACGGGTGCAGCAAACCAACATAGCACATGTATACATATTTAACAAACCTGCACATTGTGCACATGTACCCTAGAACTTAAAGTATAATTTAAAAAATAGTGTATTTATATATCACCTTAAAATTAAATGGCTTTTAGGCCAGGCGTGGTGCACACACCTGTAATCCCAGCACTTTGGGAGGCCAAGGCAGGTGAATTGCTTGAGCTCAGGAGTTCAAGACCATCCTCGGCAACATGGTGAAACCCTGTCTCTACAAAAAATACAAAAATTAGCTAGGTATGGTGGCACGTGCCTGTATTCCCAGCTACCTGGGAGGTGGAGGCGGGAGAATCACTTGAGTCTGGGAGGTCAAGGCTGCAGTTGAACCACTGCACTCAAGCCTGGGCAACAGAACAAGACCCTGTCTCAAAAAATAAATAAAATTAAATGACTTTTAAACACTTTCCTCAGGTGCCTCAAACTGAGTAACAAATAGTAAGATCATCTGAATTTTAGTAATAAAAATGCATTTGGACACCCAAAATTCTGTTTAAAAAAGCAGTATCTACTAAGCAGATAAAAGCAGTATCTACTAAGAAACTGATTTTATTGGTGAACATTGAGACTGGAATAAAATAAATAATATCTTGTTTCATGTGGACTAATAGAAAATTAGGAGCAAATTTTGAGGCTGATTTTTAAGGAATTTTAGCTAAATTCATATTCAGCTTCAACCTCATGCTTGGTTAAGTTTTATCCCTTTTTTTTTTTAACCTTACTTCAGAATTGTGCTATCATCTCACTAACCTGTGGATAGCTGTAAATAGTTTCAAATAATGTCTAAAAAAGGTGGACTCTAAGTAAATAAAACTACACAAAAGCGGCAGCAAGCAAAACCTGCAGACTTTTATTGAGTGTTGATGGCCAAACAGTGTGCTAGGGTCTGGAGCTCAAAGATGAAAACAACACAATTCCACTTTAGTCAGGCTGTGTAAAGAGGAGAAACAGATGCAAACACAGAAAATTACTATGAAATGAAGTATGACAAATGTAGTCATAAATATATATAGGGCATTCAAGGAGAATTAAGGAGAAATATCTAACACGACCTAGGAGGGTGGGAGCTTAAGAATCCTTGGCATGATGACACCTGATTGAGTCATTGAGGATGAGAGAGGAGTGGGGGACAATATCAGCACTGGAAGAGAAGCAAATCACAGCATGGTGTGGGGGCTGTGATGCCACTGGAGCATAACATTTTGGTTCTGAGGGTTAGATGATAAGGCTGGGTCAGGTGGCAAGGACCTACTTCCGCAGAGTCTATTTCAGAGGCAAAGTTGTGGTGCTGCAACGAAAGTTGTTTTGGCACCTCAAAAGCTGCAGTGAATGCTAACAACATTAGACTGCTTGAAAATCATGATTTTTCGGAATTATTAACTTTCCGAAAAATGGTCGACCTATAAACTCTTTTTTTTTTCTGAGACGGAGTCTCGCTCTGTCGCCCAGGCTGGAGTGCAGTGGCGCGATCTCGGCTCACTGCAAGCTCCGCCTCCGTGGTTCACGCCATTCTCCTGCCTCAGCCTCCCGAGTAGCTGGGACTACAGGCGCCTGCCACCACGCCTGGCTAATTTTTTGTAGTTTTAGTAGAGACGAGGTTTCACCGTGTTAGCCAGGATGGTCTCTATCTCCTGACCTCGTGATCTGCCCGCCTTCCAAAGTGCTGGGATTACAGGCGTGAGCCACCGCACCCGGCCTAGACCTAGTAAACTCTTAAACAAGACACATTAATTGAAAAATAGATTTCATTATAACACTTAATCTTGTCTCTCCTCTTCCTCAATTCCTTAACTTGAAAATTAACTGCTAATGATACTGTTATCTATGGAGATGCTTGACTCAAGATAGAAATGCATCAGCTCCAGAAGGAAGGGATTTCTCTTGGAAGGAAGAGATTGTCCTGACAAAATGTTTTCAGCCGTCTTACATGCTAGGGGGTGGATGCAAAGCACTGAATGTGTCTCTGCATTGTCCTTTTCCTTCTTCTCTTTTCCCTCCTTAATTCTTTCCAAATATTCTCTCTTTTCTCTTATAAGAAAACTCCATTATTTTTTAAACTGTGACATTTCAACATTTTACTCATGCTTAATCATTTAAATTTGCCTGATACTGCTTTTAAGTACGTAAGTATGGAGAATTCTGCCTATACTTCCAGAAACAGATTTTTTTCATTCATGAATCTAGTAATTAATTCTGATTGAGTGTTGGGACATGTGATAGGTGTCAGTGAAAGAGTGGAAGGCAAGGAGACGTGAAGAGCAGTGGGGAAAAAGACACTGGTGAAATTATCACACAGCAGGGTATACATGATTACAAACTGTGTTAAGTTTAGGAGGGAAAAATGCAGGGTGCTAACAAGAACCTTTAATAGATGAACTTGCCCTATTTTGGGGAATCATGGAAGGCTTCCCACTGGGAGCATTACATTTGATCTGAAGGTGAAAAAGTGGAGGAGCTTTCAAAGCAGAATGCACAGCATGTGCAAAGGCTCTGTGGTGGAAAGGTCTATGGTCTAATCAAGAAACTGAAAGAAAGACAGTGTGGTTGGGGCTCAGAGGAGAAAAAAGGAGAGTGAAGAAGAAGCTGCAGACATAAACAGGTACTGTATTCTGCAATATCTTGTAAGCCAGCCTAAGAAAATTTGGAGGCAATTGGGTATTCTGAGTTTGAGTATGACTTGATCAGATTTGCATTTTTCAAAAAGCACTTTATTTGTCAAGTGGCAAGAGTGGATCCATGGAAACCATTATCCAGCTCAGGCAAGAGGTGATTGTAATGTAGACTAGGGTGGTGGTAGCAGAGAAGTAGAGAAACAGGAAAATTCTGGAGATATTTATGGAGCTAAATTAATAAGACCTAAGTGTAAACATTGTGGTTAGGCCACAGCAGTTAGGAGTGCAGCTTCTAGAGCCAGACCCTCTGATATAAGTCATGGCCCTGACCCTTGTTAGCTGTGTGACTTTGAACCTGTCCATTAACCTTTGCCTTGGTTTTATCATCTGTAAAATGGACATAATAGTGGTACTTTCCTCCCAGGATTGTTGTGAGGACTAAATACTTAATAGACTTACAGCACCTGGTACATTGCCTGGCACACGTGAGTGCTCTAGTAATGTTGGATGCTGTTAGATTGGAATATGAAGAGTGTAGATGGAGAAGAAGGAGGAGTCAAGGAGGACTGTCAGGAATTATATCCATTGTACTCAAACATGGCTGAAATCCATTTAAAATTATTCGTTTAAGGACAAGAAATGATTACACTCTAAACTAGTAACAATCTGCAGGAAGAGATTATGTTCTTGCCCAATAGGAAAATCTTTTTTTCGGGTCAGATCTGAATGAGTAAATTACTCTCCCTTCAAAAAGTAATAAAAAACAAAAGAATGGGCCGGGCATGGTGGCTCACGTCTGTAATCCCAGCATTTTGGGAGGTCGAGGCAGGTAGAATACCTGAGTTCAGGAGTTCGAGACCAGCCTGACCAACATGGTGAAACCCTGTCTCTACTAAAAACACAAAATTAGCTGAGCGTGGTGGTGCACGCCTGTAGTCCCAGCTACTCCGGAGGCTGAGGCAGAAGAATCGCTTGAAACCAGGAGGTGGAGGTTGCAGTGAGCCAAGACCGTGCCACCCACAGCACGCCAGCCTGGGCAACAAGAGCCAAACTCCATCTGAAAAAAAAAAAAAAAAAAAAAACAACGCCAACCCCAATCCTGTCAAGGACTGCTGAGCACCAAATAGCAGCCTGGATACCACAGAGCACATACATTAAAATGAGATTAGAAACTGTTTCTTGGACAATAAGGAACGAGCAGCAACCCCTTTAGGAAGTTACTGAGACACGCTTATCCATTCTTTCACCATGTATTTGTGGAGTGCCTGTAATTTGTCAGGCAATTCGTTAGGTGCAGGAATATCAAGTGATCAAGACACATAGTTTCCCTCTGCCTAAGGGTTCATGTAGGAGATTGATGTAAAAAAGGAAGACAGAAAAGAAGAAAGAAAGAGAGAAAGAGAACGAAAGAAAGAGAGAAAGAAAGAGAGAAAGAGAACGAAAGAAAGAGAGAAAGAAAGAGAGAAAGAGAGGCAGAAAGGGAGGATGGGAGGAAGGAAGGGAGGAAGAGAGGGAGGGAGGGAGGGAAGGAAGGAAGGAAAGAAGGAAGGAAGGAGCCAAGAAATTTTTGAAAATTAAACTCTACATCTGAGGTTAGCAAATAGAAAAAATGAATACAATTGAAAAAGTAAAAATAGGAGAAAAATAAGAAAAATTACTAAACACGACAACAGTTGTTTTAGGGGTCAATAGCACACATTATACTAAAATATTAATACTAAAAACAGTCTCATTAAAGCCAGGAAACTTTTATGAGTGCTTATCATTATTATTTGGCAATGTTTGGTATATTCTAGTTATTGCAATCAAACAAAAATGAAACATGTTATAAACATTGAGAAAGAATTACTACTTTTAGATGATTGCCTACCTAAAAAAAAATCTGGCTGGGCGCAGTGGCTCATGCCTGTAATCCCAGCCCTTTGGGAGGCCGAGGTGGGTGGATCAGGAGGTCAGGACTTCAAGACCAGCCTGGCCAAGGTGGTGAAACCCTGTCTCTACTAAAAATACAAAAATTAGCTGGGCACGGTGGCAGGCGCCTGTAATCCCTGTTACTAGAGAGACCTAGGTAGGAGAATCGCTTGAACCCGGGGGGCAGCGGTTGCAATGAGCCGAGATCATGCCACTGCACTCCAGACTGGGCAACAGAGTGAGGCTTCATCTCAAAAAAAAAAAAAAAAAAATTCCAGGAAACATTATTAAAAATCTATCAGTGCTAACAAGACAATACAATAAGATGGCAGATACAAGATAACTATGTATATATCAACAACTTTCCTTTTACAAAGAGAAATTAAAAATTGAAATATAAAAAATCTCATTTTGGGTCTGGGGTGGTGACTCACACCTGTTACCCCAGCACTTTGGAAGGCTGAGGCAGGAGGATCACTTGAGGCTAGGAATTTCAGACCAGCCTGGGCAGCATGGTGAGACCCTGTCTCCATCAGAAAACAAAAACAAAAACAAATTAGCTGGGCATGATGTTGTGAGCCTGTAGTCCTAGCTACTCAGACAGAGGCTGAGGCTGATGGATTGCTTGAGCCCAGGAGTCCAATGCTGTAGTAAATTATGAATGTGCCACTGCACTCCAGCCTGGGCAACAGAGCAAGACCCTGTTTCTTGAAAAAAAAGAAAAATCTCACTTCACATATTGCACTAATGAAAAAAGCTCTAAAATATCTATGAACAAATTAAATAATAAAAGTGAAATCTTATAAGAAGAAAATAATAAAAACTAACTAAGGCAATAATAAATAGATATTTCATATTCCTGGGTGGGAGGACAATGTCATAAAGATATCCATTCTTTCCAGTATAAAATTGCTTGAATTGCCAAGCAGAATTGATGTTTTGGGTTTTTCTTTGGGTAGGGTGGAAAGGGTGGTGGTGGTTGTTCTGGTGGTGTTGGACTTATCCAAGAGTGATGGAATTAGATGAGATGTTTTAAGTACAGTAGAAATATGGTCATAGTTTCCTATGAAATGATTACATTGGCTACCATGTGGGAAATGACTGTGTGTGTTTGTGGCAGGGAGAGCTAAGAAAAAGGGGGAAGTCTAGTTAGAATGAGTCAGAAGGCTAAGGCTGCCTTATAAATAAGGTTACAGATGATAGGTTATAGATAAAGGTGGCTGGATCACGGTGGCAGAACAGGTAGTGGGGGAAAATGCACTCCTTTGAGATATATTTAAGAGAAAATCAGTACAACTCAGAGCATAAACTGTGAACATTTCCAGATGCAGAATGAAAAAACTGGAAGTACTAATAAAGGACTCTGACACAAAAATAACAATTCCCAGGACAGTGTGGCATGAGACAGACAGATTGCCAGGAAACATTAGGAAAAGCATCAATAAAATCCAGGCAACTCCAAAAAGAGAGAGGTCCAGAAATGGTGTGAAGAAAGATCTCTCAGTTGTTTCTAGGTCAGGGCTTTCAGCAATTCCTTGCAAGGAAGAAACTAGGAATGAATAATGGAACTATCTTTTGTGTTTTGCTGCATAGATTATGCCTAAATTAACTTTTTAAAACTTGTTCATGTTATTCAATGTGAATTCACTCTTATGTAACTAATCCTGTAGTCTTCATAAAATTCTGAATTAGCAAAATTCTCCAAAGATTATTATGCATTAAATATGTTAACTGGGCGAAAGTCTCCTGAATTACACTCAAACCTCTGCTGTCTGGAGTTTTCACCAATAAACTGGATGAGCAGTATTCCTCATAGAATTTTGTTTTAATGAGTCCAATTTCTGTCTGCTACATTGACTCTAGAGAATGAATTAATTGCACCAGAAGATGATTAGTTTCTGGTCAGATATAAGGAGGCCAATTTTCCATGAGGAAATTTTTCAAAAATATCATTTGGTAAATAATTACCATCATAAGAAGAGTAAAATTCTAGTCATTACAATCTTCTGAAGCCCTCAGAAAAAAAATCCAAAGAGAATGAAACAGATATCTAGAACAGATAACAACTTCCTCTTCCTGTTATTCTGCAAACTGCACTACTCCTCCCCAAAGGAGACAAAAATACTTATTTTAAGGTGCATTTTGGTTGAGGTGATGTCTAATATTTTACACAATCAATATAAAATTCCTAATTTCATATGTATGTTCTAGCACCTCCCCAAAGCACCTGTGGCGTAATGAACTGTGGCAGGTATTGAACTAGTAATTCGTAAAAACTTAAAAAGCCATTCTTCATCATTTGTAGAATTCACCCAGTTTCAAATGTGTAGACTTTTTTCTCTTATAGAAGTATTTGGCTTTTTTAAAACTCATAATTAAGATTTATATGGTTGAAGACAAAATAAACCTTAAAGACTACTTTCGAAGTCTTTTCCTATTTTTCCACAAGTAATATTGTGAAAACTATATGTCCTATTTCTCAACAATGCCTAATTTTAACCAGTAGCAAAGTTGATGCAATAAATGCTTTCAGAACAAACAGTATTTTTGACTTCAATCCAGAAGTTAATTTGTCCTAGGGCTTAAAGACTCATAAAATCAGTTTTTAATGACATAGCTACTGTCTACATGTATTTGCCAATCTTTCCCCTGAAGATGAGAACTGCTAGGCTAATTGCCAAATAGATAACACTAATATATTGCTCGTACTTTTAACTCTTCCATGGTTGTTTTGGAAGAGATTGCATGCTTTACATCTGGAGTGTTGATTACCCAAGCGGTATCTGCTTGTATTGCAGCTCAATCATTTTTGACTGGGTCAAGCCTCAGGAATAACCTTCCCTTTCTTATCAATTACTTTTTAGCTAATTAGGATGTTATAAAATATATTTTCAGGAAGAAATCTTTTTTTATAAATCATGAGGTTTTGGGGGAAAGCAATGTAAGGTCATGAATCAATTCACCAATTGCTTTGGTGAAAATTAGTTGCATGCCTATACCTGATCTCCAGAAATCTGTGGTATTTTTGTTCTCCAGCCAGGTGACCATGTTTCCAGGATGAATGGGAAACCAGCTTAGTTCATAATCCAAAAAGTAAGCATTCTTAAGGTTTACCTTCATTCATAGAATACATTTGAGTTTATTAGCAAAACCAAAGGTTCTAAATATTATGTCTTAAAAAATAAATAAAACCTTTTTTTGCCATAAAAATGTTAATATGCCTTGTGGGTAGGATAAATAGCGGCATTACTTTCATCTCTAATTCATTAATTCATCATTGATTTATTAATTCAATTGTGGTTTTAACTAGGCAGCTATGCATACATTTAGCGAAAAGCTGATTTCATTTAAAGAAACTTGCTGGAGATCACACATCTAAAAACAGGCAACTCCCCAAATTAAACCAATGCTCTTATTTCTTAAGATATCCTATGTTGAAGCATGTATTTACACCCCCACCTGTTTTCCTCATACTGTGTTAGAAAGACTTCTTAAAACAAATAGAACATATTTGGCATCTGTGGGCTAGCATATAAACTTAGAAAAAAAATCTCTTGACAGTTTCTAATATCCCTCTACTTTTTATCAACTTTCCACCCTAAATCAACATCAAAGGGTTTTATTATCTCTTATCAGGAAAGTGATTCCACAATATTCCTTGGAAACTATTTAAGTGTTACAGGAACCATTTGTTTTCTAGTCAAAGTGCATATGGAACAGCCAATCACATAAAGTATAGTGACTGAGAACCCAGTACTGATCTTGTGGAAGATATAATCTTATAAAAACATTAAATGTGAGTATAACTTAGCATTAAATCTTAATATCTAATTTTCCCTCAAAATCGTGATAATAATAGGGCTGGGTAATGTTATGACTGTTAGGACTTCTCCTCTTGGTCTGACACTACCACATCCAGAATTTGCGTTTAGTGAGAATGTGCTTTTATGCCTTCTCCATATGCAAATAGAGATTAGGTTGACAGAAACAGCTAAATTTAAAAAAAAATGTGTTCTCAAGGAGATATTTGACTTGTTTTGATGGTAAAGGAGTTACTTGGGATCTCATGTGTTGTGGGTTTCATCAAGGTGGGGTAGGACTGATTCTCAGGTTTGCCTAACTACATTGAGCATTAACACAGAAGGTAAAAAAGGTAACTACCAAAAGGCATTCCACCTGACAGAAACTAATTTAGTGCCACACCTGTACTAACATTCGAATTTTCCTCTTTATATTAAAAAAAATTTTCATCGACTCTTTCTTTCTCTTTCTTTCTTTCTTTCTCTTTTTCTTTCTTTCTTTCTCTCTCTTTCTTTCTCTCTCTCTCTCTCTTTCTTTTTTGAGACAGGGTTTCACTCTTGTTGCCCAGGCTAGAGTGCAATGGCGTGATCTTGGCTCACTGCAACCTCCGCCTCCTGAGTTCAAGCCATTCTCCCGCCTCAGTCTCTCGAGTAGCTGGGATTACAGGCATGCACCACCATACTTGGCTAATTTTGTATTTTTAGTAGAGATGGGGTTTCTCCATTTTGGTCAGGGTGGTCTCGAACTCCTGGCCTCAAGTGGTCCACCTGCCTTGGCCTCCCAAAGTGTTGGGATTACAAGCGTGAGCCACTGCGCCCGGCTTTGTCAACTATTTTCATGACACCATTTTGGAAAAAAAAGTTTAACATTGCCACTTATATTACTTGACTTGTTTATCTTTGTAATACTTGGCATTTACTCATATGTATATACCACTGTATATTTTATAAGCCTCTGCATAGCATATATGCTTCTGCTTCATACAAAATCACCATGTAAATAATATTTGACAATATTTCATATCTTAAATTTGGTGGAGAATGTCAGAAAAGTAAGCCTGTTGTTCAGTATTCCTAGCCTTCATATCAGCATCTCTCACCTGAGCAGAGCGTGGAGAAAAGAGAGCCTAGATGGCAGCCAACTGATGGTCTCCTGCAGGAGGCAGATGAGCAGCTTGAGCTGGCTGGCCATCAGGTTGACTCCATGCATCTGGCTTGGAATCCCTGATCTCTGAGCCGATGCAGGCTTTGGCAGACACTGTGCAAAGAGCATTCATACATGCTCATTTAATCCCCACAACAACCTCGTGAAGTGAATATCATCACCCCCATTTCACAGTCTACTAAGTAGTCCACTTCTAAATGAGACTGGCTTGACTCCAAAGCCCTAGTTTTTTTTTTTTTTTTTTTTGAGACGGAGTCTCGCTCTGTCGCCCAGGCCGGACTGCGGACTGCAGTGGCGCAATCTCGGCTCACTGCAAGCTCCGCTTCCCGGGTTCACGCCATTCTCCTGCCTCAGCCTCCCGAGTAGCTGAGACTACAGGCGCCCGCCACCGCGCCCGGCTAATTTTTTTGTATTTTTAGTAGAGACGGGGTTTCACCTTCTTAGCCAGGATGGTCTCGATCTCCTGACCTCATGATCCACCCGCCTCGGCCTCCCAAAGTGCTGGGATTACAGGCGTGAGCCACCGCGCCCGGCCCAAAGCCCTAGTTTTTAACAATTTTACTCTGCTCCCTCTTTCCTGGTAAACTCAAAGTGTCATCGAGCCTTGGCTTCCACTCTTGGCACGTAAGCTCTTATCATTGCACATTTTCTCTCCAGGCTCTGTTTTTGTAAACTTTTATTTAAAAATATTTCTTATATTGATTTTATTAAAAATTCCTTGGGAGAATAGAGGACCGTACATGGATGTCACAGAACGAGATAAGGACGAAAGCAACACATTTGATTAAACGTCACTGGATGACTTGATCTCTTCCCAGAGAGATATTATCCCTCTGCTTTCTCTCTTACCCAAAATCTTATTTGTTTACTTCTTTATCCATAGGGGCTATAGCTACCTTTCCTACATTTGATTTTAGCCAAAAGGCCGAGAAGCGATAGCTACCTTTCCTAATCCCTTCATCTTGTGTAGCAAAAGAGTTTAAAATAAAATTAGAGAAGAGGGATCACAAACCAAAAGCTCTATTCCAAAAACAAGTTCTGAGTATACGGGTAAAATTCAGTCTATACTAAGGTAATCTCAACAGTCAAGGTCAAAAATCTCTCTCACGATCTTCAGTGTGATGGATGGGCATTGTCAGCTTAGATTGTAAGTTTAATTTAAGGATAATTTCTTGCTTTGCCTTTGGCTGCTTCCTGATCAGCAACTCCAAATGCACGTGGAAAAAAAAATTAACTCAGGAGCTTAAGTGTTTCTAGAAACCTGACAGTTAATGTAGGCCCATGGAGACTGAGATGACTGTGATGATTTCAGGAGAGATTTACCCAGCTCCAGCTGATTATTTCATGAAGCCATGCAAATAGAATCCAGAGTGGCCAGATCTGATTTTTGAAGAGAAATCCAAAGGTTTATGTGAAATCTCTTTTGAAAGATGTTTGACTCTTTTGTGGCAACACTGCATGTACCAATCTAAACTCATCGCACCATATTGCGGCCTCTGCCTTAAAAGTTGACCCTTCTGGAGCTCTGCTTCATGTAGTTTACCCTATCCACCCTGCACCTCCTCTTCCTCAGAACCTACCACTCCCATGGCTTCAGTTACCAACTGTGCCCCAGATCTCTCATCTCAGGTTCTTAGTAGGCATAATATTTAACTTCTTACTGAGCATCTGGCTGGTGTCTCAAACTCACCACATCGGAAAGAGAAGTCATTCTCTAATGTCTCAAGCAAATCTATTTCCCTCCCACACTCAATATTTCTTATTGTGGTACACTGCATGACCATCCACTTGGTTGTCCAAACTAGAAACCTAGGCATTGACCCTTCCCCACAACCAATCAACTCCACAAACTGTTACCTCAAACATACCTCACTACTCACTTCTCTAATCTCACTGCCATCACTCTAGTGCAACCAGCCACCTTCTCTAGTCTAGACACACTGGAGTCATTTTAACTGATGCTGGGTTCTAAAGCCAGCATATAAGGTAGGGATTCTGGTCAAAATGTGTGTGCCAACCCTTCACCACATTCAGCCAGTGAGACACTCAGATTCTGAAAAGACTGACTGTAAAAAACACAGTCTCCCAGCGGCTCCTCAGTCTGGGTCATCCTGTCTCTTCACTGAGTAAATTATTCCAGGCTATGTAAAGTGTTATTTCTTGTTTTTTTCTATCTTCTGTTTGTCTAGCTGATATAATTAAATATTCAGGAGTTAAATGTTCACATAATACATCTCCATAATGCTACAAACACATCACCTTAAGTTTCATCCCTCCTTTAACTCATTCTCAGTTATGCAGTGAGAATGATCTTTGGAAAATGCAAATCTGTAGAATGATCCACTATTTGAAATATGTCATACCATGGAATCAGTTCTCTGAAAAAAATTCACTCTGGTATTGTTTGTTCCAATTTTTTATTGAATAGTTACACAAAAGTGTTTGCTTCGTATTAACTCACTGGGCTATAATTTCTACACTATGCTATTTATGTGTTCCACTTCCATTTAAAAGTTAAAACTATAAATAAATAAAATAATGCAAATCCTATCATGCTTTTCCTTATTATTAAGATAAATTCAAAATTCTTAGCCCCTTCCCACTTCTCCAGGTTCATTCCTATATCACTTTCTACCTCAAGTTTGCTGAATCTAAATATATTGATCTTTCAGTTTTTTGAATTTACCACATTCTTTATTTCTATTGGTCTTTGCATGCACTAGCTCGTCTGCTAGAAACACCTCTTCCTTAGCTTTTCCCATTTTCGATCTCAATTTAAATATTATTTTCTCAGGGACATCATTCTTAGTACTCCATATCGAGTTAATTCTATTGTTACATGCTCTCACAGATTCTGTATTCCATTCACCACCCTCAAAGTCCTTTAGTTACTTGTTTAATACATACTTTCTGTGCTAGAGTGTAAACTTCATGAGAGCAAGAATCATGATCATAGTACCTGACATATGGCTTTTAATTCTCCAGTTTCTGTAGTAACAACATCACTACACACATAATAAAGTACATACAAGCAATGTACAGATAACAACATAAAATTATATAGAGACACTATGTGGGAAAACAAAGGTACTCTCTCTAACCTTAAAAGGCAAAGACTAAATGCTAAATAACTAACTTTCATTTCTGCTTTTATGACATTCAGAAGAACGCAGGGATTATCTACCAAATGAATAAAGTTTTACATTCTAGAATATACGAGTGATATGCAGGCTTCATAACCTCAGTCTCCAAGCCTCCTGCCTTATACTTCTCAACATTCCATTTTTTGTAGCAAAAAGTTCCCTGCTTAAAACCTCCCAATGACTTCCTACTACAACCAAAATAAAATCCAAGCTCTTGACCAGCTTCTCTATGATCCATTTCCTACTTTCCTCTGACCTCATCCCCTCCAGGCTTCCCCTCATTCATTATGCTTTTGGCTTCAGCCACATTGGTCTTCTTTCTGTTTCTGTAAGAGTTAAAGGCTTTGCAATCACTTCTCTCAGATCTTCAAATGTGGCCACTTTCTCATCATTTATATCCTAATTCAAATATCACTTCCTCACAAGGGTCTTTCTTGACCTCCCCACCTAAAGCACTCATTTCTATCCAATAGCACTCACTATTGTTTGCAGTTTTTCTTCTCCAGAAATTTAGCAGAACCTGAAATAACATAATTTGTTTACAAGATTAATGTCTATGTGTCCACATGGAGGCAAAGACTTATCTACCGTTTATCGAAAATATTCTCAGTGATGAGAATAGTAGCACATAGTAGGTGATCCATAAATATGTTAACTAAGTTATTCTGGATATGCAGCTGCAGGCAAGTCAAGCCTTGGAAGTCTAAAGGCTTTTTGGAAGACTTCTAAGAAGATTCCAAAAAGTCAAAGCAAATGTGTGGTTTTCTAAATGTATTTAGTGACCTCTGCTGGAATACTTACCAAGGGAACCAAATACAAGTCTTCATTTGTTCCTACTTGCCCTCTCACTTCTTTTCATTGGGTGATAAAATGTTAGCATAAGTATAAAATTTGGTATCAGGGACTTTTGTGAGTGCTTCTCCCAACTTGGAGAAAACCCATCTCCCTTTCTGTCTGGATGACTGTTCTCTTTCTGCTCTCATCTCATCAATTTGTGCTTTTAGCACAAACATTATAGGAGAATGTTCAGGGATATGGGAGGAAGAGAAATTTCCCTGATTCCTCTTCAAATCTTTTTGCACAAATGACTGCCTTTCTCTGCACAAATACCTGAACAAAGGGAATTCATCCAGATACTATGGATAGATGAAGATATATCCATCTCATGGATATACTTCATATGGTTCCATTTATTTTACCTCTCTTAACCCAATGAACAACTTTGAAAATGATATTTACCATAAACAAGCAAAGCATTGGCAAAGGATGTTCTCATGTTGAGAATAACAGGATCAAGAGAATAAGTCTACTATGAGGGATCATTAGGAGATGACGTGTGGCTGAGAGTGCTGGTACTTGACACAAAAACGCCAAATGGGAACTAAAGACTAGAAATTTCGAAAAATCAGAATAATGAGTGTGAGTGTGTGAAACAATCATGTGTATTTAATTCATTTATATGATTAAACTTTTGAAAACTGTGTTACTCATCCTATATACGGTATATATATATATATATATATATATATATATATATATGTATACGTTTATTGCAGAAAATGTGTAGAACACAAATAAAAATACCACACAAATATCAATCATAATTACAACCAGTTTAAGACAACTATTGTAAGAGTTTTTACATGTAGCCTCCCGTCTTTTGTTTATGTCTATTCCAGCCTTCTATTACATATACTTCATGAACAGAGGTATAGAGTACATTTTCACAAAATTAAATCAATCATACTACTTATTTTATTTTACATCCTACTTATTTTCATTTAGGATGTTATAAAATATACTCATTGATCTTAAGGTCATTTTTCTGAAAAAAATGTTTTCTCTAGGCATTTGATCAGGTAATATATACAGGTGGTACAACTTCAAAAAAATGAAAGAAAAGTAAAGCCTTCTTTTTACCCCTTTCCTTTTCAATGGTAACCTCTGCCATTAGGGAAAGCTTTTACTAAACCATCATATGTGTTATAAAAAAGGCTAAGATTACTAAAGTGGTTGGCATAGTACCAGGCACAATGTTAAGTGACTTATATAGATTATCTCATCCCCATTTTATCAAGAAAACAAAAACTTAGGTAAGAAATTGGCTCAAGTTTACACAGCAGATAAGTGATGCCACAAGTGCCTAACTCACAACTAAGCAGTTGATACCTGGAACAGATTGCAAATAAATAATTCAGCCTTATCATGTAAGCTGGAGAATATGGATCATTGTGCTCCTGTAGCCTGTGTGACACTGGATGAACCAATCTCAAGGCTCCTGGAACAGAAAACTGCAAACGTGAAACTCTATCACTGTCATCCCATTCTCACTCCTGTCAACATGTCCTTAGATTTGGTTTTACTGGAATGTGCACTTGCAGGACTCTCAGAGGTTATGTGAACATAAGCAAACCATTTTATAAAGGAGACAATCATTTTGATCATTTGGGATCATATGTTTTCTATTTTAGTACTTGATTTTTTTTATTAGCCATATAATCTTTTTCTCACAACGCAAACAAATGGATAACAAACTATGTACTTAAATGTACTTTTCTGGACAAAGATAAGAATCAACTGTGTCACAAAATCATAGATGACATTTATTTATTTTTGTTTTAATTAATTTTTTATTTTATTTTATTTTTTAAGAGAGTGGTTGTTCAGGTTGGCCTTAAACTCCTGGGCTCAAGTGATTCATCCCCCTCAGCCTCCTGAGTAGCTGGAACAACAGGTGTGTACTACCACATCAAGCTGACATATTTAATCTATTTGGCTTACATAGATTTATTAATGTAATATAATGAAATGTGGTTCTGCCCATCTTGAGTCATTAAAATAAGTGTAAGTCTATAAGACCAAGTATATAGAAAATAATTTAAAACCTAATAAAAGGTGCTAAAATAGTATTATCAAGTAACAAATTACAATTCTGATTGTAATTCTAACTTAAAGGATATTTTGTATGAGCTTCAGTTCTGCTGCTTTAGAGAATAATAATGTAAAAATATTGATTTTAGCTACATCTGTAAAGATGGCTCAAAATTAAGCTTGCTTGTGAATGCACCAACTCTCTGTAGGTACAATATAGGATATATGTGTATGGGTGTGTAAATAAATTGGAACATATATATTTACAAACATAGAAACACAAGGGAAAAGCAAACATATGCCATTTATCTGCAGTCTGATCCTGATGATTTTTCTTCCCATGTTTGAACATTTACATTGACTGAATTATTCTTTATCAATTTGATAATATTTGAAGGAAATGTACAAACATGACAAAGATTTATTTTTACTACCTCATTAAAATTATTGACTGATGATTATTGACCAGTCAAAATTATGTTTTTTTTCATGTTACACCCAAAGACATACTCAAATTTATGCTTTTTTATAGGGAAAGTTTTAAGAAAAGTAATTGAGAAAAGGGGGCTCAAGATCTCTGGCTATCACCAAAATTCAATTTGTAAGTGTAGAATAAAATAACTAGGAATATTTTTTAAAAGCTCTAGAAATAGGAATCAAAAGAAAGAAGAATATTTAGGAAATCCAAAGGGATTTAAAGCATAAAAATATGTCCCAATCAGTCTACATGTAATCTAAGGAGGCCTGCAAACTTAATGAGGGGAGTTGCCAATATTGTATCACTTTGGAAATGATGAAATAAGCATTGGTAACTGTATGAATCTAGGAGTCTGGTCAAAAGGACAAGGGCTAAAAGGCTGAACTTGGGTCATGCCCTGCCTATCCCAGGAAGTGCTTACCTATGTCCTGAATCAGAGGGTTTTTCTGTTGACAGCTCTGGATTGTTTGGGTAGATACTGACAGGGCAGATACCGTCCTCACAATACCTGCCCAGAAAGACGAGAAAGAGGAGGAAGAATTCCTCCTTCCACCAGGAATTCTGTGGGAAGCACATAAGATTTCATGCTACTAGTTTATTCCCAAGAGAAGCTACCAAAGCCTGGTAACTCTACCAACTCTAACTTTTGTGCCTGTAAGTTCTCTTCTCCTGGGATTACAACTAATTGAAACAGGAATTCAAAGGAGTCTCGGAGGACTGTAAGAAGAATGCTTCGAGGCCGATCCCTCTCTGTAACATCCCTGGGTGGGCTTCCCCAGTGGGAAGTCGAAGAACTTCCTGTGGAGGAGTTACTGCTCTTTGAAGTTGCTTGGGAAGTGACCAATAAAGGTTTGTACTGCTCCTGAAGGTGGATCAGTACACCTTCACTAGGTGACTGAGGAATGTAGAGTAAGATTTCACAGATAACTCTCTAGTGATAACCAATTGCTAGTGAGTGAGGAAAGCATTTAAACGGAATATATATTTAGGCTACATTTAACCTTGTCTATTACAACAGGCTATGAATACAGACTTGTGTATGTGTTGAAGAGGGAGAAAGTTGAAAATATTAGCCATTGCCATGGAATGTGCATTTAAATTAAAATTTAAAATCCATATTATGACAACATAGAAATAAAAAGTTAATATTTACATTTTTTGTTTTAAAATTTTTCTCAGCAAAATAGTATAATTAAACATTTTATTTTAGGAAGATGTATATGTGATTAGAACCAGTTGGAAACCTCAACTCTACATTCTGTTAGTAATTATATGAAATGCTTAAGAATGTTTCATATTCACAATTAGCTTGGAATTAATGTTTTAATTCAGGAGCTTCTCAAAAGGCAAAATACTGTGCTCCTTTCAGAATGAAAGTAATTTTTTTCTTCAATGCTATGCTTATGTAGGAATTATAAAATAAAGAAAATCAAATTGATAAAACAATTTGCGAGTGAGGTATAACCTCATCTGTGCTGGGTAAGAGAAGGCAAGGTAGAGAACCACAATGTAAATGATTTTGAAAATAAAGACATCTGTAAAATTATAAAACAATTCCTTGTGGGTTTATACTCTCTAGTTTAAAAGTGTCAAGACTATTGAAGGAACATTAGCAAAGAAAAAGTCATGGTTTTGAAGGCTGAGTTCCTCAAGATCTTGAAGAATCAAGCCAACTGATTGCTGGGTAAATGGCAGTGATGACTTGTGTGATTTAAACGATCTGAAATTATGTCATGTGTTGTGATATATAACACATTTATTTTTCATTTTGTGTTTACTATTTCATGTCTATTACAGTAATCTAAAGGATCTGAAATAATAACCAGAATGTGATATATTACTTCCTTCTTTTGGCTAATCAGAGCCAGCATAATCTCAAAATTAAATGCATTATATATGGCATGCATTCTGAAAAATCAGAATTCACCTTATACTAACTGTTCAAAGTTCTCGTGTGTATGCATTCATAAAATCAAAATTAAAAGTCAATTTTGCCTATGTAGAAGTGGACAGAATGCATATAAGAGAACAAAGCACGGTCTTATTCTCTGTAGTTTAGTGAGAAAGAATCTAGGAGGACAGAAACCTTATTACAGAGAAGTGAAGTATTTTATGTGTACCTGTTTCTGTTGTTTCTTTTTAAATTATTTTGTATTCTTTTCCTCAGAGATCTTTATCCTGAAATGAGCATGTGTTTTTAATGTCCTTTTTCTAGTCACAAATTTTTCCAGTCCAGTTTTTAAATATGCCCAAAGTTCCTGGGAACAGAACCATCTCTATCACATGTGAATCCCGGAGTATGCCTTGAAATAAAAGTTTTCTCTAGAGAGTGGGCAGGAGCTCAAGGACATAGCTTATTGGTGGATAAAACTGGAAGGGACTTGTTAGCACTGGGAATCAGTCCAGAAGATCTCTGCACAAGTTCCTGCACCTGAGCAGAGCCCCTTCTGCTTTCCTCTTTTCTCATCATTTAACAAACATTAATGGAGCACTGTTACCTGGGCACTGGGAACACGCCAGTGAAACTAAGTTATTTTATGGATCTTATAATCAGTAGCATGTGTGTTGATCTCAGGGTCTAGAACAGTGCCTGGTACATAGAAAATGCTCAATGGATTTTTTTTTGAAAAAATTTGTTTTTCAACCCCTAAGCTGCCTTTAATACTTATTTTCTATCATTTCCCTTTCAAGGGGAAGGGAAGTGTTTTTGTGGAGAGGTCCCCACAATGTGATTTACACAAGTTGATATCATCTTCAATGTATCTTTATTTTAATATTATCATAGCCTGGTATGGTTTGAGATTTTCATATAGATGGATAATTATTGTGTTTATTCCTAATAATACATTGCCACTATAGTTTCTTTAAATTTAATGATTTGAATTTTTACTTCCCTGCATTTCATAGTAGTGATATGAGGTATCTTAGAGATCATGAATCCCACTCCTCCAGTTCATAGAGCAAATTGATTCGTAGAGGTATTTAATGATCAAGCAAATGGCAGAGTTAGGACCAGGATTTAGGTCTTTTCCAAGGCCAATTCACTTTTTTACTATTATGTAAGAATTAAATATTAAAACCTCAGTTTTCAAAGGAAATGTCCTATAGATGAAAGAACACAGTACTTGCAGTCAAAGGTCTTGGATTTCTGAAACTTTCTGAAAAAGAACCCCTTAAACTGAATAACAGTTTCTTCATGAATAAAATGAATGTTATACTCTCCAGTTATCTTACCATGTTTTCTGGCAAACAAGGAAATGTATTCACATCCAAGAAAACAAAAGGTTTCTTAGGAGAAGAATCCCTTGCTGCCAGAATTTTGCCCATGAACAATGGAAACGTGAAAAACATAACAGATGAGAGAGTCACAGTTAGTTTTGGGTACTAATTCTCAGACTTCAAAATAACCTTTTTAATTTATTAATATTAACCTTGAAATTTATTGCTTTTATTCATTAATCCATTTTATTATTCAGTAAGGATTCATCAAGTGTCTATTAGGTATCAGGCACTGAGAGGCGAGGGAGATAGAGTTAAGAATACAGAACTGATTCTTAATCTTCAAGAATTGACAAATTTGTAGAAGGTAGACATTGAACATACAATACAGTCAAATGTGATGAGTGTGAGACTAAGGGAACCAGGTGTCCTAAGACTATACAGTGTACCGTGGAATGGGGAGTGGTTTCTAACCTAGTTACCTAGAGGTTTGGGAAAAACCTCTCTAATGATGAGATGTTTGAGCTGACACTTGAAGGATAAATAGCTAAAGGGGAGAAAGCGTTCTATGTGAGAGAACTATATATGCCAAGATGCAGAAGTGTTCTCTGTTCGAAGATCTGAGCGGGGCTCAGAGAGGGAAAAGGAGAGGAGTATGAGAGAAGATGGGAGAGACCTGCAGGGACTAGATTGTGAAGCTCAGGGGGAGTTAATAGCCTTAAGGAGTTTTGTCTCCAGGGTATGAACAATGAATGAGGAGTCACTGAAATTCTATCCACAGTAGTGGGAAGTACTAAGTAGTCAGGTATGTTTTGGAAGAAGCACTGTTACCAGTTGAGGGAGAGGAGAGGAGGGAAATTAGACTGTGGTGTGACCCAGGATGGAAAGTTTTGCCCAAATGTGGGGGAAAAATGTTTACTCTCTCCTTTGCCCAGGTCTTACTACAATCATTTCTTCTGCACACACTTGCTCAGAACATTACAAACTCTGGAGAAATTAACATGTTAAGGATATTTAGGATCATTAAAAAAGTTTAATAAATGTTGTCACACATAATGAAAGTTAATTTAAGAATTGTAAAGACTTGAGCGATGTAGTCCCTAAATAAATGCTTCCCTCTTAAAATGGACTAGAAACAATTTGTTTTTGCCTAAGCCAACGTATTGCTGGACATAATTTACCTGCTTCCTCCTCAGTCTTGACACTACACCTCTGAATTACATGGTACAAGTGGCACAGGGAAGAATTCAGAAAACTAGAGTCAAAGTGGTTATGGAAGAAATTATAATAATGAGTCCACTCTTCTAGGACAGGAGTTCTAAAGGTGAGGACTTTGATATAAGTGAACTCAAGGAGTTTCTAAACCTTCAGAAATTATATCTAAAAATTAGGTGCACGTATATAGAAGTACTTTTCTCTGAGAAGAGGACTTCACACTTCCATCAGCTTCCTGAAGGCCCCTGTAATTGCCGTAAAGAACAACTGCTCTAAAGTTTAATACTAGGCTACTCGGCTGTTTTTTGTTAACACAGAAGTTTTCCAAATGGCTTTTCTCTAGAGCAAAATGAAAAGGATCCCATCCTTCCCGAGACCTAACGATGTTTATCTTTCGTGATACTGTTTTTGTTCTTCCTCTTTTTCTCCTACCCCCCACCACTTTTAAAGATCCATCAAGGCCCAGCATGGTGATTCACACCTGTAATCTCAACACTTTTCAAGGCTGAGGTGGGAGAATTGTTTGAGACCAAGAGTTGGATACCAGCCTGGGGAACATAGGGAGACCCTGTTTCTACAGAAATTTAAAAAATTTCTCTAGCTGGCCATGGAGGCTCACACCTGTAGTCCTAGCTACCTGAGAGGCTAAAGCAGGAGGATCAATTGAATCCAGGCGTTCTAGTGAGGCTTCAGTGAGCAAGATTGCACCATTGCACTCCAGCCGGGGTGACAGAGTGAGACCCTGTTTCAAACAAACAAGCAAAAGCAAAAAGATCCATCAATTTGTTGCTCCATTCCTTTACTTACTATCTTGCTGTCTACAGCTAAAGTCAGACTGCATGATTTGGAATTCCAACTCCACCATCACCTGGGTAATGTTGAGATTTATTACATAGCATCTCTGTGCCTCAGTTTCTCCATATATAAAATCTACCTGTAATAATGTTGTGAAAATTAAAAGAAATACCAGTTGTAAATCACTCAGAACTGTGCCTAGCATTTAATAAACACTCTGTAGGTATTAGCTTATTTCTTTATAAAATTTATTCATAAAATGAGGAAGTTAGCTCATGTATTGTCATACCAGCTTTCACTTTGAATGAGTCCATAATTGCATTTTTAAACACAAAAAGAGAAATAATAGGAAAAAATATGTATACATCAATGTTACTTCAATCACGGGATGCATAGTAATTAGGATTTCTTTGCCCTAATTACTGATGTGGATAAGCCGGTGGGCCATGTCAATGGCATCTCAAGCTGTTATCACACCATGTGAAACACACGATCTATGTAAAAACTATGCTTGGTTGCACAGCTTCAAGGAAAGCACTAGTCTACTCACTTCCTTTTCATTCAGCATGCTATGTCTAGGCCCCTTTCATATAAAATATTTGGAGCTGCCATTGTAGGTAGTGCAGGTGGTCTTGTTCAAAGTGTGAGTATCACCTCCCACTGCCAAGACTGCAGCTGCTTTGATTTTAACTGAGGATCTAGAAAAGTGCTGGGAACACAAATATTTGCTGACCTTTGTCACAAGTAGCACCTAATCTCCTTCCTACCAGACCTGCTGCCTTATAAAATGATGTTCTAAGTGTATAATGACTTCCTCTGCTTCTGCAACTGTGTTTTGGAACAGGAGGGTGAGATTAGTAGCCACACACACTGAAATAGTCATATGACTTCCAAAGTCTGTAATTTTTAAGCATATACAAAATAGTGAAATTTCTCCATATGTGTATAATATGTATATATGTGTGTATACATATATATAGAGAGAGAGACAGAGAGAGATGGGGGAGAGAGAGAGAGAGAGCGAGAGAGAGGCAGAGAAAGAGATCCTTATTTTGGCTGATATCTATTCTATACTTCTTTGAAATAGTGATTTTTAGTAAATTGGCAGTGTTGCCAGATGACGACTTAGAGTTTTAACCACCTCATTGTTATATGTACCATGGTAGCTCATCTTTTCTTTCAGGTGAAAGTTGTGATACTTTGTCCTCACGCTAAACATAGCCCCCATGTTGTTCCAGGAAAATAGAGATCAATAAAATACAAAGTACTTGTTTGAAAGTGAAGGTTAAGTTCAAATTCAATGACCTACGCTGTGGTAAAACGATCATTCATTAATGATATTAAGTATTTTCTTTTTTAATGTCAGAATAAAACCATTTATTTGCAGATTTAAAAATATATATGTGTATGTAAATCTCCTTGGTTTATACCTCAAATATGAAAATAGGAATGACCCTGTCTCTATGCTCTTGCATTCACTTATATTCTAGCTTGTTAAGAGAGAAGTTTGGGGCAAAATGTGCTTTATAAATAGTAAAAACTGAGGTAAACTATAGCACAAAGTGTGCTATATAAACAGTAAAAACCGAGGTAAAAATATGGGGAGGACAAAAAAGGGCTAAAATGGTGTTGGAATATAAGAAATAGCAGTAAAAGAAGCTCCTCACAGCAAGACAGTACAGGGAAATGTCTGGAGGGACAAAGATTTACTTACAATCAGGCCTCAACCAATATGAGATCGACTTTCTTTTATTGATATATGACGTGTTTATATGTATCAGGTACATGTGACATTTTGTTACATGCATATAATGTATAATGATCAAGTCAGGTATTTGGGGTATTCATCACCTCAAGTATTTATCGTTTCTATGTGTTAGGAACATTTCAAGACCTTTCTTCTACTATTTTGAAATATACAATATATTGTTTTTAACTATAATCACCCTACTTTGCTATTGAACATCAGAACATATTCCTTCTATCTAACTGCCTGTTTCCATTAACCAACTTCTCTTCGTCTCCCTTCCTCCCATAACGTACACACCTTTCTCTACCTCTGGTTTCTGTCATTCTACTCTCTACCTACATGATATTAACTTTTTTAGCTCCCACATATCAGTGAGAACATGCAAAATTTGTCTTTCTATGCCTGGCTTATTTCGTTTAACATAATGACTTCCAGTTTCATCCATGTTGCTGCAAATGAAATGATTTTATATTTGTATGGTTGAATAATATTCAATTGTGTGTATACACCACATTTTCTTCATTCATCCATTGATGGACACTTAGGTTGATTCCATATCTTTGCTAATGTGAATCGTGCTGCAATAAACAGTGTGGTACCAGTATCTGTTTATTATTCTGAATTCTTTTCCTTTGGATAAATACCCAGTAATAAGATTGCTGGATCTTATGATAGTTCAATTTTTAGCTTTTTGGTAAATCTACATATTGTTTTCCATAGTGGCTATACTAATTTGCATGCTTACCAATAGTGCCTACGAGTGCCTTTTCCTTCACATCCTTGCCAGCATGTGTTATTTATTTATTAATTTATTTAAATCATGATGATTCTAACTGGCATAAGATGATATCTCATTGTGGTTTTGATTTGCATTTCTCTGATGATTAGTAATGTTGAGCAATTTCCCCATACCCATTGTGCATTTGTATGTCTTCTTTTGAAAAATATCCTTTGCCAATTTTTTAATGAGATTATTTGTTTTTCCACTGTTGAGTTGTTTGAGTTTCTTATATATTCTGGAGATTAATTCCTTGTCAAATGTATGCAAATATTTTCTCGCATTCAACAGCTTGTCTCTTCACTGTGTTGATTGTTTCCTTTACTGTGCAGATGTATTTTAGCTTAATATAGTCCCATTTGTCTATTTTTGCTTTTGTTGCCTGTGCTTTTGAGGTCTTGGCCATAAAATCTTTGCCCAAAGCCATGTCTTGAAGTGTCTCCCTTATGTTTTCTTTTAGTAGTTTTATAGTTTTAAGTTTTATATTTAAGTCTTTAATCCATCTTGAGAGTACGTTTTATATGGCAATAAATAGGGGTTGTATTAGGCCATTTTTGCATCTATTGTACAAGGGGTTGAGTTCTTGATTTGATTCTCCATTTGGTTGCTGTTGGTGTATAGAAGAGTTACTGATTTGTGTGCATTCATCTTGTATCTGGAAACTTTGCTGAATTATTTTATCAGTTCTAGGAGCTTTCTGGAGGAGTCTTTAGGGTTTTAAAGGTAAATGATCATATCATCAGCAAACAGTGACAGTTTGACTTCCTCTTTACTGATTTGAATGCCCTTTATTTCTTTGTTTTGTCTGATTGCCCTGGCTAGGACTTCCAGTACTATGTTGAAGAGGAGTGGTGAGAGTGGGCATCCTTGTCTTGTTCCAGTTCTCAGAGGGAATGCTTTCAACTTTTCCCCATTCAATATTATGTTGGCTGTGGGTTTGTCACAGATGGCTTTTATTACACTGAGGTATGTCTCTTGTATGCTGATTTTGCTGAGCATTTTAATCATAAATGTATGCTGGATTTTGTTGAATGCTTTTTCTGCATCTATTGAGATGATCATGTAATTTTTGTTTTTAAATCTGTTTATGTGGTGTATCACACTTATTGACTTGCAGATGTCAAACCAACCCTGCATCCCTGGCATGGAACCTGCTTGATCATGGTGGATTATCTTTTTGTTATGTTGTTGAATTTGGTTATCTAGTATTTTGTTAAGGATTTTAGCATCTATGTTCATCAAGGCTATCAGTCTGTAGTTTTCTTTTTTGGTTATGTCCTTCCCTGGTTTTGGTGTGATGCTGGCTTCATAGAATGAATTAGGGCAGGTTCCTTCTTTATCTGTCTTGTAGAATAGTGTCAAAAAGATGGGGACCAATTCCTCTTTGAATGTCTAGTAGAATTCTGTTGTGAATCCATCTGGTCCTGAACTTTTTTTTGGTTGGTAATTTTTTAATTACCAATTAAATCTCACTGCTTGTTATTGGTCTGTTAGTAAATTTATTGAGGCTCATTTCATGGCCTATCATATGGTCTACCTTGGAGAAATTTCCACGCGCTGTTGAATAGAATGTGTGTTCTGTGGTTATTGGATGAAATGTTCTGTATATAACTGTTAAGTCCATTTGTTCTAAGGTATAATTTAAATCCATTATTTTTTTGTTGACTTTCTGTCTTGATGAACTGTCTAGTGCTGTCAATGAAGTATTGAAGTCCCCCACTATTATTGTGTTGCTGTCTATCTCATTTCTTAGGTCTATTAGTAATTGTTCTATAAATTTGGGAGCTCCAGTGTTAGGTGCATATATGTTTAAGATTGTGATATTTTCCTGTTGGACAAGGCCTTTTACCATTATATAATGTCCCTCTTTGTCTCTTTTAACTGCTGTTGCTTTAAAGTTTGTTTTGCCTACTCACTTTTGGTGGCCATTTGCATGAAATACCTTTTTCACCCTTTTAAGTGGAGCATTTAGGCCATTTACATTCAATGTTAGTAATGTAAATGCCTGGCTATGCCAGGCAGGAATGGCCTGCTCAGGGACCCAGTGAGCTCCCAGGGCCTTTCTCACTGCTTCCTCTACACCTGTATTTTGCTCAGCTCTCTAAGTTAACTCAACTCCAGGTAAGGTCAGAAACTTCTCCCACAAACAGACCTTCAGTTTCTCCAGTGGGAGTGTGTGTTTAGGAGAGGAGGATCTCCCTTTCCCACTTCCGCAGTTGGGGCACTCACAGTATTTGGGGTGTCTCCTGGGTCCTGCAGGAGCAATCTACTTCCTTCAGAGGGTCTGTGGGTCCTCTCAGGATTGCTGGTTTGTTCTTGCAGTCTATCTGCAGCTAAAATTCACAATGCGAGCCTCCACATGCTGCTCTGTCCATCTGAGTTGGAGCTGCAATCTAGGCCTACCTCCCATCCGCCAAGATCCTGAGAAGTTGGGGATTATATTTCAACATGAGATTTGGAGGGAACAAACATCCAAACCATATCAGCAGTCCAGTTTTATTCTTTTGCACATGGATATCCAATGGATATCCAATTTTTTCAGCACCATTTCTTGAACACTGTGTCCTTTCCTCAATGTATATTCTTGTCACCTTTGTTGAAAATCTGTTGGCTATAAATATGTGGATGCATTTCTAGGTTCTCTATTCTCTTCCATTGGTCTAAGTGTCTGTTCTAATGTCAGTATCATGCTGTTTAGGTTCCTATACTTTTGTAATATACTTTGAAATCAGGTAGTATGATACCTCTAGCATTGTTCTTTTTTCACAGGATGACTTTGGCTACTGGAGCTATTTTTTAATTTCATACAAATTTTAGATTGGTTTTTCCATTTCTGTGAAAAATGACATTGCTATTTTGATAGCGGTCATATAGAATCTGTAGATTGCTTTGGGTAGTATGGCCATTTTAACAATATTAATTTTTCTGATCCATGAACATAGGATATCTCTCCATTTGTTTCTGTCCTTTTCAATTCTTTTATCAGTGTTTTGTAGTTTTCCGAATAGAGGTTTTTCGGTTCCTTGGTTAAATTTATCCCTAAATATTTTATTTTTTAGCTATTGTAAATGGGATTGCCTTCTTAATTTCCTTCTCAGCTAGTTTATTATTGGTGTGTAGAAACATTGCTTGTTTCATATGCTGATTTTGTCTCCTGTAACTTTACTGAATTTATTTTTCAGCGCTAAGAGTGCTTTGGTGGAGTCTTGGTTTTTCTAGGTATAAAATCATGTCATCTGGAAAGATGGACAGTTTGACTTCATCTTTTCCTATTTGCATGCCTTTTCTTTCTTTCTTTCTCTGACCTGAAAGCTGTGGCTAGGACTTCCAGTATTATATTGAATAGGAGTGATGGAAGTGGGCATCCTTATTTTGTTTCAGTTCTTAGAGGAAAGGCTTCCAGCTTTTCCCAATTCAGTATGATGTTAGCTGTGGGTTTGTCATATATGACTTTTATTATATTGAGATATGTTCCTTCTATGATTGGCTGCAGATAGTTTTTATCATGAAGGAATGTTAAATTTTATCAAATACTTTTTCTGTATCTATTGAGATGATCATATGGTTTTTGTTCTTTTTGTTGATGTGATGTATCACATTTATTGATTTGAACTGTTCTTGCAACCCTAGTATAAATCCCACTTGATCATGGTGTATTATCTTTTGGATGTACTGTTGGATTCAGTTTGCTAGTATTTTGTTGAGGATTTTCACACCTATGTTCCATCAGGGATATTGACCTGCAGTTTTATTTTTACTTGCATCCTTGTCTGGTTATGGAATCAGGATAATACTGGCCTCAGAGAATGAGTTAGGGAGAATTCCTTCCTGTTTAATTTTTAAAAGAATTTAAGGAGACTTGTTAGTTTTCTTTGAAAGTTTGGTAAAATTTGACAGTAAAGCCATCTGGTCTTGAAATTTTCTTTTTTGGGAGACTTTTTACTACTGATTCAATTTCATTATTCATTACTGGTCTGTTCAGGTTTTCTATTCTTTCTTAATTCAATCTTGGTAGGTGGTATGTGTCCAGAAATTTATTAATTTCCTCTAGATTTTTCAGTTTTTTAGTGTATGGTTGTTCATAATAGTCTCTGATAATCTTTTCTATTTCTGTGGTATCGGTTGTAATATATTTTCTTTTTTATTTCTGATTTTCTTTATTTCAGTCTCTTCTCTTTTTCTTGGTTAGTCTAGCTAGAGCTATATCCATTTTATCTTTTTTAAATAACAACTTTTCATTTTGCTAATCCCTTGTTGTTGTTTTTCTCTATTTCATTAAGTTCTTCTGTTCTTCATTTTTTCTTTCCTTCTGCTAGTTTTGGGTTTTGTTCTTGCTTTTCTAGCTTGTTGAGGTACATGATTAGATTATATATTTGAAATCTTTCTATGTTTTTAATTTAAGTGTTTATTGATAAGCTTCTCTCTTAGCACTGCTTTTGCTGTATCCCATGGCTTTTCCTATGTTGTATTTCAATTTTCATTTGTTTCAAAAAATTTTTGATTTCCTTCTTAATTTTCTTCTTGACATAACGTTCATTCAGGAGCATGTTGTTTAATTTCCATGTATTTGTATAGGTTTTAAAGTTTTTCTTGTTATTGATTTCTAGTTTTATTCCATTGTGGTCTGAGAAGATGCTTAATATGATTTCAAATATTTCAAATTAGTTGAGACTTCTTTTGTGTTCTAACATATGGTGTATCCTGGGGAATGCGTCATGTGCTGATGAGATAAATATATTCTGTAGCTGTTGGATGAAATATTGTGTAAATGTTAGATCCATTTGGTCTAAAGTCAAGTTTAAATCCAATGTTTCTTTGTTAATTTTCTGTCTAGATGATCTATCTGATGCTGAGATTAGAATGTTGAAATCCCCAACTATTATTGTATTGGATTCTATTTCACCCTTTATATCTAATAACATTTGCTTTACATATCTGGATGCTCTGGTGTTGAGTGTGAATGTTTAGAATTGTTATATACTCTTGCTGAATTGTTCCTTTTATCATTATGTAATGACTTTTGTCTCTTAGTGTTTTTTATTTAAAGTCAATTTTATCTGTTATAGGTATAACTACTTTTGCTCATTTTTGGTTTCTCTTTGTATGGAAGATCTTTCATCTTTTTACTTTCAGTCTATATTTATCTTTACAAGTGAGATAAGTTTCTTATAGGCAGCTTACAACTGGGTCATATTTTTGTTTTAAATCTATTTAGCCAGTCTATATCTTTCAAGTAACAATTTAATCCATTTACATGCAAGGCTATTATTGACATGTGAGAGCTTATTCCTGCCATTTTGTTAATTGATTCCTGGTTGTTTTGTTTTTTTTTTAGTTTGTTTGTTTTGTGTTTTTTTCTTCCTTCCTTCCTTTTCTTTCTTTCATTCTCTCTCTCTCTCTCTTTCTTTCTTTCTTTCTTTCTTATTATTTATGATTGTGGTTTGGTGATTTTCTGTAGTGGTAACGTTTGAGTTCTTTCTCTTCTTTATTTGTGTTTTGCTCTACCAGTTAGTTGTATACCTTTGTGTGTCTTCATAATGGCAGTGTCCTGTCACTTTCATGTGTAGGACTCCCTTAAATATTTCTTGTAAAGCCAGTCTAGTGATAGTGAATTCCTTCAAATTTTTCTTGCCCAGAAAAGATTTTATTTATCCTTCATTTTTGAAGAACAATGTTGCTGGGTATAACATCCTTGGTGTCATTTTTTTCTTTCACTATTTTGAATATATCATCCCATCTTCTCCTGGCCTGTGAGGTTTCTGCTGAGAAATCTGCTGTTAATCTGTTAATCTTGTGGAAGTTCCCTTATAAGTGACTAGACATTTTGCTTGCTGTTTTAGAGTTCTTACTCTTTGGCTTTTGACAGTTTGACTATAATGTGCTGTGGAGAAGAGCTTTTTGCATTATATTATTTGGGAATTTCTGATTTTCATTTGTCTGGATGTCTACATTTCTTGCTAGACTTGACAAGTTTTCAGCTATTGTGTTGTTACGTAGGTTTCCTACACCTTTCATGTTCTCTTTACCTTCTGGGAAACTGCAAATTTGAATATTTGTTCACTTTATAGTGCCTCATATGTCACATACACTTTGTTCATTCTTTTTTTTTCCTTTCTATCATTTGACCAGCTAATTTTAAAAGACCTGTCTTCAAGTTCTGAAATTTTTCTTCTGCTTGATCTGATCTATTGTTGAAGTTTTTGAATGTATTTTGTATTTCTTTCAATAAACTCTTCAGTTACAGAATTTCTGTTTGGTTCATTCTTGTTGTATCTATCTCTTGGGTAAATTTCTCATTCATATCCTGAATTGTTTTTCTGATTTCTTTTTATTGTTTATCTGAGTTCTCTTGTGTCTCACTGAGCTTCCTTAATATCAACATTTTGGATTCTTTTTTCCAGAATTTTATAAATGTCTTTTTTTTCCACTGGCTTATGTTGCTGAAGAATTATTAAATTCCTTTGGAAGTGTCATATTTCTTCACCTTTTTATGTTTATTTTGTTCTTGCATTGATATCTCTGCATCTGGTGTAATGATTGCTGCTTCCAGTTTTGTAAATTTGTTTTTGTAGGGGAAGACTTTTTTCTGAAGATGTATCTTGGTGTTGATTGAGTAGGGCACTTTGATTTTGATTTCTAGGTGCATACAGCAGCATAGTCTTCATATTATTTTTTTTCAGCTGCCAACAGTATCATCAGTGTCTGTGATTTTTTCAGTGGCTTAGGGTGCATTTGTTAGTGAAGGTGGTGATGAGGTTGTGCTGGAGACAAGAATATCAAGTGGGCCAGTCCTTGGCCCCAGTGGTGGTGGTGGGCCTAGCATTCCTGTCCTTGGGCCCCATGGCTGTGTACATTGGCACTGATGGTAATGAGTCTAGTTGGGTTGATTCTTTGGCCTTCAGGCAGTTTGCTTGGGTGTCAGTAGTGGCCATAGTAGACTGGGCTGGTGTGTGGGTCCTCAGGCTTCTGGACAGTGGGTGTGGTGTGGGTGATGGCTGTAGCAACTGCAGGACAACCCTCTGGCTCCCAAGCAGTCTGCACTGGTGTTGGTGGTGGCTGCAAGGGCTGAATGAGCCAGTCTTCAGACCCACAGGTGGCACATGCAGGAGGTGCCAGTTGTGATGGCAGTGGCAGATTGGGTAGGCCCATCATCAGGCTTCTGGGAGGGTTGCTTAGGTACCAGTCATGGTGGATGGCACAAGGCTGTCTCTGGGTTCCCAGACAACTTGCTTAGGCATTGAGGAAGGCAAAGCCAGGCTGGGTGTTCCTGACCTCAGGCCACTCAGTGGTGTGTGTGGACACCGGCTATCATAGGCTGGAGTGGAGTGATCCTCAGGCCCCCAGCAGAATGCCTGAGTGAATTAGCAGCTACTGCATTGTTGCCCTGCTCTTGAAGGGGTGCGGGGTGTGTTGCTTTCAGTGGCAGCAGCTATAAATGGGTTGCTGGTGGGCATGTGTTTCAGCCCCAGATGGTGGCTGCAAGTGGGGTAGCATTTTCTTAGGGAGCTTATAAATGTGTAGCAGCCCTGCTACTGGGGGTGGGGGAGTCCACTTCTAATGACACACTTTATCCCTGGTGACAGCAGCCAGCAGTAGCACTCAGCTGTGGGTGGGGGATGTCAGCAGAGCTTCAGGGATGTAGAGATGCAGATGATGTTGGGGTCTGAGGAACGATGTCATCTGGTGGGTGTTGGGCTCTCAAAATGGCACCTTGCTGCTCAGTAATGGGGATGGCAGGGGTGGGACCCAGTGAGAGCTCCTTCTCTGGAGCAATGCCTTTGTGCGATTGCTGGGCAGTTCCTTATGATAGTCTCAAGGCCTGCATGGTCAAGGGACTCTCCTGTGGCTAGGATTCCTGGAGTCCATAATGCAGATGTGGACCACTGGGAGTCAGTCACTTAACTTTCGATGCACTGGGGAGCCTCTCTGGCCTCACAGAGGATCCCTACTGGGTAGGCTTCCTTGCTTCCCTCCCCTTCATTGCCTTAGATGCTTCCTGTCACTTCTCTGTTGAATTCCAGAATTCTCTCTTATGTGGGATTTTCTACTTACTATTTTGGTTCTTTGTGGAGGAGGTGAGTGTCAGCTGCCCTTAGTCAGTAATCTTCAAGCCCCTTCCCTTGAAATTTTTTAAGCTTTATGTTTTTATTTCTAATAGACTGAAAGAGCATAATCATATTTTAAACACTCTAAGGCTATATGGGGGACTATCTGAAGGCCTCAGATGAGTAAAAGAAGTAGCGAATTAGTTAACTATGTTTTTCTTTTCATTTCATTTCCCAAATCAAATCATTTGTTTCTTCAAATAAAGAATCTCTATTTCCCCCTTATGTTCTTCAGCAAATAAAAATGTTTGCATCTACCAAAGTGTATATGAATTTGAAATACGTAATCTAACAAACAAGGATGTTTTAAGATCTCTGAGTAAGATGCATAGTTGCAAATAAAAGGAGTTTTCAAGGATAAAAAATGTAAATAAAACATCTAATAAATGTGTACCATCAGAAACTTATGGTATATTCTCCTGGAAAAGATGAAGATGAAGAAAATAAGTCTACAGAAGAGGAGAAATTCTTTGGAAATTTTGCATTTTTGTGGATAGTGGTTTTGAAGAAAGCTTAGATATATTTAAATATGTTGCTAAGATGTGACTCCCACACTTTAAAGAAAAGTTCTTCATTTTAGTTGCCCTTGCAAATTGGCTAAGTTTATTTTTCCTCAACAAATAATTTTGATGGTTTCTAAAATTGTCCAGAATTTGAGGAAATACTTAGATGTAGTAGATGACATCAATTTATGTTAACTTAGATTTATTGTTGGATGGTTAAGTTAATCATGTCTGTTCTTGTCCAGTCTAGAAGTTTCTGCTTCCTCCTCATGTGTTCTATTCTGTCCTCATCACATAACATCTGAACTGTGATTTGACAGTGTCCTTATTATCAGACTCTGCTCAATGACAGTTTAAACTTCTTTTTGATACAGTAAAAAACTTTTCCTTAAAGATGAAATTCTTAAGGACAATTAGCTTGTGTAGACTCATATGAAAATTGCTTGCATTTTGGAGTTACATTAGCTCTTCTCCTTTATAAATTAATGAATCCTATTGGTACCATATAATAGCATCAACATTTGCCTTTTGTGTCTCGCCTTTCAAAGGGCAATTTTCCAAAAAGTATATTTTGCATGGCTCAGGCTAAAAGTAATGTCTCCAGATGAAGTTCTACTTTGTGACCATTGATTGTGACTATTGATAAGATTTACTATGTAAAGTATAAGTTACTGGAATAATACATTTAAGAAATATAGTAGCTATTAAAACCTGTAGTCTGATGAAATGGAATATGTTTTGAAAGACAGCAGTGAAAAATGAGAAGTAATATATAAGTAATAAAATTGCTTTTTGCAATTGAGTTGAAGATTGATGCCAGGATCTTATTACCTCCAGGATTTCACAAAGGATTTCTTGAGTCATCCCCTTGCTCTAGCTCATGAACAAAGTATTGCTCAAGTAATCGACAGATTATTTGTGTATTCTCACATGTGATTATTATTTAGTGCTGTCACGGGAAATATCCTGCCTAAGTTTACTGGAGGTCTTCCTCCCCTTACCCCTCCCTATGTCCTCCTACCTGGTTATCCTTTTCAATCCTATTACTCTTTCCTTGCACACTCTACTCCAGCTTAGGGCCTGGGCTCTGACCATTACCTCTGCCTAAAAATTCCTCCTCATGACATCCATTTGCCCAATTTCTTCACCCTTTTAATTACCCCATTAAGTGATATTTTGCTTGCTCAATTTTTGCCTTTTCAATCAGATCTAATTTATTTTATATTTTTAAAATTTATTTATATATATTTAGAAGGTATGTACTAGTTCGTTATCATGCTGCTTATAAAGACATACCTGAGACTGGGTAATTTATAAGGAAAAAACGTTTAATTGTCTCACAGTTCCACAGGGCTGGGGAGGCCTCGGGAAACTTACAATCATGGCAGAAGAAGAAACAAACATGTCCTTCTTCACATGGCAGCAGCAAGTAGAAGTGCCAAGCAAAAGGGGGAAAAGCCGCTTATAAAACCATCAGATCTTGTAAGAACTCACTATCACGAGAAGAGCATGAGAGTAACCTCCTCTATGATTCAATTACCTCCCTCCAAATCCCTCCCACAACACGTGAGGATTATGGGAACTACAATTCAAGATGAGATTTGGGTGGGGACACAGTCAAGCTGTATCAGGGTACAAGCTCGGGTTCCTTACATATGTATGTTGCATAGTGGTGAAGTCTGAGCTTTTAGTGGACCATCACCTGAAAAGTGAATGTTGTATCCAATCCGTAGTTTTTCAGTCCTCACCATACTCCTATCCTCCCACCTTTCTCTAGTCTCAAGTGTCTATTATTTCATTCTATATGTCTATGCTTACTCATCGTTTAGCTCCCACTTGGCTCTCACTAAATGAGAACATACTGTGTTTGACTTTCTGTTTCTGAGTTATTTCACTGAGGATAATGTCCTCCAGTTCTAACCATGTTTCTAGAGAAGACATGATTTCATTCTTTTTTATGGCTGAGTAATATATATGTATATAAATATATATACACCACATTTTCTTTATCCAATCGTCCATTGGTAGACATTTAGGTTGATTCCATATCTTTGCTATTGGGAACAGTGCTACTTTGAACATACTAATGCAGATATCTTTTTTAATATGATCTCTTTCACTTTGGGTCCATACCCAGTAGTGGGATTGCAGGATTGAATGGTAGTTCTGTTTCTAGTTCTTTAAGAAATCTTCATGCTGTCTTCCATAAAGTTTGTACTAATTTACATTCTTACCAACAGTGTATAAGCATTTTCTTGTCTCCACATCCTCACCAACATCTGCTGTTTTTGAACTTTATAATGATAGCCATTCTGACTGGCATAAGGAGGTATCATATGGTGGTTTTAATTTGCATTCTCTGATTATTAGTGATGTTGAACTTTTTTTTGACGTTTATTGGCCACTTGTATGTCTTCTTTTGGAAAATGTCTGCTCAGGACCTGAGCTCACTGTATTTGTCAGGGTTCCCTAGAGAGACAGAACTAATAGGAGATAGATAGATAGATAGATAGATAGATAGATAGATAGATAGATATAGATTTAGATATAAAAGGGAGTTTATTAAGTAGTGTTAACTTACACAATCACAAGGTCCCACAATAGGCCATCTGCAAGCAGAGGAGCAAGGAAGCCAGTCCAAGTCCCAAAGCTGAAGGACTTGGAGTCCAATGTTTGAGGGCAGGAAGCATCCAGCATGGGAGAAAGATGTAGGCTTGGAGGCTAAGCCAGTCCAGGATTTTCACATGTTTTTTTTCTGCCTGCTTTATATCCTGGCCACACTGGCAACTGATTAGATGGTGCCCACCCAGATTAAGGGTGGGTCTGCCTTTCCCAGCCCACTGACTAAAATGTTAATCTCCTTTGGCAATACCCTCACAGACACACTCAGGATCAATACTTTGCACACTTCAATCCAATCAAGTTGACACTCAGTATTAACCATCACAAGTCCATCGCTTGTCAACTTGAGCCTATACACATCCCCTGAGGTCATACATTATCTTCAAATAAAGACAACAATAAGTCATAATTATGCCTAACATACTAAAACTATCCTTCGTGCAATTGAAAATGCACCAATCCCCATTGCAAATGCTATTACATAAACTTAACAATACTTAAATGCTGATATGAAGTCAATAAATCTTATGTCACATGATAAAGGAAAAAGGAAGTAAAATGTATATATTTTCTTAGTACAAGTGTATACAGACACGAAGGTGTTTTTAACAAAAGAAGGAGGAAATACTCATGACAATTACAGTCCTTGTATCTGCAATTGGTCACGTGATCGTAGCTGGTATTGATGACTACCTTCTTCTGCTACATATTCTGTATTCCCTTTGCCCTCAGCAAGCACCTCAGCAGGTCTTGTCTTTTTTTTTTTTTTTTTTCCTGGTGGAGTGACCCAAACCTTTATTTGTAGTCCTGCCTGGAATGGCCTGTAGTAGTTTCCCACTGACCTTAATTCCAGGACATGGTAAAACTAAGAGACACCCTAATGGATCTCCTATATTCCATGCATACGCTTCCTTACCTCCATTGTGGAGTTGTAGACTGATTTCATCTTGATAGTCTGGGTTAATCACCGCAGCCAACACTGTAACTCTCTTCTTAGCCTGTTGACTTAAAGGTGGGAGGAGCCCAAAGTGTCCAGGTGGCAATCTTAATTTGCAGTTTAATGGAATCATTATTGTGTCACCTGGCGGCAGTGTTCCTCCCTCTGGAACTAAGACCTCTAAGCCAGCAGAACATAATGCCATGGGAACAGGAAGCAAAAATTTTGCTAGTGGAACACTAGGGGTGATGGTGAGTGGTGCCACTTCCACTTCCACTTCCACCCTTTGATTCCTGGACCCGTGAATCCTGTCTATGGGAGAAACAGTACCATATATTGGACACTGATTCAGAGCATACACAGCCTTCTGGAGAACTTTGCCCCAGGCCTGCAAAGTATTGTCACCTAGTTGGCATTGTAATCGTGACTTCAAAAGGCCATTCAAAAGCTGCTTCAGGATGATAGGGATCATGGTAAGACCAGTAAATTCCATGAGCATGAGCCCACTGTCACACTTCTTTAGCCATAAAGTGAGTGGCTTGGTCAGAAGCAATGCTGTGTGGAATACCATGACAGTGGATACGGCATTCTGTGATTCCATGGATGGTAGTCTTGGCATAAGCATTGAGTTCAGGATTGGGAAACCCATATCCAGAGTAAGTGTCTATTCCAGTGAGGACAAGCCTCTGCCCTTTCCATGATGGAAGAGGTCCAATATAATCAACCTGCCACCAGGTAGCTGGCTGATCACCCCGAGGAATGGTGCCATATCAAGGGCTTAGTGTTGGTCTCTGATGCTGGCAAGCAGTGGCTGTGGCCAGGTCAGCTTTGGTGAGTGGAAGTCCATGTTGCTGAGCCCAAGCATAACTTCCATCCCTGCAACTGTGGCCACTTTGTTCATGGGTCCATTGGACGATGACATGAGTGGCCTGGGAAAAGGCTGAGTGGTGTCCACAGAATTGATCATCCTATCCACTTGATTATTAAAATCCTCTTCTGCTGAGGTCACCCATTGGTGAGCACTCACATGGGATGAAAATATCTTTGTAGTTTTTGACTAATCATAGAGGTCCATCCACATACCTCTTCCCCAAATTTCTTTGTCATCAATTTTCCAGTCATGCTTTTTCCAAGTCCCTGACCATCTAGCCAAACCTTTGGCTACAGCCCATGAATAAGTATATAATCGCAAATCTGGCCATTTCTCCTTCTGTGCAAAGTGCACAACCAGGCACACTGCTCAAAGTTCTGCCAACTAGGAAGATTTCCCTTCACCGTTGTCCTTCAGGGATGTCCTAGAAAGGGGCTGTAGTGCTGCGGCTGTCCACTTTTGGGTGGTGCCTGCATATCGTGCAGAACTATCTGTGAACCAGGACCTAGTCTTCTCTTCCTCTGTCAGCTGATCATAGGGAACTCCCCATGAGACCATCGGTGCAGTCTCAGGGAGAGAAAGCAGTGTGTCAGGAGTGGAGACCATGGGCATTTGAGCCCCTTTCTCATGTAACTTACTAGTGCCTTCAGGATCTGCTCAAGCCCAATCGCATATATACCACTTCCATTTGCTGATGCAATGCTGCTGTGCACAGCCCACTTTATGGCTAGATGGATCAGAAAGCACCCAGTTCATGATAGGCAGTTCAGGTCACATGGTGACTTGATGACTCATAGTCAAATATTTCGTTTCCACCAAAGCCCAGTAACAGGCCAAGAGCTTTCTCCCTAAAAGAGAGTAGTTATCTGCAGAAGATGGCAGGGCCTTGCTCCAAAATCCTAGAGGCCTCCGCTGTGATTCAGCCTGCCAAATGCTCCAAACAGCATCCCTATCTGGCACTGACACCTCAAGCATCATTGGATCTGCTAGGTCATATGGCCCAAGTGGCATAGCAGCTTGCACAGCAGCCTGGACCTGTGGCAGAGCCTTCTGTTCTGGACTCCACTCAAAACTGGCAGCCTTTTGGATCACTCGATAAATGGGCCAGAGTAACACACCCAAATCAGGAATATGTTGCCTCCAAAATCCAAATAGGCCCACTAGGCGTTGTGCCTATTTCTTGGTTGTAAGAGTGGCCAAATGCAGCAAATTATCCTTCACTTTAGAAGGAATATCTCAAAGAGCCCCAAACCATTGGACCCCTATAAATTTTACTGAGGTAGAAGGTCCCTGAATTTAATCAGATTTATTTCCCATCCTCTGTCCCACAAATGTCTCATCAATAAATCCAGTGTGTTTGCTACTTCTTGCTCACTAGTTCCAGTCAGCATGTCATCAATGTAATGGACCACTGTGATATCTTGTGGAAGTGAAAGGTGAGCAAGTTCTCTCCAAATAAGATTATGGCACAAAGCTGGAGAGTTGATATACTCCTGAGTTCATCATTTTCTTTCATCACTTTGTCCAGCGAACTTACAAGCAACCAACCAACTTCACTATGTTCCTTGATTCTCCACATATAGTCAAAAGTATTATGTATACAGTAGCTAAATTCCTTGCCTCTCACAAGCGTTGAATCAAGAGTGTCAAATGCATTTATTTTGCATAACTCTCTAAACAATTGATGCCAAGGATTATCAGTGTTCTCCATACCATTAGAAGAAGAGTCCTTAGCATATTTGGGTCTAATCATATTAAGCAGCCAACTCCAGAAACCCCAAAACCAATGAAAGAACTCCATCCTTAATATTCTGTTCCTCTAGAACCACTCCTGGTACCAAAATCTGTATTAGGGTTCTACAGAGAAACAGAATTAATAGGAGATATATATCTATATCTATATCTATATCTATATCTATATCTATATCTATCTCTATATCTATCTCTATATCTATATCTATATGAGAGTTTATTATGTAGTATTGACTCACATGTTCACAAGGTCCCAAAACAGGCCATCTGCCAGCTGAGGAACAAGGAAGCTAGTCGGAGTCCCAAAGCTGAAGAACCTGGAGTTCAATGTTCCAGGGCAGGAAGAATCCAGCATGGGAGAAAAATGTAGGCTGGGATGCCAAGCCAATCTAGCCTTTTCACATTTTTCTGCCTGCTTTATATCCTGGCTGTGCTGGCAACTGATTAGATGGTGCCCACCCAGATTAAGGGTGGGTCTGCCTTCCCCAGCCCACTGACTGAAATATTAATCTCCTTTGGTAACACCCTCACAGACACACCCAAGATCATTACTTTGCATCCTTCAGTCCAATCAAGTTGACACTCAGTATTAACCATCACAGTCACTTTCTAATGAGGTTGGTTTTTTTGTTGTTGAGTTCCTTGTAGATTCTGTATATTAGCCTTTTGTTGCATTCATAGTTTGCAATTTTTTTTTCTCATTCTGTAGGTTATCCGTTTACTCTGTTGATTCGGTCTTTTGCGGTGCAGAAGCATTTTAGTTTAATTAAGTCCCATTTGTCTGTTTTTGTTTTTGTTGTGTTTAGTTTTGAGGACTTGGTCATAAATTCTTTGCCTAGGCCACATCTAATTTTTAATCCTCTTTTAGAGCCTGTCTTTCCCTCCAAACTAAATATTATTTTACCCCCATTTGACACATGAGCTAATTGAGCCTTCTGTCTGTTAAGTAAGTTGACTAGTTCAGTGTAAGTTGTTTCTAATTTTTTGCCATCATAATGCTTTAGTAAACATCCTTTTCATACTCTCCTTAATTTTCCCCCAGGATGGTTTTCTAGATGTGGACTTGCTGGATCCAAAGTGTGCATATTTTCCAAATGTATCCATATATTGTGGCTTTGTGTTTTAATAGAGGTAGCAGCAATATTAGAGGAGAGAATTAAGGAACGATTCTAGTGTAGCAGGACAAGCTGCATACAAAACCCCTCAGACACCGAGTTAAAGAAGGAAGGGCTTTATTCGGCTGGGAGCTTGGGCAAGACTCACATCTCCAACAACCAAGCTCTCAGAGTGAGCAATTCCTGTCCCTTTTAAGGGCTTACAACTCTAAGGGGGTACATGACTGGGGGCTGCATGCACTGGTCATCAGAATGGAACAGAACAGGACAGGGATTTTCACACTGCTTTTCCATACAGTGTCTGGAATCTATAGATAACATAACTGGCCAGGTCAGGGGTCTATCTTTAACCAGGCCCAGGATGTGGTCTCAGGCTGTTTGCCTGTGGATTTCATTTCTGCCTTTTAGTTTTTACTTCTTCTTTCTTTGGAGGCAGAAATTGGGCATAAAACAATATGAAGGGTGGTCTCCTCCCTTACTAGGAAGAGAGAAATACCATGTGAGAATGAAATACGTATTTGTGTTATTGGATTTGACATCGGGGTTGGACCAAGCATCTTCTATGAACATCTATAAGCACGTTCTCCTTATCAAAAGGTACTTTGCTTGGTGCTTTAAAAGATAAATGACTATGTAGCTTAGGAGATTTCTTCATAATTGAAAACCACAGCAGCTGTTATTTGAACATACCTGAGCCCCTTCTGGACCACTGTAGGAGAAGGAGGAAGAGAGGTGAAAGTGATTTCTGCTGCTGAGGGCATGTATGATGACAATGGGTATTTGTCCTAACTTTGACACTACAAAGTGACTGGAGCTTTAGGCAAGTAGTTACTCCAATTGTCTTTTCAGACTCTTTCTTTTTGAGGTATTTGACCTCTTTGCGGCATCAGCCTGCTGCTATTTCACATGCACCTAGAAGGGACTTTAAAACATGCACAGAATTGAACAAAGCAGTAACCATTCGTTGGTGTCCCTTAACAATATGTCAAATACTATTATTTTTGAAAGGTAAATAAATCCTTGGGCTTAGTGGATCCTAAATGCTAATTTAAAAATCTGAACTCATTTCCATCCCTTATTACTTTAAACAAATTGCTAACCTGAATGATAATAGAAACTTTTTTCCTTTTAACAGTTGGAGGCATCTATACTGTGATTCAGACAAAGGCCAAAACAACAGCAGATGAATGGGGAGAGAACTATTTTCTGATAGGTCCATATTTTGAGCATAATATGAAGACTCAGGTGGAACAGTGTGAACCTGTAAATGATGCTGTCAGAAGAGCAGTGGACGCAATGAATAAGCATGGCTGCCAGGTAAAGGAACTGACACTTCACTTGGCAATTCTCAGTAAACTTATGGGAAAAAAGACTGTAACTAACATGAACTCACAAGAGAAGACCATTCACTTACTTAAGGAAAACTTTCAGGTTTGTGAGAAAGATGATGAACTTGCTTTTAAATGGATTGAATTTGAGACACCTTGTGAAAACCGAGGAGGAAGGATAATTGGTTTGGAGTTCAGCAGAAGATACAGAGTAAACATGTTTTTGAGGAAGTCATTTGTACATAAACTGAAGTCATGAGTGTTGTTAAAAATTATTCAGTGGAAATGTTTAGACTTGGAGTAAAGGTTTTCAACCAAACCTTGTGGAATGTCAGCATGTTAGGGCATCTACATTAAAAGAAGCTAGAGATTGCAAATGTAGAAGCAAAGCTAATGATGTACAACCAAGGATGTTCAAGTCTTAATCCTCAGAAGCTGTGAATATGCTACCTTTTATAGCAAATGGAATATGGCAGATGTGATTAAGTTAAAGATTTTGAGAAGGGGAGATAATCCTGAGTTATCTAGGTGGGTCCTCCTAAGAGGGAGGCCATAGAATTAGAATCAGGCAGGAGATGTGCCAATGAAAGCAGAGGTTGAAGGGAGCTACTTTGCAGATGGAGGAAGAGGCCACAAGGAATATAGGTGGCCTATAGAAGTAAGAAAAAGCGGCCAGGCATGGTGGCTCATGCCTATAATCCCAGCACTTTGGGAGGCCAAGATGGATGGATCACCTGAGGTCAGAAGTTCAAGACCAGCCTGGTCAACGTGGTGAAACCCCTGTCTCTACTAGATATACAAAAATTAGCCAGGTGTGGTTTTGCAGGCAGGCACCTGTAGTCCCAGCTACTCAGGAGGCTGAGGCAGGAGAATCACTTGAACCCAGGAGGCAGAGGTTGCAATGAGCTGAGATCGTGCCATTGCTCGCCTGCTTGGGCAACAAAAGTGAAACTTCATCTCAAAAAAAAAAAAAAAAAAAAAGAAGAAGTAAGAAAATAAATTCTTCCCTGGAAACTACACATGGAATGTGGCTCTGTCAACACACTGATTTTAGTCTATTTTGGACTACTGACTTCAATATCTGTAAGATAATAAATTTGTTTTAAGCCACTAGGCTATTGGTAATTTGTTACAGCTCCAACAGGAATCGTGATGTCAAGTCAAGGGAGGAGAGAATTTTAAGTATGAAGAAGGGATTAAGTCAGCAAAGGACTGATCCAGGGTCTGTTGGGTTTGGTAATATTTGGGCCATTGGTAACATGGATAAGTACAGTTTCAGAGGAGAAAGGAAGGTTAAATCTCATTTCAGTGGGTTAAGGAATAAATACGTGGTAAGAAAAAAGACACAGAAGTTGTGATTATGAGATTTTTCTATGAATATAAAATATAATAATGTAGTTGCAGAATGACATGGTTTTGAGAATTGGTGTGTTATTAAATATGGGTAAGACCTGAGCATGTTTATTTGCAAAAAGGAAATACCTAGCAGACAGGGAAAAGCTAAAAGCTCAGAATAAATGGAGGATTGAAGAGAATAAAGTCGCTGAGAATGGGGAAGGGGACAAGATCCAAAGCAATACTGAAAGAATCATTTTTCGCTTGTCTCACTCAAAAAAGGAAAAAAAGATAAATGCAAATACTAGATACAAGTTAATGAAGAATTCAGGACAATCTTACCCAATGTTTTTGATGATCTCACTGAAGCAGGTATTAAAGGTCATTTTATGACAATTAAAAGGCAAGTGTAGAAACTAGGGAAGTTCAAGAAAGAAGTTCTGAAAAAGTGTTCAAGGAATTTTTGGACATGTTTGAGATGTAGTCATGACTTTATAGTGGCACAAATACACACGGCTGTGACTTTGTCCAGGAGCAGTCTGCAGTCTGAGTGATGGTGCAGGAAGTTGAATAGATGAAGATCCAGTGTTGTTTAATTTGACCATTCATGCAATGGGTCAAGGTGGCCCAAGAATTGAAGGTAATTGTAAAAGTGATTGAATTAATAGTTTAATTCATGGGCCATTGCATTGGAATAGATAGAAAAGGAAGGAATTAAATAAGGAATAGACAGGAAAGAAAGTAAGCAAAGCCAGAAAGAAGATGATAATGTAGGACAAAATGGAGGGTTATAGGAACTGGAGGTCTTAAAGGGGAGAAAGAAAGAATATATACACTGGCAGAAACACAGTGACAGAAATGGAAGTACAAGAGTTGTAACTGGGTAACAGAATGCCGAAGTGGAATATTTTAGAGAAGAAATCATTTGGGATTTGACAAGGAAAGAATGCAGTCATGATCCTGAGTAGCTGAAATCAGGTGGACATGAAAGTCTTTTAAGTCCATAAGGTCAAGTAACCATGAGGTTAAGTGTGCAGGATAAAAAATCTGGACTTTGAAGTTGCTTAGGATAAGGTCAAAAAGTAACCTTATCTTTGCTGAGCAAGGAAAGGTAATATTTTTGGATAGCAAACATTTCAAAGGTGTTTTATATGTAAATAAAGAATAAGGCTTTAAAAGCTTCAGTAGAATTTTAAAAATCAGTAACTTTCCTTCCTACTCATCCCAGGAATATAGTTTCTGGGGGTGAAAAAATGCAAAGTCTTCACTTGAGATGCTGTGTGGGTAGTGGTGTCTAGGAGGTGCATGCAAGGTTTAAAGAGTGGAATGCATAATTTACAAGGGAAATTGAGATCCCAAAGAGTACCGGAAAACATTTCTTAGTGAAGGCAGCATAGAGAATGTTAGAAATGTGATAGAACAATGCCTATTGTACTATCAGGATGCAAATAAATGAAATGTTAGAAAGGGCTTGCATTTGAAGTTCTGGTGAAGGAAGAGTTAGATGAGAAACACAATGGAACTGACTGGTCTCAAGACTTCATGGCTTTCTAGTGTAGGGATATTTTCACGTTGCAGCCAAGAACTGACTGGAGGTCAATGCCAATTGGCTTACATTCTCTATTTGTGTAATAGGTTCAGCTCTTCTTTATGATCTTAGCTTATGTATCATGTGGCACATATTAGGCAGTCAGTAAATATTATATAGTAATATTACATGTTATTCACAGTGTATAAATACATGAAGCAATGAATTTCCCAAGGAGAAAAACTATTGAAAAGTGGTTTGGGGCTCAGGAAAATTTCATCTTAAAAGGAAACAGTGGCATGATAAACACTAAATTATAATGGAAACAACTGAAACATAATGAGGGTCTTTCAAGGTTGACCAAGGAACAGATGGGTGAGAAGCATCCCCACACATGCCTGGGTCCCCTGGTAGGAAATGATCAAATTGGGCTTTGAAGTCCTGCAAAATTCAGCCATAGGTGGAGTCATAAGTGTCAATATGTAAGCAATATTAATATATTTTATTTTCTAGAGAAGCCTGGATCCACATTGAGAAAGACTCGTAGCCTCTGCTGAGTTCCAGAAAGGGTTTGAAGTGGTTTATGAGGTTGTATATCATGTAAAAGGAGAATAAACATAAAATGAAAATTAAGACAAAAGAACAAGTAAATTACTATAGAAATATGGAGACAAAAAAGGAAGTTAAAACTTGGATATGCAAGTGATGATATACATACAACTGGAAAAAAATGAGAGAGCTAATTCATTAAAACTTGCAGAAGATAAAACATTTAGGAATCAACGTCAATTTGAAGAATGTAATAGAATTATACTTTGAGTTACTAGATTAAAGAGATAATGTATCTAGGGCAATGTGTTTAGTTAAACCTCTGGCAGCAACCATACTGGGAAACATTTTGCATCACTTCTTTTGATAGGAATAGTAAGATAAATCATACATATTGGACTACAGAAATAGCTTTTTCTTCTAGCAGGAAATATTGTTAGTCCTGTTCCATAAAAGAAAATAAGCGACACTGGAGCCATTATATCCAACTACCCAGGTTTTCAGAGATACAAAGCATTTCATGGCTCTGTCATAAAAGCAGACACTATAATATTAATCACTGTGAGTTCATGGTCACAAGAGAGTAACTAGAGACAGATGAACAGAGATTACATGATTTAGATACATTGTTTTTAAATTTAATGAAGAGCAAGAATTTGGAGGTTCTAGATGAATGGATTTATGCCCATTCCAGCTTGAGGCTCAAACAGCAGAGGCTATATGTTATCAATATTCTTTTCTAAGTAGCTTGTTTAATTTGCTATTGAGTACTACATAAAGTTTATATCCTCAGAGTGCAAATACATTGTCCTGTCTTGCATGACTTAATATCACTACATGGCTGTGTTCTTTATATGACAGGTGCATTTTGGAAGATGGCTGATAGAAGGAAGTCCTTATGTGGTACTTTTTGACATAGGCTATTCAGCTTGGAATCTGGACAGGTGGAAGGGTGACCTCTGGGAAGCATGCAGTGTCGGCATTCCTTATCATGACCGAGAAGCCAATGATATGCTGATATTTGGATCTTTAACTGCCTGGTTCTTAAAAGAGGTATGGTTTATTATATAGTGATACAACGGAGGAGCAGCACAACTGCTTTCAGTGCCCAAGAATGATCCCATGATCTTTAAATGAGGCAGATTTTGAGATGATGCCATTATGGCTTGTCCTAATACAATTGAAAGAAATCTGAGGAAATGTTGAGCATTCTGCAAATTAAATGGAATAGCGTAATAATGATACTTATTACTATTTACCTCATGTCAAATTTAAATGGCATGATGTGTATCAAACACCCAATTATATTGCCCCATATATAGATGATACTTAATATATATATATAAGAAAAACATGAAGTATAGAATCTTAAGAGTAGCAAATAGCTTAATAAGCTATTTGTTTAATAAGCTTTCCAGGTGATCCTGATGTACACTACATGTGATAACCACTGTTTTAAGTTTACTCTCCAAATTTCCCAATTCTCTGCTCAGCCTTCTTCAATGACAGTGTTTTGCTATTGTCTCTATTAAGGAAATGAACTCTCATTGTGGAGTCAGTGTGAATGTTAATATTTTGTAAGGGCAAACAAAATAAGTTGTCTCTTTGTAAGGCAAAGATACGGATGCCCACCTGATTTGGAACTAGACCCTGGGGTGGAATTAGACCCCGATCTTCAGTGTGTTACAAAGCTGCTATTTGATTCTAGGCATGTTTTTTATTAGCCTCTTTCTCTCTAATTCCATATTCTTAATAATATATCAGTTAAATTTTGTTGGCTTCAAGAAAAAGAAAACCCAAATAAGATAAATTTAAAACATGGAATCATTTATTATTTATTATAAAATGATGTAACGGCATTTTATCTTTGTTTCTCAAAATCAAATATGCAAATATATACATGAAAATCATTGTATGCTTTTAGAGTTTTCAAGTCATTGAAAATCCAAGTAATTATCTATTAGAAAAAAATGATATTGTAAAAGTCACTTTTTCTTCATATGCATTTTTTTTTCATTATGATTGTTAAATAGTTTTAGGCAACATTTGCTTCTCCATAATTGGGACACTACAAATATACAAGGCATTTTCAAGTCTCTTCCTGGCCATTTCTTTAGTAAATATCAAAATATATACTATAAATAAACACAAGTCTAGTCAATTAAAAAAAATTTAAGTAGTTTTTTAAAAATAAGCTTATAAGTAAGTGGTCCCAATTGATTCAGCTGTTCAGTGATATCTTTAAGAATTTATTTATTCTTAAATAAATATTTTTTGAGTGCCTACTTTGCATTTATTCCATTTATTTATTAATATTCATTACCTGTTATTAATATTAGTATTTATTCTTCTGTGGATATAAAAAATCTGCTCCATCACTGAAAGGGAGGATTAAGACCTAAAAATATATGGGGTTAATGAACATGCCACTGAATCCTGTATTATCCTTGCTAAATATTCATGCTTTATGTTTCGACTCCTTTAAGTTGCAAAATAATTTATAGACACCATAACTCCACTTATGATGTGGACCATGAGCACAATCAAGCTTCATCAACAACTTTTCTGAATGCTTTTTTTTTCCTAATGTAGGTGACAGATCATGCAGATGGTAAATATGTCGTTGCCCAATTCCATGAATGGCAGGCTGGAATTGGACTGATCCTTTCTCGAGCCAGGAAACTTCCTATTGCCACAATATTTACAACCCACGCTACACTACTTGGGAGGTATCTCTGTGCAGCAAATATTGATTTCTACAACCATCTTGATAAGGTAAATATTCCTTCCTCCCTCCCTCTTACTCACCCTTCTTTCAGATTGCTGAAGCTGAAAGATAAGTATTGATCTGTACATTTCATCTGCCAACCAGATGGCAGAAATGCCCTTTTAGCTAATCAATATTCATGACAAAGCTTCCCTTGGGTTGAAAGACAGCTCATATAGTTCAACTTTGTTCAGAGTACACTAGAGTATAGAGGTGAGAGGCCTGATTTCTGTCCCACTTTGGAACAATAGTTCCAGAGGGATATGGTAGGAGTAAAGACATGGTGTAGGTGCAAGGTTGGGCCCTTGTTCTAGCCTAAGGCTATGGAAGCGCTGTGAACACCCTGGATCCACATGCAGCTCTGAGTGGCAGGTAGATAATTGAGATTTGAGACATACAAACTTGCACTATGAGACTTACTTCCTCTATTTCTTCTATCCTCCAAGTAAACAATTGATTAAAAGCCACATTATAGGTTGATAGGTTCAGTTTTCCCTGTAACTTTGCAATGCACAGGGGGCATTTTTGTGGGATCAAGTAAAACAGAAGTTATTGCAAACAGGGATATGGGTCCTTGGTGAACAAGAAGTTATTTTTGCTCATCTTAGCAGGTTACCTGAGTCTATGACCTGCCAAAGTCATTCAGTTTTGATTTATTTCTTCTATTTTTCATGTCAATTTAGATTAATGAAAGTATATATTTTATATCATCATGTTAATAATATTAACAAAATGTTTGAGTAGTATAAATTCAGAGGTTTTGCAGATTTGGTGTCTATATTAACAATCAAATCTATTTAGTACTCTAGGGTTCAGTTTTGCTATCAGGAAAATTAGGAAGTTAGAAAGTTGATTTTTAAAAATTTCCCAGCTTAAAGAGTTCTAGGATTCTATAAAATAGAATGTGTATGTGTGTGTAATACACAAATAATACTCAAATAATGCCACTGAAAAGTTATACTACTGTCTCAAAGACACTTAGAGCGCAAGAACGTTCTTTCTGAAAAACTTTAACATCTGTAAAGCAATGAGTGGTCCTGATGAGCCCTTCCCTATAAAAAGGTCAGCCTAATTTAAAGGTCAAACTAGAAACACAAGCTGTACATTTAAAATAAAATCACCAAGGAATTCAGAAAGCCTGGGGATCTGGGAGGTTCTTAGCGGTATATAGTAATGGTGGACTAATAAGGGCAAACCAGTGATCTGTGATAAGCTGGTAAGCTCAACAACCATGCTTCCTGGAGAGGAGTGCACTTTGACTTCAGTGAAGGAGAAAATATTAGAGTGGCAGATTGAATATTTCACTTCAGAATTCTTGAATCTTGTATAGTAATAATTAATTTTAAAAGCTACTAATAATATACATAGGATATTTTTCTTTGGTTTTAAGGAAGAAATGCATTATAGTATATAGTTATATATTACAATTTTACCCTTTTGATGAAAGGGCAGTATTTTTCATACTGTCTTTAGATATAATCACACATCTCTCTAGTTTAAAGCCCTTCACTGGTTGAGATACTTAAGTTTAGTCAGATCCCTGCCCATCTTTCTAGTAAAATGTTCTATCTAGCAAAATGACTAGTAGACAACAAGCAGTCAAGAACTAGCTTTTGGGTTAAATTCATAGTCATTTTACACAGCAGAAGCCCCCATGCTCACACTAAATTTAGAATTTGGGTGACACATAAGAATACCAAATTATATACATGAAAGGTTTTTAAAATTTCAGTATAAGGAAGAAGTCATAGTTTAATCTTTGATGCAGGAACCAGGATCAGCTTCAGTAAATTCTGACTCAGACAAATGAAAATAGGGCAAATATGAGAACAAGAATAAGATAATTAAACTTTTGTAAAATCAGAAAGATTAGAACGATTTTACTCAAATTACTGCTAACTGAAAACAATTTTTGTTAGTAGCCAATTACAAAAACTCTAACGCTGGTTTAAGTTTTTAGTAAAATTCATTATTTAAAATAAGATTTTAACCATTTTCAGCCAGCGTATGAAATTTCTGAGAATATGTCTCCAAATTCATTTTTTAAAGTCCAATCATTGATCAATTATCCTCTCGACTCTAATGACTACATAATAAATTCTTTTTTTTCCTCTAAAGCCTTTAGTTTTCTTGTTTTGCCCCCCGCCCCACCCCCCCTCCCATTTTATGTTGTTTGTTTGTTTTTGTTTTTGACGCGGAGTCTTGCTCTGTCGCCAGGCTAGAGTGCCGTAGCGTGATCTCGGCTCACTGCAACCTCCACCTCCCGGGTTCAAGCGATTCCCCTGCCTCAGCCTCCTGAGTAGGTGGGACTACAGGCACGCACAACCACAGCCAGCTAATTTTTTGTATTTTTAGTAGAGACGAGTTTTCACCATATTGGCCAGGATCGCCTCGATCTCCTGAGCTCGTCATCCGCCCGCCTCAGCCTCCCAAAGTGCTGGGATTACAGGCGTGAGCCACCACTCCCGGCCTTTTTTTTCTTAATTGTAGCAGAATTTCCTAGATGGAAATCTGAGGACAGTGCCGTTTGGGATTGGAAAATGGGGAAGGAAGCCATGGACAATTATTTGGTGGATTTAAACTCTTTCTTCTGATCAAGCTTTGAGCTAGTCAACTTCAATTACAGGGTTATCCACATGTGTCACTGGACTGTGTTTTATTGATTAATATGTACTTTACCCATTTTTTGTTTTTCTATACACATTATCCAGAATTCAATAAAAAACTATGAGATATATTAAAATGCAAGAAAGTAAAAACCCATTGTCAGAAAGACCAGGTCCAGATATGTCCTGTGTTGGAATTATTGTACAGAGATTTTAAGATATAATCATAAATATGTGGAAGAATGGACAACATGTGTAAACGGATAAGGTTTCTGTAAAGCCACAGGAGTGGCCACGCGTACTACAGACCTAAAAGATAAGTGTGCCCCATGGGAGGAGGGAAAGGCAGAAGCATGCACACCCACCCGACTTCCCCAAGGCCTCTCACGGGGTCTCCAGGCTCTTGCTATCCTGCCTCTGTATTTGTGCATACTCAGCCTGCTCATTTAGAAAATCTATCTTCCCATCTCTAAATGTCCAAATGTTAAATGCTGTCTTATCTGTGACATGTGATTCTCTACAACAATAATAATAATTAATAATAACAATGGCTAAATTTATTGAGCACTTTCCATATACCAGGCACTTTTCTAAACATTTGACATTTGTTGTCTCATTTGAAATTCACAAAATACTCAATGGGATAGAAAACATTCTTTACTTCTTTCCAGAGTTATTTTTCTTAAACACTGGCTCTGTCTTTACCACACCTCTAAATAAACACTTTCAGAGTGGCTTTTCTTGTTTACAGGACAAAGGCAAAATTCCTAGGCTCATCTTCAGGGATTTCAGTGATCTGGCCCTATTGTATCCGACCAGCCTCTGTCTCTTACATTCTACATCCAGTGCTACAGTCACATCAGATGTCCTGCTATTTTCTGCACATGCCATAGCATTTTCTATACTTGTTCTTTAGGGCAGCTAGCATTTCAGCTAAAAATAACTTTCCCAGAATTAAACTTTCATATCCTGGTCCAAATGCCATTTTATTCATCCAACCAATTTGGAGATAGAAAGATGAATAAGTCTTCGTCTTTGCACTTGAAAGTCTTACATTTGTAGAGTTGATACTGACTACGCTTACTGCGTAGTATGAGATAATTTTGCCTACCTTCAGCCAGAGTGAATCAGTGCTGCTTTGATCCTATAACTTATTCAGACACATACTCATTTCATTTCTACCTGTTTTTAATCCATTTTCCATTAATTTATAAGTTTCTTAAAGTTAATAGATACACATAAATTGCTCAAAAAAGTTGATTAAATGAGAGATTTGGTTTCATTAATTAGGCTGGCCACATAGAGCTTTTAAGAAAACTTCTGCTGATCCAAGCATGTCATATACAACCTGATTCAAACATTTTCAGAGAGATGATTCCAAATATTACAGTCATGAAAGAATGCTCTAGGAGTTTTCTTGTTCTAATCATGAGATTCCTCTAATGGGTCTCTTTTTAGTATTTTTCTCTATATGATGCCATAATTATTGGGACTAACTTCTTGATAGAGTTGAAGTCTCAATGATATAAAAACAGATGAATACAAGACTGTATTCATTAATCAGTCAGGCTGATTAAGGATCAAATTAGGGTTCTACCAAGATTCTTAATAGCAATGTGACCTTCGACAAGTTTCTTGACCTCTAAAAGGTTCAATTTCCTTCTCCATAAAATGAAGGCAAAATATGTGTCTCAGTAGTTTATAAGAATTAAATATGTTATTGTGCGTAGTGGAGTGCCTGACACTAGTGCTGAAGAGCTACTAAAAATCTTCACTATGAAAAGCACCCTACTTACATAATGTCAGAAACTTTACATATTCTTTTTTTCTTAGACACTGCTAGTTTCATATGGAGCTGCGTGAGACACTACATTCAGTAACTAAGTGAAATGGCAAAAGCCCACACTGTTGCCAGTTATTTAAGTGATTGTTGGGAATTTGACTTTTTTTAAGTTAAGCTACCCAGAAGCATAGATAATTGCATAATCTAGCACAATATCTAACTAGACTAACTATACACTCTTTGCAATTATAAAGGGGAAGTTCTATAACCAAGGAAAAGCGTTTGTCTTTCTCTTTTTCAGGTTCCCTTTCAGTGAATTAAGCATTATAATAATTATTCTTATTTTCGATGTCAACTTTAATGTCAACTTTGTTTCATTGTTTATGGGAAAATATATAAAAGACTTTGGAGAAAGGCATTAGCTCAGTATTCCAAGATGTAGAATAAGTAAAAGTGTAATTAAAATGTCAAAAATTCAAGAATTCTATGTGATTACAGTAAGGTAGAAACATCATTTACTTAGGGAGTTAAACTGCAGTTTAGAGGGAGAAATGGAGTAAACAATGTCTTTTAAAGTGTAATTCCTTATGTATATTGTAGTAATGGGTTTAATTCAAGTTTTTATTACTTTTTTGTGGTCATAAATTTTTACACAGCCTTGAGGTAAGCCACTTGGTGAAATGTGTGATTTTGTTTAGCTTGTGTAGAAGGGCCATTGTTAGCAAATGTGTGTTTTATTTTTGTTTCTAACAGTTTAACATTGACAAAGAGGCTGGGGAAAGGCAGATTTACCACCGGTACTGCATGGAGCGAGCTTCCGTTCATTGCGCTCACGTGTTCACCACGGTTTCTGAAATAACAGCAATAGAAGCTGAACATATGCTGAAGAGAAAGCCTGGTAATTATTATCCCTGGATCACCTATCTTTCAGTTCCGAATGATGTTACACTATGAGGATTTTGTTTTCCATCGTGAAGTAGTAGTTTGAGGAAAAATTGCATTCAGTTACCACGCAGCTCTTTTTATGTATTTTAATTCTCAATTTCAGTAGGTTTGCAGGGAAGCCAACTCAAAGCTATATCTGGAACATGGCTAAGTGTTCAATCTGTGCTTGTTGAATAAATGAGCTATGCTTGAAATAACCTTGGTATGACCTGGGTTGTCATAATGAGTCGGTATGTGTAAGGAAGTTCGGTTGACTCTTGTCTTTTGAGAAAATGAAAGCCAAGAAAACAGAAATTTGTGTGAGACTATCCCAGTCCTACATCTTGTAATATTGCCTCATTGGTGCTGTGTTGGTAGAAACGTTTTATATTACTTATCCCCAGATTCCTTGGAAATTTTTCCAGGAACTATCTACAGACCCAACCAGAGCTTGCAATGTGAAGAACTCATGCTCATAAGACATGGCCCTGTCACCCGGCCACGGCTGATTGGCCCAAAGGAAGACATCTGACATAAGCTGGGCCAATCAGAATGCTCCCATTCAAACGAGTCTCTCAATGCACTGTCATACAATGAAACACTACCAATAACTCAAAGCTATTGGTAGTGTTCATTTTTCTACTTTGTTGCACTGGATGCAAAGAAGATTAAACTACACTGAATTGTTATAAGAAGCAAAAACAGACTGAGAGAGAGAACTAGAGGCTCTCCACAGTGATTTCGACCCCTTTTTCTTTTTTTTTTTTGAGATGGAGTCTTGCTCCATTGCCCAGGCTGGAGTGCAGTGGCGTGATCTCAGCTCACTGCAGCTTCTGCCTCCCGGGTTCAAGCAATTCTCTGCCTCAGCCTCTCGAGTAGCTGGGATTACAGGCACCTGCCACCACGCCCAGCTAATTTTTGTATTTTTAGTAGAGACGGGGTTTCACTATCTTGGCCAGGCTGGTCTTGAACTCCTGACCTCGTGATCCACCCGCCTTGGCCTCCCAAAGTGCTGGGATTACATGTGTGAGCTACCGCGGCCAGCCAGTTTTGACCACTTTTAAAAATCATTCCTAAGGCTCAGCTAAATATTTGCCATGAGACACTCCGGCATCCTATTAATAAATTCCTTGTTATTATACTTAAGCCAGCATTAGTAGGTTTATATTACTTGCAACGAAATCATCCTAATTAATATATCCTCCTTGCTTAATTTCTGTGGTCTTGTCTCTAGTTGTCCTTCTTTCAGATAGCAGAATGTGTAGAAGAGGTATTTCAAGGTGCTAGGTTAAAAAAAAAAAAAAAAACAAGATAGAACAAGAACCCAACTAATTTGAATAGTGGCAGCATTAAGAACCTATAGTAGCCTTTTTTCTTTCCAAGGATTCTCTTGAATTCGCTTGGATTCTTACTCTCATTCTTCTTTTGGGAGTTTATTCCATCAATATGCTCATTTCTCTCTTGGATCTTCCTTTTTCCTGTCTACAGTTATCTTTCTCTGAGCTCACAAAAATACTTTCTTTGTTTTTGCCTATTCTAAAATGAAAATTTCTCTTGAGGTTTCTACCCTGCCAAATATCATACCATCTCCTCCTTTCTCCTGCTGCCAAATATCTTATAAGAGTAAACCATAATTGCTAGGTTCACTTACTCATTAGCCCCTGGGACTCTGGCTTCCGACCTCCAACTCTGGCCTAAAATTGTGTTTCCAAAAATCATCGAATTCAGGGTCATCTAATGTTTTTTATTTTTCTTTATATTCTCTAGCATTTAAAGGCGGTGAACATCTGTTTCCATTATTTTTCATGACACTGCACATTCTACTTTCTTTCCAGTATAATCTTTTCTGGTGCCTCTAATCATTTTTCTACTTTCTTTTACTTTTCAAAGTGGACATTCTCCAAGATTCTATTCTAGGTCCTGCTTTCTCTATATACTATTTTCTTAAATTTTTGTTTTCTTAAGAATATAGCTACAGAGTAGTGGTCAAAGCATGAGCTTTTTGCCAAACTGCCTGTATTCAGTACCAAAAATGATTTTATGTTGAGTATACGTTACTAGCTGTGTGACATTATAAAAGTTACTTAAGCTCTCTGTGTCTTATCTGCATAATGTGGATAATCCTTTCTCTTATCTAGAATCATTGCAATGATTCAAACGTTAACATATGGAAAAAACTCAGCTCAGTGCCTGGTACATTGTAAAGATTTAGAAAATATCGATTATTATTTTGTGTGGATCACTGTCTAGATTTTCCCCAAGTTCTCATCTATTACTGAGTGCCCACAAGCTAGCTTTCTCTGGAAGTTCTACCAGAAACCATAAACACTGCAATCTGGGCTTCTTCAGACTTGCAGTAGAATCATGTGGTGGCTCTGATGGAAATTGTGAAATCTCTGAACATTTTGTGGCTCAAGAAGGTCAATGGACTTTTAGTAGATCATTAAACATATAAACCTTCCCAAGAGCATTCTGAAAAAAAAAAAAAGATCACATAGTGTAACTATGACTTTGTATTCCTTGATTTTTCTTGAAGTCTTCCCCGATTAAAAGTTTAACTACAGCCATTACTTTTAACGCTGAGGGTGCAACTACAGAGCAAGAGGAAAATTGGCTGGGTGAAAAACATGCATGGGACCAGATATTTTTCAAAATGTCACTATATAATAATAATTGGCAAAAGCTTATATTTATTACTATATCATTATGCTTTTGCCATAAATTTGACTCAAAATAGTTTAAGATGTTGAAAAGGTGATATTTTCTTAAAAATATTGGAGAGAAGGCAGTATGATAAATTTACCAATTACAGATACAAAACTGAATACAACATATGCCTTAAATATCTTATGTTGCTTTAAAAAAATTTGTCATTTTCCCTTTAATATAGTCATTAATAGTGTTGCAATTATTGATTTTGGAGCCCATGCTAATACCTTACTATGAACTCTAGCTAATACCATCCTTTAGTCAACGTTTTTCTTTTGTGTTGGCGTTGTTAACATCAGAAAGGTGGGTAACATTGTCTTCTACTTGGGAACAATAGCAAGAAATTAGTGACCAATGTTGCTTCCAGGGAAAGGAAAAAATTATGGAACGGAAGTGAAAAGGAGATTTTTCAAGGTCAATATTTTGATTTTTTAAAAATTTAAATGATATGAGCATATAACTTATATACACTAATTTATTATGTAATAATACATGTATTTATATAAACTAATTAAATTAAATTAATCAAATTAATTTAACTAATTTAACATCATTTCCTGGTTATTTTACTACATTTTACTATGATTTTAGGTTATTTGTATATAGTAGTGCAGTAATACCATTATATGTTACTGCGCACCATTACATACAAATAACCTAAAACCTATAACCTATATAATGGTGCAGTAACATCCATATATATATATATATATATATATATATATATATATATATATATTTCATGGATGGAAATAGTATAATGGTGTTACTGCACTTTTCTTCCCAACTCTGCATTTACATTGGTAGCTTGAAATCAGTCATGATGGGAATATTTACACCTTGGAGAAAGGCAAACACTAAAATTATCTATCTCTCTCTCTCTTTTTCTCTCTTTTTCCTGGAGTACTCTTTGTTAAATTTTACCAGCATATGACTGCACATAGGCCTGTGCATGTGAGATTATTCTGTTATAAATATGGATATTAGAAGACCTCACTGGCCTAACACTTTAGGCTAATGAACAGACAATTTCAGGACACAGATCTTTTTTTTATAATTGTTTGTGAAACAATTTGGAAAACTGCTGAGGATTACAATCCATAATAAGCTGGTATCCACATACATTCTTGCCTTCTATAGCTTTTGTATGGTACAGTTGTATGACACCACTGCATCAAAAGGGTGGAAACTCCTGAGCCAGGCTGCTTTGGTTCTAAATCCAGCCTCTGTTACTTTGTGCTTACTTGACATTGGGCAAATGACTTAATATTCTGCAGGCCAGTTTCGTTATTTGTAAAATGGGGACAGTGAAAACAATTTACCTCATAGGGATTTTTAAAAATTATTATATATCAAATATAATAGGGCCTGGCACAAAGTGAGCCCTACATAATTGCTGTAGAAAGATAAATACATTTTAAGATGTAATTGTCATACTGTACGAATCACATTATATAGTTCATTTAGGAATTATTCACATGAAAGCTTTCACTGGAAACCTTGGCTACTTAAAATTGATTCTACTGTGGCCATGTATGTAAAAGAGTGTAACAAAGGTCAGATTACTTAATAAAAACTCATAAAAATCAGTAAGTTTTTATTTTCCACAAAAAATGACCAAAAAGCCTGGATTGATTTTGTGGAACCATGTCAAGAAAATAGCCAGTTAACTGTAAAAGATTCTTTTTTTTTTTCTTTTGAGATGGAGTCTCACTCTGTCACCCAGGCTGAAGTGCAGTGGCGTGATTTCAGCTCACTGCAACCTCCACCTCCTGGGTTGAAGCAATTCTCCTGGCTCAGCCTCCCCAGTAGCTGGGACTACAGGCGCACACCACCATGCCTGACTAATTTTTGTATTTTTAGTAGAGATGGGGTTTCACCATGTTGGCCAGGCTGGAAAAGATTCTTAAAATTACAAAAATCTTCATAGCCCTATGCCACATTTTTTTTTAACATAGCTTCTTTTTTCTTGTTTTTGCTTTATGCTGCTAAATCTGATAACCCATGTATTCAACTCAGTAGGTAGTTTCCGTCATATGCTCAGAGTGGTCCCTCTCTTTCTTGTCACAGACCAATGTTTTGAAAACCAAGAATGTCTTCCTGCCTGAGCAACAAAATCTCCTGGGAAGAATGAATCAGTTGTGTTAGAAATAAGAGATGGAAATAAGAATAGAAATTAGAAGTAAGAGGTTTCCTTTTCCAATTTTCCAAATGCACAAAAGGTGTCCCATACACTTGTGGAAAACAAGATGGCAGGAGGTAGTTTAGTGCAGGGTTAAGGAAACAGTATGTGGGGTCAGACTGCATGGATTCTGCTTCGACTTACCAGCTGTGTGTTCTTGGACGGCGTCTTTAAACAACTCTGTGCCTGAGTTTCCACCTCTGAAAATGCAGATAAGAGCACTCACTCCCTTGGTTTGTTGAAGAGATTGAGTTACACTCTAAGCCTTTAGAGCAACACCTGGTACACATTAAATAATCAATAAATGAGTACTATAATAACCATTATTATTGTTATTGATTAACTTGTTTCATTGTACCAGTGCTTCATTGTTATTTTGGTCAGGCATTTCTGATTTCCTATTTCAATCAGTAGACCAAATTTGTTGCGAATTTTTATGAATTTTTTATGAACTGGAAGTTTTATAAATTTTAAATTTTATGGTAGTCAGAAAGTAGAATGTCAATAAACATCTAACTTTATAGTTTTAAAGATACTTTTTTCTACAATGGTACCCTCTTTGAAAAGAGAATTTTCATAATAATTTTGTTTTGCCTTTCTAGATGTAGTTACTCCAAACGGCTTGAATGTTAAGAAATTTTCAGCAGTGCATGAGTTTCAAAATCTACATGCCATGTACAAGGCCAGAATCCAAGATTTTGTTCGAGGTCATTTCTATGGGTATGATTTTCTTTATTAAAAAGAAAAAGAAGTATCAGATATGAGTGATCTTTGGTAGAGAGAAAACAGAATTGTAATAATAAATGTTTATCTTTCCCAGCCCCCTTTGTACATTAACAGAATTCATGTGTACATTTTGTTACTGTTGCTGTATTTCATTTGAAACTGTTTGGTTTTGTTTTGTTTTAGTCATCTCGACTTTGATCTTGAAAAGACTTTGTTCCTTTTCATTGCTGGGAGGTATGAGTTTTCAAACAAAGGAGCTGACATCTTCCTAGAATCCTTATCCAGGCTAAATTTCCTGCTGAGGGTAAGAAAGCTCTAGGACATGGTATAACACTCTTGTAGGGAGAACTTTCTTCTGTGGGAAGTGAAGAATTTTTTGGCTTCTTAAATAGTTTTCAAGAGAATAAACGATAATCGTATTCTAAAAATGGCTTCAGCCTTTCAATTTACATATTGGAGTTACCACACTGTTGACTTGTGTGTTTGTCTATAATGTCATCTTTTTTTTTTTTTTTTTTTTTTTGGAGAATCTTAAGCTTATCCCATTATATGTCTCATTAAGCTTATCCCATTCTCCCCTTCTATGTTTTAATAAGTCATTATAACATCCCTTTTCCCTCACATGAGTTTGTAATCAATTGAAAAGTAAATATAGAGAAATCCAGTAAATGCAGAGCAAAATATCAATTTTCAGAAAATCAGTGAAGACTATAATGGAAGATGTGGCTTATGCACATGACAATACGCATCCTAATACTGAACCTTGTTATGACTCTTAGCCATTTAATCATAGGAAGCTCTGACCATCACTCTCCTCTCCCGACTGAAGCAGGCCTTCAGAGTAGCACGTGCCACATAGCTGGCAGCCAAACCCGACAGCACGAACTCTCTATAGAACAGGGCAGACACATACACACTCGGTTCACTCACCTCCCCAGCCACACCACCTCCCTGCGACTAAGAGTTTTAAACTCTTGAACTAGTGGATGTCACACCACATGAAAGCATGAAGGAGGAAAAAGAAGGTTCTTACTCCCAACCATGTGAAATCATTTTTTTTACTCAGGAAGGTGGGATACAAAGTGGGTTCTCAACTAACCGAGCAACACAATATGCATAAATAAAAGCAACTATAAAAAAAGATACCATGTCATAGCTATTGATGGCAGCTATTGGTTTATATTCCAATCCCATCACATAAAAATGTAGAATAAGTAATAGGAAAATATTCACAGGAGAAGAGTGTAGAATTTCAATCTTAATGAGATAATGAGAAAATCTAAACTTTCCTGAGTTCTGTACTACCCTCCAGTTAAATTTTTATTTCTTGGACATAAATTTTTTGCTTTAGAGCAGACATTATGCCAAATATGCTAAAAAAATTTACTAAAGCCACGTTAATAAACAAGCGATTTATTAATAAAATCCAACTATGCAAAACAGAACTGAAGACTAAAAAGATTATTCTTAAATAACCTTACTTAATATTTCCTAGTATATATTCATTCAACAAGCTTTATAATGGACTCACAACTATATCACATATACAATCTTTAGGGACATTATTAATAAATGCATTTATATAGTTATTAAATATTCACTTTATTTATAGATATGAAGAAAAGACTGATTACTATTATACTAGACATAAAAGATAACTGCAATACTTGGAGAAGTTAAAAGAAGGAATTCTCTTTCCACATAGTACATTTATTTTTTGATAGCACCTTGGCTGTTCCTAGGGTGAGTTTCCTATTGTATGCCTTCAGTAGCTTTCCCTAATAAAATGTCAGGCCCTAGAGGGCCGAGGCTGCATACTAGACGGTAAAGTGCCCCACACTCTGGAGCTAGTCAGTCATTTCCAGAACACATAAACCTTCATAGAGGTTCATGATTTTAAGTGAGTTTATGCTTTCATTCTTACAGCTTCTTAACAAGTCATTTCCTTTTGAGAGATGCTAAGCCAGCAGTTTAAATGTCAGCTTTGGCACTAACCTGTTATAGGACTCAGAGAAAATATTTAACCTCTCATTCCTTTCTTTTGACATTAATAAAATGAGGAGAGAAATGCCTATTGTACATGATTATTAGTAGTATATTTAAAGCACCCAGCACAGTGTCTGCTATCCCAAAAGTGCTCGTCATGTGCTTGTTTCTTTGCTTTAGGGCTAAAAACCAAAATACAACATCATGAGAATCAAGACATTTAGCGGAAAAGTAAAAATAATCTATCTGTCATCAATCAACATGAATAAGCAAAAAAATTGAAATATTATTTTAGCTTTTACCAAAGCTTAAATCTTCATTAAACTTCCAATCTGAAATTTTAAAGAACTAATTTTGGTCTTGTAATATTAGCTCTCATTCATGCTATTTTTTTAACCACAGAAAAGCACAGTGTCATCAATAGCAATTGTTATCTATTCTAGATGGTCAAAGGCACGAAAATATTTTGTTTGAATTTTCAAATTGTTAACTGACAAATACTGATTGAAAGTCAATTTGTTTATTGGCAAGTACAGACTGAAAATTTAAAATTTATTTTGATTTTAATTAAAATTTCTGAAAAAGTCTCAGGAAGGTGAATATAATCTCTCTGTGAAACATAAATAACTATACCTTTTATCTACTGATATTTTAAAACTCTACTTTTCAATGTTTAAGTTCCATCTATCATACTTTTTAAAAATCTTTGATAGTTGACTCTGTGTTTTCTAATTCCTCATCAGATGCATAAAAGTGACATCACAGTGATGGTGTTTTTCATTATGCCTGCCAAGACAAATAATTTCAACGTGGAAACCCTGAAAGGACAAGCAGTGCGAAAACAGCTGTGGTAATCTCACAACCTGTGAATGTTCTCTAGCAATAAATGTGAAAAGATTTCTTTTAAGTGAATGACATCTCATGTATCGCCTTGAACTTTGTTTTTTCCTTAAGATTATTACAGACAAATAATACTTGACTCTCTTTTCATCGTGCTACTATTTTAGGTTATCGTAATGGTTATAACATTATAGGTGTTATACAAATTTTGGAATGAGCTACCATTGAAGGAACAAGGCCCTGTAGAAATCTTTAAAGATGAGTCAAACATTTTTTAACTTTCTATTGTGAAATTCTAAGAACATGTCAAGTAAAAAGCTTAGTAATATGACTCCCTGTATACTCATAGTTCAGATTCAACAATGATCAACGAATTCCCGTCTTGTTACACCTATACCTTCATCTACTCCCCCTCTCTGCTCTCTATCCTGTTCCAATCATCATGAAGCAAAAAAATTTTAAGCTCTTTGTGCTGGCCATGGTGTTCTGTTGCCTCAGCTCTGGAGATGTCAACTTAAGCTGAATTGGCAAGTAGTAAAATAATAGAAGAGACTATAAAAAAGATACCTGTAATTTCAAAGAATGTAATTTCAAAGAATGTCAACAAAACAATAGCATTATCGTGACAAATAAAGATTAAACATTGTCATACTGTTTAAATGATAAATCTTTCTGTTTCAAACAGGGATGTTGCACATTCTGTGAAGGAAAAGTTTGGAAAAAAACTCTATGATGCATTATTAAGGTAGGTGCTTGAAATGCTTTCTACTTCAATCACTTAAGGTTTCACTATTCAAATTTAACAATTTAGACATCATAACTTATTAATTTTGTTCCAAATATCAAGGAATTAATAACCTTTGAAAATGTGTTATGTCATGTGAACAGTATTTTACCCTTCATTTGACAAAACTTGTAAATAGCTGTACAAATAAGAATACATTTATATGCAGGCAAGTTCTAATTCAATGATGAACTCATTAAGGGTTGATATGTCAGTCTGAAGCTGAGAGAGACTTCATGAGATTTTAATTCAAAATATATATTGACAATGTGTATTAAATATGTACTTAAATATTAAGTCTATGTGAACACATTTACTTAATAGAATAATCAACATTATTTATTAAAATACATGAAATATATAATATATAATCTGATGCTTAGGAATCACTGAATTAGTGCCAGCTGTTTTTATTTTTGTTATTAACATTTTTTCCCTGCAGAGGAGAAATTCCTGACCTGAACGATATTTTAGATCGAGATGATCTAACAATTATGAAAAGAGCCATCTTTTCAACTCAGGTAATAAGGAAAAAAGCACCCACTATGTCCCATAGTTATTAAATTCTATCTAATCAGTATTTTAATTTATTGGAATGTGCTAATTTGGAACATTTTCAGACCTGAGGCTAGAAAAGACATTCTTACATAGTCACTTAAATGATTACTTTGGACATTTTTTCATTAGTGGTTTTAAGAGCTCCTTTAAAACATCTCATGAAACTTGTCCTTCCACTTGCTTACAAAATTATTTTTGAATTAATATATTCAATATAAAAATTATGTATAGTTTAGTAACTACAAAAAAGTCCTAAATACTTCCAAAACATAGAATTTGAGTCACATTAGAGAAAAGAATATTTCTTAGTCGAGTGGAATTATTACAAAGGAGATAAAACAAATGTGTCAGGCTTGCATCAGAATGCTTGTTATAATAGGGAAGAATCAGATACTGGAGGACAGCCTTGCTAAAAGAAATCAGTAAAGTTCATCTTAAGTCAAGACTTCAGGACACCTTTATATTCCAAATAAGTCCCGGAAGCAATCAAGAAGTCCAGGTCTCTCATATAGTAGCTGCAGGCGGAAAACAAAAGCTTCATGTATTCATAGCATGCAAAGGAGATTCTTCAACCCATATCTTCCTTTGACACACACACAAGACTTAGTCATCATCATTAGTGCCATCTCAAAAGACTGAAGGTGTGAAGGTTGGATGAAATGTCAATGACCTATTGTTGAAATTAGTCACCCTTATTAATTCTTTCCGCAATTGATATTTCCTTCCCTCTCATACTTCAGCGACAGTCATTGCCCCCAGTGACCACGCACAACATGATTGATGACTCCACCGACCCCATCCTCAGCACCATTAGACGGATTGGACTTTTCAACAACCGCACAGATAGAGTCAAGGTAGAACAAATTGTTCATGTGGCGAACTTTAAACTTACTTAAAATATATTTTCTGAGAATTTATTAGCTTTCCTTAGTTGTTTTTACATCTACAAGAAATATTTTAAGTATTTTAAAGGAAAATGGGTTCAGTTTCTTGTCTTGGATAACTAAAGTATAATGAATATTTTGGTATAATTCTTGAAAATTGAAGCATATTCATAGCTTTGAGCTACAATTCTAGCATTTATTTCCACTGTACAATACTGCTAATAAGCATAAGGAAATTACTTACTTTTTTATTTCTTTTTTTTCTTTTTTTGAGACGGAGTCTCGCTCTGTCGCCCAGGCTGGAGTGCAGTGGCGCTATCTCGGCTCACTGCAAGCTCCGCCTCCCGGGTCCACACCATTCTCCTGCCTCAGCCTCCCGAGTAGCTGGGACTACAGGCGCCCGCAACCATGCCCGGCTAATTTTTTGTATTTTTAGTAGAGACGGGGTTTCACCATGTAAGCCAGGATGGTCTCGATCTCCTGACCTCGTGATCCACCTGCCTCGGCCTCCCAAAGTGCTGGGATTACAGGCGTGAGCCACCGCGCCCGGCCAGAAATTACTTACTTTTTAATGATACCAATTATTCTAAGAATTATTTGAATGAAAGAATCGTTGATATTAACATGGATAGTGTTTGTTTCTTTCTAATAAAGTTCAACTTAAGGGGATAATATGAGGAACTTCCAGTTTCAGAGAATGTGGCTGATAATGTTTTTATAAAATTTTCTATAGAGCAATTCATTCTTTTGACTTGAGTTTCCACAATGACTAGGCACAATGTTACTTGCTGAGGGCATTTATATGAATAAGAGCTGGTTTCTTCCACTGTGGACCTTAAACTATATGATGTTTACTGAGGGCCTGCTGTATTCCAGGCATGGTTTTGGATATTGAAGACAAAGATGAACATGCAAACAGATAATTGCTTACCTCTACTAAGCTCCATCCACTAATGTTCAAGATCAAATAGCCACAATGAATCTTTTCAAATGAACCCATTTTCACTTCTTTCTTTCATTTTTAGCAGATGACCTAATTGATAATTAAATAAATTATGAACTCCTTCAGTGTCCCCCCCATGCTGGCCCCAAATGTAGATTTTGACCTATCCTTACATTTTTTCCTTCAGGTTCTTACAACTATTCTAAGATTTCAATCCCCACATTCTTAGGAAACTTGCCTTATCTTTTTTCCTTCTGTTGTATTGTACATTTCATTCTTATCACTAGCTTCTTCTCTTGCTATCTATAAATATTCCTTAAATTTCTCCATGTTAAAAAAATCAAACAAATAAATTTGGCCTTCACCCTCTTTCCCTTTGATGTTTTTACAAAACCATGGGAGAGACGGTTGCATGTAGAAAAGGTCATCCTTAGTGACTGATGGATACTGGGAGTAAGAAAGAGGGAAAATTCAAGAATAATAGCCTCTTGGCTTTAGTATTTAACCAATGCTTCCTAAAAATCAAAACAAGTCTTTCGCACAAACTGGTTTGAGGATCATGTCATGAACTGAGTTCGGTTTCTGATTAATTGAGTTTGAGTTACATGTGAGATATAGAACTTGAGATGTTTAATGGGCACTGAGAAAACATAGGCCTGGAGCTTATGAGGGCAACCTTGAAGGAGAGACATTGGTGCATGGGCAGCAGTGGACATCAATGAATGATGACCCTGACACACTCAAAACCAGGTTGAGGGCTGGGTGCGGTGCTTCACACCTATAATTCCAGCCCTTTGGGAGGTTGCGGTAGGTGGATCGCTTGAGGCCAGGAGTTCAAGACCAGCCTGGGCAACATGGTGAAACCCTGTCTCTACAAAAAATACAAAGAAATTAGCCAGGTGTGGTGGTACACGCCTGTAGTACCAGCTACTAGGGAGGCATAAGTGGGAGGATTGCTTGGGCCCTGGAGGTAGAGGCTGCGATTGTGCCACTGCCCTCCAGCATGGGTGACAGAGTGAGACTCCGCCTCACAAAAAACACAAAAACAAAAATTAAAAAGACTAGGTTGAATGAGTAGAGAAAAATGTCAATCCAAGGAAACTTCAAGATTTAAGAGAAAATTAGAGGAAGAAAAGTCAGGGAAAGAAAGAGCAGAAAATAAAAAGAAAAATATTTCAGAAATTGAGGTAGGAGAAACTTTCTTAATTGTAGGAAGACCTCATGATACAGCATTAAGTAACACAAGCAGTTTATAAAATGTTCCATGCTGTGGAACATTTATATCAAACATATCCACATGCACATAGATGGCCCTAGGCCATAGAATTGTTACTGAGATGCCATGTTTTTGATCTGGGTCCCCTTGCTGGTGGGGCAGAAAGCCAGTTACTGAGAAAATGAGTATTGCCAGGGAAGAAGGCTTTTTCAGGTGCTGCAGCCTAGGAGAATGAGAGATCAGCCTCATACTCATCTCCCCATCTGACTAAAATTGGGGGATTTATATAAACAGGGAAGGAATGTAAAACAGGAATTAGGAAAGGATAAAGAAGCAATCATGAGGAATGAGGGTTCTGGCATCTCATTGTCTGGATGTGATGATCTGGTGAGCTTCAGTCCCTTACCTGAAGATCAGTTTCCTAAGGGAGGAACTCAGATGAGACAAATGTAAATTTCAAGTTTTAAGATCAGAAGTGTCAATTTCTATGTTTATTTAAAAACCAGTAAGTATTATTTCTATAGGACTATGGGGCCCCTTTCATTATAAGTGGTTTTTATTTTCTCATTTGTGTTTCTGTATTTCTGAAATATCTACACCTAGCACACCTCCTATAATAAGTGAGCTACATCCCTGGGAATGCAGGAATGTATCCATCAAAGTGAAAATAATACTAAGGGACAGAAATAATTTCTAAGAGATAGAAAAATCTATCCCTTAGATTTTTTAGTATTATTATATCCACAGAGACTTATACTTCATTGCAGAGTATGTCAGTACTAACTAGGCCTCATTCTCATATAGTTTAACCTAAGCTGGTCTTTCTGTCTCTGTCTCCTGGAAAGGAAATAGTAGAGGCAGGGAAAGTTTATTTCCCTGTAGACTTCTGTTTTTCTCAGAACATTTTGTGTCACACTTTTATCTAAATCTATAGGTCTTTTTCTGAGGATCTGTCTGCTGCCTGGCACATGTTACGTACAATACATGCAGACAGAAGGGAGGGATGAGGGAAAGTGGGAAAAGGAGGGATGGGTCATGCAGCTGGCAATAGTTCATGCTTCCCTTGGCCTTGGGAAGACTGAGGCTGGAAGGTTCATTGAAATTGGACGTTCTAAATGAAGAATGCCTTGCTGATCCGTGTTTTAAAAGTGTTTTGCATCAGTGAAACAATTTTCCAGGAATGGAAAAGTACCTTATTTCCTAAACATACGTAACACTTACATACCTCTGTGTCCTTCCTGATGTTATCATCTCTTCTGAAATACTCTTATCTGTTATTCTAACAATTCTTCTGGGTTCCAACCTAAAAGTCGTTATTTCCTTGCACCTTTCCCTAACACACATTCCTCTACTCCAGACAGGAACGGTTGTTTCCTTATCTGTATTCTCGAGACACTTTATATCTGCTATAGTTATAGGAGTGATTACAATAAATTGTGTTTTAAAAATGTTATGTGTCCATTTTTCTAGAATAACTCAGTTATTTGAGGCAGCAATCATTCTCATATGTATTGTCTCTGTTTAGGTTCTCTGAGAAGCAGACACCAAGGTGAGATTAGATATGCGAAGGACTAATTAGAGAAAGCCCTGTGAAGGATGAAGGGGTCGAAAGCAAGTACAGGCAGGGAGATGCAGGTCATGCAGGTCAATATACCCATGAGGAGAGAGCAGGAAGGAAGGATGATGTAGGAAGAACCACAGACTGCAGCCCAGATTTAAAAATGCCTCAGTCTGTCCTTCCTCCCTCCCTCCCTCCTTCCCTGCCTCTCTCCTTCCCTTCCTCACTTCCTTCCTTCCTTGCTCACTTCCTTCCTTCCTCACTTCCTTTTTTCCTTCCCTCCTTCCTTCCTTCCTTCTTCCTTCCTTCCTCGCTTCCTTCCTTCCTTCCATTCTTCTTTCCTTCCTAGAAAGGAAAGTCAATGTATTTAATAAAAAAACAAGAATTAATAAAAATTGGCTAATATACAAAAAATATACACACAGCAGCAGCACTTGTGCCTCACACAGGGGAAAAGCAGTGGTCGAAGACCACTCAACATGGCTTTTCAGTTAATGGAAGAGAAAAAGGAATACATACATATACATGTACACAGACAAATAGGAAAAATAGTTTTCGATAGTGTAATCTACAGCTAACACAAATTCAGAACTATTTTACAGTGCTTCATTTCTTAATACAAAAGAAGCCTATTTTATGTGTGTGTGTGTGTGTGTTATATGTGTGTATAAATTGGTTTACTGTTAACTTATTTTAAATATATTAGTGTTAATGTTACTACATACCACTTTTTCCTGTATTCAGCAACCTTTCCATTCTGTTTTACCTTTATATGTACCTCCCACTTACCAGAATAGTTTCAGATTGGCAGACAGATAGGTGTCTGATTCTATGAGCAATTGAATATGGATTCCTATTAATAGGGATAGGGATTCCCCAAACAAAAATTGCCCATTAAAGGCACCTGTTGGGCAGAAATGACTTCACACTGGTACCAGTTTCTGCCAGTCCTGTAAGTTAGGAGCAGCTGCTGCAATAGATCCAGAGGGAAGGCAATTGGTGCTGTCAGTCAAGATTCCTGGGGCTAAGATCTCTAGAAGTAAAGCTGAGCTATATTTCCAGGGTTGGCAGATCTATAAAGAAGGCAGCAGACTAAGTCCATGAAGACTGTATTTAAATCCCTGACACTTATCAATTTTGTAAATTCACTTAATCTCTCTGCACTTCAGTCTTCTCATCTGTGAATGGTCATAAAATAACCCCACACTCATAGAACTGTAAGGATTAAATTAGACATAGGCCAAGCGCAGTGGCTCCTGTCTGTAATCCCAGTTACTCAGAAGACTGAGGCGGGGGGATCACTTGAGGCCAGGAGTTTGAGGATGCAATGACCTATGAATGTGCCACTGCACTCTAGCCTGAGCGACAGAGTGGGACCCCATCTCAAAAAGAATTCATAAATAGGTGCTGCATTTAACAGCTTGGCACATAGTAAATACATAATAAGTATTAGCTTCTTTTAGTTCTTAGCCCAGAATCTGACACATGATGGGAACTCATTATTTTTAGGAGAGATGTGAATAGGGTTTGGTGAGAGGTGAAGAAAGCGGATTTATCTTCTCCTGCAGGATTTGGTAAGACGTTTTATAAAAGAGATGACGTGTTAGCTAGATCTTGATTAATGATCTGGAATTTGTCATGCAAATAACAGGAAAGGGGACTCACCAGGCAGAGAAAAAAAGTAGAGGAGAAGGCACAGAGATATCAAAGCACATGACTTTCATAGGGTGAGTGGAGATGAAAGTTTGTCTCATAATTTATGTCTACACAGTTAAAATGAATATTTTGAGATGCTCATTTATTATCATAAGGCAGCCACAGACACACACACAAAATAAATGTACAGCACCTTCCTGACATTTGCTACATACTCAAAGCACTGAGAGAAACTCCCATCAATGCAGAATTAGGTATTATATTTTATTAACAATTCTTCAAAAATTTGGCAATAACTTAGGCCTGTGCTGATTTAAGTGCCTATTTAATCACCTGCTTAAAGAACTGTGTAGAATGGTTCTAAACTCTCAGAGTGCATTGATAAGTTTTTGATATGAATGTCATATTTGATTCAGCAAACATTGCAGATCATTTTGAATTTGAATTTATTTATCATTTTGCCTTAGCTACGTAGTGTGGTGAGGAAAGCCCAGGCTGAAGATTTCATGTCTCAGCTCTGGGCTGCCACGGTGTAAAAATAAACTAACTTCCTGAGACCTTACTTCTGTCCTGGAATAAATAAAGAGTCAGACAAGCCTTTGTCTCTGTTTCTTGTTTTGTTTTTCCTACTGATCTAGGTAGGGTCTGCTGTGAGCCAGGAGCTTTCCTGGGCGATTTTTGTACAGGATCTCATTTAATCCTCTTTATAACCTTCAGCTGACCTCTAATATCCCTTCCTCATCCCTGGGCTTCTGCAATTGGCTGGTTTAGAGCCAGAGCAGCTGTTTTCTTATTTTAGTTATGCTGTCATTCTGTTTGGCTGGGAGCAAAACAAATGAACCATGGTGTTTTCATGTTCCAAAATGGGCTTTGGAGAGGGCAACTTTTCCTAAGCTTGGAAACGCTAAAGTAGACACAATGCTTTTCAAATCCCCCTTTCTTGTTCTTTGCCAAGAGAGTACAACGGGTTGCCAGTTTGATGATTGCCCAGATACAGTATCTGTGTCTTTTGTCTTTTTTTGTAGTGAGCTACTTTGCACATAATAGGAACTCAAATCATGTTCTATGAATGAAAATATTGTATTCACTTTTACTTTGCCATTTTTTAATTTCTGTGATTGAATTCTTAAGTACTGGGGTTTGCATATCATTTTATTCTTAAGTTTAACTTATCTCTTACTTATGGATCTGCTGAGATATAATTAATGTTTGTAATGTCCTTGAGGATCCAAGGGGTAAATCTCTCCAATAAAACAAAGACTTCAGACTTTTTTTTTTACTTTAATCCTTGGCATATGATAAGATTATAAAGTGATAAAATCAATTTAAAATTGATAATTCAACAGCCCTCTTTATGTCTTATCTTCTTTACCAATTGCACAAGGTCACTAAGATTAAATGAGGTAATATGTATATTTATAGTATATAAAATGTTATACAATATAATGATAATTGTTACATACCCAAGTTAGGGTTTTTCTTCAAAGTAATCTCTTCTGAAGAATGCATACTTATTATTTCGTGAATAAACATGAAAAGTGTCTATTCTCACTCATAGGTGGGAATTGAACAATGAGATCATATGGACACAGGAAGGGGAACATCACACTCTGGGGACTGTTGTGGGGTGGGGGGAGGGGGGAGGGATAGCATTGGGAGATATACCTAATGCTAGATAACGAGTTAGTGGGTGCAGCACACCAGCATGGCACATGTATACGTATGTAACTAACCTGCACAATGTGCACATGTACCCTAAAACTTAAAGTATAATAAAAAAAAATTAAAAAAAAAAGAAAAGTGTAGAGTGCTTGTGTAAAAATAGTTTGTCTTCTTTCTCTCTTTCTCTGTTTTTGAAATGGAGTCTCGCTCTGTCGCCCAGGCTGGAGTGCAGTGGCACGATCTCCGTTCACTGCAACCTCTGCCTCCCAGGTTCAAGGCGATTCTCCTGCTCCAACCTCCTGAGTAGCTGGGACTACAGGTGCATGCCACCACACCCAGCTGATTTTTGTATTTTTAGTGGAGATGGGGTTTCATCATGTTGGCCAGGCTGGTCTCGAACTCCTGACCTCAGGTGATCTACCTGCCTCAGCCTCCCAAAGTGCTGGGATTACAGCAGTGAGCCACGGTACCCGGCCTGTCTCCTTTTTCTTTGTCTTTCCTTTTCCTTCCAGAACAATTCAGTTCTAAAGCCATTTGGTGGGCAACATAAGGTAGGTATCTGCACTAGAACAGGGAGGGTGCTGTGGAAGTCCAGAGAAAGGCATCAGAGTCCAAGCAGTTTGAGAAATGTCTACACAAAGAGGAGCAGCCTAAAGCAGTGTCAGAGCCAGAATGGAGAGAGGAGGGCATCCGTGCATGTGAGGGAGTGTATGGAGAAAGATTAGTTACACAGAAGAAGATTGACCCAATATGTAGCAAATTAAAGGTAGTAAAAACCAGGGGTGTGTGTGTGTGTGTGTGTGTGTGTGTGTGTGTGTGTTCTTTCTGTCTACTCAGAGCACTTGGGGGAAGTAATAGGCCAATGACAATGAGCACACCTAGTAGCCACGTCTTGATTGCTAAATGCCATTTGCTACTAAAGGGAACCAGGGCTGCCTTTAGAATTGGCTGATTTTAGAACTGTGACAGGTAAAGTACAAGTTGAGCCTGGAACTTCTTGTGTCAAAAATCAAAGAAATGCTCAAGGAACAATGAAGTTTTGTTAAATATATACAGAAACAAACTTGAAGGAGCTCCCACTGGCCAAATCATGGACAATTTGAGTGTCAAAATAAATAAAGATAGTAAGGAATTAGGATGCATTGAATGACATAAGGAATCAGAAGTCCAATACAAATATTAATTAAAAGTTTAATTAGGAATGAGAGATTTACACAGCTTCGAAATAACTGCCTCAATACTTGTTAATAACAAAGAGTAAAAAGAATAACTTTATAGTGGAGAAGCCAAAAAGTCTTGGCCTTAATCAAGAGATCAAAATAAACATCATCATTAATGAAAAAAATAGAAAACCTTTACCACCTGATTAAAATGCAATGAAAAGAACACAGCACCACTTCTGTGATATATCTGCCAAAGATGTGTGAACTAAATCTAATTATGAAGAAGCGTAAGACAAACCCGCATTGAGGGACATACATCAAAATAAATATAGTCTTCAAAAATACCAAAGTCAGAAAAGCCAAAAAAGCCCATGAACTCTTCCAAATTGAAGGACTCTAAAGCGATGTGACAACTAAATGTAATATGTAATTCTGAACTGGATCCTTTGGTTTAAAAATCACTATTTGAATCATCAGAAACACTTAAATGGGGTTTAAGAATTATACGGTAGTGATGCATCAATGTTAATTTCCTGACTTTTATGTTTGTGTAAGATTATGTAAGAATGCTCTTGTTTGTGTATTTCCCACAGTACAGTTTATGAATGGTTCTGAAAATATATGAATTCTCTTCATATTGTACTTGGAACTTTCTGTAAATGTGGGATTCCCAGTACTTTTATATCAGATGTCACTTATTTTCAATAACCCCTTAGGTATGGGTGAGGCTGAGAGATAATCTAATAATAGCTCAGTGATAACTGTAGTAAGTGGGAGAAATAGGATAATTCATTCACAGAGTTAGCAAGTTAAATAGCTATTCTAGTCACAACTTTCCAATTATAGCCATGCTCTTGTCATTAGTAATATTTTGTGCCACTCACATTGTAATGGCTACAGGTACAACACATTTTAAGGCTAAACCTGAACTATTAATATTTTTCCATTACTTTCTTGAGTCCAGAAATCAATACACAGTAAATCAAGCCATGATTTGTAGTATATGCCTATTTTCATTCTATGAAAACTCTCACTGCCACCAAGGCCATTGTCAAGCTACCAATGCGATGTCACTGAATTAAGAGAAAATAGTAGGAAATAGAAGGAGAAAATAGCATGTTGGGCAAAATACGTGCCCCCCACCAAAAAAAAGCGCTGGGAAAAATAGCACATTGTGCAAATTAATTGACTATATAGAATTGACAATATGGAGTACTGTATATATACATTTTTAATAGACTTTATTTTTAGAACAGTTTTAGGTTCACAGCAAAATTGAACAGAAAGTACAGAATATCGATGCTCTTGTTTCTGCGTTTCCAGTGTGGGCCCAGAACTGGCTCATACAAGTGCACAAGAGCCAGTAGTTAAATGTTCAGAAGCTTTGTGAACCAGTTTTAAATACAGCTATTGCTAAAATTAAATTATATAAATTTTAAAATAAGTCAACTATATTAAATGAAAGGTAGTTCTCAAAATTCATCACATCCTAATTATTTACTTCATATTACTATGACCTATGCAGTTGAGACTCTATGTCTGTCAGATCTTCGTGGTGCAAATGCTTTATAATGATGTGCTACTGCTTTCCCTGTCTCTGAATTCGGCAACATCATATTGGTAGCTTAAAAATGGCCTTGGTGGTAGTGGGAGTATTTATAGAATGAAAATAGGCAAACACTACGAATCATGGCTTCATTTACTGCGTATTGATTTCTGGATCTGTAACCTGTACATTGTGAGTGGCAAAAAAAAAATTTTCTCCATGTTCAAAAACTAATATCTGACCCAGCAAAGAAGTCACTTGCATTACTGATGAACTCATGAAGTTCCAACAAATGTCTCTGTTATTTCCGCTCCTTCTACTCATTAACAAAGGAAATCAACCAACATTTATGTCAGAGCTATATTCAGCCATCAATTGAAACCATAAATTGGTTATGAATACAAAATTTTGGAAAAATAAAAATAGCAAATTGTGAGAATTAATTGACTATATAGAATTCACAATAAGGAGTATTGTATATATCCACTTTTAATAGAGTTTGCTTTTTAGAACAGTTTTAGGTTCACAGAAAAATTGAACAGAAAGTACAGTGTCCATTTGCTCTCTGGCCCTTCCCATGCATAGACTCCCCCATTATCAGCATCCCCCAAAGTGGTATATTTGTTCCAGTAGATGAACCTACATTGGCACATAATTACCACCCAAGATCCATAGTTTACATTAGGATTCACTCTTGGTGTTATACATTCTATGGGTTTTGACAAATGTATTCATCATCATAGTATGATACAGAATAGTTTCACTGCCCTAAAAATTGTCTATACTCTGCCCACTCATCCCTCCCTCACCCCTGACGCCTGGAAACCACAGATCTTTTCACTGGTTCCATAGTTTAACTTTTTCAAGATTGTCACACAGTTGAAATCATACATCATGTAGTATTTTCAGATGAGCTTCTTTCACTTAGTAGTATGCATTTATGTTTCCTCTATTTATTTTCATGGCTTGATAGCTCATTTCTTTTTAGCACTAAATAATATTCCATTGTCTGGATGTACCACAATTTATGTATTCATTCACCTACTGAAGGACATCTGTGTTGCTTCCAAGTTTTGGCAATTAGGAATAAAGTTGTTATAAACATCTACATGTTATAACATCTTTTGTCATTTGGTAACTGTATATACATCATTTATCTCATTAAAAATTACAACAAATTTAAGTATTAATATATATTTATACTTCAGTGTCTCAGTTCTTAAATATTTACCAGCATACCACTGCTTAGAAGCCATGGTAAACACTTTGGCTTTTACTCTGAGTAAAATGGGAAGCCACTGAACAACTTTGAGCAAGGGAATGACTGACATTTTTAAAGGATCAATCTAGTTGTGTTGAATAGAGACCCCAGTGGGACAGAAAGAAGCAGGCAAGTATGTTAGGAGGTGATGGTCTCTAGCTGAGAGAGGAGGGAGGTTTGCACGAAGTCCTCTAGCATGATTTAATCTAGATGGCATTCCTAGAACATCTTCCCTGTCCCTTAGTTCCATTTCAGTTGAATAACTCATGCTTAAGGCATGTAAGAGTGGTCTGTTACACAGCCCCCTCTTCCCTGCTCAAGTTGGGAACAAATAGATAAAAAGACAAGAGCAATTAGATAACCAAATATAAGGTTTATTGCATGTCAAAGCTGGACTGGAGGATATAGTTTAGTGTGAGAGCAAAAATGAGCACTCTAACTCCTTATCCTTCAACCTAAGCCTTGGAACCTGAGGGAAAGTTAAATATGCAGCATAGACACTTCTACAGAATGGAGAGAGGAGAACAAACCACCACGGCTTTTTTCTTTTTCTTTTGTCTTATCTCTTTTTTTCTTTCTGAATCTAGAACATAAGGATTCTATAGTAGAGTACTGAAATAACCAAATTGTAGGAGATTTTTCACTTTACTTGCTCCTTTTTCTTTTTTTTTAAATTAGAATTTTCCTTTTTTAGGTGATTTTGCACCCAGAGTTTCTATCCTCCACCAGTCCCTTACTACCCATGGACTATGAAGAGTTTGTTAGAGGTTGTCATCTTGGAGTATTTCCATCATACTATGAACCCTGGGGTTATACTCCAGGTATGTGTCATGTATAGAGTGTGGAATGTTTTGAATTTTGTTAGTATATTATTTTATGTGCATATATATAATATTCAAAGTTGATATTAAATTTCTAATAAGATTTCAATTCTTCAGTTTTAAAAAATTTTGGTTGGATTTATCACAGGGATTAATTTATGATTTGTAGATAATTACTTAAGAATAAGGATGAAGATTATATAAGTATACCACGGTTTGGGCATATTTTAGGAGGTATGTGAGGTATTGCCTCATTGAATTCCAAAGAAAAAGGAATGTGATATAAAGGTTGTATCTTATTTAGCTATCTCTATCTGCCCCATTTATTAGTGTGAAGGAGAAATTGACTGTAAGTAGGATTAATATAATAAATAATAGTCTAGCAATGTTGTTCTTTAAAAATTATTTTAGAATAATTCTTTTTAAAATTTAATGAACATATTTAATATGTAATGGGTAACACAGTCATATGGTTAGGGAAATAAATATAAAAAGGTGTACAGTGAAAAGTCTTCTTCACATTCTTGTGCCTCAAAATAAAAGGTACTAAGAGAGATTAGCAATTCAGTGGTATTGTCAACAATGACATCATTCCATTCAGAAACTCCTCCTTCTTCACCCTCCTTTGTTATTTTATTTTATTTTATTTTTTAACAGATGGTAGTTTCTCAGGTTTACTATGTATTTTTCTTTTCTGGACCGAACTGGCATGGTTGCCATTAGCATCAAGAGCGACCAATTTGTACTTGTACTGAAATGTCTAATTAAAAGGGAAACAAATACTTTAAATACATGCCAATGCAAAGAATACAACAATAACTTTTCCATCTCTTATTAATAATCAGATATTTTTCTGCCCAATGTAAATAAAGTTTCACTTGTGATTTTATTATTATTTCTTTGAGACGGAGTCTCACTCTGTCACCCAGGCTGGAGTGCAGTGGCATGATCTTGGCTCACTGCAACCTTCGCCTCCTGGGTTCAAGAGATTCTCGTGCCTCAGCCTCTTGAGTAGCTGGGATTACAGGCACACACCACCACGCCTGGCTAATTTTTGTGTTTTTAGTAGAGACAGGTTTCATCATGTTGGCCAGGCTGGTCTCAAACTGTTGGCCTCAACTGATCCACCTGCCTTGGCTCCCCAAAGTGGTGGGATTATAGACGTGAGCCATCACACCCGGCCTCTTCACTTGTGACTTTTAAAAAGTTCAGAAAACATTTTTATTTATAATTGAGATAGTAAATGTTGCCTTTTGTATCTCAATGTTATCATTGATATAAAGCTCAAGTAAGGAGCAGCAGAGGCCAAGGTGAGAGGGAATAATAGGCTGAATTATGAAGAGGAAGAATTTTTTCTATTATTTGCATCTTTATCCTAGAATTAAAATACAGAATTTAAAAGTCTACAAAAATAGGATCCTGTATTATTTACAGCAGGAACAACATGAGGGCTGGGCATGTTTGGTCATAAGGTCCTATTCTATTGTTCTAGCTTCACCAAGCATAATTTGCCAGCAGCTATAAAAACTTTAAAATTTCTTGGGGAAAATAGACAAAGGATTGTCTTGAAACATGACATAGGAAATATTTGTATCTAACTCTTCCGGGTATCTCTCTTGCAGATCTAAAAGTGGCCTACTTTTGTGAAGGTGGTGTCTTCTTACTTAGGAAATGTCCACATAAATATCTCAAATTGCTTGCAATGCACTATCTTTTGAGATACATAAAGCACACGTTTCACTGATGAACTTAACACTTTGTTTTTGACCTTGTTCTTATTATTTCTAGTAAAACAATTTACTATTGGAAGTATCATGGATAGAAGAGTATACAACCAAATGCATGAGTGACTGAGGCAATGTGGGAAGTCCTTTCTGTCGGGTCAAGAAAATGTTATAGAACTAACAGCTGACTGTCCACCAAAGTGTCATTTTATAGGGCAAAGTTAAACTTAACAACCCAAAATGATAGAGGAGATATATCTACTGTTTTAAGATAAAGGCCAAAGAAGATGTTACAAAGGATATTATAAATAGACAAATAAGGGAGTTTGTGGAATAGTCCATAGTGAATGAGTCATGCTGTGTTTTACATTAACCAAAGGGAGCTGGTCACTCTTCCCCTAACCTATAGTTACAGGAAGAATGCGACTTCTGGTGGTATACATTTAACATTAGCATATTAGATAACTTGCTAATGTTTTTAGAATAATCTTTTTACGTGTTACTAGACTTAACTCACTCTAGAAAGCATTCATCCAAATGTGTTTTCAGAGAGCCAAATAAATATAAGCATTTATTTCATTAAATTAATTCAATGAACATATACTAAACTTCATGGGTGCCTGGAATATTACTACATAGTGAATTGATGGCCATTTAATAAACATGAAGGATCTGTGAACTTTCACGGCATTGTAGACAAAATTTTGTATACATATGTGTATAAGAATATTTCTCTTCATCATCCTCAGCAAACTAACACAGGAACAGAAAACCAAACACCGCATGTTCTCACTCATAAGTGGGAGTTGAACAATGAGAACACATGGACACAGGGAGGGGAACATCACACATCGGGGCCTGTCGGGTTGTGGGGCGAGGTGAGGGAGAGCATTAGGACAAATACCTAATGCATGCAGGGCTTAAAACCTAGACGATGGGTTGATAGGTGCAGCAAACCACCATAGCACATGTATACCTATGTAACGAACCTGCACGTTCAGCACATGTGTCCCAGACTTAAAGTAAAATTTTTTAAAAAAGAAAATAAGAGATACTCTCCAACTCCCAACTCCCATAGAAGGTGGAGCTGAGTCCAGGAGGAAGTCTGAGGAAATAAAAGTGTGTAAAAATTAAAAAAAGAAGAATATTTCTGGAGAGGAGTTCCAAAATGTTCATCAGACTCTCAAAAGGGCTGATAGTCCCCATCCCACTTTCCTCCTCTGCACCACCCACCACTAAAATTAGAGAACCACAACTCCACAGCTATACAGCTAAACCAAGAGGAAACATTTGCAGAGCAAGAGATAAGGTTGCTGTCTAGATTGTATTACTTCATGGGTAATGGGAAGATCTTTTTTTCATCCAACTCCACTCACCAACCAAGGGTAATTCCATTATCAAATATAAATTCCTAAAAATGTAGACATCCTTGAGACTAGTAAAATTTTTAAGACATATCAGTTATTTCCTGGAAAACAGATTTTGATTAAAAGGTGAGGGAGGACTGCAAGAGATCATCCATTTATTGAGCTCCTGAGAGAGTGGAAGGAATATGTGCCAAGGGAGATTTAAATGGGGGAAGAAGCTGGTCGCATCCAAAACATATTTAACCTACCTCATAAACTTGCCAAGTACTTAGAAACACAGGCTAGAAAGAAGCAAGAAACAAAACCAGCTGGGATTGAAGCTGCAGTGGAGCCCGGCAGTTCCGCACAAGGGTTCTGCAGCCGGGTGCCTGACTTCAAATCCCAGCTATACCACGAACCCTGGCTTTGTGAAGGTGGGAAAGTTATTAATTTCTCTGTGCCTCATTTCTTCAGCTGTAAGATGGGGATAATGATGGCCCCACTTCACAGGGTTGTTGAGAGATTAAATAAGTTAGTGAGACATGTAAAGAGTTTAGTGTTGTGACTGACACATAGTGAACATTGCTATTCTTAGGAGGACTAGGGCCTTTTCCTCCTCTGAGTGCATACAAGGATATAGGCGCTGGTCTGAAGCCAAGCTTTGGTCTATTTCCCCTGGCAGCTGAATGCACTGTGATGGGTATCCCCAGTGTGACCACGAATCTCTCCGGGTTTGGCTGTTTCATGCAGGAGCACGTGGCTGATCCTACTGCTTACGGTGAGGGTTTTCATCATTAACCCATGCTGGGGAGACATGACCTCTAACCAAACAAAGCACAGGGTCTTTACAGAGCCTAACTCTAAAGCTATCCTGATAATTAAACTAATGTTTTTATATTTCTTGTTTAATTAAAAGTCAATTTAGGCTGGGCACAGTGGCTCATGCCTGTAATCCCAGCACTTTGGGAGGCCGAGGTGGGTGGATCACTTGAGGTCAGGGGTTCGAGACCAGCATGGCCAACACGGCAAAATCCCATCTCTACTAAAAATACAAAAAAATTAGCCAAGTATGGTGGTGCACGCCTGTAATTCCAGCTACTCCAGAGGCTGAGGCACTATAATCACTTGAACCTGGGAGGCGGAGGAGGCAGTGAGCTGAGATCGTGCCACTGCACACCTGCCTGGGTGACAGAGCCTCAGGCTGTCTCATAAAAAAAAAAAGTAGATTTATAAATAGAATTCTGTCCTTTGCAGCAACATGGACGCAGCTGGAGGTCATTATCTTAAGTGAATTAATGCGGGAACAGATAACCAAATACTGCATGTTCCCACTTATAAGTGGGAGCTAAACATTGAATACACATAGACACAAAGATGGGAACAATAGACATCTGGGGACTGCTTGAGTGGGGAGTGGGGGAAGGGGCGTGGGTTGAAAGACTACCTACCAGGCACTATGTTAATCACCTGGGCGATGGGATCATTTGTACACCAAGCCTCAGCAGTATGAAATGTACCCATCTAACAAATGTGCACATGTACCCCCTGAACCTAAACTAAAAGTGGAGAAAAAAAAGTAGCTTTAAATATGTGGCCCACAGATAACATAAGAATGCTATTAATATTAATATATTGCCCATGAGACAAACTGCAAAAAGAGTGCAAAACTTGGACAAACTTTGTCCTTTACCTTTTTCCTCCCTGAATTTTGATCCCTTCTGCTGCCTAGAAATGATATGACAATAACCATGGTCTTAGAGTGCATATATTGGTCATTAGATAGTACATATATTATTATTATTGTTATCATTACTGTTATTATTTTAAAGGCCCGTGACAACTTAGCAAAGTTCACCTAAATTGTTTAAGATGGCAGAATAATTTGCATACCATTATCTGTCTGTTCATATTCCCTAGCAGCAAGAAAAGTTAAAATGGGATATATTGTCTGCCAATACATTGCCATTTCCCTGGGTTTTTTGTTTTTTTTTTTTTTTTTTTTTTTGGAAACATGGTCTCACTCTGTTGCCCAGGCTGGAGTGCAGTGGCCTGATCCTGGCTCACTGCAGTCTCCACATTTCTGGCTCAGGTGATTCTCCTGCCCCAACCTCCCGAGTAGCTGGGGCTACAGGCGCACACCACCACACCTGGCTAAATTTTGTATGTAGAGATGGGATTTCCCCAGGTTGCCCAGGTTGGTCTTGAACTCCTGGGCTCAAGGAATCCACCCACCTCTGCCTCCCAAACTGCTGGGATTACAGGTGTGAGCTACCAAGCCCTGGCCTTCCCTCAGTCTTTTATGGGTGTACTGTGGCTCTTTCCTCAGGCTAGATCTGGGGTTTTCAGCCTCGGCTGAACAGTGGGAACACTGGGGAACATAAAAGGCACAGATATCCAGGCCCCGCCCTGGAAATTCTGGTTAGTGAGCAACCCCATGGAGGATCACTGATCCAGCGTATCCCTAGACTGCCAGAGTTTTTTTCAGCAAGATCCACTTCGTTGGCTGTGTGTCAGTGATGGTTGTAAACCATTAGAAGGGAATTAGGGCCTCAGAAAAGAATAAAGTGGGGGTAATTCCTGAGTCAGGGGGTAGATAATGCATAGGTTTTTGATGGAACCAAAGAGTTAGTAAATCACAGGAGAACAAATGTTTAAGGTTAGTCCTACTTTTACTTGTGCTTTGGCTTTTGTGTTCTTCAGGTATTTACATCGTTGACAGGCGGTTCCGTTCTCCAGATGATTCTTGCAATCAGCTGACTAAGTTTCTCTATGGATTTTGCAAACAGTCACGCCGCCAAAGGATTATCCAGAGGAACAGAACTGAGAGGCTCTCAGATCTTCTGGATTGGAGATACTTAGGCAGAGTAAGCAAGTTTAGATAAACACAGCAGACCACTTAAAAAATTCCACTGGACTATAAACATATTGATTCTAGTCATAATCTCTAAAGTTAATCCAATATTATAATTGTTAAAATCTCAGTGTCTCCATGTACTTTTTAAAATTTAATAAGTTTACAAAGTCCTATATGTATTTCTTCATGTTTCGTTTGAGTCTATTCATAATAGCAAGTCCATCAGGATCTAGCACTGATCTTACTAGCTATTCCATTGTCAGTGCCTCACTTGATGTGTTACTGGTATAAGGAAACATTTTATGAAGTTGAAGAAAACATCAAGAGAAAAGTCCCTACTTTGTTTCTCTCTAGAGAAATAGTGTAGTCATATTTCTCAACTGTAGTGAGTAATGGGTATAATATGGTTTTTCAAAATGATGACTACAGGAAATACCTCCTTTCAATCATGCAATAGGTTTATAAACACCTGGATGCTCACACAGCTTAGCAGTGGTGATTTAATAATAAATGAATTGACTTTGCCTTCACATAATGTGTCTGTTTGCACAGTGCTGAACACTCTTGGCTGAATGAGAGATGCTGCCATTTGCTGAGTATCTGCACACACAAATGCCAGTGCTCATTACAACCTGGATGATTAATTTTACTATCTCCATCTTGCAATGAAGATAGATACACTAGGCTTTTAGAAGTGATGTTTCTTGCCTAAGGTCTGAAGCAGGATTTACACCCAATTTATCTGAATATTCAGGCCCTATCTTTTCTCCATGCCACACTGCTTCTCTGTGGAATGAAACCAGTGTTTTCAGTCACCTTAATGCTCAATTCAGAGCTCAATATGACCAGTATGGGCATTCTTCCCCAGCATTTTATAGTATTACTCTGCCTATGGGTTGAAAAATAGTAAAACTATAAACTGTAATTTCTTTCCTGAGTCTCAAACTTAGACTGCATAGATTCTGTCACTTTAAAAAATACATATGTTTCAGAACTAGGAGAATAAGGCCTTATTTAATAACTTGATTATTGAGATATCTAAGGGTTTTTATTAACCTGTGATTTGGCTTTCTATCAATAGTATTACCAGCATGCCAGACACCTGACATTAAGCAGAGCTTTTCCAGATAAATTCCATGTGGAACTAACATCACCACCAACGGTAAATATTCAATGTATTTTTTTTTGAAAGCTATATTTCTTTTTATAAGTTTAAATAATACATTTAAATTTGGAAGTAGCTATGCACACAAGCTATGATACTTTTTCATAATGTTGAATCAAACCAAAGGAGAGAGAGAGGAACTCACAAATCAGACTGTCCTAAAGCTCTCAAGACAGTTAATTCATCTCATTGGAGAAGCATCTCTGAATTAAAACTTTCTCTGCCTTAATGCTTGAAATGGTTCTGATGGACATTTATTCTTTGGGGAGTTGTTCAAAAACAAACTGGACTGCTTTAATTGAAAGTGAATTTGCTCTCCAAGGAAGTGTTTAAATATAGGGTGACCGCTTGGCAAGAGTAAAATAGAGTAAGTTCAGCACCCCAGGAGGAATTGAACTAGATGAGCATTTATGGTCCATTCATCAGTGCCCACCAGGGTGTCTTCTTCTAAAATCCAACTAGACGTTTATGTTCATAAGACTGCTATAGGCCACATTTGTCATCAGATTCACTTAGCAGGGAGAAGACATGAGGTGCCACTTGAAGCAGGGGAGCGTCAGGCATTTCTCTTTAGTGGGATCAGTCCTTGCAGTAGTCTACACAGCAATCCAAGAGCTAAACATCTTTGGCCGCCTACACACTAGGTGACAGCTTAGGTGCAAGAAGATAAGACCCATACCATTGCAAATGAGATCACCTTAGCTTAGTAGCTGCATGCCCCACAGGAGCCTCTATCTCATGTAAATCTCCGCAAACCAGCTTTCATGCTCCCTGCAAGGAATATGCCCAATTATGAGTCATCTTATAAGAGTCATTCAGAGATTCCCAAAAACTCTGGCGCCTTATCAAGTATTTATAGATTTTTCAGTTCAGATATAATTTCTCAATCAGGGGTCACTGTTACCATAAACAACCATCCCTAATAACATGACTTATATTCCACCTATATCAGGTTTCCAGAGGAACAGATCTAGAAAGTTAACCTGAAGTAAAATTTGCCCGTAAAAAAGGTGATAAGGTTTTCTTAAACCCTCAGGCTACAAATTCTGACTTTCATGTTTATGATTCTAGCATTCAGAGTTGATTGCTTAGCTTATTCAGAGGTGGTCATTCCACTTAATGATAATTCAGCAATATTCATCCATTTATCTGCTTATCTACTTATTTATCCAGTTATTACGTCTAATAAGCATTGAGCACCTACTTCAAGCTAGGTCTCAAGTGCAGAACTCAGTTCTTTTGTTGTATTGCTGACAGGTAAAGTATCTGAACCTTAAAATGACTGTACATGTATGACATGATATAATGTATAAAGTAATTGAAATACAGAGTGACGAGCGCTATAACACTTTTACACATCTGTCTCCCCATTCAATTATATGCACTCCAATCATGTTTTTTCATCTGGTTTCTTTAGTGGCATTGCAGTGTGTGTTTATCAAATAAGTTATCTCAGTATCTCAAGTAGAAGGGCAAATTAATTAAAGTCTAGTGATATTTTCTCATTAACTGAAATAACAGCAACTAGTGGAATTGTAGAGTCAATTAAGTGACCTGACTTCCAGGATGCCTTCTAGTGGTGGCCATCCATGGCATTTCCAGGCTATCCACATCCAAAAGCTTTGCTGAACAAATTTGAGACTTAGAGACTAACAGTATCAGCAGTGTAAGGTGGCAGTTGACATTAAAGTTTCTGGAGTCATCACAGACCTGGTACAAATCTTTGCTCTACCATTTATGTGCTGAGTGATGTTGGGCAAGTTACTTGACCCCTCTAACCCTCCATTTTCTTCTGTACTGAAAAAAACATATTTATCAGAGTGTTGTTAAAAGATAAGATGATAATAATATGTATATAACACTTAGCACATTTCAGTACTTAATAAAGAATAGCTATATATTGAATGAATCCCTCTTGAGATTGGTGGTATCAAAATCAAAATGAATCAAAGTTTAATAGCACCCAGACTACAAAAGATAGATAACTACTTAAAAAATTGATAGTGCATGCATAGTATTTACATCGTTGAAAGCCAAGAAACTGTTGTGATGTTTATGTCTTATTTTTGTCTTTGGCAGACAGAAGGATTTAAATATCCCAGGCCTTCCTCAGTACCACCTTCTCCTTCAGGGTCTCAGGCCTCCAGTCCTCAGAGCAGTGATGTGGAAGATGAAGTGGAGGATGAGAGATACGATGAGGAAGAGGAGGCTGAAAGGGATCGGTTAAATATCAAGTCACCATTTTCACTGAGCCACGTTCCTCATGGGAAGAAAAAGCTGCATGGTGAATATAAGAACTGAATTCTACATGTGCTGCATGAAGAGCTAATTTAAAAAAGCAAAGTAAGACTAATTATTTAAAATAAAAATGCCACAAATTTCATTTTCTCCTTCTAAGTATTACAATGGAGTTTATTCTCTGCCTAAAAAGTGGAAGAAATTGAGTGAATGACAATTTTGTAATTTAGGATAAGATCCAAGTTATTTTCCCCAACTCTTGTTTCCCCCATAAAGTTAGGCATGAGGAGGAGCACTCATTAAAGGCAGAAGACGGAAAAGTGTTTTTAAAATGGTGAATTTAAGTGGTAAGGATTTTCTCTTACTCTGTTTATTTTTAAATGATCATCATAATCCTTTGCTTACTATTTATGCAGCTTCTCTACCCCACCACACAAATTTCCCATTTCCCCCCCGAAAACCTTGATCTTACCCATGAATGTGCACTACCTACATTTTTTAAATAGCTAGGTTTTTACTGATTATTTTCATTTTTCACATGCATCAGAACCATGATTTAGATGTAGTTTTGCAGAGACAAAAATCCATGAGTGAATAGCTATCCTAAGTCCATATTTTGATGCATATTAATGGACATTTATGTCACTTTTGAAATCTAGAATTGATGTTGTAATTAATGCAAGATATTACCATGTACATGGTACCACCATCTTACTGTAACATTTTTCTATTGTTTAAATAGAAAGCCTTTTTAAAATTTGGTCAATCTTCATAGATGATAACTTGTAAAATCCAAGTAAATAAACACATTAATATTTAATAACTTAACTTTCACTGGTAATGCCTTGTTTCTTCATAGATGATAAGTTGTTAAATCCAAGTAAATAAACACATTAATATTGAATAACAACTTTCACTGATAATGCCTTCTTTAAAAATTGTTTAGACATTCGAATAACATGTGGGAAGCAGCTGTTATGAATAATTCCTAGAGAAGCTATCTTTTTAAAAAATAGAAAAAATAGAACATCTATTCAGTTGTAATAATGACAATGTCTCAACATATTCTGTGATGTGCATAGAGTCATAGATGAATGATTATTAATTTAGCCGATTTATGTTTTAAGTGTAATTAAGTCTAAATTGGCAACAAAACAAAAACAAAAATCACACTCTTGGATTGCTTTTTTGCTAACTAAGTAGTTATTCATTGTGAGTTCCACTTAACTCACAGTGAGTTCCTTTATTGACATATCAATTGGCCTTGTTCTGAAGAGGTTCTAAAAAAGTTTTGGTCTTCTCAGTGCTGGATTATTGATCACAAAAATGGAATAGCAGCAACGACAAGGTGTCAGATGGTTCAAGACCACTGGAAAACTGTAATCCAGCCCTCCTATTGCTGCAGTAGCTAGAAAAAAGTAGAAAACTGTTGGATACAAGCAGCAAATCAGACAAAAATGGAAGATAGCTGGAAATTTACTTTACTTAGATGTCCAGAAAGAAGAGAAATAATTGACCTAAAATCTAGCCTTTGACAAATGCCCTGTGGATGCCAATTAACCGAGCATCTGCAGAGCAGTTTGAAATGCTCTGTACTGGAGAGTAGAAAAAATATGAGAAGGACTTATATTATAGGCTCATTCCCTGAAGTACCAGAAAGATACTGTGATAAACTAGGGTTCACTGTTACAATAACCATGAAAATGTATCCCCAGTAAACTAGCTTAACGTGTCTATTCAAATGATACTCGATTGGTAACTGGTTGCTTGACTGTTATTGAAAACATGCCTACACAGTAAAATACCTGAAGATGTAAGTGCTTTTTGTTCAATGAAATAATAATTTGATGATAATAAGTGTGTACAAATGATAGGGCACATGGAATTTAGCTGACTTACAAATACCTGGCTTTGGCAGTATGTGTAGGAATCACCTTCTATCCTGTACTCAGTCCCCTATTCAGACAGCTGCTGCCAGGTGACTCCATCTCTCCACTGTAGTCATTTCTTCATCCTTTTCCCCAAGACCGACAAAAGCTGGTGAGGAGAAGCAAATATGATTTTTAGTAGAAGGCTCTGTGTCTAGTACAGTGCCTTGTACATAATAGTTGCATAGATAAATGGTCTTATTGGGAGACATAGAGGTTCAAAAAATTTTGCTTTTAAAGAATGTATGTATTCATAAATTGAAGGACAGGAACTATAGAAAACGTGTGTGGTGCCTGATCAGCTGAGAGAAAGACCCGTTTTATGGATTGTACCACCTGCTATGGTTTGAATGTTTGTGTGCCCCCCAAATTCATATATAGGTGCTCCTCAACTTACAATGGGATTATGTTTGGATAAACCCACTGATATTTTTTCTTTCTTCCTTTTTCTTTCTTTCTCTCTTTTTTTCTTTCTTACCTTCTCTCTTTTTTCTTTCTTTCCTTCTTTCCTTTTTCTTTTCTTTCTTTTTCCTTTCTCTCTTTATTTCTTTCCTTCTTTTTCTTTTTCTTTTTGACAAGAGTCTTGCTCTGTCACCCAGGCTGGAGTGCAGTGGTGTCATCTTGGCTCACTGCAACCTCCACTTCCCAGGCTCAAGCAATTCTTGTGCTGCAGCCTCCCAAGTATCTCAGACCACAGGCATGTGCCACCACAGCTGGCTAATTTTTGTATTTTCTTTTTAGTAGAGACAGGGTGTTGGCATATTGGTCAGGCTGGTCTTTGAACTTCTGGCCTCAAGTGATGTGCCCACCTTGGCCTCCCAAAGTGCTGGGATTACAGGCATGAGCCACCATGCCTGGCCAGCCCACTGATATTTTTAATTTATAATGGGCCTATCAGAATATAAATCCATGGTAAGTCAAGGAGTGTACTGTGTGTTGCTTTCATCCCATCATAAAGTTGAAAAATCATAAATCGAACCATCATAAGTTGGGCCCGTCTGTATTGAAATCCTAATCCCCAATGTGATGGTATCCACAAAGGAGGCAGAGCCTTTGGGAAGTGATTAGATCATGTGGACAGAGCCCTCATGAATAGGATTACTGCCCTTATAAAAGAGGCCCCAGAGAGCTGCCTTGCCCTTTCCACCACGTGAGGACACAGCAAGAAAGCGCCATCTATGAGAAATGGGCCTTCTACCAGACACTGATTCTGTTGACACCTTGATCTTGAACTTCTCAGGCTCCAGAATTGTGAGAAATAAATTTCTGTTGTTTATAAGCCACACAGTTTGTGGTATTTTGTTTTAGCAGCCTGAACTGATCAAGATACTACTGTCTCTTCCATAGTAAGAGTTAGAGTGAACAGAACTGGTTTTATATATGCAGATGAGAACATAAATGTTACAAGGTGTTATACTAATAGTTTTCCAGGGTACAAGGAAGACTCAGGAGGGGGACTAGTTAAGTCTACTTAGGGAGGTCCGAAGAGTCTTCACTGAATGAACCCAAATTTCTATGAGTACTAAGGGCAATAAAATGGCCCATTTCACACAGTTGTTGTGAGGATCAAATCAAATTAAAAATGAGCTCTTTCTAAAGGAATTTATAGCCCAGTATGAAGCGACCGAACAGAATGAAGTTACATTCCCAACTTCCCTTTCTTTGTGGTCAAGATAAAATAATGTAATTCAAGATTGTAAGATACACATTTTCATTTATCATAACCAGGTAAAGAAGAAATGCAAGCTGGAGGCTAATCTGAACAAGCCAGGGTCACTTCGCCTTCTTCTCTCCTCTCTTAGGAACACAATGATGGTATTGAGGGAGCGAAGGCAACTACTGGAAAACAAAGAATAATTAAGAGCCCAGGATGGAGGCCAGATAGCCGAGGTAGGCTATAGAGGCAAAAAAGAGAAGGGCAATGAGAACTGTGCAGAAAGTGGCTGAAAGCGCTCCCTGCAGATCAAGGTATTCTAGTGCATGTATCTGTGTGTTGAAGCCAGAAAATTCCCAATTTTAAAACACAAGCCATATAATGTGAAGGTTTTCTGATCTATGATCACTTGTTCATTTTGGTTTTTTAAAAATCTAGAAATAAACAGAATATAGACACCATAAGAGAGTTGGAAAGTTATAGAAAATTGGGAAGAGGGACCTTTTAATTAATCAGCATATTTGTACATAAGAACATTCAAGGAATTTGAGTACTTAGAATACTTGGAGCTATATTTTAACAGCTATTGATCATTGAGACAGCTTTTAAAACAATGGTTAGTATGACATTTTTGAGATTGTTCTGGTTAGTTGTAGGAAGAATTATTTCATAAGATAGATGTTAAAAGTGTTCTTTGAATACACATACTATTTTGAATAGTCAATTTGTACAATTTTATGTCTGATGGGTAAATAATTTTTAATGTCCCACCCCTCCTAATGGTGAAGTGGTTAGGACTGTATAAATAAAAGACAATGCTTTTGGAAAAAATTTTCAATAAATCAGATGTAAGCACTACCTAGTAAGTCTACTTTCAAATCAAATCATAATTAATGACAGGTGCCTATTATAATGCCATACAGATATTTTAATGCTCACAAGTTATTTTTCGACGGAGATCAACATTACATTAACTTGAATTTAGTTTCATTATTAAATTATGAAACAAGATACAGATAAATCTTATAAGCAGAGTTCTGATTACTTAACACAGTGAAATTGCAATTCCAAGTTACAGAGACATTCACATAAAGATATTCTTGAGCTACTAAATAATGGCTAAATACTGATGACAATAAGAATTAATACTTTCCACTTATGACATTTGTCAATAACAACTCTGATTAGGTAAAAAATAATTAACATGATGGTCATATTATAATTCTAAATAAATACATTATTATGTTTGCCACAGGAGTATGTGTGTATGCGTGTGTGGGTATATGTGCATGTGTGTGTATTCAGATGGTACTGAACTCAAGTTGGCTTTTAAAAAGGAAGAGATCAGGCATATTACTGTGCACTTATGTTATCAGAGTGATTTATGTAATGCTATGATGTCAAATAAAACCTAGAGTCTAGTCAATTAGAGTAAGCAGAGTACTTGAATCTGTTGAGTCTGTTTGGTCATGGAAAATGAGTTACCTCTAACAAAACTGGCTTGTTCCCTTCTTCCAATACGTAAACAACAGAGTGTGTCTCCATCTGCTTATTTCCCAGTAACTTTTAGATCCATGTTTCTAAACTGAATGCAAGGTAATTCCCAAAGAGCACAAAGGGAGCTCTGAGCTCTGGATCTTTGGCAAACCTTCTACCTCAATGACTGTCTCCTCTCAGCAACCACACTGAAGTGTTCCTATCACAGAGCTTCTCCACAGTCATCCAATTTATCTTCTTAATTGATTACTCCTGGATGAGCTATAGAGAGTCATACTCTCCTATTTCCCATCCTGCCATGTTTCTCACCTTCCTTCCACATTCTTGGGGATGGGATAAAAGGAAAACAGAGAAGGAGAATTTCTGCTGAGTGAAAACAAAATGCAAGTGGGTAACAAAATGAAAAAAAAACACAACTAAGATCAAGACAGGTACTGGCTATAGTTAAAAGGAAAGAACACTTTAGTCTTCAGCCTTATAATTATAAATATTCTAAGAAACTCAAGAGTAAGACACAAGGTGATCTGAAAACATTTTTGGTCATCTAAACAGGACCTGAAGCAATGAAAGAAGATGATGTTCTCAGCTAAGCATCCTATATATATTTTGTTTCTGAAAGAATAAAACTATCTGTGTGTGTTCTTAAGATTACAAATGGAATAAAAGGGTCCAAAGGTTTTATTCACATGGTTCATGTTTTCAAAGAGAATAGAACCATAATTAAACATAATCCAGTATATTTTCACCAGTTAAGCAGACTGTCTTCCAGGAATCTGGTTTGATCAAAGTTTTTTTCTTCATCTGTAAGAAAAAAAAATTCTTTAAAATAAATATACACTCTGCGTTTTAATAGAGGAAAAGGTAAGACAAAGAGAATCTCAGGAAATAAACATTTAGCCTTCTAAGCTATGTTAACTTATGGACTCTGCTACTGAAAATTTAAACAATATGGGCTTTGATTTGCTCAGTTTAAAATCTTTTTTTCTCAGCTTGGGACACATTGGGGAATTCATATTTTACATCTGAACCTCTATAATGACTGAAACTACAGTATGGTATGTCTGGTAAAAATCTCAAAAGTCATGTGTCTTGCTCTCACAGATTGACTTATATCTAAAATACCCACCATTAAAATAATTCACTTGCATCAAAGGACTGTCTCTTTATATTTCCTGTTAAAATGGATCTTGCTCGGGAAAGATGACATGGGAACACATTTGCAAATGTTCTTTTATTAGGGGAGCTAGAGTTCTGGGGAGGAAATGAGACAAAAAGAAGAGGCACTCGTTTGCTGGCTGGGATCGCGAAACTTTAGAGCATGAGGTATCACTTCTGAGGTGGGGATACTTAAAGAGTTAGACAATAGCAGGTTCCTGGGACTCTAAAAATAGGATAGAATGACTAAAAGTTACAATACGGTAGGGAGAAGCAGTGGCCAGGGGCAAAGTGCATCTACTAATTTCTTCTAAGATCACCTCTAGATAAAAGCACATTCTTTCAGTTAGTTGCAATATAATTTGAATGTTTGGGTTACATCTTAACCTGAATTTCTAGCACACTTTAAACCATTGCAGAAAATGGGCTTCTCTTTAAAGGGAAGGAAGAAAACAAAACAAAACAAAACAAAACCAGAACGGCGTCCCTGTATAAATTCCACTGAAACCATAATTCACTAAATAAGAGCCTTCTAAATAATAATGAGGTAGTATAGAATAAAAATACTAAAGAAGACTAGTGATTAATTTATCATATGGGAATCAAAAACTTTTCTATCAATTTAGACTAATAAAATTAGTCATTTCATCTTCAGAGACAATCCACTTAGAAAACTTCAATAATTAAAAAAATACATATTTATTTTCCAAAAAAGACTTGAGATGGGGACCTATAATCACATCCTTTCCTCAAATTGCTAATGAAGATACCTCTCCTCTTTAAAATTAGCTCTCTCTTGTCCATTATAAGTCACTTTCCTTTCTGGCTCTGCACATTTTCCCAACAATCAAATCTAAAACGTCACTATCAACCAATCTCCATCAGAGCTCTTTTCGTACTGACTCCAAAAATCGCTGGGTTCCATGTCTTGGGTTTTAAAAAGAACACCTTGGATACAGCATCCTCTACCCGTTATTCAACTATTTCACACCTTTTCACTGCAAGAGTTCTGAGAGTCATGCCAGCTCTCCAGAGCCTGAGACCTGCTTTCTCTTAACTTTGCAGTTTACTTTCTTGTATCACATTCTGTAAACAAAGTTTCAGATATGGAATAGCAGCAGCAAGCTGTGTCACTGGGCAGGAGGTGGGGGGAAGTCCTGTGACACACTGTTTAATGTCCCCTGAGTTCTGTATTCTTACTAACCATTCTGCTATAGTAACCATTCTGATAGTTTCCATCCCTGGAAAGTTTCAAGAGGAGCGGGATCAGTAGCATCAGCTACTGAATGAATTCTGGGATACTCTCTTATTCTGATTTTCCTCTTACCTTTCTGCTTGCTCCTTTTAATGTCCCTTCACTGGTACTATTTCCCCCCATTTCCCTTGATTTTTGGGTGTTTTATTGTCTTCCCTTTTCCCACTATATCTAAGCCCTAGAAGGTATCTCCATTCTCATGATTTCAACCTTTATTAACGGGCTCTGAAGTTCCTGTTTTCAAACCTGACCAATCATCAGAATAATGTGGAAGAACTTCTTAAGGACAGAGATTCTTGGGCCTCACTCAAGCAGTACAGAATTAGAATTTCTGGGCCTAAGGCCAAGAAATTCTGGGGGAGGGGTGTTGCACTCAACACAGAATCCCGAAAGTAAGCAAAGCTGTTCTGTTATGCAGGTGAAAGAGGCCACTATGCTAGTACCTTCTGGTGATTTCTGAAGGGACGCCAGTAAGATGGTTGCTGCCTCCGGAATAGTTAGTAGTTGGGGATTTGGGCTTCGTCTTTCTGCAGAAACAAAAATGTATACAGATTCTCTTAGCATTTATATATTGATGTAGATAAGTCCTATTCTAACATGCAGCAATACTAGAAAAACCTCTATGAAATAGATTTTGACCCCTCAACAAAGGACTACTTACACAGAAGACTAATTTTTTAACATGTCACAATTGCCTTGGAAATGACTTACAATTGGTTATGTCAAGTTTACAAACAGGGTATGGAAGAGAATGTTAAACTATATGCCAAAGAGAATTTTAGATAATAATTTAACCTTTGCGGCCAAATATAAGGTAATTATTTGACTGAAGGAGTATCTGCTAAGAACTCAAAGTTATTTCAAATCTAAGTTGAAAAAAGACAAATTGTTCTGATTCAGCACAAAACATGATTTCTAATTTGGGGCAACTGAAGTTGAGAAACAAATCTTAACCTCATAAAATAAATAAGCTCAATTACACAGCATGTTTGAAGAGCCTAAACAAAAATTTAAGCACCTACTATGTGTTCAACAGTGTTTGGTATTTTTCCAAGTAAGTATACTTTTTAATTTTAGCATTTCAATCTTTACAATTTCATCAAATTGTATTGTTATTTGTTAATACAATACGATGGAAAGGTTTATCATGAAAAAGAACAGTCCCCGGTCCCATCCTTAACTGCCCGCATGTTACTCTTTTGATTTTGAACCTTTGATAGTTCTTTCTAGTCAAACAAAAGCATACATTTGAAGTTCCTAGGTAAGTTCTTATTTTAATAATAACAGCGTTTAAGAGGAGGCTGAGTAAAGTTCCTGCACAAACGCGCAGATACATTTCTAGAAGCATTTGCATAGTTCTTCCTATCTCGCCTTACCCCTCTGAGCTGCACCTCAGGTCCTAACTCCCTGGGGACCTCTGCACACCCTGGCAGCCAGAGGGCTGGCTGAACAGCCGCAAGCCAATAAGGCTTGGGGAGCCGCAGCGCCAGCCTGGGCCGCCCTTGCCACCATTGGCGCGGGGCTGGACGCGCGAGCTCCCAGCTCCGGCGCTCGGCATCCAGCTGCTGCTGCTGCCAACCCGGGCTGCCCTCGGGCGGACTGTATCTGAGGGCGCCTCAGAGCCGCGTCTTTCCGGTGAGGAGACGCTTTCTTTCGGCACCAGCGCGGAGCAAGCCCTGCCCGCCCCATCCTATTCCAAAAGCGCAGGACTAGCGCCCTTGCACCCTTGGTCACTCACCCGGCAGTGGCCGGTCGGAGAGGTCCTTTCTCCGGCTCTGGTCGGAGATGAAGCGGCGACCCTCTGCAAAAACGAGACCTGGGGCTCAGCGACAGCCTGGCCCGGGACAACCCGGGCTTAAACCTCAGCTCCTCCCGGCACAGCGCAGTCCCCGGGCGTGGGGAGGGGGCAGGTTGCTCCAGGATAGGGTCGCGCGGGGCTGCCGAGTTTCCAGCGCTCCCAGCGCAACCCCGGGCTGAGCCAGGGGCCCTGGAGCTCTGGAGGAAAGCCCCGCGCCTGACCGGACGCCGCAAGGGCGCTTTGGAGCGGAGGTCGGGTTACTGAGATATTTCCCAGGCAACCCGAGTCCCCATTTGGACCAAGAGAAGCAACCCTCCAGTTTTGGATGGAGAATTTCTAATAAGGATGGAGGATTTCCAATAATCAGGGACTCTTCCCCTCTCCCACCCCTCCCTCACCTACCGGTCTCTTTGATGGCCTCGATGATTTAAGGGAATAAACTCGACATTATTCTCTCTCCATAACTCTCCATCTATCTGTTCCTGACTCCTAGGGGTCTTCCATTATTGTAGGAAGAGCGAAATATTTGGAACTTACGTGCCCCTTTCAGGTAGAGCATAGCTTGAGGAGTCCAGTTCCTTCTCTCCAACAGTCTCTATAGCCCGGGGGAAGGGAAGAGCAGTTAATAAAACATTGCAGCTCAGTCCTCTATTACAGCAAAATAAAGGAAAAAGAAGAGAATAAAACAAGAAGGAAGAAAGAAAGAGCAGAGTGGACACACAGTGCGCATTGTTTTAAAATTTTTTATTTTGCATTTGATTACCTGCGGAGCGCAGCTGGAGTTTCCCAGGAAAACAAACACCAGGAAAAGAGCCAAGGTTGTTGCTGCCAGACTTCTGAGTCCCTATATGAAGCGATCAACCAGAAAGGGTCATTTCTGTGCCAATAGGATCTTCTGCTTCCTTCCTTGACGCCTGGACAATTATAAACCCCCTTACTTCTCGCAATATTCTGTTTTAATACTCAGTTTTCTGGAGGTGTTTCCCTTCTACCTTCTAGTTAATTCACAAAGAGTCCACTTGAAAAAACGTATTTAGAAACATATTATTTGTATTACTTCACCCAAATGAAGAATAAGTAAATACGTGAATTTTTTTCTTAGTAAAATCAAATGATTCTGTTATTCTAAAGGCGTATCGTTCAAATATCCTTTAAACTCTAAAATCCTTATTAAACATGAAATAGGTAAAATGCTATAAAACGTTTTAAAAAATAGCTAAGAAGTCTCAAGTTAATAAAGCCTTTACTTACCTTCATGTTCTGCGTCTTTTCAGAACCCTGAAATAACTATAACTTTATCTGTGAGTTTTCGACTCTTGCTCTGAAATTGGAGCTTTTAAAATCTTGGTGTTAAGGGCACCTCCCCATCTGGAGTAGAGTTTGGGAGTCCACAGGGACATCTTGTCAGTCTTCAAGCAAGATTGAGAATCTGATGACTCCTCCAGGGAGCTTCATTGCAGGAAGTAGAGGAATGATTGATGGGCAGAAATTATTTGTTTAAATACTGATTGCATCACCCAGGAGGCCTTCAGAATGTGTCAGCATCATTGGCCTTGCTTTTCCTACTAGCTGCCCAAAGTAACATGTTATTATTATTATTAATGAAAACAATCAATAGTCCAAGGCAGAATCAAAAGTAAAAGAATAAATCAGAAAACTTTTCTTGGGTAACTAGCCATCAGTCTATCACTGATGGCTAAAGATGTATGAAAAGGTTTGGGAATCTCAATGGAATTTGACATCAGTCATTCACTTAATTATCAATTCATTCTGTTGTTTAGCAAATATTTATTGAGTGCCTATGAGACACACAATCCTTGTATTTCAAGGGACACAGCCATGCACTGAAAAGACATGGTCTCTGCTTTGATCTAAGTTACCTACTAGTTAAGGTACACAGTAAACTGATGAATAGATAAATAAGACACAGTAGTTACCCCTTAATCGTAGGTGTGTGTGGGGTGGAGGAGCATGTTTCAAGACCCACAGTGGATGCCTGAAACCACTGATACGTATATGCCTTATTATACTATTTTTTTTTATCTGTTCACCAAGATGGTTACTAACTGATTAATGGGAGAGTGGTGTTTACATATGGACATGCTGGACAAAAAGATGGTTCATGTCTTGGGTGGGCTGGAGCTGGACAGTGAGAGATTTCAACACCCTACTCAGATTTAAAGCTCACAATTTAAACTTATTAATTCTGGAATTTCCCATTTAATATTTTCAGACTGTAGTTGACCATGGGTAACTGAAACCATGGAAAGTGAAACCGTGGATAAGCAGGGACTACTGTAACTACAGAATGTTTTAAATTGTTAAGTAAAAGTAAGCAAGGTGATGTGATAGGATAAGTGGTGGGCTACTTTAGGGAAGGTTAAAAACAGAGGGTAGTCTTGAAGGATAAGGTGAAGTAATGGGAGAAGCTGGGCAGGAATTAGTATTCCAGGCATTCTCAATAGAAGAAAGAAAAGCAAAATCTGTGGACAGCAAAGAGCATGACTTGCTTGGGGACTAGGAAAGAGGCCAATGGAGGCAGCGTTGTGTGGGTGAACGGGGGAGGTGCTTTGAAATGAGATTGGAGAAGAAGAAATGGGCCAGTTGATGTGGAAATACGATTATAAGCAATAGATGATGATGGCTTACACTGGGATGGTACACACAGGGAAAGAAGAGCTGTAAATGAATTTGGAATACATGTTGTGGAGGTAGAAAATATAGAACTTGTATATAAAAGGGATATGAAAGTGTGAGAAAAATAAATCAAGGATGATTCTTAGGTTTATGGATAAAACTGTGGGTAAATTATGAAGTAATTTACTGAAATTAGAGAAACTTCTTAAGAAGCAAGTTATGAGAGGGAAATTAACACTTGCCATATAGGCATATTAAAATTAAAATGTATATTAAAAATATCCAAGTACAAGTACAAAATAGAAGGTTAGAAATGCAAAACTTGATAGAGGTCAGCCAAGAGGTCACCAGCCTACAGATTTTCTTTTTGGTGGGGGGCAGAAATGATTAGCTTTAAGAATTTTAAGAATTCTAAGAATTTTACAACCAGTAAAGGGATGAGATTAAACACAACACTTAGGGAGTGAATAGGGCTAAAGAAGAGTGGCAGGGACAGAGCTATGAAAACAAACGCATAGAGAATGAGCAGAGGAAGAGCCAGAAAAGGAGGTTGAGGTAGAGTCAGAAAGAAAGGAGAAATTCCAGGGGACCCTGATATCATGGAAGCCAAGTGAAGATCCAGTAGTATTGGGAGGTCAAGCAACATTAGCTCCAAGAAACATCCACTGGATTTGGAATATGATGGTTTTGAGGATAGAAGCAAGATTGGAGTTGGTTGAATAGTGAATATGATATGATAAATTAAAGCCAAGAATAAACAATCTCTTTTACAGATGTCACAAAAGAAGGGAAAGGAAAAAATGAGAATTTTTTTTACTGTTATTATTATTGTTATTGTTATTTTAAAGACAGGGTCTCACTATGTTGTTCAGGCTGGGCTGAAACTCCTGTCCTCAACTGGTCCTCCCATGTCAGCCTCCCAAACCTCTGGGATTATAGGCATGCTTGGCCTGTGAAATCTTTTTTTTTTTTTTAAAAGATAAGATAGAAGATTTGTTATACTTTTTGGGAAACCTTTCATTTCTAGGAAATTCCTAAAATTCCCTGAATTATGAATTATGAAATTATGAATCTTTTTGGGAGGCAGAGTGTTTCTTCTATTGTACAAACTGAAAATGCCAGATAGTCAGTTTTCTAGCCTCCCTATCAGGGAGAATGTGGGCATATGACACGGGCTTCACCAATCAGATGAGCATGCTTAGATGGGGAATCTCATGCCAGGATGGAAGAAGTGCTCGGGTGAAGCAGGGGTTGTAGTAAGATTGAGTTTCTGGAGTAGTCTTAGCTACGGTGCTAGTGGCAAGTTCCAGCATCCAGTGCTGTAGCAGTGGTGATGCCAGCTGCAGTGTCCTTTTAATAAAATCTTTGTTTTGCCCAAATCAGCCATGTTTATTGGTTTCTGTTGATGTGACAACTAAGAAACAATTTGTAAGACATGTATATTGATGGGGATGATCAGTAGGGAAGGAGAAATTCATGATGTAGAAGAAAGGGAATATAACAGCAAAAGGAAATTCTTAGAAGGCAAGAGGGATAGGATTCCAAGTATATCAATATTCAGTTAAAAGATCTATATACATAGGCAGATATTGAACAAGGACCTGAGTATCCACCACATACTAAGTTACCATGAAAGAAAGAGATGGTCCCTCTCTTAGTCCATTCAAGCTGCTATAGCAAAATACAACAAACTGGGTAGCTTACTCAATGGAAATTCCTTACTCAACTCTGAAAGCTGGGAAGTCCAAGATCAAAGTCCAGTCAGCATGGTTGGGTTCTGGTGAGGGCCCTTTTCTGGGTTGCAGACTGTTGTCTTCTCTGCTGTGTTCTTACATGGGTGGGAGGGGAAAACAAACTCTTTGGAATGCTTTTATAAGGACATTAATCCCATTTATGAGGGCTCCACCCTTATGACCTAGTCATGTCCCAAAGGCCCTACCATCATATTGAGGTTTAGGATTTTAGCATATGAATTTTGGTAGGACACAAACATTTAGGTCATAGCAGTTCCTTCTCAGTTAGGGCAGTGGTTTTCAGGTATTAATGTGCATGGGAATCACCTGAGAATTTGTTAAAATGCAGATTCTGATTCAGTATACCTGGAGTGGGGCCTGAAATTCTGCATTTCTAATAGACTCCCAGGTGATGGTGATAGATGCTATTGACCCTTGGACATTTTGAGTAACAAAGATTTAGGGGTATAAGAAGTGACGAAAACTAAACCTCAGAGTTTGTGTGGCTGGAAGAATGGCTAGACAGAAATAGCAGGGACTCTGAGGAGAGAACCAGTAAGTTTCATTTGGGATTGAAGTTTAAAAGGCTCATGCTATCTACCTGCAAATACTTGGAAAAGAGATTGGAGTTTGGGCACTGATATTTAGACTTGACACTGATATGCAGACAGGAAAACTGAGGTTTGGTTAGTAAATGAGAATGGAATATAGAAAGTAGTATGTGAGTAGAAACTTGAGAACTATTTACTGTCTTCAAGGAAAACAGCAAAGCAGGAAAAAACTAGAGGCATTAGTGTAATGTTCTATTTCTACTGTCGTAGGAGAGGAGAAAGATAAAAACTGACTAAAAGGTTATCTGGATGCTATTTTAATAATGCTTCAAATGTGAGATTTTAGGATTTTCATTTCTAAGGATTGTAGCAATTTCCTTCAAAAAAGAGCGATAAAAGAAGTGAAATATGCTGTGTTTATATTTTAAATAGTCACACATGAAACCTGATTACTAGGTTACCTGAAAAATAAGTCAAATGCCTTTTTGTTCCCAAAACACAAAGGTTTTGGGAAGAGGAGCAGGAAAATGAATCACCAATAAAATGTGCTTTGAACTTACAATTTTAAGAATAAATAAATGTGCTTTGCTGATAATAGTTTAGCTAATGAATTCACAAGCAGATGTCTTACGTCAAAGCTGCCATTTTCAGTTTAATGTGCACAAAAGAAGGGAATGGTTTTGACATATTATCAATATTGCAGTCTTATCAAGAGTAACATGCTAGAATGTGTTACTTCTAAAAGGATTTCCAAAGGGCACTGAACCCCAATAGAATGTTTTTGTTAAATCACAAAGCTTTTAGGGTTTTTACAGGTCCAAAACAAGACATGGGTTAAGTTACAATATTTGGTATAAAACAAAACAAAACACACAACAACAAAAATCCAAGATAGGTAAAGCCCTTGAATTTTATTCTCCTGACAGTATGAGCAAGCAGTAGATGTTGAACAAATGGTCTTTTAAGCCTTTTTTAAAGGCACATTCAATGAAGACTGTTTTGAATTCATCACTGTTACCTGGATTCTTGTAGTCGACTGTAGAGTGCCCAGAACCTATTTAACCAGTGATCACCTGTCACTGTTTAAATGACATTCTTTCAAGGTCAGTGATTATTGTGTTCACAAGGAAAACAGCTGCTATCTTGGATAAGGTTATCTGGACAATATGGCTATTATGGTACAAAATGCCTAAATTACTTTTTGATGACAGCATAGAGAGAATTTGGGTTGGATAACATGAATAAAGATATGGGTTCAATCTTCTGTGGGGCTTGTATTCAGCCCCTTAGGCCAGCTGTCTCATCATCAGATGAAAGAAGTCATTTCCCCAAAGGGTTACCAGTTTTAGGAGGGGCTTTAGGGGCATTAAGAAGGCCTGCTATCCAAAATAAAACTTCCCATTAATTGGCCAATGTCTTAACCTGGGTTTCCTTTTACTTAACACGTTAATTCCCGATGAGCTCACACCCTGAAGCAGATAATATTGCAATTCTTTGTTTACAGACTGTTTCAGATCCTTTCTCCAGAACTGCAGATAGGGAGGAGGAGAAAATATGAAGATATTGGTTTTCTGAGGAGAGTTAAGATAAGTACTGTTTAGGGGGAGTTGGGGTAGATAAAAGTGAAGCAGGGAAGACTCAAGTTCACCAATTTCATACTAACTTCTGGATTAAAATGTTTTACCATTCATTTCCAAAATGACAGAATAGTGCATATGAATTAATATACACCCACCATTACTACAGGATAATTCATAAGACATGGCTGCTAATGGTGTATGCTACGTAGGAGCAGCACAAAGACAGAGGACAAATATAGCAAAAAGGTCTTGGATCAAGATGCAAACAACAAAACACTAATACTCAACATTTTGGAAATGTTGAGCCATATAAACACTGGTAGCTCAGAAATGTGAAGAATGATCCCATAATCCTACAATGTGAATTAGGTTGAATACCAGCTGTTGCCAGGTGTGATCAATAGGAAGATGGGATAGTTAGTTGTCCTACTTCTAATCTATATCACTGGGCCAGAAATACTCTCAGGACAATAACACATGTTATTTTCACAACACTTTAAATTTGAGAAAGCCCTTTGACACCCATTGTTACATTCATTTTTCACACCAAATTCATGCAGTAGATCCTGAATTTCACTTAAGAGCATACTCATAGAGTTTGACTTGACATGACACTAAATGGTAGAGTTAGTGTTTTAGCACCAAGACTGGTCTTTATACCGCCACAGAACTCATAGTCACCTCATGGGATCACATCACATCAGACGAGTCTTCTTCAGGGATTCAATTACCCATTATTATCAGTATTAATTCATATATGTAAAAGACCATCGTGCAAGTGATCCCTCTTGTCATAGGGTATTATTTCTGGCTTTTGTCACTTAAGGAATAAATTTCATTTTCTCTTTGGGATAATTTTACTTTGTAATACCAGCTCCAGTGACCAACAAAACCCAAGAAACTCGTCATTTCCTATTGGAAAGAAAGGAAAACTGAGTATCAGTGATTCACACCAGCCTCAAAACTTTAGGAGTAGCTTCTGGTTTCCCCAGCGGCCTCCCTTTTTTGTGAAGAAGGGCAGCCAATCTGGAGGCATGGTCTTTCTTTTATCTATGATCCCTCTCTCCGTTGACAAGCTACTGGGTACAGTAAAGTCCTAAGGAATGTGAAGTAGAAAGGTGGACTTCAGCGGGGGCCAGATCATTAGATTTAACTTTACGGCTGATAGAGGCTGATTTCAATATATTAGAAGTGATCAGGCCGGGCATGGTGGCTCAAGCCTGTAATCCCAGCACTTTGGGAGGCCGAGGTGGGCAGATCACGAGGTCAGGAGTTCGGGACCAGCCTGGCTAACATGGCAAAACCCCATCTCTACTAGAAATACAAAAATTAGCCAGGTGTGGTGGCGGGTGCCTGTAATCCCAGCTACTCAGGAGGCTGAGGCGGGAGAATCACTTGAACCCAGAAGGTGAAGGCTGCAGTGAGCCAAGATCATGCCACTGCACTCCAGCCTGGGTGACAAGAGCAAGTCTCAAAAAACAAAAACGAACAAACAAAAAAAAGAAGTGATCAGTGGGGCCAGCACCAGAAGAGCTGGAAGAATGAACTTTCACTCATTAAACCACTTACTGGGCACCCACTAAATGCCAGGAACTGGAGATACAAATCAAAGAGGAGATTTCGAACCTCAAGAATCTTTTCCATAACCAAATCAATACAAAGCAAGTGGAAAGTTGTATGAGAGGACAGGGAAGGAGCAACTGTTTGGGCCTAGCTGGTAAGGAAAGATATGACAGCAGTGACATTTTAATCAGGCCTTGAGAATTGAGTAAAGCTAAGGTCATGGAAACGCATGTTAGTCAATGAAGAATTTTGGGCATGCTGCTAGTGTCCAATCTCCTACATGGATACAGGTAACAGAAGAACTGAGGTTGGGGCCTTTTGGCTCAGGTCAAGATTAGAGAAATATGCTGGATATTTAATAACAGATTCAAGACTTCCCGTTTACCCAACAATAGTCTGGATTTGCAGCTTAATTAGTGAATTCAACAAATACTTACTGGGTATGTTAAGTGGTAGACTTGGCCAGTGTTTTTTTTCGGCCTTAATAAAATTTACAGTTAAAACAATGTAGGTGTTGTGGTCTTATTTAGGTGAGAAAAACTTAAGATCCTTTCCATCCTGAGAAAAAATATATAAGCATTTCTCCTCTAATTTCTAAATTCCCTCACCGCTTTTTAAACTTTGCAATTAATGGTAGCAATCATAGCAGCTTTCAGAAAACTACCCCAACTGCCTGTGGCAATACAGATTTGGTGGCAGGCTTCCAGACAACACAAATAGCAGTGACAGTTCTAAATCCCTAGGCCTACATTAAAAACAATTCTCTTCCCCCTGCCACAAAGAAACCAAAAACATACGCTACATTAAGTTGAATACATATACAGACTTGCAAAAGAAATTACATCTCAAAACAAACCTCCCAGAGTTAAAGCTGGTATTATTTTTTTTCCTCCAGACATCTTTTGAAAATGCGAACCAATCACACAGCTTTTCTCCCAGTCAAGAGTTACTAAAACTATTCAACACAGCTGAAGGTTGAATAGTTCTAGTAACTCTTGACTGGGAGAAAAATAAGAGGTTGGGGTGTTTCGACTGCAAATTCTTCTACCACCATTTGTTTGCAGTGTAAGTCAGGACAAGTTATGTGGAAATACGGCTAAGAATTTAAAAGCAATGTTAACATTCTAAGCACTTAATGAGCAGATGGCACATATCTTGTTCTCCTGGGTCTCCCACATTCAACACAGGACTTTTAGTATTCAAGGGGTACTCAGAAAATGTCTATTGAATAACATAATATACAAACTGGGAGTCTGATTTTTAAAAAATAGCATATTGCCCAAGGTAAGTGACTTTATTTTACAGTTTTCAAAATTAAGAACATTTTTGCTTACTTGAAGTCTATTTGTATTCATTAGTACATTTCAACAATTTGGAAATGAAAGATGTGAAGATCATTTGATAAATAGAACACTGCATATAAGGCTAATTTTTTAAAAATGAGGTTATTTTGCAATGCTAAATTAGCTTTTAGAACTTCATAACACAGATATACTTGACCACCAATTAATAGAAAAGTACCCTTTTATTGAGAGGTAAGACAAGTATATTTACAATATTCAATTGTTAGATAATATAATCTGACAGTGGGACTTTTTAAAGCAGCAGTATTTCAGGAATTACAATTTATAAGGGGAAAAGAAAAACATTCCAAATATGTTTCTGTTACAGAAAATACACTTGAACAATGACAGAAACACTTAAGGCTATGTAGTATTAGACCTTTTCCTCCATCTCTATAAAGTACATTTTTGTTACAGACAGAAGGCTGATTTTGGAAAGAAAGAAACAATAGGATGTATAGTGCTTTCTATCAGCAGACTAGTATGTTTAAAAATAGTCTCATCAAGGGTTCTGAATAAGAAATATAAATGTTGCCAGGCAGTCCCAAACTCACATTTGATATTAACTGCAGACTCATTTAAAACTGAAAACTGCTCCAGCCTCTCTCAATCTTTACTAAGGACTGGGAGATTATCAAACCCTTTCAAGTCTAATAATGCTTTTGAATTAAGATTATTGAAAAAAGGAATCTCTGTTACAGTGCAAAGAACATTTTGATAGAAATTCATGTCTACAAAGGAGTTAAATACAGATGTCCCTTACATTAGCAGATACTATTCTTGCTCTAAAAAGGTAGAATTATCAAGACATTGTAAATAATATGGGTCAAAAATATGTGTAACAGAGTTCTACAGGGCACCTTATATAAAGTCAATCCTCAAAGTATGTATTTGACACTCTCCAAGTGAGGATATTACTTTTTTGAAGAACATTAGACACAACAGTAGCCTCTTATTATTCCATTAACTATTGAGGTAGGAGTCTCCATTTGTCAATATCATCCCATTTTCACAGATACATCGTAAGTCAAATGCAAGTACCAAAAATGTCTTAATCCTTAAGACTAAACCATCACACTATACACCAAGTCTTTCCTTATTTAGATGAGCAAGATTGGGAGTTCTCTGTGTATTAAGAGATTTAACTAAAAATAAAATAAGCTGTAATCTATTTTTGTAGACATGTTTGTAAATAAATACCACAGATTTCAATTATACTTTTATGCATTAAAAAGCTTTGCAACTGTTAAAAAAACAAAACAGTGCAATCAGTGGTAAAACAAATAGTACTATGGCTGTTGAAATGTTTCCCTACATCTACCACTAAAGCTGTCACATCTTGTAAAACTAAAGAAAACAGCTATTTCCTACTGTCTAATAATCAGCAACGGTGGAAAAAAAACACTTTTTTTTTAGTGTCATGTTCTTAAGAAACCACAGTCAGTTTATTACAGTGAAATGACTTTAGCACGTGAACTCAGGTATTTTCTAATTAACTCAAGATGAGTGATCATATGAAGGATATGTCATGCTTAATGACTATTATATGCTAGGAAAAAGCTGAAAATAAGGGAAAACTCAGATTAAATGAATAGCCCTTTAAAAATAGCCATAAGTTTAACCTTTTAACATGTTACATGTCTTAAAGTAAACATTATCAAAAGTTATTTTAATTTATGAAAAACAAATAATAAGCCACTGCTAAAATTTAAAAAAAAGAAAGAAGAAAGAAAAATTACATCATGACATGGAAAAAATCCATTTGGTTTGCATCATTTAGTATCTTCAATAATACTATTCAATGAGACAAGCTATGAAACAAACTACTTCATTCATGGTCAAGAATGCTTTTTTGTTAAATACTTACACGTAATGAATGATATAGACAGATACTTAGGAGGGCAGACTCCCAAGAAGTATGAGACTTTCCGGAGTATGCTGCTGACAAAACTTAGCTATAATTTAGTAACTAAAAGTTAGTAAAGAATGACCTTTGCATATTCCAACAAAGAATATCTAGTTCAGATTTTCACCTGGCTTTGAAATATTAAGATTCAGAAGAACCACAAAAGTTTTATTTTAACCATGTTTACAAAAAAAAGTAATCCATACATCAAAATTGGGGTTTCCTTGGTTTTAATACTTTAAAATGACACAATCCAATCGAATTCATGCATCACTTCCAGAGATACAGTGCAACTGGAAATATTTTTGCCATTGCAGTGGACATTTCTAAAAAGCAAATGCCTATGGATGCTCCTGAGCCTTCAAAATAAAAAGAAAAGAAACAGGCACCACAGTTCTCTAAGGATGGCTGAGTTTCGCACATTGTGGAAAAACAACACAAATAGCCTTCAAGAGTTTCTTAAGCATCATTAACATGGATTTCACCTCTCTCAGTTTGCTTGCTGACTTCTTCTTAGTTCACTTGAGTAGAAGCCTGTTTTCACTGCTTCTTTGCTAATTTGCTGCTGGTACTTTGTAGGCTATACGTTTTAAACTCCTGTAAAGAACATTACAAGCTATTTCATGTAATTTAATTTTGTGCTGAATATTCTTCAAATGACTTTATAAATAACACAATATTTTAAATGAGTCTTCAAATTCACTTGTTGTTATACCATATTGTTGCTTTCTCCAACTTTATCTACAAACTGTAAGGAGAAGAAAAACAGAGAATTAAAGAAAGCCCGGAACATTATAAAACATTATATCAATATTTAAAATGTTGATTTTAAAAACCCAGCCTTACAAGAAGAGTTGTGGAAATTTAAGGTATGACTGACAATGACTAATCCAGTACTACTCACCATCATCTTCTGATACATAAACGTGTATAAAATTTTTTTTTCTAAAAGTTGTTTTTTGCATGACATGTTATACATATGAATTTAAGGGTGCAACATGAAAAATGCAACACAATGAATAAAGAAATTGTATAAGATGAAGATAACACTGCTAGCTTAACAAAAAATAAAAAATAAAAACATAAAAAAAACTGAAATGTCAGCCATTCATGCATTAATGAACCCAATAAGATATTTCAACTGACCATTACTGTGGATCTCTTCTGGGCCTATGTAGTCTTTGGACAAACAGATTTAACTCCATTAAGTTCAATAGTTAACAACAGTTATTGACTAAAAATACTTTAAATGTGTATTCTGGACTTTGGATTGAAAGTGGTAATGACATTAAAGATAGATTTAATGATGTAAGCATAAATTTATAATTATTGAATATAAATTTTAACACACATTACTGTAAGTGGTTATTTACTTTGGTTACTCCACCCCAAACATAAAGCAGTTGGGCTTTTTTTTTTTTTTTAACATTCCAGATGGTGATGTAAAGACTGATATTGTATATAATTGGTAGAGACATTAAAAGTTATATAACCCAGGTGGTTATACTATCAAATTCTAGTAATCATCTGATCATTTATTTTGTTTCACGATTCACATGTTTACATAAGCACTTATCATGATGAATAACGATAAGAAACATATTCTATTGTATTGGGTGTCCATTTATGCAAATTCTTGAGAATCCTTAAATTAAGGGCACAAATAATGATTACAACTCTGTAACTAGAAGTTTCAGTACATTCAAAAGCCATTCTAGGTATAAATAACACTGACCACTGTATGAATTTGCAGATTAATGCAAATGAAATCAGAGTATACCCCTATAAGCCTACATTCCAACATTTTGTTATATTATCACAAACAGGTGGCTGGCCACTGAAACTAAAAGTTGCTCTCAAAGAATTCATGGATTTATTAGAATTTTAAGGTAAATTTAAGTGGAGAGAAAGCACAATATTCTCTCTCCAAAGGTAACTTGAAATATTTAGATTGTCTTGGCTGTAAGGTTCTGACCCTAAAATTACCCTGGGGATGGAAATGGGATTAGGCTTATAGTGGTACTTATTCTTCCATAGGTAAGCCATTCTTTAGCTCTTTGAGCATTCAATAAAATGCTATGAACTTTCTCTCTAGAAACATCTATAAAAATCTGTGAACAACTTTAGAAAGTTGATTAACTTCCCTGAACCTAACTGGAACTTGTAGTCTTTTAAGTTTTCCTATAAAGCTAGTTTATCCTAGTTATTTAGGACAGAGTTGGATCTATGAAACCAATCCAAAGAAGGATATGAATACTTCTGATATGGGTCTGACCTAGAGCCAAAAGGATTGTAGCCAACTCAGCTGAATTCTAGATCACCTAGATTCTTTTAGAAATTAAGGATTTTGTTTAGTTTTGAAACTGAGGAGGTAGGCTAAGAGACAGTCATCTGGTCTTGTCTTGAAATTGAGCAAGTTCCCTGAGGTCAACAAAATGCCATCCTTCACTCACTTGCTTAGCAGAAAATATTTTGAGTTTCCATTATACGGCAGATATTATGCTGGGTCACTGGGGATAGAACAATGACTAAAATACAACCTGTCTCTGCCCTCAAGGACTGTAGTTTTACATGGAAGTGCCTCCCTTTCTCCTTTCCTTTCTCTTTTTTCTTTTTTGTTTGAGACAAGGTTTTGCCCTATTGCCCAGGCTATAGTGTGGCGGTGTGAGCATCGCTTAACACAGCCTTGATCTCCTGGTTCAAGCAATCCTTCCACCTTGGCCTCCCAAAGTGCTGGAATTACAGGAGTGAACCACCATGCATGGCCTGAAGCCTTTTTTTTTTGACAATTAAATGAGAGGTAAGGCTGGGTGTGGTGGCTCACACCTGTAATCCCAGCACTTTGGGAGGCTGAGGTGGGGGCATTGCTTGAGCCCAAGAGTTTGAGACTCTCTCTAAGAAAAAACAAAAACAAAGAAAAAAACAGAGGTAAATGCTATGATAGAGTTGTGCACAGGAATGTTATAGAAGCACACCCCGAGTCAGCCACAGGGAGTCAGGAAAGCTTTTCCCAAGGTGGCAAAAAATAAGCTGAATTCTGAATGGCCTTCTAAGACTCCACCAAAAGATGTTACAACCTTCAAGGTAGCAGTTTAGTACGAAACATTTGTTGAATGAATATTGAATAAAAGGAAGAAACTCTATTTGTTAACTTTGAAAACATTCTCTTTAACTCTTGTCTGATTTGATTCCCTTTATTTTATCAAGGTGGAAACCAAGGCACACACTGGAAAACAAATTTGACAAGCTTGTTCAAACTGTAAACAGAGCTGGGAATAGACTCTTACCATCTGAATCCCAGTATAATAGTGCTTTATTCAACTCTTTTTTTTTTTTTTTTTTTTTTGAGACAGGGTCTTACTGTGTCACCCACCCAGGCTAAAGTGCAGTGGCACAATCATGGCTCACTGCAGCCTTGACCCCCTAGGCCCAAGCCAATCCTCTCACCTCAGTCTCTCGAGTAGCTGGGACTATAGGCATACCATCACACCCAGCTAATTTTTGTATTTGCGGGGGTAGAGATGGGGTTTCACCATGTTGCCCAGGCTGGTCTCGAACTCCTAGGCTCAAGCAATTCACCCACCTCAGCCTCCCAAAGTGCAGGGTGTGAGCCACCACACCCGGCCTTATTTAATTGTCTGAATCTAGTCTATTGGTGATACAGTCTGAGAAACAAAATATTTGTAGGAAATAATGGTTTCCTTTTTACATTATTGCTTCTAAAATTAGAGATTATATAAAAGTTAAATAAAAAATGCCCTGAACTCTCAAAGAGAAAGGTAGCATAGCATATCAAATCTGAGTAACATTAAAAAATAGAGAATATGGATCCAGAAATGGATACGGTAAAACAAAATTTCACATTTTATAGGTTTAGCAATAATTATTTTTTGGTCTTCATGGTACTCATGATCTATGTGAAGTAACTATATCATAATACAAAACTCAGCAATTAACCAAGTATCAATTACTCAAATTTCTAGAAGTAAAAAGCATCAAAATACGTATTTTGTTGGCCTAAAATATACATGATTACTTACTGATCTAATTCCAGGTAAATTTAGGAGGGATCCAAGGACTGGCACTCTTCTAATAAAGCCAACAACGACAGGAAAGAAGCCCCTGGGAGAGGGAAAAAAAAGGTTCTTAATATTTACACATTTTCTATTTTCAAAATAATTGCTAACCAAGGAAAAAGAAAGTATCCTGTTAAAATTCTGAATAATTGAGGGTCTTCAAACTTAGAAATAACTACAAACTTAATTAAAAATTTTGTGATTGTTGGTAAAAATGTGACAAGTACATGAGGCCTAGCTATATATAACTCAGATTATGAGTTAGCTCAACTGCTGAAGATTTCTCCAACTATGAGTTGTGTGGGGTGAAACTGATAAAAAGAAAGGGGCTGTTGAGACCATATGTGTAGAACCATGAAAATAATAATAGCTATCATTTACTAAGTAAGTACTAAGGGTCAAAACATTTAGTTAACACTAAGAGACTACCTGCCAGATACTGATCCTCACAGTATGTCTCATTCTTTCTTGGTAGAAATACAAGTCTACAGAAGTTAAACAGCTTCTAACCAGTTTAAAATTGACAGTAGATCAGTTAAGCTACCTCAGTATAGGAAGAGAATGAAATAGTTTATTTTAAAAATGCAAAGAAACTAAACTTTTCCTGGGTCTTAAAATATGTAGTGATACTGTGAAATATATATTTGGTCTTTGACCTCATTTTCTGGCTTACAACTCCTAAAATACTTAAGAGTCTCTACAAGGTGATGTCTTTTTGTATACTAATGAGTTATCATCAATGGTTGGCAGCCCCTAGGCAGCTTCAGGATGGGGGCTGGTCACCAGAAAGACCAAGGCAAGATTAGAGGGCTGGAAATCTGAGCCCTACCTCCTAACCTCCACGAAGGGGAGGGGGGCTGTGAAGCTGGTCACTCATGGCCAATAATTTAATCAATCATGCCTAGTAATGAAGCCTCCATAAAAACCCAAAAGGACAGTGTTCAGGGAGCTTCCGGATAGCTGAACACAAGGATGTTCTTGGAGGATGGTGGGTTGGGGAGGGTGGGGGGGGATCTGCGACCCTCCCCCCTTTCCTTGCCCTATGCATCTCTTTATTTGTATCCTTTGTAATATCCTTTATAATAAACTAGTAAACATCAGTGTTTCCTTGAGCTCTGTGAGCCTCTCTAGTAAATTAGTCTGATCCAAACAGGGGATCGTGGGAACCCCAACTTAGAGCTGATCAGTCAGAAGCATGGGTAAAACAACCTGGGGCTTGTGGCTGGCATCATTGGGAGTGGAGGACAGTTGTGGGACTGAGCCCTCAACCTGTGTGATCTGGAGCTATCTCCATGTAGACAGTATCAGAACTATATTGGGAGGACACCCAGCTGTTGTCTGTTGCAGACAACTAACTGATTGCGATATCGGGAAAACCCCCCACCCATTTGGTCACAGCAGTCTTCTGTGTTGATTGTGGTAAGACGAGTACAGAAAAAAAGCTGTTTTCTTCACAGAGTTAGATAGGGATGAAAATACTACAATGAATACAATTCAGAAGTTAAGCAATAAGATTCTGTTATGGATCTGCAGAAGTCAAAATAAAGAATTAAACAGAAAGCAGAATTTTTAAATTAGACAAGTATTTATGTTGATGGTGTATGTGCGTGTTTCAAAGAAAATCACAATCATTTTCTAGTAGTAATGAATTCAAAAGATCATTTATTTTGTTTTAAGTATTGTTTTAAAACATAAAAATGTGTGATTTCAAATGCCATTATTTAGGGTTATAAATATCTAGAAAAACAACATCAAAGACCCTTGGCACTAAATCTCCAGCTCAGAATATCTCAGAACACAACAAAACCCAACAACAAAAACTAGTATTTATACCACAAAGCTCTCTAAACCACGAAACCTGTGTATTACTCCAAGCTTGTCGATGATACTAAGACTTCCCATTTTTTATTCATCTCAAAGATCAGCTTTGGCTTTTAACCTTCATTACTAAAACCCCCACATAACTGGGAAAGCCAATGATTTTCTTACTTCTTAAGGTGCTTAAGTTTTCTGCTGCAAGATACATCTGCCAAAACAAACTCTTCTTCACTCTTTTCTCTCTTAGCCACTATGATCTTTACTCCTAGTTCTTCTCCCACCTCTTTTCCTAGTCTCTTCTAGTGTTTTCTTCTTTTTCTCCACCTACCCTAAAATGTCAAAAGTACTCCAAGATTCCAGTCTTATCACTGTATATTCTGTACTGTATTAACCGCCTCTTGACTGGCTCCCCTGACTTCAGTTTTTCTCTTTAATACCTACTTTATCCTGATATCAGAACAACCTTCCTAAAACATCTACCCTGTTGTACCACCTCTGGCTTAAAAACCTCTGTGCCCCACTCCCCCGACCTTCTCCAAACACTGCTCCCCCAGCCCAAATTTGGTTACAGGATAAGGTATACTTTTCTCAACAAGTCATCAAAGAAAGTTTGTAACCTGGCTCCAGGCTTCATTTTCAGTTTCATTACCAACCATTTCCTTCAACTGATCACATGCTCCTGTTCTATAAGAGTATTCATTCTTTTCAGAACAAGCTGTGTGTTTTTATGGCCCTGTCTGTTCCTTCTGTTAACTGTCGTTCCCTTTCTCGTTTATAGGATAAATTCTTACCCATTCTTCAAAGCCCAGTTTATCAGTTAACATTTCTCACCTCTCCTTGAATTTACTAATTTTTTAATCATGCTTCCACAATATTCTGCATACACATTTATAATGGCATTATGACTATATCCTATTGGTATTTTTAGAGTCTACTTTCCATAATAGAAATGAGAGATTTTCTAAAGCAGATTTGGTACTTAATTTATTTTTATGTCTCCTGTGGGTAATACAGTGCCTGGCAGACAGAAGACAAAGGATATGCATTTCTGGAATAAATAATTAAGCTCAACCCTACTTAAAGTTATTTTCTTTTCTGTTTTTTTTTTTTTTTTTTTTTTTTTTTTGAGACAGAGTCTCGCTCTATTGCCTAGGCTGGAGTGCAATGGTGTGATCGGCTCACTGCAACTTCCGCCTCCCAGGTTCAAACAATTCGCCTGCCTCAGCCTCCCGAGTAGCTAGGATTACAGGCGCCTGCCAGCATGGCCAGCTAATTTTTGAATTTTTAGTAGAGACGGGGTTTCATCATGCTGGCCAGGCTGGTCTTGACCTCCTGACCTCAGGTGATCCGCCCACCTCGGCCTCCCAAAGTGCTGGGATTACAGGTGTGAGCCACCGCACCTGGCCAAAGGTATTTTCATATAGATATATACACATACTATTGTTTATCTGCTAACTGGCATTTACAAAATATTACCTGCTCAAAATCTCCCATAGTAGTGTATTTGGTAAACAATCTTCTAATACGTATATGTGCTAAATAAATTTCCATCAAGTAGCAGTAGCTATGAAGTATAAGATTCTACACACCAAAATGCTGGATCTATCTATCTATCTATCTATCTATCTATCTACCTACCTACCTACCGATTGATCGATCGACCGACCTACCTACCACTATTTAGTTGATACAAATATCCAACATAAAGATGGTGCCTTAAAATGCCAATAAAATAAACTTTATTGTGCTGACAAAACAAGATAATTTATACCATTAGGCAATCATTCACATGTGATAAAACATTTTTATAGTTGCTTCATCTAAATCTATAAGATTCAACCTAAATAAAATTCCATTTAAGGAAATGATCATCATCTTACTCCAACTGATGCAAATATCTGAGTTTTTGTACTAACTATCTGACACACTGATTTACTGAAAGAGACAATAATATGCCTTACCTGAACAAGAGAAAAAATCCATAAATTTCGAAGATCATGCCTATCAAAGGCCAACCAATAAGGACTACAAATACACCACCCAGAAAAAAACCTGTAGCTTTCATTTTATGTTTTTGGAAGAAGAATCTGAATGTTCTTTCTAAACCAATTACAAAAGCCAAGCCGGCTACAAATAAAACCTAAAAGAGAAAGAAAATACAACACGGAAAAGGTAATTAAACACAATGCATAAATTTTAAACGTAAAGTCAAAGCTAAATATAAAAAAAGAAGCACATTTGTTTGGCTTTTAATGTGGGCAACTGGCCAGACAGAACTGTAATGTACAACCAAGCAGCAGAACCAAGGAGTGGGTTATGCATTTTAAAGTTGTAGCTTTGTTCCACTTGTCTCATTCCTCTTCTATCTTGATTAAATGGAGAAAAAGAGAAACAAAGAAAGATTAGACGTTACCAAGGGGCATCTGTGTCTGCAGTAGTTTTCCTAGTTTTAGCTGGATGAGGAAGGCTTAGTCAAGCAGATGAGTTGGCAAGGCATAAAGAGGAAAGCTGCCCATAAATATGTCACCCAAGGGTATTCCTCTTGGTTCTGAAATATTCATCATAGGCTACAGGAGTTTCTATGGATGGGAGAAATATTGACATGGCTAAGTTGATAGCAGAAGAAACAACGTGAAGCCAAGAAGATTCTAGTTTTATAAATTCTAGAATATCTGGTGGCAGCAGAAATAAAAATACAACCATGTGTTTTCAAATATTTTGAATGTATTCTGTGGACAAGAAATGGTGATGGATTAAGAGCTTGCTTTCCCCAGGTTTTCTTTCCAAATACTTGCCCTCCCCATTAACATTCTTTAGTGAAAAATATTTCGCACAAATACATATTAAGCCTAATGGTTAAGCTTCATATTCTAGGATACTAATGCTATTATCATTTATTAAGACATCAATTTTGAACAATTTTGCTATTCTTTATCTTTTCCCATTTCCAGTTAAAAGCCCAAATATATATGTGTGTGTGTATATATATATATACACACACACACACATACAGTGTCTTCACTACCTTAGAAGGGTTATTATTTATTTCTGGATCATAACCTCCACACATGAATAGCATAGTACACATTCCAAATAAACAACATAGATCCCTTTCTAAGCAAGTCAACCATTAACATAGAAATATATATTTTTAAAAAGGTTAAAAAAATCTATCTTATGCAGCTGAATCAAATGTGAAGTCTTGGATGTTTAAAGTAAAAATACTTTAGTGATTTATCAAGACATGAAACTATCAAGTCATCTATTTTGAACTCCTATTTAGAGGCAGCCTTCATTTAATCTATTGTAAATCTCATGACAAACACTTAACAGAGTAGTTATGGAATTAGAAAACCTCATTAAGTGTTTACCTTTTATTTAAACAGAAAGCTGACAGGTTTCATTCCTGATGGAAATAGAGAATGTAACAGGAATTACTTATGAGTAATAGTGAATTATTTTCCCCAAATTTAATAGCAGATAATAATTCATTCGTAGTTAAAATTTCCTTATAAATTTAGTTAAAATATATATTTAAAAACTCACATTTCCAATAGCCAGTAGTGCTTTGTCAAAAAAGAGAATCATTCCAAAGAACAGGAAAAACACTCCAAATCCTGTTAATCCCATTCCAATTTCTGCAATATAAGGTATATGGTTAAGGGTAGAGAAAAATTAAAGTCACATTAACATCCCTGTAAACTAAGAAAATTTTCCAGTTTTCCTTTCATAGGTATAAGAAAACAGGTACCCAACATTGCAGGTTAACTTCATAATGACATTTATTTAGCTCTTATAACAAATTAATTATCAGCAAATTATTTCAAAATTTAAAACATGAATGAAAATTTCTAAGCCTTATATGGGAGATAGCATTTCTCAGACATAGCTATAATAAAAAAGATAAATCGGGATTCTAAACCTTTGGTTTTAATATGTAATTTGTTTTTTTCCTCCTGAAAAGCTCTCTCGCATCAGACATAAATGTATAGGTTTCCTTAATTACTTATCTCCTTTCACATTCTATAATTATTATTTAAATGCACAATATCTGTAGTTCTTTCTTCCTCTTAAAATTGATTCCTTCTTTACTGCATTAGAAATGTTATGGTAGGTCCGCACAATCAATATCCTTTATCCAATTATATACTGCTTGTCACAATGGCAACAAGAAATATTTCGAAAATCATGGTACCAGTATTCTCAAAACCAAATTTTCAGAAGGTCAGGCATCACTTTTAATTTCTTGATTACTTATTATGGACTTATCTACAAATTTACCTAAACTATAAATCTACTTAAATATTTGGTCTAGAGTCCTAAAATCACCTCTCCGAAGTTTCAAAGAATACTGTTTTACCTAATATTAATATTCTAGGTTTTTCATGTTTCATTAGTTTCATTAAAAAACAAAGAATTGTTGATCAACTGCCAGATGCAAGGAACTGTTCCAGGTACTGAATATACAGTGGTAGACGAGGTGTAAGCTTTAAAGTCTATGTTTATCTTGTATATAAAATTAATACTTTTATTGACTGTGCATTCTCTAGGTCTTATTTTTTTAGTATGAAAAGTCTTAACTTCTAAGGTGACAGATGTACTCTTCTATTAATGTTATAAAGCACAATTCACTAAGTTACCTCCTTGATCATTTTAGTTTTGATTCTAGAAAATAGCCATTAATCCGTAGTTTAGTTAGAAGCACAATCTGCATACAGATGAGTCAGAGTAGAAGCCACCGTATTTTTAGAAGCACAATTTAAAATACCCTATCACTGATTTCTGATCTATTGCTTAACTTTTTTGCCTCAGCTCCAGAAAGCTAAAATCTAGGTCACAGCTACTTAAAAAACTCTTAAGTCATATAAAATGTTCTGATAACTTGAAAACTTTTATCAACTTTAGCTTTTTCTACATTCCCCACCTGCTCAATTTCCTGATAACTAGTGTCTTCCATTGCAGACACCTTTTGTTCCCAAAGTTAGTCTAAAATAATTCAGGTACCTGGTCTATAAATACACCAGTTAAGTGAATTCAACACACATTCCTATGAAAATTTGAGGCTGATACTTTCATGATCAAAGGCCTTAAGAGAATTTACCAAATTAACTATTTGGATAGTGGACATAATTTCATAGAGGAAAATATGGACAAAAGAGCAAGTAAAATTCTATTAAATAACTATTTAGTAGTTAGGATTAAACATCGGCAGCTTTGTTAGTTGAAGATGACTAATTTCTATCATTTCACAAATAACCTTGATGATTACATAAAAATTCTGAGATGTTTTTAGAAAGGAAGGTATATGGAAAGACACCTACTATGTACTGAGAATTTACCACGAATTAGGCCTTATGAAGTGCTTCACATACCTTATATATAACTTAATACTTCCAATACTACTGGAATGCAGGTATAATTACATCTTTTTAAAGATGGAGGAAATTGAAGTTTAGAGAGTTGACTTAAGTTGCCTAAAGCCACACTTCTAGATAAGCATTCGAACCAAGGTCTTTTGAATCCAAAGCTCATGTGCTTAACCATTAATGCCATACCTCTTCCCACAGAATTTTTATTTTTTAGGTTAAAGGTGTTTGGTTACATGAAACTCAAGGACACTGGAGTATTCTGAACTTCTGGGGGACGCATCTTTTAGGGGATTCAAGTTTAATATTAGCTTGTTATCTAACATAGCCAAGTAGAACTATTAAAAATTAACTGCGGTCAAAAAGGCCAATCTCTGAGTATGGTTTACCGTGTTATGAAGTGTTTATACAAAAATTTTATAATTTCTTTAACAAAATTGTGAGGTAAAAGGTAGCACTGGTCCTATGGTTCATATGTGCAACCATGGACCTAGAGGTAATTCAGTAACTTGTTCTTGATCATAGAAGCAGCAAAAATGTGTGTGTGGGTGCTGGTGGTATGGAGGCAGGTACAACAGTCTGTGAAGTCAGCATTCAACCAGTCTTCTCACTCCACAGACAATGGTCCTACAACTACAACATGGGAACCAAAATATTCCACTACTTTATCCAGTACAGTCCAGCGGGAGACATTGCCCAAAACATCTTTGCCACAACTGGTACTGGCAATGACATTGCCAAGTAGCTCCTGATCCACACTGGTCAAAAGTCTCAAATTGGCCTCATTGTGCCTTTTTCTCACCTCCAGGATCCCCCTTTTCCCTATCCGTATGCATTCATAAGCCCTCTGGCTATCAAAAGCCTTGCATAGAGCTGCCTTCTTCCCATCGGAATCATATCCAGTAAAACAAACTTATCTTCCTTCACTCCTCCCACATGTTTAAAAAACTGTCCACAAGTTAAAAAAAATATAAAAACAATTTAATAAAACGAATCTGTCTAACATAAGGAGCATACTGTGGAAATTGTATAAGGAAAGACACGCATAATCTAATGGCAAACACTGTTAGCATTTTGATATCTTATTCACAATTTTTTAAAAGCAGCATTGTCTCTCTTACCATACCCTTTGAAAAACAGAAGTCAAGCAAGAATTCAATTGAACATTAACTGTACTGGAGAATGCAATTATCACACTAGGCTTTTAGACAATGTGATGAAATGAAGATTTAGAGGCAGCATGCCCCTCCTCCGCCCCTCTGAATAAGTCTTGTCTTTTTTGGGGCGGTGAGGAAAGTCCTAGAATGCCTTAAAATAATCATGAATTTCCATTTATTCTACTCTGAGCAGTGCTTGGCCACTCTCTAAAAACCAAAATCCCAGAATAATCCTGACAAATCACTTGAATGATGGCCAATCCCTGCAGTTAAACACACTCACACACAAACACAATTTGAAATCCAAAATGCATTTGGTTCACTAATCGTTTTATGTTTCAATCCACTGTTTCACCTAAAACATGTGACAAGTGAACAGCAAAGAGTAAAATTTCATTGCCCTCACAAAATTTAATGAAGTGAGGAGAATGCTTCTCAGGGAGAATGCCCATAGTCCAAACCCACTCTCTTGTTTTTATAAAGCAGGCACTCATCACTATATTAAGTCTTCAAAAATATAATTTCTATGCACAGATTATTCTCAGATCTCAAATAAAGTTTATATCAAGTCTTCTTAGGTGATAGTGGGGTACAGTGCAAAAGGTTTCTGAGCCAGCACACCTGGGATCAAGTTTTGTTTCTGTCACTTTTTCTTTGACCATGCACTCAATTTCTTTTGTGCCTCATTTAACTTATGAAAGGGGCATGCTTCTGTGAGCCTTACAGGGCTCTTATAAGAATTATGCATAATGATTCACATGAAAGCACATGGTTAACTGAAAGAAAATACCTTTATATAATTGCCAGTAATTATTATTACACTAGATTCCTATCCCCTCAAGACTACACTTTTATTTTCTTTGATCAGAACAGGCCAGGCCAATGGACCAAAGTGGGCGGCAACCTTGGGGCAGGTGGCCCCAAGAGGCAGCCCCAGTCCAGCCTCAGGAGGGAAGACAGCCTGATTGGGGGGTGGCAGTGTGTGTAGGAGGCCTTAGAAGCTCTGTGAAGTTGGTCTGCCATGACTTGAATCTCCACAAGAAGACTCCACTTTAAAATAGGGCATTTTAAATAAACTTCTATTTTTCACTTCAATTCACTGTTTAAGTCTTAAAATATTGAAAATCTGAGTTAACTGGAGTGAAATGAAAGGCGTGGCAGATAAAGCAAAGTGAGACAAAAAGAGACTCTTATGAACATCAAAATATGAGGTACAGAGCTTGGGCAGACATAAATACAAAAATTATTAATATTAACAAAAAGCAGTAGGAAAGTGGAAATATTATAATGAAAGAAAAGGAAACCGATATCAATGCTAGCTTTAGAGATGAAATAGGCCTGGAGAACTCTGTGGCAGGCAGAGAGCGATGCTAAAATAATAAAACAAGCCACAAAGCACAATATACAATACTAACGAAATATATCCTTTAATGGCACACAAAGTGGCTTTTCTCTACTGCTTGAAACTTTAGCAGGTAGAAAAGTGAGAATGTTTCAAGAGACTTCTAAAAGGTTGCTTACAGTACTGGCAAAAAGCGAATATTCAAAATGCCACATTTAAGCGTAAGGACATTTTCAAAAAGAGCCTACTGTAGGTGACATTTAAAATACCGCCTCCCAAATAACCAGCCAGCCAGGGACTTGTAGAGGACCCGAAGTGTGTCATGCGCATAAACGATCCCGAGAGTGGGCCGCGGGCACCACGCAAACTTTCTCTTGTGGCAAGCCCCTAGAACAAAGCGCCCATCTCACTGGGGATGAGGAGATCAGCGCGACCCTGGAATGAGACAGACTCTGGGCTAAAGCTCCCCTCCCAACATAGGGCGTCCCACCCTGCCCCACAGACTCTTCTCCCAGGTCAGGTCCGCCAGTCCAAGTCTAGCCCCGGCATCCCGAAGGCAGCCCCTTAGGGTCCCAGCAGCCCTAGCTCTGTCTCGCAGGCCACCGCCCCCAACCCAGAGCTTCATTCATTGACCCCGGCGGAGGGGCGAGACCCAGCCGGGCGATGGGTGTGCGCGGCTCGAGGCGGGGGCCCCGGAGCAGGTGCTTACTCTGCGTGTCCGTTAAGGAGATCATGGCTGCAGTGGTGGGGACAGCGGCGACAGCACCTCGGAAAGCCCAGGGTGGGAAGCTGAGTCGGGAGAAATGAAGCCGGGAAACAGCCCAGGCGAGAGCCGCCACGTCTTCCGGAAACACGCAGCCACCCTCACTGCCGCTTTAAGAGCGCTTCCTATTGGCGAAACCTGCTTCCAATCTCAACCAATAACTCGTAATGTTGTTCGGTGACGCGCATGGTGACCACACCCCTTGACCAATTAGAGAAGGGAGTTATCTGTGATTGGCTGAACGGACCGACCCGGAAGGGTGGATGCTCTCAGCTGGCTGGCGGGAAGATTTTACTCCCGAGTAGCGGAAAGATCTGCTCGAGGCCTGGGTGCTTTGGTGTCGGAGATCCGAGAGTCGGAGATCGGAGAGTCGGACACAGGACAGTCGGACACCGGACAGTCAAACACCGGAGAGTTAGACCGGGCTTCTCGGTGGGGAGAGGCTCTGGGATAACTACTGTTACAGCTTTGAAGGGTCAAGGGTGTGCGCTTTTTGTTTCATCCTTCCCTTTCCTGCTGCAGGGCGAGGCCGGTCTGTAGCGGATCACTTCCTTTCGCCCACACATTGGCGGAGGAGAAACCGGAAAGTTAATCACTGCCCTGCTCTGAGAACTCGGGCCTTTAGGGGCACGTTCGCCTGCTGACCGGTCTTCTGATCTCCCCATTCTTTTCCATGCAGGAGGATTGGCCACCAAAGCCTGTTTATTAGCAGCTGCCATTTGTTGGTAAATACTACTGGGGATGCTTCTTCCACCCCCTGCTTCACAGTAGCGGAAGGGCGGGCGTTATTAATATTAAATTACTATTGCCTCTAAATGCAGGTGGCGGGGAGAGAGAGGATTTAGCCTATGGTATCTCAGTGGCGTTTCCTCCAACATTGATGACTGGCTGTCACCCTGTAACATTCTTCCTGTGGATGCCTAGCTTATACTGCTGAGTGACAGACCTGCTGTAGTTCAATTTCTGGATACATTTTATGTTGAGATATCTTTTGCTGTTAAATCACATCATTTTGGGAAGGAGCAGTCTTTTAACCGCATAATCAAAGGAGTCATTTAAAATCGTGGGGGAGAATTGGATATAGACTGTGTCTTTTCATAAGGGTAGAAACAGCCCCTGCTACCTTAGCAAACCTGAGCCCTCACTACATCAAGGCATTTTCCTGGGCTGTGCGGATACAAAGGTGAAGAGATTGAACCCCAGCCCTGCTAAAGGACCTTACAGTCTATGGAAGGAATGTTACATTTTCATTACGTGAAGAGATGTTTGTATAGATCAAGAATTAGAAATCCTTGGTTTACTCTCCTATTTAGCCTTCTTTTAATGGTGTGGTTATTCCACATTCTTTAGCAAGGCAAAAAAGAGTCAGCCTATCTTTCCGGCCTAGTGGTGGCTTCAGAATTCTGTGTAGAAAGGGCGTAAGGTCAGCAGTCTAAGGATAGGTGTTGCAGAAGTGACTTTTGGAGAGCATCTTAGTTTTAGAAAATGTCCATATTAGAGAGATAGAAGAGGTGTTTTTAGGATTATGGGGAATTTAAAGTTTCTACTCTCCAGCCCCATTTTCCACTTGTCCATATGCATGCTTAGGTTTTAGTCATTCATAGATACTTAGAAATCATTACAAACCATTTTCCCCTCCCCCCACCTCTAACTTAGAAAATCTAGCTTTTCTGTAGAATACCAGTTTCTCTTTTAAGATTGGGCTTATATTGTAATTCTTTAACGCAAGGGCTCAATAAAATGTTAGATGATTAATTTTATTATTTATGTTGATGTATTTTGCTTAATCTGGTACATTTGAATCTATCCAACTTATTTATAAGATTGCCATCCTCCCAGTTTTACAGGTAGGGAAAGAGGCTTGGAGGAACAGCATATGCAACTTTGCCTAACATAGTAATTTAGTCACATAGCAATTGGTGCTAGACCTGTTGAATGTTTGCTGTTTTTTGTTACATCACTTTGTATCTTGTGGATGTTTGCTGAGTGTCATTGCTACTGTATTTGTCATGTATACGTTTATGTGACTTTGGACACTTCTCTGAAATCTAGAGAGTTAGTCGTTCTGAGTGTTGTGGGTTATTAAGCTGAAATATAGAGTTTTCCATAAAAAATTAGTGTCAAAAGAACCATGTGGTTCTTATTTGAAAGGTCACTGCAATATATAATTTACTTTCTAACATTTTCCGTGCTTAGGAATGACAGATTACTGTTGAGTGAACATCATTAATAGTACTATTTTTAAAAACTTGTTGTCACTGTTGTGCTTTTATTTTTAGAAAGAAATTTGGATTATTTTAGAAACAAATTTGGAAAGAAAAAGAATGGCGTCCGTTTCAGGTTAGTAGCAATGATTACATTTTCTTCTTCCTTCTGTTCTATTTCTGTTTGTATGATATTTGAAAAAGTTTGTTTTAAAAATTCTGATTATAGAAATGATTTTTTTCAGCTTTTTTATTGAAGTAAAATACACATTACAAACTTTGCCATGCTAACCATTATTAAGTGAATAATTCATTGGCATTAAATGCATTTAGACTGTTGTGCAGTCGTCACCACTATCCATCTCCAGAGCTTTTTCATCTATCCAGACTAAAATTCTATACTCATTAATCCGTAACTTTCCATTACTTCTCTTCTCCTAATCCCTGATAGCCACTATTCTACTTTCTGTTTCTTGACTATTTTAGGTACCTCATATAAATGGAATCATATAACATTTGTCCTTTTGTGTCTAATTTTTACCTTATTTGTGTCCAAATAAAGGCAATAGCGGAATCATGCTTTTGCCTATTTCTCTTACTGCTGAGTATACACTGACCCCTTCCCCAAAAGAGCAGGTACAAATTATCTTTATTCGTCTTTGGGTGATGCTCATTTCTCTTCTTGCTGAATCATGTCCTCCTTGGTAATACTGTAATGTATCGGAGAGGGACCAAATAAAAGGAAAAACCCAAACTTGGTTTATATACAAATTTTAAAAAGCAAGAAAGACTTATAGCTATTACAGTTCTTGTTTTTCAATTGGTCATGTGATCATAGTTTGTACTTTATAACTGCCTTCTTCAACTACCCATTCTGTATTCCTTGGTTCTCAGTTGGTAATGGGTCTTTGCTTGGTGGGGACTACTTGCCTTAGTAGTTTCCTATATTTGGTTATTATAGTTTTCAATTAACTTTAATCACAAGGTAAGGGAATACTGAGAGGTGCACTAGAGGATCTTCTGCTTTCCAGACATACTCTTCCTTATCCCTATAGTGTAGTAGCTATCTGATTTCCCCTTAATAGTCAGGATCACTTACCCCAGCAAGTATAGTAATCGCCTTCTTTGCCTGTTCATTTGTTGGCATGAGGAACCCAAAGTGGCCAAGTGGCAGTCAACTTCCAGTTTAATGGAACTATTGCTTTTTCCCCTGGTACAAGCATTTCTTTCTTGGTAACCAAGACCTCTAGGCCAGCAAGAGTCCGATGTTTCAAGGATGGGAAGCAAAAATTTCACTAGCGGATCACTAAGGGTAATAGAAGAGCCACTCCCATTTCCACCGCTGATTCCCGTGAATCGTGGCAATGGGAGAAACAGCACTATTCACTGATGTATAGCATGCCATATCCTGGAGGCTACTAGTCCAGCCCTTAAAGTGCTGATACCCAGCTGGCAGCATAATTGAGTCTGCAAAATGCCACTCCATTATTTTCTCAGGCTAGCTGCTGCAGGTTGTTGGTGAACATAGTTAGACCAGTTAATATCTTGAACATTAGCCTTCTGTTGTGCTTTGTTTGCTGTAAATGAGTTCTTTGGTCAGAAGTAATTTGGTGGGGAATACGATGACAATCAGTAGGAATTCCGTGAATTCCTGGATGGTGGACATGATAGAGCACTGCAGGCAGGTATGGTAAATTCATATCCGGAGTAAGCATCTGTATCAGTGAGAACAAAGTGCTGCCTCTTTCATTATAGACGGTTCCAATGCGGTCACTTTGCCATCAAGCATCTGTCTGTCCCCACAGAGAATGGTGCCTCCATTGGAACTCAAGGTTGGTATGAGCTGTTTGCAGGTTGAGCACTTAGCTCTGGATGTAGCCAGATGGGTCTTCGTGAGTGGCAGTCCATGTTGCAGAAGGCACTTTGTTCTTGACTTCGTTGTGCAAGGACAAGTGTGGTCAATGTCCAGGTCATCTTGTCTACCTGATTAATTATGATTATACTTTGTCGAAGTTGTTTTTAATGAGCATTCACATTGGACACAAATACCTTCACACTCTGACCATTCAGAGAGGTCTATACATATATCTCTTCCTCAGACCTCATTGCCACCAGTTTTCCTATTTGCTACCTTCCAAGTTGCTAACCATCCTGCCAATCATTAACCATTGCTTATAATAGTGTGGATGTATTCCTCTGGCAAAATGAATAACTATGTGGACTGCTTACTGCTGACTGGGAGAATTTTCCATCTCCAATGTTTTTCAGGATCACTCTGGAGAGATGCTAGAGTGCTTTAGTTGTTCACTTTCAGGTAGTGACAATATATCATGCAGAATCTTTTGTAAATTAGGTCTGCATTTTTTTTTCCCTTAGTAACACTGAATCCCACCATGAGGTTATAGCTACAGGTTGAGGAGGAGGAGGCAAAGGGGAGCATGGTGCATGAGCATTCAGACTTCTTGTTCACGCCTTCACTTAGAACCTGCTCACTTTGGCACATACCACTTCCATTGTGATGATGGAGGCCTGCCTGATGAATTGATGGGTCGGATGACACCTGGTTGATGATAGGCAGCACAGGTCACATAGTAACTTAGTCTCTTGTAAGACCCAGGAGCAACCCAGAAGTTGTTTCTGAAAGGGTAATAGTTCTCTGTAGATAATGGCAAAGAGCTTTGCTCTAAAATCCTTATCATCTTTGTTGTGACTCATCTATAGGCCAAAGGTGTCATATAACATCTGCATTCATCACAAACTTACAGCACCATCAAATCTGTTGGGTCATATGGCTCAATGGTAAGAGAAGATTGTATCATGGCGTTACCTCTTGTTCGAGGTCCTACTCAAAACCGGCAAGTTTTGGGGTTACTTGGTAAATTAGGTGTATGTTGCCTCCCAAATCCAAGTAGTCCATTAGGCTCTGTGCTGCTCTCTTAGTAATAGGAGGGGCCAGATATAGAAACTTATCCTTCACTTTAGAAGAGGTATCTCAACATGCCCCATACCCTTTGACTCTCACCAAGGTGTCAGGCCTCTGAATTTTTATGGGATTTATCTTCTATCCTCTGGCAAGTGTCTCTCTTAGCAGTTTGTCTATAGTAGCTGCTACTGCTGCTTCTTGCTCAGCAGGTCAGACAAGCATGATATCATCAATGCAGAGAGCTAGTGTAATGTCTGGTGGAATGAAAAGGGAATCAGGATCCCTGCAGCCTAGATTAGGGCTAGAGAGTAGATATAGCTCTGAGGTGGGAGAATAAAGATACATTGCTGGCTCAGCAAACTGCTTTTACTGTGCTATACTATTCCCCTATGCTATAATAACAGGTACATGGGTATGGAGAATAAAACATTCAGCAGATCAATAGCTGAAGCCAGATGCCAGGGCATGTGTTCTGTCTTATTAATGAAATTACAGCTGGAACCATGGCTGCTGTTGGAGCCACAGCCTTATTAATTTTGGCATAATCCATTCTCAATCTCCAGAATCCATTGTCTTCTGCATACACCACATAGGTGAGTTGAATGCGACATGGAAGTCATCATTACCCTCATATCTTTCATGCCGTTGATGTAGGCAGTAATCTCTGCAATCCCTCCAGGAATGCAGTAATATTTTTAGTTTGCTGTATTGGTTGGTAAAGGCAGTTTTGCTGGCTTCCGTTTGATCTTTCCTATAATAATAATCCTTAGTTACTTTGCCAGGAGACCAATGGGTGGATTCTGCCACTTGCTGAATATATCTGTTCTCAGTATACATTCTGAAACTGAGGAAATAACCACACAGCAGATTAGAAGGCCCACTGTATATCACTAGCAGCCGCTGGACTTGAACCTGCTGCTGCCCCATGCCAATGAGATCACCAACCCTGCCCTTACACTGACTTTCTTAAATACAGAAAATATGTCTACTGCTTCATTTCTACCTTTTAAATCTCTGGAAACCAAAGCTGCATTGATCACCTCACTTAAGTCGAGTCTATACTCTGACTGGTGGATCACCATGGCATTTTGGTTTTCTAAGAATTAGCATCAGTTCAGAGCTAATGTCCAGTAGTTTCTGAGAAGTGATTTCTCTTTTTCTTTCTTTTTTTTTTGGACGGAGTCTCACTCTGTCACCCAGGCTGGAGTACAGTGGTGTGATCTCAGCTCACTCCAAGCTCCGCTCCCGGGTTCACACCATTCTCCTGCCTCAGCCTCCCAAGTAGCTAGGACTACAGGCGCCCGCCACCACGCCTGGCTAATTTTTTGTATTTTTAGTAGAGACGGGGTTTCACCATGTTAGCCAGGATGGTCTCGATCTCCTGATCTCGTGATCCACCCGCCTCGGCCTCCCAAAGTGCTGGGATTACAGGCGTGAGCCACCGTGCCTGGCCGATTTCTCTTTTTTTCTAATGCACAGTTACCCTAATAAACTTCCTGGTGAAGAGTAGTAGGAAGATTCATTACATACATTTTTAGCTGTGTGGTTGAGTCCTTCCCCAACAGGCTCCAACCTCTGCCTTATTCAAGGGCCTCTGGTTCTATAAGGTGGTTCAATTCTGGAAATTCGTCGAAGGATGGTCTCTCTGTTGTGTTTCTGGTTCTGTTTACCAGAATCAGAGCTTTCTATTCTGCGTGTTACAAATCAAGTAATCTATTTCCGTTTCAGGGACTTCACAGTCAACTAGTCAATCCAAGATCTTGTCGGTCAGACCATTCTGATTGCTGCCTCAGCTCTGTTGCCCTTCATGGCAACCACATCTACTTTATTTTTCGTCATAAATTCAATTGCCAATGGTTAGCCCCCATACCTTGGAATCCATCATTGTCGTTGAATCAGGTGGTCTACTTGGAAGATGATATTTCCCACTGTCATTCCTAGCTTACAGAGAACAGCCAGGGGAGCCCCAGCATCCCTGAAGAGCTCCGCTGATGCTGGCGCTCTGCTCATGACTGTATTTTTCACAGTCTTGGTGAAAGAAGTGTCCTCTGGATTCTCCTGGGGGACAGCAAGGGAGTGGATTATCAATCTATTTGATCTTCCACTCTGGCACTGCTCTCTCTCTAAGCCTCTGAATACCTTCCTTTAGAGCATACCCAGGAAATTCCAGAGCTCCAGCCTCACTGGACTCTATACCTGTTTTATTCCATCCCAATTTTCTGACATTCATCTTTGAGGCCAGGTTTCAGGCAATGAGCCAAGCAAATTACTAGAGCCACTCCTGGCCACTATCTAGGACATTAAATCCAGAATTTCTTAGTGAGCCCGTATCAATAAACTTAGCTTAATTCGACATTGTATTCCATAAACCCTGTTTCAGTACCTTTATGATCTATTCCCATATACATTCTCTAGGTTTCTGATGTAGTTTGGATATGTGTCTCCTCCTAATCTCATGTTGAAATGTGACCTCCAGTGTTGGAGGTGGGCCTAGTGGGAGGTGTTTGGGTCATGGAGCAGGATCCCTCATGAATGGTTTGGTGCCCTCCCTATGGTAATGACTGAGTTCTTGCTCTGTTAGTTCACATGAGAGCTGGTTGTTTCAAGGAGCCTGGCACTGCCTCTTCTCTTTCTTACTCTATCTCCCACTGTGTGACACACCTGCCCCCCTTTGCCTTCTGTCATGATTGGAAGCTTCCTGGGGTCCTCACAAGAAGCAGATGCCAGCGCTATGCTCCTTGTATAGCCTACAGAACCATAAGCAAAATAAACTTCTTTTCTTTTATAAATTACCCAGCCTCGGATACGCCTTTATATCAATGCAAAATGGATGAACACAGTTTCTATTGATATATTTTGGCACATGCAGCTCTTTTGGTGCATATCATGTCTTTTGACAGGTTACATCTTTGTGTTTTATCCTCTAGGACTTCTGGATCTTAAAGCACTGAAAGATGGTAGAGGCTGATTCTTAGGAGGCTTAGCAGTCCCATACAAGGCAACAAGGACCATTGTGGGGACTTCAGTTAGGAGGACATTGTTTCAGAAAGGGGAGGCAGGGTAGAAGAGACTTGGCATAATTTAGTGGTTTAAGGTAACCTGCTTCGTTGGAATCTGCCCTTATGTTCCCCTCCAAATTTCAGTCTCCTTCCCAGTCAGTGTGCTGACTTTATCATAAAAGTCCCTGCAAGGTTGGGAATTCAGTTTGTATTGAAATTCAGCCATCTGCAGGATTTAGACTTACAGCTATTTTTCCAAAATATTGGCCCTGTACCTATAGAGGATAAGGTTTTTTTTTAAGGACAATCATAGAAACTTTGAGGTCCCTTAATGCAGATCCTACATTTTTCCCCTGAGTTCTTTGCACACTTAGAAGCAACCAGTCAACCCCATTATTCTCACCAAAACATTTGTAACAGCAAACACTTTGTCACCCACAGCCTTGCCTTCTCTAGTTATTTTTCTACTGGTGTCTATGGATGATGATTTAAATAACTTTTTTCACTGCATGATGACATAGAATAGTTATGTTCCCTTTATCAGTGGAAACAGGGTTATTAATGCCTTGAAATCTAATCAGATCAGAAAGCCAGTTCTATGTGGCCCAGAAACAATTCAGAGAACCTGTTAAGTTTCTGTTCTTCCGGATCAAAATTCTGTATTGGTTAGGGTTCAGTCAGGTAAGCTGAACCATTATGAGTGCTGTAAGTTTTATTATGGGGATTAAAACTTATGTGATCATGGGAGCTGGTTAAGCAGCTATCCCTGAGTCAGCTTCTGGTCCTGAAGTCAGCAGTACCAGCAGTGAGAAAGGAAGATGGGTGTGAAGTATGGGAGGGTATGGATGAGCTGGAAGCTGCAAGGATAAGTTGAAATTCATGAGGACAAAGTTAGGATGCTGGTGCCCTGCTGAAAAGCTGGTGCACTTGTCACAGAAGGTTGGCCAGCAACATGACCAAGAAGCCAAAGAATCTGTGGGCCAAGTTGTTCCACCAAGATTTAGCAGGAGCTGGGGGAACTGGCTTCTGCCCCACGTCCACAAAGTGAGGCAGCAGTTTCCTAATATCATGAGTGAGCTCCAGAAGCACCTGGCCATAGGCCAACCATCCCAATGTAAAACTGGCTGCTGCTTTATTTCTGCCTTGTAAATCTCATGCAGAGTTCACTTGTGGCCAAACCTAACCCAAAGTCATGTAGGGAAGGGTTGATACAAGGGATGATGGCAGTTGGTACAATAAAAAGGTACCCCAACATCCTATTTTAAATCACAGCCATAAATTATATCTCATGAAGAAGCACATTAAACCTGTATACTGATTAATGCAGGCAGGTATATGAGAATGCACCAAGAACATCTTTAAGATTTTTCTAGCTTCCATCGATGTGGTATCAAAAAGCATCTCACTTTTTGACTTTAATACTTAGATTGATTAGAATCATACACTGGGGTTTCTTTATAGATTAGTTACAAAGGAGATAAAATGCCAATTCCAATAGTACACTTGATTTCTCTTACTTGTTACATCCTCTTGTTTATAATTACCAACTCCTTTTACCACCAAGTGAGCCCAAATAGGAATACCTTCATAAAGTAATAGCAAAGTAATTAGGGAATTAGCTTCCTTTTGCTTCAAAGTCTGATACTTTACTTAAATGATTTAGGAGATTGTTAGACCACTTCTCTACAACATAATAAAAATAATTATCATGTATTAAATATTTGTGTACCAGGTACTGCGTCTAGAACTCCTAATATATTATCTCACTAGCTCTTCATAAAAATACTATGAAAGTTAGATATTGTCCCCATTTTACAGGAAGGGAAATGGGGATGCAGGTGAGTATCTTGTCTGAGGTCACTCAGCAGGTAAAAGGAGGACCTGAGATTTAACTTAGGTCTATATGACTCAAAAACATGCTCATAACCATTCTGCTATACTACTTCAAGTTTGTCTGTAATTGATATGGCGGGCAACACCCAGAAATCAATCTGGAAACCTAAAGTTGTAATTTACTCTGTCTAATCATTGTATCCGCGCTGCCTCCCATAGCTCTAACTGAGGAACTGGATTCTATAACCAGTGAGCTACATGCAGTAGAAATTCAAATTCAAGAACTTACGGAAAGGCAACAAGAGCTTATTCAGAAAAAAAAAGTCCTGACAAAGAAAATAAAGCAGTGTTTAGAGGATTCTGATGCCGGGGCAAGCAATGAATATGATTCTTCACCTGCCGCTTGGAATAAAGAAGGTTAACTTTTTTTTTTTTTTTTTTGCTAGTTTTATTTCTTCTCATATTTTAAAAAACTAGAATGAATTCTTGATGGGACAGTGCTTTCCAGTAGGCTTAGAGGTGAAACTGGCCATTTCTCCAGTGGAATGGGAAACTTGCAGGTGGATCATTCTTTCCCTGTGTTCTGTAGTCTTCAAATTAAACTTTTATTATTCAGACATTTTTTTCCAGTTATTGTTACAGCAACATTGATCATGTTTAGAAAATGAGATACTTCCTTTACCTACATTAACAAACAGTTAAGAAAAAAAATTCAAACTCCTTGCCAAAGGTTAGATCATTTTCCTGCCCTAGTGAACAAACCTTTCATGATTCAAGACCTTATCAAACATCAAGTTTATCAATTATAAATAGAATAATAGAATAATTAGAATAACTCTAGAAGGGATTGTGCTTTTTGTGGATGTTGCTTTTCAATGATTCACGTCTGAACAAGATATTTACACCAAAAATTCCAGATAATTGTTAACTTTGTTCATGATATTTGAGTACTTTATGATGCTGTGAATTCCCTGATCAACATTCAGACAATTTTTTAAATACCTGATCAAACACCTTCCTTTCTTGTGTGGGTTAATTCTCAACTGGCAAATGTTTACATTTGTTACTTTTTTTTTGTTTTTGAGATAGGGTCTTGCTTTGTTGCCCAGGCTGGAGTGCAGTGGCACAACCACAACTCACTGCAGCCTCAAACTCCCAGCCTCAAGCAATCCTCCCTCCTCAGCCTCCTTAGTAGCTGGGACTACAGGTGCACAGAACCACACCTGGCTACTTTAAAAAAAATTTTTTTATAGGGATAGAGTCTTGCCATCGCTTGAGCTCAGGCTGGTCTCGAACTCCTGAGCTCAAGTAATCCTCCTGCTTAGGCCTCCCAAAACTGTTGAGATTATAGGCATGAGCCACCATGCCTACTATGTCTTATAATACATCATTTAACTTGTTTTTGCTTTGCTTAGCTAGTGAGTTAATCTCAAAACTATTATCATAAAAGTTTAATGGTCTATAAGTATTAGAAGTCTTATATATGTTTGTCTCATTCTTATCAAACTTCTATAATAGTCTTACATGTTTGTCTGATTCTTAACTTTCTTTTCCTAGATTTTCCATGGTCTGGTAAAGTTAAAGATATTCTGCAAAATGTCTTTAAACTGGAAAAGTTCAGACCACTTCAGCTTGAAACTATTAACGTAACAATGGCTGGAAAGGAGGTATTTCTTGTTATGCCTACAGGAGGTGGAAAGAGCTTATGTTACCAGTTACCAGCATTATGTTCAGATGGTATGTACTAAAAAAATTAATTTTGAGTTGAAGAAGTGCTTTGTCATCATACCTTTTTAATTCTTTTAAAAAATAATTTATAATCATACATATATAAAAATCAAGTGCATTTTTGTTTGATTTCTTCTATATTAATAGAAATTTAAAGTTTCACTTAAAGGAGGAATTTTATTTATTTTTTATTTTAGATTCAGGGGTATATGTGCAGGTTTGTTACATGGGTATATTGTGTGATGCTGAGATTTGGACTTCTAATGATCCATCGTCCAAGTAGTAAACATAGTACCTGCTAGGTAGTTTTTCAGCCCTTGCCCTCCTCTCTCCCTAAAGGAGGAGTTTTAAAAACTTCTGAGATTAATCCTTTTATCTGGTTCCTGAAACATAAATTTAAAAACATATTGTACTGAACATTCAAAATCCTCTCTTCTAGCTTTTCGAAACCCTATCTAAATTATTGTTAACCATATTCACCCTACAGTGCTATAGAACACTTGAACAGAAGATACAAGGGGCAAAAAAACCCAAAAATGTTGTAGGAGAAGCAGCTCTGGAAGAAGAATCAGTAGACCTGAATTCTAGTCCCAGATCTTTACTGAGTGTCTGCCATGGTGCTAGGCACTGGGAGACACAGTAGTGAGCAAAATGGGCGTGGTCTTAGTTTTCACAGAACTCATAGTGTAGAGTAGCACTTTCTCAGACTTTAGTGTACATAAGAATCACCTGAGAATTTGATTATGTGCAGATTCTGATTTTATGTGAGACCAAAGATCCTGCATTTCTAACAAGTTCGCTAGTGCTACTGATATTACTGATTGGGTAGTAGCAAGGGATCAGCAAGCTTTTTCTTGAAAGGGTAGATAGTAAATAATATAGGCTTGTGGTCCATATGGTCTCCTTGGCAGCTCTTCAACCCTGCCATTGTAGCACAAAAGCAGCCACAGATAATGTGTAAACACATGGGTGTAGCTGTGTTCCATTAAAATAACTTACAAAAATAGGCAACCAGCCCTTACTTTGTTGATCCCTGGTTTAGAGAATACAGGTAATTGCAAGCAATTGCAATAAGAATTTTGGGATAAAGGTTTTAATAGGGAATTAAGTCTGTACAAAGATCTGGTCTAGGGGCTGTCAGGGAAAGCTGTTCTGAGGAAGTGGCATTTAAGCTAAAGTTTAAAGGGTGAGTAGGCAGAAGGGACAGGGAAGGAAGAGTGTTCATTCAGAAAAGCAATACTTGAGATCCAAAAGCAAGAGAGAACATTCACATTATGATGTATTCAGTAACCTGGAGGAATTTCTATGTGGCAGTCAGTGGTAAGACATGTGGAAAGAGTCTTATTTTTAAAACTTTTCCTTATTTTAGCAAGAAGCCATTGAAGAGTTTTACACAGGTAAGAGACTCATTATTTCATGGTTTAGAAGGATAATTCTAGCAGTTAGATGAATTCCAGATACATCTGGAAGATAGATTCAATGGGACTTGGTATTTATTGCTTGGGGGGAAAGGAGAAAGAAGAGTCAAGAATGATACTCAAATTTTAGGCTTGGACAAGTGGTGAGGTTCTTCACTGAAATGGGGTACATTGGCGAAAGAACTCTTGGGAATGGAGAGGGGAAAGATGATGAATTTATTTGGGACATGTTGAATTTACGATGCCTTTAAGACATCCAGGTGGAATTGTCCTATGAGTAGGAGGATGTTTGTGTCTAAAGCCTGGTGTTAGAGGTCTGAGTTGGGGGTTGTTAGTGTGGAGATGGCCACTGAAGCCATTGGAATGAATTTCAGAGCAGCATAAGAAGAAAAGAAGGCCTAGAACAGAAACCAGAACACCAAGAGTTTAGGGATAAACAGAGAAAAAGGGCTTGCAGACAAGGCTGAGAAAGAGTAGCAACATATAGGATAACCAGGATTGTATGATGTTATTAGAAGGCTAGGGAAGGGTGTGTTTGAATGAGGGAGTAGTTAATAGTGATGTCTGTTAGCAAAATGTCAAATACGTAAGGATGTAAGTTTCAATGAGTTTAATGACAAAGGACTCATCTATGACCTTAGCTAGAGCAATTTTATTGAAATGGTTGGGTGGAGACCAAATAGCAATGGTTTGAAGCAGGTAGGAATTGAGGAAGTGGAACTGGTGAGTATGGGATTCTCTTTGGAAAAGAATGACTATGAAGGGAAGAAGAGAGTGGGCCATAAATGAGATGTTATCTTAGTCTATTCCAGCTGCTGTAACAGAATACTTTATATCAGTTAATTAACAAACAACAGAAGTTTACTGCTTGCAGTTCTGGAGGCTGGGAAGTCCAAGATCAAGATGCTAATAGATTTCGGTGTCTAGAGAGGGGGTGTTTCTCATAGATGGCACCTTCTTGCTACACCCTCACATGGCGGCAAAGAAAGGGCACTCCCTTCAACTTTTTGTAAAATGGCATTAATCCCACTTATGAAAGCAGAGCCCTCATTACTTAATCACTTCTGTGGGGATACCAACTTTCAGACCATAGTGGGTGTTTTCCAAGATGAGAGGGACTTGACCATGTTTAAATGTAATGAGTAGGTGCTAGTAAGGAAAAGTGAAAATAATAGGAGAGAGAATAATTGACTGGGAAAAATCCCTAATAAGGTCTTAATTTGATTATGTTTTTTAAACATGTCTGCTCTTTGCCAAAGGTTGTTTTAAGAAACAAACTACAGAAACGTAAAGCCATATATAATTTTAACTGTAGAATAGCTTTTGTACTTTAAACAGTTTCAATTATAAGGAAGGGGGCATATTACTATAACTTCATTCAGACAGTAAACTGTTCACTGATTTCTACTCAGCATAAATGAATCTCGTACAAAAAGTAAAAGAATGCTTATGCAACTATCATGTTTAATTATACACACTACTGTATAATTAAAAATCTGGTTTTTTTGGAAAGCTTTATAGTGATTTTTCCCTGATGAAACTGTTTAGTGTTTGAACTGATATATGTTGTCTTACTGAAATTACCAATAGTGATTATTTAAAACGATAGCAAATTAAACATTTGAAATGATAAAAATCTGTCTTTATTTTTATAAGGATAGAGTTCTGTTTAGTTGTATGTTTATTTGGCTTCTACTTACCTTGTTTGGTCATTTATTCATATCTAATTAATGAGAGTAAGAAGTAAGCTTTACTAAAGCTGCATTAAAAATTAATCTGAATTGATGGCCAGTGCCCACAAGTTAAGAAGGTGAATGGGCCGGGCGTGGTAGCTCATGCCTGTAATCCTAGCACTTTGGGAGGCCAAGGTGGGCAGATTGCCTGAGCTCAGGAGTTTGAGACCAGCCTGGGCAACACAGTGAAACCCTGTCCCTACTAAAATACAAAAGAAATTAGCCAGGCATGGCAGCAGGTGCCTGTAGTCCCAGCTACTCGGGAGGCTGAGGCAGGAGAATTGCTTGAACCCGGGAGGCAGAGGTTGCAATGAGCCAACATCGCACCACTGCACTCTAGCCTGGGCAAGAGAGTGAGACTCCATCTCTAAAAAAAAAAAAAAAAAAAAAAAAAAAAAACGTGAATGGTTTGCATCTGATTCTGAGGGTGGTGTAAAGTTTAAGGTAGATTTTTTTTTTTTTCTCTTTTAGGTTTTACACTCGTCATTTGCCCATTGATCTCTCTTATGGAAGACCAATTAATGGTTTTAAAACAATTAGGAATTTCAGCAACCATGTTAAATGCTTCTAGTTCTAAGGTATGTTTCAGTGGCTTTTTTTTTTTTAATGTAAACTATTCACTGAAATAGGAGCTTTACCTGCAGTTGAGTTGCTTATAAAATTATAAACTGTTAACTATTTATATCAGGAGTTACAAACTACTGCTCTTGGCCAGTTCTGGCCCACTGTCTATTTTTGTATGTCCCATGAGTTAAGAATGGTTTTTATATTTTTAAATGGCTAAAAAAAATCTAAAAAGAATATTTTGTGAAATGGGAAAATTATTTGCAATTCAAGTTTCAGTATCCATAAATAAAGTTTTATTGAAACACCACCATGCTCATTTGTTGACATGTTGTCTATGGCTGCTTTTACAGTATAATGGCACAGTGGAGTAGTTGTGATAGAGACCTTATAGCCCATAAAACCTAATATTTTTGTCTGATACTTTACAGGAAACATTTGCTGACCTGTTTTGTATTATCCATTCTAAAATAGTAAGGGAGAATTGCTAATTATGCAGTGTAATTAAATATGAAATATGAATTATTAAGAAGTTACCCTATACCTGTGGAATTTCTTGTATTTAGGAATGGACTGTCTTACCCTCATCTGTAGAATAAAGCATTTCCCAGCTATTCTTTTTTAAAAAGCATATTACTGAAATCTTCAAAAGGAGAGAGAATAGCATAAAAACTGCCATGTAGCCATTTCCCCCTTCAACAGTTATCAACATACGGCTAATCTTTTTTTTTAATCTGTATACCTCCAGTTTTCCCTACCCCTTTCCTCTTAGTTTATTTATTCAGAACAAATTCCAGACATCATATTTTAATTGTAAATTCTTCAGTACGTATCTCTAACTTTAAAGAAAAGTGCTGTGCCATCATCACATCTAAGAAGTTTAATCAATTCTTTAGAATTATAAAAAAAATTCAGATTTCTATCTCATTTTTATGTTTTTTTTAAAAAAAAATATAGCCCAGATAATATTCATGCATTGTATTGTATTTGGTTGATATACCCATAGGTTCTCTTTATATCTTTTATATTTCCCATGCAAATTCTTTGTTGAAGAAACTGGGTTAACTGTCCTGTATCTTTCTACATTTTCCTGATTGCGTCCTTGTGGTGTTCTTTCTTTCTCTCTTTCTTTTCTTTTCTTTCTTTTTCTTTTTTTTTTTTTCAGTTCTGGGGTCCATATGCAGGATGTGCAGGTTTGTTACATAGGTAACTGGATCCTTTTAGTTAGATCTAAAAGCCTGATTGTATTTGGAATTTTTCTTTAACTTTTTTTTTTTTTTTTGCAAGAGTATACTTACTGTGGTATCACTCAAGTGGTACATAGTACCTGGTTATCTTTTTGTGATGCTAAGCGTCAGTGGGTTCAAGTGATGTCTGCCTGATCTCTGGTTATCAGTTTTTCATCTAATGGTTTTAGCAGCCACTGAGTGGCACCGTGAGAGCCATGATTTCATTAGGGAGGTGCAAAATGGTGATATCTAATTCTGTCACTCTTTCTTCATGTATTAGTTATACTTTTTCTACAAAAATAAACTTTTTCCTCATTAACTCTGCATGATGAAAATGCTTGATTTTTTTTTCCCTTTCTTTATGAGTTTTCAGAAAGAGTTGGTTTTCTAGCATTCTCCAAAGGTGGTCAACAAGATTTTTAAGGTTTTCTTTCCCCAAGTATCACTATAAACTTACAAGCTTTGACGTATAATATGATTCACCTTTGGAATCATATATATATATATATCAATATGTATATATGTAATGCTGAAATAGTCCTGTCCTTGGGCAGTGAGAGCCTCTTTAAGTTGGTTCCTGAATCCTTTCTCTTAACCCCATTGCTTCTGTTCCTTGCTTTCTTTTGCAGTAAGATAATCCATGTTCATTTTATGCATTTCCTGCCCAGACCTAGAGTCAGCCATACCTCTAAGAAGCCCTGGTTCCTTTAGTTTACCCATATATTTTTGTTTTATTTAAACTCCATGTCATTCTATTATAACTGCTCCTTCCTCCAACAAAATCAATCTGTGGAGAAAACTGCCTTCTAATAATGTACTTTCTTAAAATTGAAAAAGAACATAATAGTAATAGAAAGTAATTTAGAAAGTTGCAGATAATTACAAGTTCATGATATATCCCTACTCTTGAAAGTTGGAGAGAGAAAAAAAGAACATCTGTATCCTAGAATATATCTAGGAGTTAACAAACTGCTTCTTTGCTGGGATGATGAAAGTAGTTTGACTGTCTCTTTCTATCTCATTCACTGGCATGTTTTTATACTTTTTTGGTCCTCTTTAGATTAGAAGGAAAAAAAATGACATCTAATATGCTAAGTATTGTATAGAATTGTATGAGTACTAAGAATCTAATAACTGTTACCTTTTAAGATTTATTATTATTATCTTAATTTAATGAGTGATACTTTGTGAAACCCCATGGTCTTTATATTTAAATAAAGAGATTAAAAGATTTGATGGTATCATTTGAGAAGTTAATAAATAATAAATTTTGTTCACATACATAAAGGGATTATAAATATAATGTTAAAATTAATAAAACCCACCTTTATAACCATAACAATTGCATCTAGCTCACATTTTAGAATATATTATGAACAATTTAGGATTATGCCTTCATAGAATAAATGCTCTTCATTGGAGTATCTGTTTGTGTTCTTTTTTGTCAAGTGAGTTTTTTTTAGTCATCAACAATGTAGACGTTAGTAAATAACTAGAATGCTATTTACACAGCTGCCATGATGTTTCGTACTGAGACATGGTTTCAGTTTTAATGAACTAAACATCTGCTCCTAGAAGAGCCAAAGGCTATTATTGCTTTGGAGAAATGAACGTTTTCATTTACCACCTAGTATTTCAGTCTGCTAGCTTAGTTTTACTATCATTGTGTCTATTTTTTTCTTTTAATAGGAGCATGTTAAATGGGTTCATGCTGAAATGGTAAATAAAAACTCCGAGTTAAAGCTGATTTATGTGACTCCAGAGAAAATTGCAAAAAGCAAAATGTTTATGTCAAGACTAGAGAAAGCCTATGAAGCAAGGAGATTTACTCGAATTGCTGTGGATGAAGTTCACTGCTGTAGTCAGTGGGGACATGATTTCAGACCTGGTATGTATGTTTTATCTAGAAAACTTTTTGATGTCATAGACCGTGTCCTTACTCAGCTTGGCATGATGGAAATCTCTGCTTCTATTAAAATCATCCTCAAGTAGTTACACATTGAATATCCGTTATCCAGAATGTTCGGAACCAAAAGGGTTTTAAATTTTGGATTTTTTTGGATTTGGGATGATCAACCTGTATTACTTATTTTATCTTGCCTCATTATGAGGAGGACTGAGAGGCAGAATGTTTAGTTTCATTCCCCACTGTAGTCTGTAGTTTAATTGCCCTTGTCAATTATGGACAAATATGGACACATATGTTTACTAGCCAATAGTGGACATCTTTGTGGCATTTATGACATCTAGGTATTCCTTCACATTTGTTGAAGAATTTGCATCTGTTTCAAAGTTGTCATCTTTAGTCATCATTCTGAGGGTCTTTTCAGCACCCACATACAACTCCTCAGCATGAAACTTTGATGAGATATTTTTAGTGACCTTTTTCTTCACCCCACCACCTAATCCTACAGTCATAGCCTAAAGTAAGTTACTCAGAATTGTTATATGCAAAAAAATCTTAAATTCAAAAATCCGACTCCCTGGCTTCAACCTGTTTTCCTTCTGAAGCTTTTCACACATTAGGATTTGCTGGATCCCTCTTTTAATCCCTGCTTATTTATCCAGGCTCCTGTCCCTACATAGCAATCACTCTGTTTCCCGTCCAGACACTGTGCTGTTGCCCCTTACTTCTGTTATATTTGCCCTGGACTGCCTGGCCATTCTGCCAGTCTGCTTCAGGCGTTGTGCCTGAGATGCTGGATTCATCTAGACTTTGGCTTTCCCCATTCCTGCTGCTTGGCTACTAAACATTGTCAAAAAAACAAAAATTGCATAACTCCATTCAGCTTTTCATTATCCTCAGCCGTCCTTATACTTGTCCCTATTTCAACTCCTTTATACATTTCTTCCAACAAATGTCTCCTATCATTAACTTTCTATTCAGGCCCTAACTTGTACTTAGCAGATGCTTTCTGCTTCACAGAAAATAGATGCCATCAGGTATGAACAGCTCCTCTTTCTACTTTCAAACATTAGTAATCTTTTTTTTTTTTCTTTTGTTAAGGCAGAAAAGACCACTGCTTTATAAGGCTAACCATGACCACTCCCGTTTCATCCTTTCCTGCCTTCTTAAGATCTTGCACTGCCAAATTCCTCACTCCTTCACCTTCAGGCTCTTTTGTCCTCTCCCTAAAAACAGAAACTAAAACACCCTTCTGACCTTTTAATGTTACTGTCCTCTTTCTGTTCTTTCTGTCACCATCAGACTTCTCAGCTTACCATCTCCATTTTTCACCTTTAACCCATTCTGAACTCATTGAATCATGCTTCTGCCACCACCATACTACTGAAACAGGTCATCGGTGACCCACCCCCAGATGAGACCACTTCATCAAGTGGTCTCATCTTCATTCCTCTTCCCACTTCACTTCAGTAACATTTTATATATTCACCTCTCACCTTGCCACATTCTACTCCCTTGGTTACTGTACAGCAGTGCTGTTCAGTGTCTTCCCTTCCATTCTCACCTCCTTCGCTCTTCCTGTCTTCTTTTTAAATATTAGTGTTCCCTAGGGTTCTGACCTCAGTCTTTACCCTTTCTTACGTTTCTCCAGGGATAGTGAGCTTGTAGCCCGAAGACTGCATTCTCTACCTACAGAATTATTATGGGCATTGTTTTTATTTATTTATATATTTTAAATAGATTTAAATGCCTTAAACGGGATGTATACGCCTTTCTATTAAGGGCCCCTCTTTTCTTAACCAGATAGCGCCACATAGTTGTTACCTGGTGGCCACTGAAGTTACCTGATTTGTGACTCTTGCCCTATTTTCAACCTAAATGGTTTGATCCCTTATGATTATCACCCTTGCTTAAGTATTACCATGACTTATGTTGTCTCTGTGGATCTGCTGCCAAAGTGTAAAACATTATTCCCATATCTAATTAGCTAACTGCTAAACTTTAAATTTATACTCCTAATTGTTTATCAGAAATGTGTATCTAAATTAGCATGACCAAAACTAAATTCCCCCAAAAGAACTGCTCTTTTTCTTCTCAACTGGGAATATTTTCCCCATAACTCTACTCGACATTCTAACCAAAAACTTTTTGTTTTCTTCGCCTTTCCTTTCTCCGTTCTCCTCTCTACTCCCAAGCAATTTCCCCTTCAGTCTTCTCTGTCTTAAAAAATCATCCACTCACTCACATGTTTGCTGAAGCCAAAATTTTAGCAGTTATCTTTATCATTTAGGTTCCAGTCAGGAGACAGTTATTTGAACAGAGAGAATTTTTTAGAAAGAATTGTGAACTAGGTAAAAAGTAGCTAAATAGATAACTGAAAAAGTAAAAAGAAAACGAAGATATCATGGAGTTAAAAACTGGAAGAAGCAACAACCACCTGTAGGGCTGGGAGAACAGGAAGAAAAGATTGGAACAAATAAGACTTAGAAACTTAATGAAGAGGGCTTGTGGAACTGAGCTCCCTGGTGCTGGAGTCTCTTGGTAGAGGCAGAGGTGGGGTACGTCTGTGATAAAGCTGGTTCTCCAAAGGCTGAGAAAAGTGCCAACTGTATTTAGTTGCTCTTAAGGAAAGAAGTGCTGCTGCAGGGATGAGAAGCCTTGCAGGGGTGACAGTCACAGGAACACAAGCAAGCCCACAGGAAGCAGTTAGGGAGGAAGCAGCCATGGTGTCTTCCATCCAGGGCCAGCAGGCAAAGCTGATGCGTAGTGTGCAGAGTCCTTGGTGCAGCATCCCAAAGCACAGTATAGAAGGGTGGGGTTAGAGATGACAAAAAAAAAATGGATGACACACCGTCCTTGATTTACCCTCCCTTTGCAGATCCAGTCCACCACTAAGTGTTGTCAGCTCTGCCTCTAGAATGAATCTCAAGTTTGTCTACTCTCTGTGCACCTACGTCTTACATACAGTTGAGCTCCCTTCCACTGGTCTACTGCAGCAGCTTCCTAAGTAGTCTTTGATTCCGTTCTTACACTTTTTGTTCATTCTCCACAGAGCAACCAGTGATATTTTCTAAATACACATCAAATCATGTTACTTCCCTACCTAAACTACCCAGTAGCTACTGTGTACTTAGAATAAAACCCAGCGTTCTTAACTGGGGCCCATAGGGTAATATGTGATCTGCCCCCATCTGTCTACCTGATTTCCTACTCTTCCTCTCTTCTTAAGCCCCAGCATACTGGGCTTATCATTATGAGCACTTACCACTCTCTAATGGCATATTTATTGGTTTACTCTTTGTATTGTCTTGTTTCTTTGCTTGAATTATAGACACATTTGCATAGCATTTTTGTCTTGTTCATCACTTTATCTTCAGTGCCTAGGGAAATGCTTGGCACACAATTAAAAAGGTGTTCAACATTTATCTATTGATGAATGGGTAAATCCAGCACTGTCTCCCTCTTCCCTGCCACCTCCATATCCCAGTAGTCACTAGGACCTGTAGGTTCATGTATGTCTCTTTACTCTTTTTGATTTATCCTGAATGTCATGTCTCATTTTATATTCTGTATTATTTGTTTTCTGGTCTGTTACTGCCATCTTTTAACTGGTTTTCCTTCAGTGTTTTGTCTATTCCAGTCTGTATTTTGCACTGTCACCAAAAGATGATTTATGAAGCATAGGTCTTTAAAAATTACATGATGGGCTCGGTGCGGTGGCTCACGCCTGTAATCCCAGCACTTTGGGAGGCCGAGGCGGGCGGATCACCTGAGGTCAGGAATTCAAGACCAGCCTGGCCAACGTGGTGAAACCCCGTCTCTACTAAAAATATAAAAATTAGCCAGGTGTGGCGGTGTATGCCTGTAATCCCAGCTACTCGAAAGGCTAAGGCGGGAGAATGGCGTGAACCCGGGAGGTGGAGCTTGCAGTGAGCCAAGATCGTGTCACTGCACTCCAACCTGGGTGACAGAGTGAGACTCCATCTCAAAAAAAAAAAAAAAAAAAATTACATGATGATTCCTCATTTCCTGTAGGATAAAGTCTCAGCTTAGAATCAACTGGTTGAATTGTTCATAGCTTTTCTTAAACCTGCCTTGTACATAACAGTGTCAGTCAGGGTTCAGGCAGAGAAGCAGAGTCACGATGAATGTTATGGGATAACGGTTTTACTGTAGGAAGTAGATCTTGAACAATTGTGGGAGGAACTGGGGAAGTGCAGGTCTGAAGAGGGGAGTTGGAGGATTAGAGAAAAGTAATGGATTGATACCTAAGCACTGGTGCAGGAGGACGAGGCGGAGCTTGTAGGGAAATCTGCAGCTGGCATGTACAGTGGCAAAGGGGACCCCTAAAGGGAAGCTCGTGGAAAGGTCTCTGGTAAGCTACTTCCTGTGAGTAGCTATCGCCTCTGTGGGTCTGCTGTTGATTGGCAGGACCTGCAGTTGGGAGGAACAGCTGAATGAGGAATGGAAAAGAACTAGGATGACCTAGAACTGGCTGAGCACTTCTGCATCTGTCCATCATCCTCTCTGCGTGTAAAGACCTTGAAGGAGTGATGTTAGCTGGTTCACTTCTGCCACCAAATCTTGCACAAGTCCCTCTTTTGGGTCAGCTCTAACTTGGAACAGGAAAGAGATTCTGGGAGATGTAATTCACAGCTTAATGGATTGGACAGTAAATCCATCCACCACAAGACTCTGTGACTTAGCCCCAGTGAACTGCTTGCTGTTATCTGAACATACTAATTTCATGTCAGTGTATTTGCAGTGTATATGCTGTTTCCTCTGCGTGATGTTCGTCTCTTCCTAGTGAACTTCTGCTCATTCTCTTAAGACACAACTCAAGTATTATCTCCTTGAAATCTTCACTTCCCAAGCAGCTGCTCTGTCCTCTTTGTTTTCATAGTAGTCCTCTACTTAGCATGTAAGCAATTTCTACCACATTTTTTTCAGTTTCCTCCAAATAGTTTAAGTGACAATTTATCTAGTGATGTAGATGCTTATAACAAGTTTGAGCCTAGAATGGTTTCCGAGAAATAGGTTATATACAAAGCAGTGCCGCCCTTACCAAGATTTTTTTGGTCTGATGACACTAGGTGGTAGCAGGGGTTTGTCTGATGGCCTGTTTTATCTTTTGTTAGTTGTAATAAATTAAAACACTGTGGCTATACCCACTGTCTCTTGAGTCCACCGTGACCAAGAGTAATGTCTGAAATAAACGTAATAAAGCCTGCCCATCAAAGAGGCTAACACAGAACTGCAAATTTACTGCTATAGATGGCTGTGGAAACAAAATCATAGTAGTCATCGATTATCTGCATAATGTTAAAAGATATAATTTACTCTAACTCTTAAAGGATAGAAAAAGGGCCACTTTGTTTGTTTTTTCAGATTATAAGGCACTTGGTATCTTAAAGCGGCAGTTCCCTAACGCATCACTAATTGGGCTGACTGCAACTGCAACAAATCACGTTTTGACGGATGCTCAGAAAATTTTGTGCATTGAAAAGTGTTTTACTTTTACAGCTTCTTTTAATAGGCCAAATCTATATTATGAGGTATGTAATTTTTATGTCAATTCCTTACTTTTGTGAAGAATTACGCAGAGGGGATCTGCCTTTTTATTATGTTTATTTACATGAGCAGTTAAGTACTTACAAAAATTTTTAACATTAGGAGGTAATTATAAGTAGATTCTGTGATTAGGGCTTCATTCATGTATCTTTTGCTACATAAACCTTTGTTAGATTAAATGGAAGACACCTGCTAGGTGATACTTTTTATAAAACATATGAGTAAGTCATATATCTTTGTTAAATTTCTGTATGTTCTTTTTTGTATAAAGATGGAGAGAAAGGATGGAGTGATACTAAGGACCCTAATAACATCTCTGTTCAAATTAATTACTAAGTGATAGAAGTATTCATATGCCATTAAAGATTTGCCAATTCTATTTGAATTTTATTTGATAAACTTGAAAATCAAATAACCTAACAGCTGTCTTTTCTTTCTTTCTAAACCCTTTTAAGAATAGATTTAATATTTTTCTGAGTTTTCATTAAAGAGTTATTTATGTTACGGTTTGTTTTTATAAAAGTAGCATCGCAAAATAAAAAAGTCTGCATCCTTGCAAGTTATTCACTGCTCATGTGCTTGCTCTTCTCTGGTAAATTAAAAAAATAAAGATCAAGAAGAGTCTGGGAGGAGGAACAGATGAGTCAGATGGGTTGAATCCTGTGAGTAAGTGAAAGAGTAATAGGAAAAAAAACACTATGGTCATGAAAGAACTGCATCCTGAAAGTTGTACATAGACAGCCACTTGGATGGTACTCATTCATTTACTTTTTAATAAGTTAAGTTTTTTTTAGGTTCGGCAGAAGCCCTCAAACACTGAAGATTTTATTGAGGATATTGTAAAGCTCATTAATGGGAGATACAAAGGGCAATCAGGTAATGTAAAAACAAACCAACTTTGGAGACAGAGATAACTTTCAAAAAGTGACTTCATATCATATTGATAATTATACTGATAACTGAATAACACCAAAAAAAATTAATGTATAGCAGAAGATACTTGAAAATACGTGATAAAATTAATTCACTTGATCTTAGAAATTGGGTGTGACATTTGCTTATGCCATAGATTATGAGTCGTCAAATTGCCTGATTTATTTTTGCTTATTTACACTTGCTTTAGAATAGACCTGATGACTTAATGTTAATTATCAACAGCACATATTTAGTATGTATCCACTGTGTACAAAATAGTGGATTAAGCAACTGATATTCTAAAGGGATAGAAAATATACTCCCTTACAGTAAAGGACACGTTAAAGCAATAAATAAATCCAGTAGTACATACTGAATAGATTAAGCACAGATCGAGTTGTGAGTATATATACATGGTTTTCTGGGTTTAATGACTAAGCAAATGTTACTGAAGCAAAGAATTTGTGTGAAAGTAGCATTTTAAACTGTTCTATAGATTTTCAGGAGGTAGTCCTGGGTAAAAGGAGTTCTAGGGTCAAATGAATTTGAGAAAGGTTGCAGGTATTTATTCTGCCTGGATGTTCACAGGGTGTATCAGCAAACTAGAAGCTCTGACCATCCCTGAAAATAAAGAGAGACACCCATTTAACTTTGTTGAATGCAATGTTCTCCAAATTAATTTGCATGCAAATTAATCTAAATTAACCCAAAATTAATCTGGAGAACACTGCATTCATAGCACATTTGTTAGCATCTTACAGACATCAGTTTGAGAAATACTGTTTAGTGGGAGATAAAGTTAAAGAGAGAAAAGAGATAACAGGAACAAAAACTGATGGCTCAGGCTCATTTCTGCTTTAAAGGAAGCTGGTGCTCAAATCTGGAATTATACCAAAATGTCAATATATGCACAAGGCCTTGAAATTTTTCATAATTCTTTTTTTCCTTCTGTGCATTGTATTAATCAATGTCCTGAATGTGTGTGTTGAAAACCATCTTCCAGGAATATGCCATATCTATCTAACAAATGCACATATTTTACTGCAGGAATCATATATTGTTTTTCTCAGAAAGACTCTGAACAAGTTACGGTTAGTTTGCAGAATCTGGGAATTCATGCAGGTGCTTACCATGCCAATTTGGAGCCAGAAGATAAGACCACAGTTCATAGAAAATGGTCAGCCAATGAAATTCAGGTTAGGTCTATATCTTCCATAGAAGCCTAATTTACCTTTAAAATATTTAAACTTGATTTAATTAACTGATAAAATGTTAAAATATTTCAGGTAGTAGTGGCAACTGTTGCATTTGGTATGGGAATTGATAAGCCAGATGTGAGGTTTGTTATCCATCATTCAATGAGTAAATCCATGGAAAATTATTACCAAGAGAGTGGACGTGCAGGTATGTAGGACTCAAATCCAGAAGTAAATTTTTAGAAAGCTTTTCCAAAAAATACATGATAAATGCTTAATAAGTCTGTATGTTTTATCTTTATTGGATAGTATTTTTAGAACAATGTATTTTTAGCAGTTTGACACTTACTTGCATATGGAGAAATTTTTACTTATGTTCTGTTATCTGAATTGTTTCTTTTTATGTGTGTTAAGATAATTTGATGTTCATCTTTGCCTCCTGAATTTTTAATTAGTGATTTCAAATCTATAACTTAACTGGATTATAGACACATTTTTTAACTTAGTAGAGCTGATTATTGATGTCTCTTTAGAGTTTTTTTTAATTTGAGGGTACCCATTACAAATTAACTTCCACATCTCTAAAATTTCTAGATGTAGTATAAAACATTGCCTGCTAATTTTACCATATGTCATTTTTGCATATTTTGAATTTGTAAATGTAATTCTGCAATCTCAAGGTTTCTCACACCACAGGTCGAGATGACATGAAAGCAGACTGTATTTTGTACTACGGCTTTGGAGATATATTCAGAATAAGTTCAATGGTGGTGATGGAAAATGTGGGACAGCAGAAGCTTTATGAGATGGTATCATACTGTCAAAACATAAGCAAGTAAGCCACATACCTTTTTATAACTTTTATCAATTAAAGCAAATATGAAAGTATATGACATCGTTTTTAAGTTCTTACTAAATACATTGGTGGAACACCAAAGTGCAGATCCATAAAAGCAGATGTTGGAGGGTAGGAACCAGCACATCAACCTGTATGATCTGCCTTAGTTCAAGAAAAGATGCCCTATCTTTGAGATAATCCTCCAAAACTACTTTTTTAATTGAAGGTTTTTGAGACACATTGATAGCAACTTGAAGGCTTTTTTTCTCTGGCACTGCTGTACAGTTACATGATTTAATAATTTTGAAAAGGTCTATGGTTAAGATAGGCATTTTGAGAGTCAAGCTCAGTAACGTGCCACCTTGCCAGCTCATGTGTCAATGAAATACCAAGTTTCTCCTTAAGAAGTAAGTTTAAATCTACTTAGGGTGGCTTTAGACTAGATAGCTTCCTGAAAGCTTTCTGTCATAGTTATCTTTGTGCTTTTATTGCCTATCACATAAGAAGTGCTCAGAAATGTCGAGGTGGTAAATAGCAGCCAGACAGTGATAGAAATGTTCTTTCTTTCCAATAGATACTACAATAATCTAGTTAAAAGAAATGAGAAAATGAAAATGTCTTCCAAAGGCCAGTAGAGTCTCATGAAGCATATTTTAAGGTTTCAACTCAAATATTGCTACTTTATTAAAATATAAGAAACTATTTTACTGTCAAGAATATTCTCCTAATAGTTGCAAAACATTGAATTTAAAAATGGAACTCAGACAATTTTTTAAACAGTGTTTATCAAGAATATGTGGGGAAAAAAGTCCTATGTCGGGGGCACAATGGCCCCCCAAAGATGTTCACGTCCTAATTCCTAACCTGTATGTTACCTCACATGGCAAAAGGAAAGTAGCATTGCACATGGAATTAAGACTGTTCATTAGCTGACCTTAAAATAGGGAGATTATTTTAGATTGTGTGATGTGAGAAGAACCTGACACTCTGATTTTGATCCAGTGAAACCCATAGTACACTTCTAAATCTAAACCACAGAAATGTAAGAATAAATGTGTTTAAAGCCACTAAGTTTATGGTAATATTATGGCAGTTATAGGAAGCTAATACAGTATATAACTATGTAAGCTGAAATAGAGATTCTTAAAACTTTATTATATCCTTTAATAATTTGTATCTTTAAATGTGTTTGCAGATGTCGTCGTGTGTTGATGGCTCAACATTTTGATGAAGTATGGAACTCAGAAGCATGTAACAAAATGTGCGATAACTGCTGTAAAGACAGTGGTGAGTTTGTTGTTTTGTAAACCTTTATAGGCTAATACAGTCATAATGCCTAGTGACAGAGATACGTTCTGAGAAATGCATCACTAGGTGATTTTGTCATTGTGCAAACATCAAAGTGTACTTACATAAACCTAGATGGTATAGTCTCCTAGGTGATATGTTATAGCCTATTGATCCTAGGCTACCAATCTGTACAGCGTGTTACTGTACTGCATACTGCAGGCAGCTGTAACACATGGTTAAGTATTTGTGTATCTAAACATAGAGTAAGTACAGTAAAAATATGGTATTATAACCTGGGTGACAGCGAGACTCCGTCTCAAAAAAAAATATATGGTATTATATAATCTCTTGGGACCACTGGCATATACGTGGTCCATCACCGACCAAAATATTATGTGGCACAAAACTGTATATACAGCTGGGACATGAGAGAAGTATTAGACTTCCAAATGGATTTAAAAGATTAAAGTGTGAATCAGATTTTCCAGAATTAAAACTATCAACATGAAGTTTTGAAACAAAGGTGAATAAAAGGAAAAGTCTTATGTGTATGCACACATTTTATATTGCTATACTGAGGATGTGAAATTTTTAATAAATGAAGGAAAATATTTGAATTTTTCTGAATAGAAATGCTATTCTATAAGAAAAGGGAAACCATGTGATAATCTCTAATACTTTATAGTCACTAATTGAAAAGAAAATTTAGTGCAAAATAGAGACTATAGAGAATCACTTTTGATCCAGTTAATGGCTAGTCATCGGAGATTTACTTAAAATTCTTTTAAATGTAGATCAGCAGGATTTGTTTTCTGAGCATTGGTCACAACCCTGCTGATCAAAACAGGATCTGGTCAAAACAAGATATAGCAAAGAAACTGGCCCAAACAAGTTAGAACTAGAAAATATAATGTATTTGCATGATGTAAGACACTCCCACTAGCACCATGACAGTTTACAAATGCCGTGACAATGCCCGAAAATTACATGGTTCTAGGAACTCCCTAACCTTTTCTAGAAGATTCATGAATAATCTTCCCCTTATTTAGCATATAACTAAGGAGCAGCTATAAATACCGCTAGTGAGCAATGTACAGTGCCACTCTGCCTTTGGGGTAGCCCTGCTCTGTCTATGGAGCCGCCATTTTCCTATACTCTATTGCTAATAAACTTGCTTTGCTTTCACTTTACTCTGTTGGCTTGCTCTCAGATTGTTTCTTGCATGAAACTGGGAACCCTCCTGGGCTGAGTCCCAATTTTCGGATTTGCCTGCAGCATTTTGGCACTATATTTTAACTTTTTTTCATCCGTGTGTTGTATTTCAAGATCTGGACTAGCCAGTACCTCATGGTAAGACCTTACTGAGTTCTGATGCCTTGTTAGGTGGAAGCCACTGTATTTTTAACTTTGCAGACAGAGAAATTTATGAGTTTATTAGACTATCTTATAAAATAACAAGAGTGTTATATATAAATCAGAGTACTGGTCTCTTAATAATTGGGTTATCAGTTGAGGACATTCTTGTTGCTAAATCAGAGTTCACTCAGGAGCCTATACTAGAACAGACAGGGTCTCCTATAAAACACACCTCTTAGTAACTTAGTAATCATGTCTGGCAGACACTTTCTGATTTCTAGAGTATATGGCAGGGCTTCTGATAACCAATTTTTTTTTATATATATCACTGTAAACCCCACAATGCTTACAGAGACCATAACTTGGTCTAGTGACAGAGACTTGAGGAATAGCCTAGTCTTAATTCAGAATACATTTAAAAATCAATGTTTAGGGTGGCTCACATTGATAACCAGCTTTAAACCAGTTTAACTACTTAAGATAGCCTATCTTTGCCCTCATTTCTAAATCCTAATTACCTGCTACCATATTTGTTTTATTACAGCATTTGAAAGAAAGAACATAACAGAGTACTGCAGAGATCTAATCAAGATCCTGAAGCAGGCAGAGGAACTGAATGAAAAACTCACTCCATTGAAACTGATTGATTCTTGGATGGGAAAGGGTGCAGCAAAACTGAGAGTAGCAGGTGTTGTGGCTCCCACACTTCCTCGTGAAGATCTGGAGAAGATTATTGCACACTTTCTAATACAGCAGTATCTTAAGTATGTACAAACTCATTCATTATTCTTTCAGGTTGTCTTTATGGTTTTTTTTTAAAAATTGCAACAGAATAAACGGTTTTGCAGTTATTTTGTGTGAACTTTTAAATGCTATAGAAAGTAATTTACCTAAAACACTCAAACTTTAATCACTATAAATAAAAAAAAGTAACGAAAATATTTTCTTTAAAGGCTTTATTTGCATTCTTGTAAATTTTATTATTTCAAGTCAATGTGTTAAGAATTACTGCGCATATAGTTATTTCTTTTATAAATTTGTTTTCCGTGATTCCTTCAAAAGCTTTCTTATTGTTGGCCTTTATTTTCTGCAGAGAAGACTACAGTTTTACAGCTTATGCTACCATTTCGTATTTGAAAATAGGACCTAAAGCTAATCTTCTGAACAATGAGGCACATGCTATTACTATGCAAGTGACAAAGTCCACGCAGAACTCTTTCAGGGTAAATGGCTATTAATTTTCAGTTTTATATATTTTAAAAAGTATATTAAAGCCTATGGGATGCTTTTCTGTCATATTCCCCTAGGTCCAGTTGAACATGAGAAAAGTCAGTTTTCTGATTAGATTTCTGGGTATGGAAGAGAGAAAATATAGTTTTCTGTAAAGATGTAAGTGAAAGAATTTAGACTGGCCTTTTAACATAAACTAGGGGTTTCCAGTTTCTTGGAATGGGAGGACTCCGTTTGAATATCTAATTTTGTTATGCACTCTGCTCTTATTTGGTTGTGATTACTAATAGTTGAGAAGTCTGTTTCTGCTGTTCCAGTGGTTAGAAACCACTGTTTTAAACCAAATACTATCAAGTCTGCAAAAGCATGTCAAGTCAAGTGCCATTGTGTCTAAGGACATTTGAGGTCTTTAGAACTTCTCTCACAACGTAGCCCCTTTTATTCAAAATAGAGCTCATATTTGAATAGAAATTTGTAGATAAAAAACTAGACCCCTGTATACTTAAAAAGCCAACTGATACAGAAAGAATATTTTGAAATATTTAATCTCATGAGAAAACTGAATAGCTGGATTTTTACCAAGGTGCTTGCTTTGTTTTTTTTTTTTTTTTGTAGGCTGAATCGTCTCAAACTTGTCATTCTGAACAAGGTGATAAAAAGATGGAGGAAAAAAATTCAGGCAACTTCCAGAAGAAGGCTGCAAACATGCTTCAGCAATCTGGTTCTAAGAATACAGGAGCTAAGAAAAGAAAAATCGATGATGCCTGATATGAATGTTACTAAATTTTCTAATTAAAGATGGTTTATGCATGTATATGCCATTATTTTTGTAGTTAGACAATAGTTTTTAAAAGAATTTCATAGATATTTTATATGTATGGATCTATATTTTCAGAGCTTATCTCTGAAGATCTAAACTTTTGAGAATGTTTGAAAATTAGAGATCATGAATTATATAATTTTCCAGTATAAAACAAGGGAAAAATTTTTATGTAAAACCCTTTAAATGTAAAATATTTGAGAATAAGTTCATACAATCGTCTTAAGTTTTTTATGCCTTTATATACTTAGCTATATTTTTTCTTTTGACATAACTATCTTTTTGAAAGCAATATTATACTGACAGAGGCTCACTGAGTGATACTTTAAGTTAAATATGTAGATCAAGGATGTCCAATCTTTTGGCTTCCCTGAGCCACATTGGAAGAAGAATTGTCTTGGGCCGCACATAAAATATGCTAACACTGATGATAGCTGATGAGCTTAAAAAAAAAATTGCAAGAAAAATCTCATGTTTTAAGAAAGTTTACAAAAAATGTAAAATATTTGAGAATAAGTTCATGTAATTGTCTTAAGTTTTTTATGCCTTTATATACTTAGCTATATTTTTTCTTTTGACATAACCATCTTTTTGAAAGCAATATTATACTGACAGAGGTTCACTGAGTGATACTTTAAGTTAAATATGTAGATCAGGGATGTCCAATCTTTTGGCTTCCCTGAGCCACATTGGAAGAAGAATTGTCTTGGGCCGCACATAAAATATGCTAACACTGACGATAGCTGATGAGCTTAAAAAAAAAAAAATTGCAAGAAAAATCTCATGTTTTAAGAAAGTTTACAGATTTGTGTTGGGCTGCATTCAAAGCTGTTCTGGGCTGCATTAGACCCGTGGGCTAGAGTTGGACAAGCTTGTAGATGATTTCAGGTTATAAAACCAGAAGTACAATTCAACAAAAAAGGAGTAAGTCATCAATATAAATATTAGCAAACGAGATATTGCTACATCTCTATTTAAAGTAAAATACAACCGATTTTAAAGTTCCTGAAACCATAGCCATATTTTGACATTTCACAAAGAATGGTTCTAGTCTACTAGAGTACATTTGGCTAAGTAGATAACTTACCTAAATTTGCTCCAAAGCTAAATCACAAGTAAACATATTTATGTTTAAAACACAGAAATAAATAACTTAAGATTTTTATCTAAGCGGTCAGTGTTGTATTGGAAAGATATATCTATAAATAAACTTTGAACTGATTTCAAACTTAGAATTTATGTTTTTATATTTTTCCACTAATATCATTATCACTTCTGTAATTTTCAGTGTGGTCATCATTAACTCAATACAGTCATTCATTTTATTGACTTGTGATTTTTCTGGTGTCATTTGGAACTTTATATGATTCCTGAAGAAATTCCATTTTTAGTCAAAATAATCTTCTATATCAATATTTGGATCTAGCAGATCTTCTCCATATGATGAAAGATTCATTTGGTTTAAGATTAGGTTTTCAAATGTTTCTTCTAAATCGGTTTCACCAATTAAGACAGCTCCCATCATTCGTCCATTTTGCATGACGACTTTGATGTATTCTCGTCCTTTGGTACATCTCAGCATTAATTCATGATCTGAACCTAAGCCCTGTGCATTGTATTTTCCCAGCAGTACAACCTATATTTAGAGATAAAAAGGTTATTGTCATGAGTATCATAAAGAAAATGTAATGGGTAGTTATTTTGTGTCAAGTTTGAATAGCCGCAGAAAACTTATGCCACAAAATTTCATAACTAAAAATGTTATTGGGGAGAGTCCCAAAGAAAATGTTTCAACAGCATGCGTTAATTCTACAGATGACACTATCACACACTCTACACTGACATTAAAAAATTCTGGTGAATATAGTCAAATGTTAATGTTTAATATTTTAACACTAAAAATATCTAGTGAATATAGGTAGGTGATTCTACCAATCTATATGAACATTAAAACTATACAGTAAATATATAAATATGTAGGATGTGGATACATTAAACCATGTGGAGTCGTGGTTTAAAGATTTGGCAAGGAACTGAATTAGAGCTTTCATGGAAAAGTTTCTTAATTTCCCTGAGGCTTTTGAATATGTTTCTCCTTCTCTGTAAATTAGGGAAAAAAAAAAACCCAAAACAACCTTTGTCAATGTGAAGAGGACTGAATAAGATAATAGATACAGGAAAGCTCTTGGTTTATTTTTGAGTACAACAGCAGTTAGTTCCCCTCACAAAGAAAGGATGAATCACAAGTAAAAGTTAAAAATGCACCAACAAGTAACAGATCTAGAGAGAAATTTTTTTCCCTCTTAACTAAAATAGAATAGTGGTAAGGTGGATAATTATCAGATGATTAGGGATTAAGACTAGCAATAATACCAGGTATTGGTTTGTAAGAAATGAAAAATGTCATTTTTTTGTAGATGATTAAAACTATGTACGTTTTTATTCAAGCAAGAAAATCACATGATTTATCATAGTCATAAGACTAACAAGCAGAGAAGGCATTAATATGCTTAACTATCTTACCTTATAGTTAAAAAATTTTGTCACATGAGCAAACAGTTCAAAGCTGAAATCCATGTCAATAGAGTCTCCTGAACTCGCTGCAGCCATGCACTTTGCTGCATACCATCCCATCTGTCTAGCCTGGGTCCACAGCCTCATCTGAAATGATGAAAAAATGTTACACAATGTCATTTTTCATGATCATTATCTGAAAAATGTTAACCTTGTAAATTCACTTAAAGGAGTTCAATGTTTGACAGTCTTTCTGTCATCTTTGCCACAGAAGCAGTCACCAATGGATAACTAATCAGACTGATTTTTGGTATTTGTTAATTCTATCTAAATTACTGCCTCTAAAATTAAAAGATGATACCAATCACACCTGTTTTAGTAGCATTTCTATTAAATATTATGAAACTATATTAAGCTATACCAGGTGAGAAAAATGTTTTAATTAACCAGTCCCTTCTTCAAAAATTTGTCATCACCATTAACAGAGATGTCAAATTATCACTGAAGAATTTGTTCTATTTTCCAGCAACCTTCATTTTTATGCACTACTTAAGGTCTGCTGTGCTGTTAACCTCAGTGGTTAGACAGACTCTTGGTGCCTCACCAAGACAACATAAATATCTCAGCAACTGATTCTGGGAAGTCATTTAAATTGTTTTGCATGACCGTATTAATTCATCTATTGTATTTTTATTTTATTTCTATGAAGTTTTGAGACTCCCTGGTATAAAAGAACACGGCCTTTGACAAAATTCAACAACCCTTCATGCTAAAAACTCTCAATAAGGTATTGATGGGACGTATCTCAAAATAATAAGATCTATGACAAACCCACAGCCAATATCATACTGAATGAACAAAAACTGGAAGCATTCCCTTTGAAAACTGGCATAAGACAGGGATGCCCTCTCTCACCACTCCTATTCAACATAGTGTTGGAAGTTCTGGCCAGGGCAATCAGGCAGGAGAAGGGAATAAAGGGCATTCAATTAGGAAAAGAGGAAGTCAAATTGTCCCTGTTTGCAGATGACATGATTGTATATCTAGAAAACCCCATCAGCTCAGCCCAAAATCTTAAGCTGATAAGCAACTTCAGCAAAGTCTCAGGATACAAAATCAATGTGCAAAAATCACAAGCATTCTTATACACCAACAACAGACAAACAGAGCCAAATCATGAGTGAATTCCCATTCACAATTGCTTCAAAGAGAATAAAATACCTAGGAATCCAACTTACAAGGGATGTGAAGGACCTCTTCAAGGAGAACTACAAACCACTGCTCAATGAAATAAAAGAGGATACAAACAAATGGAAGAACATTCCATGCTCATGGGTAGGAAGAATCAATATCGTGAAAATGGCCATACTGCCCAAGGTAATTTATAGATTCAATGCCATCCCCATCAAGCTACCAATGACTTTCTTCACAGAATTGGAAAAAACTACTTTAAAGTTCATATGGAACCAAAAAAGAGCCCGCATCGCCAAGTCAATCCTAAGCCAAAAGAACAAAGCTGGAGGCATCACGCTACCTGACTTCAAACTGTACTACAAGGCTACAGTAACCAAAACAGCATGGTACTGGTACCAAAACAGAGATATAGACCAATCGAGCAGAACAGAACCCTCAGAAATAATGCCTCATATCTACAACTATCTGATCTTTCACAAACCTGACAAAAAGAAGAAATGGGGAAGGGATTCCCTATTTAATAAATGGTGCTGGGAAAACTGGCTAGCCATATGTAGAAAGCTGAAACGGGATCCCTTCCTTACACCTTATACAAAAATTAATTCAAGATGGATTAAAGACTTACATGTTAGACCTAAAACCATAAAAACCCTAGAAGAAAACCTAGGCAATACCATTCAGGACATAGGCATGGGCAAGGACTTCATGTCTAAAACACCAAAAGCAATGGCAACAAAAGTCAAAATTAACAAATGGGATCTAATTACACTAAAGAGCTTCTGCACAGTAAAAGAAACCACCATCAGAGTGAACAGGCAACCTACAGAATGGGAGAAAATTTTTGCAACCTACTCGTCCGACAAATGGCTAATATCCAGAATCTACAATGAACTCAAACAAATTTACAAAAAAAAAACAACCCCATCAAAAAGTCGGCGAAGGATATGAACAGACACTTCTCAAAAGAAGATATTTATGCAGCCAAAAGACAAATGAAAAAATGCTCATCATCACTGGCCATCAGAGAAATGCAAATCAAAACCACAGTGAGATACCATCTCACACCAGTTAGAATGGCAATCATTAAAAAGTCAGGAAACAACATGTGCTGGAGAGGATGTGGAGAAATAGGAACACTTTTACACTGTTGGTGGGACTGTAAACTAGTTCAACCATTGTGGAAGTTGGTGTGGCGATTCCTCAGGGATCTAGAACTAGAAATACCATTTGACTCAGCCATCCCAGTACTGCGTATATACCCAAAGGATTATAAATCATGCTGCTATAAAGACACATGCACACGTATGTTTATAGCGGCACTATTCACAATAGCAAAGACTTGGAACCAACCCAAATGTCCAACAATGATAGACTGGATTAAGAAAATGTGGCACATATACACCATGGAATACTATGCAGCCATAAAAAATGATGAGTTCATGTCCTTTGTAGGGACATGGATGAAGCTGGAAACCATTATTCTCAGCAAACTATTGCAAGGACAAAAAACCAAACACCACATGTTCTCACTCATAGGTGGGAACTGAACAATGAGAACACATGGACACAGGAAGGGGAACATCACACACCGGGGACTCTTGTGGGGTGGGGGTGCAGCACACCAACATGGCACATGTATACATATGTAACAAACTTGCACGTTGTGTACATGTATCCTAAAACTTAAATATAATAATAAAAAAAAAAAACACTGACCTTGGGAGTCACAGTGGATTTTAATATCAACAGATCTACATATATATTTAACTTTTCTGGGCCTCGGTTCATTTACCTGAAACGTAAACATAACACTACCTACTCTGTAACTATTGAGAGAATTAAACAGGTTAGCGTATAATAAGCACTTGGTTTCCTTCTACCTCCCTGTATGTGCATATGTACTTAATGCTGTCTTTTGTTTGCAGAAATAATATCATAATCATAGACATGAGTTTTAAGCATTTCTAGCAGAAGTGATAGATTTTTTTTTTTCAATCTCCTCTGTAAACAAGGTATTATAGATTTGATGAAGTGAAAGGCAGTTTATGGCTGGGGGTCAGAATAAACTGAGCACAGTAACAACTAGAGAACAGCTAATACAAGTGGCCGGAAAATTTGCATCTTGAACTGCATAAATTAGTATCCTTATTGCTTGTGTAAGCCAAGAAATGGGGCCTATAAGGTGCACTCAAAACAAGGCCATCTGTTTATTTTCGGATTTTTTCCCCTCTTTCAGATTATAACACATTAAGATATAATTTACCCTAGAGAATTAAAAATGTTAAAAAAAAAAAAACCCATAAACTCCAACTCTAAGAATTTGTGATAGTCTTGCCACAGAAATGACATAGAATGAGGCAGGTTAGAAACAAAAAGGCTGGAACCATTCTTACTGATGTCTCTACTGTCTGTAAGAACACAAAATGATGGTGCTGCCTCTTGAAATACTTTTAGCTCTTCTCCTACTTCACACTGCATAATCTGAATGAATAATGTCCCTAACTGTGGAGCTGGTCTTTAACAAAGATAAATGTTGCCTGGTTCCTTTATTTCAAACATCTACCTAGGTCTCTACCCCTCTGCACACCTCTGGTCACTGTCTTTATCTTCCTCTAGTATTTTTGTTCCACCGTTAGGAGGAGGTAGGTAAAGCTGTGAGGGTAGGAAAAAGTCTAGATCCAGTTGGGACTTGTTAAGGCTCAGGAAAGGTGTTTACTACAGGAATTTTTTTTTTTTTTTTTGAGACAGAGTTTTGCTCTTGTTGCCCAGGCTGGGGTGCAGTGGTGCGATCTCAGCTCACTGCAACCTCCGCCTCCCAGGTTCAAGGGATTCTTGTGCCTCAGCCTCCTGAATAGCTGGGATTACAGACGCACACCATCATGCTCAGCTAATTTTTTGTATTTTTAGTAAAGACGGGGTTTCATCATGTTGTTCAGGCTGGTCTCAAACTCCTAACTTCAGATGATACACCTGCCTCTCACCCTCCCAAAGTGCTGGGATTACAGGCGTGAGCCACTGCGCCCAGAACATTTTTTAGTAATGATTACCACAGGGACAGAATAGGATCATAAAGGAATAGAATGCTTTTCTATATAATTTACAATCTTAGTAGTTTTTTTAATCTAAAGTTGTGCTGTCCAACATCGTAGCCACATATATTTAAAGTTAATGAGAAGTAAGTAAAAATAATTCAGTTCCTCAGTCACATTAACCACATTTCAAGTGCTCATGTGACATACTGCTGGCTACCTGACTAGATGGTGAGGAATTAAACATTTCCATCATCACAGAAAGTTCTCCTGGACAGTGCTGATAAGCAGGTAAGAATGAAAAACAAAGTAATAGCCCATAATTTCTTTTAAAGTAAAAGATGTCTCAGTCTACCATTATAATGATAACTTACCAAACAGGGAAATATTCTAGTTTTTTTTTTAAATATATATAACAACTGTGCTAGCTTCCTACTTAAGCAGAAAAGTTGGAAAACCAGAAGTTGGATTTGTTGGTAACAACCGCTTTATTTTCAGACAGAATCTCTGATGAAAACATATAATTATATATGCTAGCTTACCTGCTGCCAGACTGGGCTCAGCTGCCAGGATGTAGTACAGATGTCACCGGCAGCATAGATATCAGGAAGGGATGTGTGCATATGATCATCCACTTTCAGGCCACCATCTTCTCCTAGATCAAACTAAACAACATTCCTCATAAGCGTTAAGTGTTAAGAAAAATGAAACGACTTTTTCCATTTTAAAGTAAAAGAACAAATTAAATTGTTACACTTTGCATGCTCATCTTTAATGAGAAAATGAAAAATATCAGCAAAGTTTAGACACCTGAGCTGAATTTCCATGGATCAAATTCCAACTAAGACTGATCCATAAAACTGTCAGAATTTCAACATGAAAAGTATCCAATAACCATGTGACTACCTTATCCATAACTACAAGAATATTCTTTTTTTTTTTTTGTAAGCTTCAAGTGCTGAAAAGCAAAAAATACAAGATGGTTTCTCTAAAAGAATCATTTTTGAGAAGTCACGGGAGGTGTCAGTCTCTTACCAACATTTAGATAAATAAATTGTACATTATAAACCATTACTGATGACGCTTATGCAAGGATATAACTATGTAAGGATTTTAAGCAGTAAAAAATACTGTAAATCAAGACAATGTTTTAACCAAACTGTTTCCAACCATGTTAAGTTACAGTTGTACACTAAAATAATAATTATTCATGTTTGAGAATTAGAGATCTTCACAAAAATACTTCAAATATATTCACAGCTGGACAAAAAAATTTCACCTTACACTGTTACCATGGAGAAAAGGTTCTACATTTGGTGTAACTCCTGTAGCACTGACAATGAAATCGCAGCCATATATCTTTTCATTGGTCAATTCCACATAGACAGGCCACATCTCTTTAAGAAAAAAAAACCAAAAAAACAGACTTTATTTGTAAATGGAACCATCACCACAGCAGTGTATGTGACTACAATGACTAGAAACAAAGAAAGAAAAAGAAAGGCAAGAGATAACTTTGTAACACACTCCTTAGCAATTATTATGAGGCATATTTGCTAAAGCAATTTTAATGCAATTAGCATCATCTCGTTTGGGTATAATTTTAAAACCATGGCATTTTAAATGTTTTTCCTTCAAATTTGGACACATAAATTTTGACAAAGTACATTTAAATTATTTCTAAATTATTTCTCTAAAAATCTTTTGTAATACTTTACACTCCACTTAAGTGTTTAGTTCAACTAGGTGTCTTCCCTCACTACTCATATTCAAATTCCCCTTTCCTATGGAAAAATTCAAAGAATTCAGAACAGTAGAATATTTCATATGCTAGTTAACTGAGTGTATTTCTTCAAATCATGGCAATTCTCAGAGGAGTTGTGGAACTGGAGTTAGGAGAGCTGCATCTTAGTCCCAAAAATATACATTTTCAATCTGATTTGGGTGAAATCATGTCACCTTTAAGAGCTCTAGGTTTTTGTCTTATTTTGATTTATAATATATTCTGATTGTTGGTCAAAACACTCAGCTCTATGTAAGATGTAATGCCCTATACGATTTAATTTACTAGAAAACAACAGACAGTGAAATGAAGTGAGTTAATGTTATTAAATTATGGTTTTATTTTTACTTTTCATGTTTAAATTTTATATGGAAATACGAAGTTATTTTTAATAGAACACAGCAGGATTAAATTGTTTTCCTTTTAATTAAGTGGTTATATATATTTTTTCTTATTTCATTACTTGCCTGTATCAGCTGTAACTGACTTATGGTCTCTTGGAAAAGTGAAGGACTTTTTCTTCAAAATTCTAAACTCATCCTGAAGGTAGATTTTCTTTACTTCACACATAGTTTCAAGGTGAATCTTATGAGAAAACTAAAATTAAGAAAATACTGGTTAGCATAATACTTACAGAAAGAATAACCCGGGTTACTAATGATGAAGAAAAAACGTATACTTGTAGAAATGTATAGAAAACATAATTCTTATAATATAAATGAAACCACATTGGGTGCCCTAAAATAAGTCTCTCTATGCACATGAAAGGAGTGAACAAAAATTCATTCAGTAACTTAAGAGATCTGGTAGCTGCATTAGCAGATAGCATCGAGGGAATGCTTTTTAGCCTAGGCCTCATTGATAATTACAAATGCATTTTTTAAAAATTACAGTAGTTGTTGGGCACAGTGGCTCACGCCTGTAATCCCAGCACTCTGGGAGGCCGAGGCGCAGGTGGATCACCTGAGGTCAGGAGTTCAAGACTAGCCTGGCCTATATGGTGAAACCCTGTCTCTACTAAAATTAAAAAATTAGCCAGGCCTGGTGGTGTGCGCCTGTAGTCCCAGCTACTCGGGAGGCTGAGGCAGGAGACTCGCTTGAACCCGGGAGGCAGAGGTTGCAGCGAGCCAAGATCATACCACAGCACTCCAGCTTGGGTGACAGAGCGAGACTCTGTCTCAAAAAAAATAAATAAATAAAATAAATAAATAAATAAATAAATAAAAATTTAAAAAATGACAACAGTTATGGACTATAAAATTTTCTTCAGGTCAGTTCTGACTTACTGTCGTATCCCTGAACATTAATAAAGTCCCACGTAGGTAGTAAATACTCAATAAATGCTTATTGAATTAAACTGTTGAAGTTCTCAGGTTAAAAATATAATATTAGGATCTGAAGGTGCAAGAAGAAGGGACTTTGTGTAATTTCCATCACAAAAATTAGATACACCGTGCAGCCAGCTCCCCTCCTACCTACTGAAAGCCAAAAACCAATGCTCTAAAGAAATCACACAAAGTAACGAAGGACTGCATGCATGCTTCTTACAGCATTTAGATTTCACAGCCCTTTAACAACTATTAAAAAATCAAAATATCTAACAAAATGAGGAAAAGCAAATCATCTCCTTATCCAATTAGGGTATTAAGTGTGTATTTCCAATCCATCTAATAACTTTTGTAAGTTTACTGCATGCATCTGAAGTGACCTTTGAGAAAAGATTAATTTAAAATAGGACAGGAGTATTCACTGTAGTCTGGGTATAGAAAGCTCTATCCCTGATCTGAGGATATAGGAAAAAACAAACTCAGTTTCTCCTACTATAGTCTCACAACACAGAATACTTCTGTGACCAAATGTGTGTGGGGTGTTTTCTACACACTAAGCAAGCAATTAATTCTGCACAGGACACCATCTGGCTGTCCTCTAATTCAATTCAGTTCTGATGTTATTATCTACCTGGAGATAGCA